>NC_000008.11:73427265-74052265 GCF_000001405.40 Homo sapiens
GAGGTTGTGCCGGCAGCAGCAGTGGGAGGAGGGTGTTACTCTAGGTGCTTCTGGAATTACCTCTCAGAACCATTTTGTGGGTCAGAGAAGCAAACCAGTTTTGTCATCTTTTGGCCCCACCTTATTTTAATGTGTTCATCCTGGTTGTTGACCTTCTTCACTAGACTTGGCTTTGTCTGAAGTTTTGCTGTTTTCAAAAATTAAACTCACCCTCAAAAGACTGAGGTTTGGACAGTTCTCCCCACCCTCCCTGCAAGAAAGGAATTCACAGAGGAATTTGACTCTCAGGGAGCTTTGATTCAGTGACTCTGAGGTCCTTTTAAGTCCTGAAGTGCTAAGGCGGCTATGCTGAGGGCAGTGCATGTGCCCACAGCCTGTGTCCATCAACCGGGGCCCACTGTCCCACCTCACACATGCGCGTGGGGCGCTAAAGGCCAGGCTCACTCACTTGTAGGCTCCAAGGACCAATCCATGCCAGACCTTTTTCCAGATATTCCCATTTTCACGGAGTGGGCTCATGAACTTCAAGTTCTTTGTATATTCAACAGTTTTAACAAAAGACCAGTTACTTTTCTTCTGAGCCATTAAAATGTGAATTATTGGCATAAATTCTGAAATTTATGAATTTCTTCCAAAGTGGACAATTACATTTGAAATTTTATTATTTTTTGTAACATAATGATAAATTATTTAACATTTTCTGTGATGACAACACCTGAAATATACTCTCAGAGCAATATCAAAATGTGCAGTACTCAACTGTTAGCTATATTCACCACACTGTGCAGTAGATGTCCAAAAAAATCAAACTTATCCTTTTTATCTGACTGAGACTTTGTACCCTTTGACTATCATTTTCCCATTCCACCTACCCCCAGCCTCTGTACCCACCACTGTACTCTCTGCTTCTGGGAGTTCAATTGTTTTATATCTCACATATAAATGAGAACATGTGGGATTTGTCTATGTTTGGCATATTTCACTTAGCATAATGTTCTCCAATTCTATCCATGTTGTTGCAAATGACATAATTTCTTCCTTTTTAAAAGCTGAACATATTCCATTGTGTCTATATACCACATTTTCTTTTTCCATTCATCCATTAATGGACATTTAGGTTGATCCCACATCTTTGCTATTGTGAATACTGTTGCAATAAACATGAGGGTGCAGATATCTCTTGACACACAAATTTCAAACTTTTTAGGTAAATACCCAGATGTGACAGTGCTGGATCCCAAAAGCACCATCACAGAGGGCTACTGAGAGCCAGGAAATGGAACTGTGCAATGTGATACTGCTGAATGGGGTTCCTACGAGCTCTAGGGCTTCTCGGTCCTGTTTTATTCCTAGCAAGGGCAAAACAACAACTAAAAACAATTTTTAAAAATCTTTTAAAAAATCGTTTTTAGGCTACTTATAGCCTGTTTTCACTAGGTACACTGGGAATACTTGGTTCTTAGTGTGGCCTGAACACCAGAACCAAATGACCTGCTTCACCCAGTCCAGGACCCATGGCACCTGCTCTCTTCCATCTGAAGAGAACTGCATATATGAGACGAAGGCCAGGTCTCAGGGAGCAGCTTCAGCGTTTTAGCTCTTGCAAAATCTCCTGGACGATTTTATCAACATGCCAGGCAGGTCCCCCGTGCACTGTCAAAATGATCGTCATCCCTCCAAGAATGTCCTAGAGTCTGGAATGGCGGCGTGCTCTCTCACTTGATGCCACGAATGGATTTTCAGAATTCTTGCGTGGCTGCTCTCCTCCACAGGTATGCTTAAAAGCTTCCAAGGGGCAGTCCCTTATCTACCTGATCAGATAACTCAACCCACATCTCACTGATAACCCTGAATACAATAGCTTATAAGTATGAGAGGGATTTCTTTTCAATTTATAAGAGGCAGTGGTGACCGATTTATCTTAACCTATGTAAACAGTAATAGCTACCATTCGATGAGCATCACTCCGCCATTGTCATGGGACTGGCCCTTTACCTGCCATGACCTGAGTTGTTATCACAGCCTTGTGAGATAGTTCCTACCCATAAGGAAACAGAGGCTCAGAGAATTCAGTAACCTACTTAAGGTCACACAGCTAATAAGTGGCAGAGCAGAGATTTGAAACCAATCTATATTCTTGCTCAGGTCTTTTTTTTTTTTTTTTTTTTTTTTTTTTTTTTTTTTTGAGGCAAAGTCTCACTCTGTTGCTCACGCTGGAGTGCAGTGGTGTGATCATGGCTCGCTGCAGCCTAGACCTCCCAAGCTCGAGTGATTCTCCCACCTCAGCCTCTCAAGCAGCTGGGACTACAGGCAGGCACCACCATACCTGGCTAAATTTTTTTTTTTATTTCTAGTAGGGACAAAGTCCTGCTATGTCACCAGGCTGGTCTCAAACTCCCAAGCTCAAGCAACCCTCCCGCCTTGGCCTTTCAAAGTGCTGGGATCACAGGCGTGGCTCATGTCTCTTTATTTCCTCCAAATTTAAAGCCGCTCACGTTCCAGATACCTGATTTCAGCAGAGTTTCTTTTAATATTAATATTTCAAAATCACTCATTACCTCTTCCACACTCATTCTATTGTTTCTCACAAATAATTACTTGAGGTAAGCTCATAAAATTATCTCCATTTTCTAGAAAAGGGGTTGATTGTTTTGTGGGGAGCACACAGTGTCCCGTCAGCAGTCCGCTTCCAGCCCTGGGTTGACTTCCGAGGCTTCGCTCAGCACTTCCGTAACACTTGCAATTTTGGCTAAAACTAAATTACTAATTATTTTGTCACTTGGGTTTTGTTACCCAGTGGCCAGAGACAAGACTACTGGATTCTCCATTTCTTCACATTCTGAGTATCTTGTTCCCTCCTCCATTTCTCTGAAAATTCTTTTTCATTTCTTACTTTCCTGTGGTTTCTAGCAGGAGGGAGAAGCCCCAGGGTTTTGCTGGGCTTGTGGCATGTAGGATGCTGCAGTGAGAAGAGGCACTGGGATTGCAAAGGTGAAGCGAATAAAAATCAAGGGTGAAGGGTTTAACTGTGATGTACAGATAGCAACAAGCTCAACATGTTCAGGAAAACAGAGTGGGCAGGGCCTGCCGACCAGGTACCCCTCTCACAGGTACGGACAGAACCCTCAGAGCGGCTGCCTCCCTGCTCACCATGAGCTCAAGGAATCAGGGCTCTCCTCTCACACTTCATCACCCCCTATTTTCCCAGAAACAACACTTTACAGATTAAAGAACGCTATGGAAAGAGATGAGTTTGCTTCTCTTTCTACAGGATCATGCCAATACCTGTAAGAGCCACACTACCTTTAGCAAGACCCAAGTATATACTGAAGCTGGCAAGCAGAGTGAGCTTTTGCTATCAGATTGATGATTTCAAAGAACATATAATGTAGTGGCTTTGTGAACAAACACTGAAATTTAACAGTCCACAAAAATGTTTTACTACATACCTCCAAACCTGTTCAGAAGATGGTAAAATCAACAATATCCTCATGTTTAAACTACTCTAACAGAATAAATTGTTAACTTGCTAGAGGCCAGTTGCTTTAAAAATTCAAAGCATTATAAATATGCTACATAATATTAAAAGACACTTTGGAATGAGAGAAAAAGCAAATAACCTTCATTTTGGAAGACATACTTGAAGCCTGATTAAGAAGCAAGCTCTAAACTTTGTATTTACTGAGTGGGTAAATTGATAACAAGGTGTTTAAATCCTACCATCTGCAGTTCACTTTCAACATGGACAATTTGCTGTGTAGTAAGTGTAAACTAATCTTGGGGAGTTGTGGGAAGAAGGCAAATCTGGGTTCCTTAATGAGGAACATCCTGAATGATGCTTAAATCCAAGCTGTGTAACTTCCCACACGCCGCAGATTAGAGAATTTCAAAGATACACTAACATAAGCATCCAGAACGCTCCATAAGTCTTTGGCCATAAACAAATGGACAACTAAATGATTTCATTTCCCAGCTCAGAAGATGTTTTCCTAGCAAATCAAAACAAACACATTTAGCATCTACTTGTATTTTACCACAGCCTACTAACTGGAATCTTAAACTCAGCTTTATGACAATTAATATGTTCCAGGATTTTAAAAAAAGAAATAAAAGGTACATCTAAAGCAATAAATGTAGCTTCCTTTGAAGGAGAAAAATTAAAGAAGCATTTTAGAGAAGTGGATGACATTTCCTTTCCTTATTCCTGTCTTTTCAGGTCAACACATATTCATTTGCATGTGACTGTGTGTGCGTATCTGTATGTGTGTCCGTCCCTTAGAGGAAAGCATCTGCATAGATACAAGAAATATTTTTGTCCCCCAAAGATTTTACAACTGTTTTGTGAGTAAAGCCCCACAGGTTTTAGAACAGGTGTCTCTACCATTTCATGTATCGCTTGTTTTGTACGTAGTTATAGCAATGGAGAAACATGATGCCAATAAGATACTTTTCATGCCTATTTGTTGGCCTTGGTTTGCGCACGCACGCCTGTGTGTGTGTGTGTGCTCACAGAATGGAGGTGAGTCCAGTCATGTCTGTAATTTCTAACTTTCCTGTTGTCAATTAGCAATTTGCAAATAGTGTTGAAACCAGCCCTGCTTCTTTCTTCAGGACTAAACAGTTTGTAACGACAATGTAGCAGCATTCGGCCATTCTCTGAGAGATAATGGCAGTCTTCATTAGCAACATGTGGGTATTAACTTATCCCCTTGTGACACGTAGTTCTTTGTGGAGTCTTTGAGCATTGATGTCCAATGGATCTTTTTATTTTGTCTTTTTCCATTTCAGTCTTTCCCCACTGACGTCATATTCTGGTTCCCAGAAATAGACAAGTAGTTCCCATTAAAGTCGATGGTAACAAAATATGTCTAAATGTGGCCTTCATTTTTTAAGTGTTCAAAGTTTGGTTTGTTTTGCCTTTTCTCCCTGAAAAGCTTGTTCATGTTGAACTCCTCCTGGGAGCTGATCTAACTGCTAGATTCACCTCAAAATGAACACAGTAGTCATATATGCAGTTAATTAAATCCGTCTCCTTTCACAAGGAAATGAGAGGTTTTGAATGTAAATGTCTTCATCTGCAGTTGAGTATTCTCCTAATTTCTCATCCCAGCAATCTCTGATACTGAATCTATATTAAATCATAAAAATAACTGAAAAACCAGAAGGTTCTTCAATAAGCTTGAAAGTTTATTGTCCAAAGTATGTCAATATTAATATTTCTAAGTTATCCTTTTCTTTCTTTGAAAGGTCTGTAATTAAATACTGTGTCTCTTTTTATATAAAATAAGAGAAACCAAAAAGACATTTGTATATTTCTAAACTTAAAACTTTACGATAGGCTCTTCAGTCTATTACATTTCAGATGAATCAATGATATGACTTTTTGTTAAATAAAAAAAGGATTATATTGAGCTTGAGTTAACCCACTTGCTGCCCTGTTTTCTAATAATTTCATTATAGCCTGCACTTTTTATTCATGCTTCCACGATCCTATCAGTTCAGGTAATTTCCATAAAATTGGTACTTTCTAAAACGGCTTACCCTTGGAACAAAGGAGCATCTGCCTGCTAAGGTGGTGGTTACTCATAAAAAAAATAGAGGAGTAGGTGGTCGGAGAGACACATAGATTTTAGACAGTTGCCTAAGATGAAGAACAGGTGTTTTCACTCTAGAATTTGGGGAATTCATTTAAAATCGAGCACTTAAATCACAGACCTAGCCACTGCCTTTATTTCTGCAGTCAAGCTCTTAGAAGGATGATGGTGTAGCTGCTAGCCTTGACAACAACGCAGAGTGGAACTGACAGCAGGAGTAACTGCACAGAATGTGTTCTGTGCTTAGAACAAATGTTGAGTGCAGAGTCCTCGCTACTAGGCCTTCCTCTAACCAGGCTGTTTTCCTAATATTATTCCTTTTCAAATTCCTGGGTTTTGTCATTTATTTATTTATTTATTTTTTGAGATGGAGTCTTGCTCTGTTGCCAGGCTGGAGTGCAATGGTGCAATCTCGGCTCACTGGAACCTCCGCCTCCCGGGTTCAAGCGATTCTCCTGCCTCAGCCTCCCAAGTAGCTGGGACTACAGGCACCCGCCACGACACCCAGCTAATTTTTTGTATTTTTAGTAGAGATGGGGTTTCACCATGTTGGCCAGGATGGTCTCGATCTCCTGACCTCATGATCCGCCCACCTCGGCCTCCCAAAGCGCTGGGATTAAAGGTGTGAGCCATCACGCCCCGCCTTTTTTTTTTTTTTTTTGACAGAGTCTGGCTCTGTTGCCCAGGCTAGAGTGCAGTGGCACAATATCAGCTCACTGCAATCTACGCTTCCCGGGTTCAAGCGATTCTTGTGCCTCAGCCTCCCGAGTAGCTGGGATTAGAGGCGTGCATCACTATGCCTGAGAAATTTTTGTGTTTTTAGCAGAGACATGGTTTCGCCATGTTGGCCAGGCTGGTCTCGAACTCCTGGGCTCTCAAGCGATCCATCTGCCCCAGCCGCCCAAAGTGTTGGGATTACAGGCGTGAGCCACCGTGCCTGGCCTATTTAATTATTTTTGATTCAACACAAAGTCCCCTTTGTCACGGGGCTTACTGAAACAGAGCTGCGGGCACATCCACCTGCTGCTGAGGCACGAGTCCACACGGCACGCTCACTCTGTGTGGCGGGCAGAATCGTAGCGCCCCAGATGCCCACGTCCTAATCCTCAGAGCCTGTGAACACATTACTTCCCATGGCAAAAGGGACTCTGTGCATGAGATGAAGGTATGAATGGTGACGTGGGAAGGTTAGCCTTGGGTTCTCCCGGGGTCCACTGCAATGACACAAGTGCTTAAAGTCAGAGAACATTTCCTGGCTGTGGTCAGAGAGAAAGATGTGGCTAGGGACAAAGGGTCCAAGAAAGGCAATGTTGCTGGTTTTGAAGATGGAGGAAGAGGGCTTTCAGCTTCTAGAGGCCACTCACATTCCTTGACTCAACACAAGGAATGTGAGTGGCCGGCCTCTAGACGCTGAAAAAGGAAAGGAGGTGGATTCTCCCCTAGAGCCTCCAAAAAGGCAGTGCTGACTCCTGATTTTAGCCCAGTGAGACACCTGTCTGACTTCTGGCCTACAGAATTCCAAGATCACACATTTGTGTTGTTTTAAGCCACTAGGTCTGTGGCAATTCGTTAAGGTAGCAAGAGAAAATGAATACACTCTCCCTGTCACCTGAACAAGGAAGGGAGAGGGCTTGGCATGTGGAGTCTGTTAGACTTGGATTAAAACTCCAGCTCTACTGCAGACCAGCTGTGTGTCCTTATGCAAGTCATTTTATCTCTCTGAGCCTCTTTTTCATCATTTGTAAGCTGAAGGCTACGTGACTGCACCGGATTATCTGAGAGGTGAATGCCTTGACCATAGTGGTGTTTAATAAATGAGGGCTTTCATTACACATCTTTCTCTCTTTTGCTCTCTCTTGAGTCCAACATCCAGTCATGAAATTCTTTACACTCCCTTTCTCACTCCATATTAATTTAAGTTCAATTTCCTTTGTATTTTTGTTCATTCCTTCAGCCCATTGCTCTCTCACTTGTCTTCCTAAGAGAATCCTATCATTAAGCCACTCTCTCAATCAAAAGCCATTAATAACTCCCGCCCCTAGAATCACATTCCATATCTTTGCCCCAGCATTCAAGGCCCCCATTGGCTGGCCCCATTCTACCTCACAACCTCATTGAGTGCCAGTCCATTTCCCAGAGTGTGAACCCCAACCCAGGAGACCAGTCCCTAGCCTCAGGAACACCTGGCAGATGTCAGCGTTATCCACACGCTCCCTGGCCAGCTGGTATGGAGATGCCCCCCCTGGACCTTCTGCCCTGCTGAGGTTGGTCTGCCCACTGTCTCCACACCTTCGCCCCTGCAGTCTTTTCTGCTTCTCCAGGTGGATGTCCCTAATTTCCCACCTGCCTCCCTCTGGGTTCCTAACAGTGCCTGCCATTTGCCTCTCTAAACTGTGAGTCACCTTTGATATGTTTGCGTCTTGTCTCCCAGGTAGCTGGTAAACCCTTGGCTGGTGGGGCCCCTTCCC
This sequence comes from Homo sapiens, assembly GCF_000001405.40. Lineage (NCBI taxonomy): Eukaryota > Metazoa > Chordata > Mammalia > Primates > Hominidae > Homo > Homo sapiens. The sequence goes on from NC_000008.11 coordinate 73,435,328, forward strand.
TCTTTGAAATCTCCACAGTGTGTCCACAGAACATCCTCAAAAAATATTCCTCAGCTGATGACCCATCCACTTCCATCTGAAGTTCCCCCAGGAAGACAGGTGCTCGCAGACAGGGGTCTTATTCTGTTCTGTCTGTTCTCAGAGCCAGCATCTTGCCCTGGTTGGCTTTCCTCTCAGCAGGTAGCACTCCATATTTCTCTCCGCCTCTAACACACCCCTCAACCCCACCCTTGGGCTCTGCGGCCAAAATGCAAAGGGATAAAAAGTCCTAGGAAGCAGGACTGGGTTGTATCTATCTTGTCCGAGAGAAATGTTCCTGCCCCATAATTTACCTCCAAGGAATATGGATAATAGTTACTGTCTTTTTGAGATGTCAGTCATCTGAGATCTCAATCTTCTCTCATCTTCGAGGTCTGAAACAAGTGTTTTGCCCTCTTCAGGCCAGTCTGGGGTCTGCAAAGGAGATGCCTGGGAAACCTTATCTGGGAGGACTCCACAATTGGGGTTTTGCCTAAAACCTTGGTGGTGGCACATCCTGAACCAGAGGGACCTGAGGGAAGCACCTCTCGCCCGAGAGGAGCCTGGGTCTGTAGGGCAATCATGGCTGAGTTCTGCCTCCACCCCTCACCCCTCACCACTTGGAAGGTCTGTTTGAGATTTCTTGGTCCTTTGATATTCGACTCCAACAAAAATGTGAAGCATTCCTGCTGAACATGGGCACAGACAGCTCTACTTAGGAATTTCATTTTGGTTTGAGTAAGCAATTGATAAAACCTTACATTACGGTTATTTCATCATTTTTGCTGCACTTAGCATATTCCTGGATTGCATGTGGGAGGGCTGGGGAGAGGGGGTGATGGTCAAACAAGATAAGCTTTGAAGTTCTGTTTAATTCTGAATATTGGTTTTATTGAAATAGAGGCCCCAGCATAAAAGATGGTAAAGGCAGTTTCTCTCAGTGGGTGAGGGATGCAGTGAGCCTGACGTTTTTCTTGGGACATTTGGTGGCCATCCTAGTGGTGGGAGGACAGCAAAGACGGAGCTAGAACAGACCTTTGCTCCGTCCCAAATTTCTCTCCTTAACCTCCTCTTATACCTGATTTTACACGTATATTTATCTATTTATATTTTTCAGCTTTTAAAAATAAAAGTTCTAAACCTTTGCAAAAGTACAAAGGATAATAATACACTGAAGCTCCCTCATCCATCACCCAGATGAATTATCAGTATTTTGCCAATTTTTTATTTATTTATTTATTTATTTATTTATTTATTTTGAGACAGAGTCTTACTCTGTCACCCAGGCTGGAGTGCAGTGGCGCGATCTCGGCTCACTGCAACCTCCACCTCCTGGGTTCAAGCAATTCTCCCTCCTCAGCCTCCCAAGTAACTGAGATTACAGGCATGCACCACCACACCCAGCTGATTTTTGTATTTTCAGTAGAGACGGGTTTTCACCATGTTGGCCGGGCTGGTCTCAAACTCCTGACCTCAGGTGATCTGCCCGCCTCAACCTCCCAAAGTGCTGGGATTACAGGTGTCAGGCACCGTGCCTGGTCTATTTTGCCAATCTTGTTTCAGGTGTCTCACTCCATGTTTTTCCTGTAATATTCCAAATCAAATATCAGGTAAAGATACATGCCATTAACACACCTAACAATATTAACTCTAAATCCTTTATATCATCTAAATTCCTATGCGAACATTTCCTTGATAGTCTCAACAATGTCCTTTAAAGTCAGTTTTTGAATCTACATCCTGACAGTTCACACACTGTATTTGATTGATTGATCCTTTAAGATCTAGGAGTTCTGTTGTGGGCAGGATAAGGGCCCCCAAAGATGCCCATGTCCTAATCCATGTCACCTGTGGTATGTTACTTTACCTGGCAAGGCAACTTTGCAGATATCATCAGGTTAAGTACCTGGAGATGGGACAAGTAGCCAGGATTATACAGGTGGGCCCAATCTAATCACACAAGTGCTTAAAATTAAAGAACCTTTCCCAGCTGAGGACAGAGATAGAGACATGATGATCGGAGAAGGGTGTGAGGGATGGGTCATTACTGGCTCTGTACTTGGAGGAAGGGGCCATGAACCCAGGAATGCAGTGGCCACTAGAATCTGGAAAGGCAAGGAAACGGCTTCTCCCCTAGAGCCTCCAGAAAGGAACTCAGCCGTGGGGACACCTCAATAGCTCCAGCGAGTCCATGGGAGACTTCTGACCTATAGAACTGCAAGATCACACATTGCTGTTGGTTTAAACCACCATGTTTGTGGCAATTTGTCACCACAGTCATGGAAAAATGAATATACATCTTTTTAAGGGGGACTGAAAGTCACACTGAGGTGTAAGGTTGGTGATGGGCCCAGGGAAAGGTAAGGGTCTGGCTGAGATGCCTGGGGAGGGGAGGCTGGGCCTGAGAAGAGCGGCCCAGGTGCCAGGGGACCTTCGGTTGCCTCTGCCCACTCCTCACGGGCCAGTCAGGCAAGAAGAGAAGAGCTCGCCCTCCTGCTGCAGTGGCCTCTTCGCAGCAGGATCAGGCCACCTCCCACCTACACCCTTCAGCAGCCTCCCCTGCCCTTGGAAGGCAATCACGCACCATGCCCCCGTTACTCCTCCGCTCTGTGCTGGGCTCCTTTCTGTCCCTCTGCTGGGACAAGCTCCCTCCTGCCTCAGGGATTCCCGCTGGCTAGTCCCTCTGGCCATCCCTTCTCCACTGGCTGCTCATCAGCTCCAGGTCTCAGCTCCAGGGAGGCCTCCACTGACCACTCTGTCTAGAGTGTGCCCCCCAACAAATCACAGGACTGTGCTTATTTCCCTCATAGCACTTGTCTCAGTCTGTCATTATTTCTGAAGGAAGGGGCTGGCCTGTCTGACTCACTACTGGGGTATGGCCATGCATTCAACAAACACTCATGGAGAACCAGGCACCACGCTGGGCGCTAACAGACAGTCATCACCTTTCCATGGCATGTGTCCCAGCAGGGAGACAGGCAGGACAGCGACGGCAGTGGAACCAGACAGCTGTGAGGAAAGGACATACAGCAATGACACCAAGAGGTGGTGCTCAAGTCACCCTGGAGGAAATGGAGGTGTCCCAGAGAGGCAGCATTTGGGGTGAGCCACAGGGAGCTGGGGCGCAAAGCCACTCAGATTGGCTGCAGCCACCAGGGCGAGTGGGAATCCAGGACACCGTGAGTGTCCCAGGCAGTTTCAAAGCTGTGGTGCAGTAAAGGGCAATGCCTTATTCTGGGGAAGGCTGGGCCAAGCCCAGGGAGTGGAAGCTGCAGGCAAACGGATTCGGGCTCAAAACAGGAAGGAATCTTGTGTCCAGCGAGGGCAAGCTAGATGCTAAGACTGGGTGACGCCTACTACCTTGGGCCAAATGTCAGATGGGAGGCAGGTGGCTGTGTAGGCCTCTCATCTTTCAGGCTCCCTGATACTCAGGGTTAGGCCCGCTAACGGGGACAAGGCCACATAGGTAAACAGCACCAGCAAATTTGCAACGTGAGAAGGGCTATCAGAGAGGTGGCGTTCAGAACTACCTAATGTGTGGGGAGCTTGATTTGCTGGTAAAAGCTGTCTTCCTTCCCGCTGTTAGGAGGACACATTTGGACCTGACCTTCACCACTGGTCATGTGAGAAAGCCTCTATACCTGGTTCCTCAACGTCTCCGTTTAGAAGACTGCATCAGCAAAACCATCCTACCATGGGAATTAACTGATGGATGTGTCTGGACTTCCCAGGGGGTTCTCCATGGACAGTATTGTGCTGGTAAATATTTAACAACTGACTCTTCGTGGGGAGAAAATCACTAAGTGTAGCATCTGTTAACACCTCCACCCTGGCTGATGCGCAGTTGGGAAGACATGTGCACAGCTGGCACCGTGAGCTGGCAGGAGCTGCTCCAGCACCCGCATTGCATGCAAAAGTCAAGCACTATCTCCAGCTCCCTGAATCCTGTGTGAAGGCAGGACAGCAAGCTGGTTAAGAGGCTAAGATTTGACTGGGCATGGTGGCTCATGCCTGTAATCCCAGCACTTTGGGAGGCCGAGGCGGGCAGATCACTTGAGGTGAGGAGTTCGAGACCAGCCTGGCCAACATGGTGAAACCCCATCTCTACTGAAAAATACAAAAATTAGCCTCACATGGGGGTGCACGCCTGTAATCCCAGCTACTCAAGAGCCTGAGGCAGGAGAATTGCTTGAACCCGGGAGGTAGAGGCCGCAGTGACAGGGGTGGGAAAGAGGCTGAGATTCGCAGCTGAACAAACTTGGGCTCAATGAGCAGCTCCAACTCTTACCGGTCATATGACCTTGAGCAAGTACAAATCTCAATTAGTAAATAGGAAAGCATCTTCTGCTGATGAAGCATTCATTCTGTTCTAAGGACTTGCCATCTCCTAACTCACTTAATCTTCACAGTAACCACAACAGGTTGGTTTGACTCTCATTCGCAGTTAAAGACGAGGAGACGGAGACCTAGAGGAAGTCATTTGTACAAGGCCATATGGCTTGCTCCTGATAGATCTGGAATTTGGACTCAGGCAGCCTGGTTCTGGAGCTGAATTCTGAACTACCTATATCATCCCACCTCAGTCCAGTGAGAGAACGTGTCACCTGAGTGCTCAAGATACATCAAGAGCCCGACCATGTCCTGGAGCCTCTTAAGAGCGAAGCTCAGGGTGCAGGACCTGAGAGGGTGTTAATCAGCCGCTTCCATTTTTTTCTTAATATGGGAAGACCAGATTTTGCTTGGCTTCTGGAAACCGCTGCCATCTTGCTTTTCCTCCTACTTCAGCTCTTGGTCTCCTGTGCAGCTGGCTTTTCCTTCTTCCTGACTTTTCAAGCCCATCCTTGGACCTCTTATCTTCTCCATCAAAATTCTCTCCCTGGATGATTTCACTGAGGCCGATGGCTTAAATCCCTTAGAAATACTGATAGCTCCAAATCCCTATCTTTAGCCTGGCCTCCTGCCCTAGAATTCACTTGTCTAAGTGCCTAGTGGATTTCTCCACTTAGATGTCTCATAAGCATTTCAAACCTGCCCAAAACGAAACTTGATTACCATCCCCAAACCACTCTTCCCTAAGAAAATGGTGTCCCCGTTCCACCAGTTGCTCAGGCAAAAACCCTAGCAATCAGCCTCACTTGCTTTCATTCTCTCTCATCTCCCACATCAAACCCATTAGCAAATTCTGTTGGTTCTTTTTTGAAATGTACTCGGAGGCTACTTCTCACCACATGCTCTGCTATGGTTCTAGCCCAAGCCACTGTCAGTCTCTCCCAGAGACACAAGCTGTACCTTCCTAACTCGCACCCCTGTGTGCATCCCTGTGTGCATCCCTGCTCACCCAAAGCCAACCCTTTGCATATAACCAGAGTGATTTTTTTGAAATGTAAATAAGAACCGGTCACCACCCTATTCAAATCCTCCAGGGGCTTCTCATTTCTCTTAGAACAAAACCCAGACTCCTGACTACAGCCCCAAAGCCCTACATGATCCTGCCCCATTTACAGCTCCAGGCTCATTACCTACCTCGTGCTCCCAGCCCACGGATCATCGCCTACCACATGCTCCCAGCCCCCGGATCTCCAGCACATCAGCCTCTTGGCTCTTCTTAGAACTCCCTGAATTCACTCCTGTCTCAAGGACTTTCCTGTGCTTTTCCTTAGACAGGAGACACCCCTCCCAGTTCACATGGCTCACTCGCTTCATCCAGGTCTCTTCTCCAGTGTCCCCTCCTTGTGACCCCTGGATCTAAAGGAGTTGAACCACCCCACTCCTACCCTTATATTCTCATAGCTCCTCACGCTGCCTCACTTTTAGCAAGATTTCATTAAAATTTTATTGCTGTCTAAAATTCTATTATATATTTAACCATTTACTTGTTTAGTATCTGTGTCTTCCATTAGCAAGTAAGTTCTGGCCAGGCGTGGTGGCTCACACCTGTAATCCCAGCACTTTGGGAGGCTGAGGCAGGCAGATCACCTGAGGTCAGGAGTTTGAGACCAGCCTGGTCAACGTGGTGAAACCCTGTCTCTACTAAAAATACAAAAATTTGCCGGGTGTGGTGGCATGCACCTGTAATCTCAGCTACTCGGGAGGCTGAGGCAGGAGAATCGCTTGAACCTGGGAGGTGGAGGCTGCAGTGAGCCAAAAGAAAGAAAGAAAGTAAGTTCCATGAAGGCAGAAATTTTCTGCTTTATTCATTGCTGAATACTCAACATCTAGAATTGTAGACCCTCCATAGACACTTATTGGCTGAATGACTGAAAGAATGAATGAGTGGTTAGAAACAGTACCCATGTGGAAGAATATATAGCCACCTCTTACACACAGTTTCATTAATTCTCAGAAGTTTTCTATGGCAATTAGGGAGCAGATTATTTCGCCCGTTTATTGAAACCCAGAACTAACGATTGATGTTTAAAGACTAATCCGTCTGGAGTAAGTAGCTGCTGAATGTTGGCCGTTCAAATGAAGTAAGTTAAGTATTATGTGTCTCTAATGTATTTTAAACTTGTTTTATGTCAATTATATTATCACAACTTTGGAAGAAACTTTATTAGGACAAACTTTAATATTTTTTTCTAGAAAGTATTTTTTTTAAACTAACACAAATGCAAAGTCACTGTAAAGTTCAAGAAGTAAACGATATCTTCTTTTAGTTACAGCTGAAAGGAAAGCACATCACTAATAATACCAAACTTGGTTTGGCAATTTTTAGAAACCCCATTTAGGCCAGGCGCAGTGGCTCACACCTGTAATCCCAGCACTTTGGGAGGCCGAGGTGGGCGGATCACGAGGTCAGGAGATCGAGATCATCCTGGCGAACATGGTGAAACCCCTTCTCTACTAAAAATACAAAAAATTAGCTGGGTGTGGTGGCGGGTGCCTGTAGTCTCAGCTACTCGGGAGGCTGAGGCAGGAGAATGGTGTGAACTTGGAAGGTGGAGCTTGCAGTGAGGCGAGATTGCACCACTGCGCTCCAGCCTGGGCGACAGAGCGAGACTCCGTCTCAAAAAAAAAAAAAAAAAAAAAATTAAAAAGTAATGTTTAAAGTCTATACTTAAAATAACCATTTCAAAGAAAAAGCTAGTATCCTGATTTCTGCAAAATATCCTCATTAAGACAATTTAACCATACGAAGAGATTTACTCTGTGTTTGAATAATATGGTCACAAGTGGTCTCCCTTACCTACCTCCACCCCTAAATGAGAAGAAATTTAGTATACTCATGGGGATATGAGTTAGGCCTGCCAAATACTTTTGGAAAAAATTCTGCTAAATTGTTTCTAGAAACTGCTAGTACTGTTAAGAGGGTTGACACATTCTAATATAGCCAAACACAGTTTTTTCTAATTGCTTGGCTGCAAATGAACTTGTAAGGTTAAAAGTATAAGAATTTATTCCATGATCAGTGATGGAATCCTAATCCATCTTAAGTTGCGTGCATGACAACTGGCATTTCCTAATATGTATTACGAGACAGAGAATTTTTTAAAATTTTTGCCTGAGGGTACATTCCCTTTCAAAAGCAGAAGATTTTCTTCTTTTGCTTTCTCAAGATATCACGCTAAACTTCATTCTTGATGGTTCATCGATTAAGGAAGCAAGATAGAAAGGAGAATCCATGATAGATTTATAAATTTGGGGCAAAATGTAACACAAAGCATTCCAATACGCAACTTCAAATCAAAACCTCAACTTGGGCAAGGGATGTTATATCAACCAACAGCATTCTTTAGAAATGCCTGACATTCAATTGGATAGAATTATATATTGAAATAGATTGTAGGCATATTGCGAATGTTTTTCCTCTAGCATCTGGTAGTATCAAAGCCCAGGAGGAAAAAAAAGGGTGACTGTGCCAGAATTAAAAAGCTGCCTCTTTGGATAAATATGTGGAAAGGTTATGAATTAATTTATCAAAAGGCTAGAAGAATTTGCTGGAAGTCGGAGGGAGAAGCGGTTTCTAAAAGCAATAAGCTATTTGGAATTTGGCAGCATGCAACTTAGTGCTTTGTATAGCTAGTATTATTAGCCAAATAAGGGTAAAATGACATTTCAAAGGAGGAAAACGAATGAATGAATACATGCATAGAAAGCAACAAGGCAATATCCTAATTTGTAAATGTAAGTAGTAGTCATAGTGTCTGAGATGTAATGTGGGATGAGCCCCAAGGGAAATCAGGCACCTTCTCAATGAAGCCTTTTTAGACTTCAAAGAAAGTAGTGGCTGGGTGCAGCGTATCACACTGTAATCTCAATGTTTTGGGAGGCCAAGACAGGAGGACTGCTTGAGGCCAGGAGTTTGAGACCAGGCTGGGCAACATAGTAAGTCTCTGCCTTTAAAAAATAAAAATTAGCTGGGTGTGGTGGCATATGCCTGTAGTCCTAGCTACTTGGGAGGCTAACGTGGGAGGATTGTTTGAGCCCAGGAGTTTGAGGCTGCAGTGAGCTGAGATTGCTCCACTGTACTCCAGCCTAGGTGACAGAGTGACACCCTGTCTCTTAAAAAAAAAAAAAAGTAGTGACTTGTGATTTGTGATCTGGATACCAGTTAAAGTTAGCTAACTGCTAAACAAACACTCCAGAACCTCAGTGATTATGGAAAGCCCAAGTAGGTGTTCCTGGGCAGTAGACCCTGGTCAGTCAGGGACCCAGACTCCTTCCATGTTGTGACTCTGCTCTCCTCTAGGCTAGCATTATCGTCCTCTCCTTTTAGCCAGTGGAAGAGAAAATAAAATGGAAGGTAGTGCATAGGAGGATATTATGAATGAAGAGTGACAGCTGGGTGCTGCGGCTCACGTCTGTAATTCCAGCACTTTGGAAGGCCGAGGCGGGCAGATCACTTGAGGTCGGGAGTTCGAGACCAGCCTGACCAACATGGAGAAACCCCGTCTCTATTAAAAATACAAAATTAGCCAGGCATGGTGGTGCACACCTGTAATCCCAGATACTCTGGAGGTGGAGGCAGGAGAATCGCTTGAATCCAGGAGGTGGAGGTTGCAGTGAGCCGAGATCGCATCATTGCACTCCAGCCTAAGCAACAACAAGAGCAAAACTCCATCAAAAAAAAAAAAAAAAAAGAATGAAGAGCGAAAGCCCTCATATTCCATTGACCAGAACCCAGTGACATGACCACACCTAACTCCATGAGAGGCTGAGGAGTGTAGCTGTGAGCTGAGAATTCTGAGGAAGCAGGTGTGAGTAATTAGTTTCTACTGCAAATGGTACCATGACATTGTACTCACTTGCTGAGGAATCTCTGTTCTATCCCCCCATGGTAAATTGTAAGTTCCTAGAACAGGATAGAGTTAGGTCTTATGTATCTCAGTATCTTTAACACTAACACTGGCATGGAGTTGATGCTCCATTTGTAGTCAGTGGATGTGGCTGTCTGGCTCACAAAGCCCAGCACAGTGACCTGGTGATGTTAAGACTGGTGTTCTGTGTTTTAATATTGCCAAGAAATACTTGCATTTTTCTCCCCTCCTCAAGATGGCTTCCCTGTGAAGACACTTCCAGAGGACACAGGGACCACATGCTAACAGTAGGCAAGGGGCACATACTTTGTTAACTCTCATTGTGTCTTCAAGCTAGGAGAAGCCTTCAGAGGAAGGCATCCTCGCACTCTTCACCTCTAGAAGGAGCGCCTAGATGGGGAGGCTGTGTTCCTGGAAGACAAAGAATAGGGCGGAGGGTTTCTAGTGAAACCCAACCTCATGAATAAAAAGAGAGCCAAACTCGAACCAGACGTCCTTATCAGCCAAGAAAGAAGTCAGAATTTACAAGTGAGTGAGCAGGACTATAGAACTTTAGACAAATCCAGAATCTTATTCTGTCTCCATTTTATTTCACTTAAAACAGGAACAGCCCCCACATGAATATTCAGGGACCAGAGAGGAAGGGGTTTCTGCAGGGTTGCACTCCACTTTGCAGTCAGGCTAGGAGAGGATGAATCCTAAGGAAGAGATGGCGGCAGCAGTCCCTTATTCATTTTTTTATACGAAAGTACAAAGCAAAACAAAAACAAAAACAAAATCACAAAACACAAAACAAAGCCCCCAAAACAAAATTACAAAACAAAAAAAGTGCAAAATTACAAAACAAAAAACAAAATTTTAAGCTTTATTTTTTAAAACACAATTACCATCAAGGAAAAATGGATACATTGGACCTCATCAAATTACAACTTATGCTCTGTGAAAGACTCTATAAGAGAAGGAAAATGACAAGCTACAACAGGGAGGAAATATTCGCAGACCACATATCTGACAGAGGGCCAGTATCTGGAATGCATGAAGAACTCTCAAAACTCAACAGTGGAAACAAACAATCCAATTAGAGAATGGGCAAAGGACATGAAGAGACATTTCACCAAAGAGGATTTACGGATGGCAAACATGAAAAGATGCTCAATATCACTGGCTACTAAGACCATATTATACACCTGTTAAAACAGCTGACATAAAAAGTAGTGACACCACCATACGCTAGAGAAGATTCGGGGGAACTAGATCCTCAGCCACTTCTGATGGGAATGTAAACTGGCTCAGCCACTCTGGAAAAATAGCGTGGCAGTTTCATAAAAAACTAAACATTCACTTACCATACAACCTAGCTATCATACTCCTGGGCATTTATCCCAAAGAAATGAAAATTTATATCCATAAAAAAACCTGTACACAAAACTAGAAACAACCAAAATATCCCTAAGCATGTGGTGGGTTACAAATTGTGGTGCATCCATACCATGGAATACTACTCAGCCATCAAAAGGAACAAACTATTGATATAACTTGGATGGACCTCAGGGACATGAAGCTGAGTGAACAAAAGTCCATCTCAAAGAGTCATGTTATTATGATTCCATTTATGTAACATTTTTATAATGATAAAAGCATAGAGATGGAGAACAGATTCATGGTTGCCAGGGCTGGGGATGGTGGGGAAGTAGGTGTGAGGGGAGAATAGACAGCACGAGGGAGAGCCTCATGGTGACAGAATAGCTTTGTATCTCGATCGCTGAGTGGTTGCACAAATCTTACACACGTGATAAAATGGAACAGAGCTGCAACATAAGGTGTGTTCTACTAATATGGATCTCCAGGTTTTGGTACTGTCCTACAGGTCAGTGAGATGTAACCACTGGAAGAGACTGTGTGCAGAGTACGTGGGACCTCTCTGTACTATTTCTACTACATTCTGTGAATGTTTAATTATATCTAAATGCAAGGTAAAACAAGAACAAAATTAAAACTGTGCTTTTGGAAAAACAGTATTTTACATTTTTAATTTAATTTAATTTAATTTTTTTTAAAGACTGGGTCTCACTGTGTTGCCCAGGCTAGTCTCGAACTCCTTGCCTCAAGTGATCCTCCTGTCTTGGCCTCCCAAAGTGCTGAGATTACAGACGTGAGCCATTGTGCCTATTTTTAATTTTAAAATTAATAACTCTCATTGTAAAGTGTTTAAGACTATTTAAATGTTAAAGGAAAGTCCCCCATACTGTCTCACCCTTCAATCAACTCCAATCTCATGTCACAGAATAACTACTATGAACAGTCAAGTGTGGTGTGCATCTTATTTGTTATATTCTTTTCTGTTTGTTTGTGTTTTTGAGACACAGTCTTGCTCTGTCACCCAGGCTGGAGTGCAGTGGCAAGATCTCGGCTCACTGCAACCTCCGCGTCCCGGGTTCAAGCAATTCTTCTGCCTCAGCCTCCCAAGTAGCTGGGACTACACAGAGGCATGTGCTGCCACGTCCGGCTAATTTTTGTATTTTCAGTAGAGACAGGGTTTCACCGTATTGGCCAGGCTGGTCTCGAACTCCTGACCTCGTGATCTGCCCGCCTCGGCCTCCCAAAGTGCTGGGATTACAGGCATGAGCCACCGCAACCAGCCAATTATTATATTCTTATATACACATATATGGACTTTTGGTTTTTTCCTCAAATGGAATCACTATGCTAACTCTTCTGCAACTTTTTTTTCCCACATAATAATAATACATCTTGGACATCTTTTCAAGACACCATAAACAGCTCGATCTCATTCTTTTTAATAGCTGCATGGCATTGCATCATATGGCTGTGCCATAATTGATTTAATCAGTCCCATAATAATAAATATTTAGATTGTGTCCAGTTCTTACCAAAAATGCTGCAATGGATATTCCTCTACAAACATTTTGTGCAAATACTACATCTATAAGACAAATATATGATTTTGATAGATAATGTCAAATTGCTTTCTTAAAAATTTGTAACAAGTTGTGGGTAAAAGCAGCTTTAAAGAGAACAGGAGGGCAGCTGCATCCCCAAGGGCCTGGAAGGGAAGGGACCCGAAGGAACCTCGCTGACCACGAGGTGGAACCCCTGGAAGAACCAGGGCGCCTCCCACCTGTACTGGTGGGGACACCAGGCTTATGGAAAGTTAGCAGTCGTTTTCCTTTTCCTCCCCCCTCTGGGTGGCTAGGGGACACTTCATCTTTATCAGGAAATGAAGTGAGATTATCTAACATGAGAGGATCTATCTTACCACCCTCTGGAAAGCGACAGCAGGGCTAGTCTTTCCTCTCAAGACACACCGGGACATTCCCATGAGTGCACACACTGGCTACGGCATCCATCGATGGGATTTTTAGCCAACATCTTCCAACTTCACTTCCTCGTTTCCACCACCGACCCATTCCCAAAACAATTCTAGTTTGACTTTACACTGGACTAACCCGGGTGCAAAGTGACTGGACCCTCCCAAGGAGGACCCTAGGCAAAATCCTAAAATGGGCCTGCCATAAACTGATCCTCTCCCTCCCAGCTGCAGGTACCCATGAGTGTTAAACTAGAGAAGGCAAATGTTGGCATAATCATATTGGCTTACAGGAATTCATGGGTCAGGGACCATTTTGGGAAGGAAGGATATAAGATTTTAACGTTTGCTAAAAGGAGATACAAGTCTTTTTTTTTTGGAGTCTCGCTCTGTCCCAGGCTAAAGTGCAGTGGTGCGATCTTGGCTCACTGCAACTGCTGCCTCCCAGGTGCAAGCAATTATCTGCCTCAGCCTCCCGAGTAGCTGGGACTACAGGCGCACGCCGCCACGCCCGGCTAATTTTTTGTATTTTAGTAGAGACGGGGTTTCACCCTGTTGTCCAGGCTGTTCTAGAACTCCTGAGTTCAGGCAATCAGCCCGCCTCGGCCTCCCAAAGTGCTAGGATTACAGGCATTAGCCACCACGCCCGGCTAGGAGACACAAGTCTTAAAAGGACTGAGCGACACTGATGTGTTCCTGAGCTCACAGTTGCTCAGAAACTGGGGTCTCAGTGAGGTCATGGGACTCATCCACGTCACGGGGCTGGAAGATGACCCACCTGGCCTTGAACCCTGGTTATCTGTTTCCCAAATCAGAGTTGGTGGACAGAGCAACGACAATCCAGCTGGAGCGATGGTTCAGGGTATGTGTTCACCCAGCCCTTTCGGGACGTCGCGTGCCTGCACTGTGGGAACGCAAGTGGACAGCCGGTCCCTGCCGTGGGCGCTAGGGGCCAGTGCTCAGCGCGGGAATATTCCCACCGCCACGTGCGCGCGGACAGCGGGTACTCTGAGGAGGGGCCTGCAGCCCGGCTGGGGCTGGGAAGACTTCCTGGACGAGGGGCAGCCCGGGTTTTCCTCAAGGATGAGCTGGAGTCGGCCCCCGGCGCAGGAGCAAGGTGCCGGGAGAGGGCCGAGCTGGGTGAGAGGCCTGGGCCAGCCAACAGCGGCCTTCGAGCAGGGACCGCGCAGCTCCGTGTCCCCGCAGTGGGAGGGCGGCGGGCAGGGGCCGGGCGAGTTAGGCCGCAAGCATCTGCTGGGGCCGTCGCAGCACCATCCCACAGACCGCCACTGAATCAACAGCAGCCAGTTCTCCCTGGGCTCTGGAGGCCGGAAGTCCAAGAGCAGGCATCAGGATGGGTCCCTCCTTGGCCTGCAGGTGGCGGCCTTCTGGCTGCGTCCTCCCAGGGCCTTCCTTCTGGGCAGCACACCTGGCTGCTCTGTGTCCTGATCCCCTCTTCTGAGGACACCAGGCAGATTGGATTGGGGCCAACTCTTATGATCTTATCGCCACTTTACCTCTTTCAAAGATTTTATCTGCAAATACAGCCACATTCTGAGGTACTGGGGGTTAGGGCTTCAACGGATGAATTACAGAGGTGGGGGCACAATCCAGTCCGTAACAAGGCTTTTGTGTCATTTCCAGGGGCACAGATTCTCCCAGGCACCAACTGGAACCAGGGCAGCAGCGAGCTCAGATTTGTTTTTGGAAGGCCTGTCTGCCCTGGGGCTGGGTGGGCAGTGGGACCACCGGCAAGAGGCCTGCAGGACAGATTAAGCTCCCTCTTGACTAAGCTCCTACACCAGCCCACCCCTTTCTTGTTACAACCACTTTTGCTGCTTGGCTCTCTGGACTCCTGAGGCCCAGGAGGGCTTAGGGTGGGGGTGAGGCGGGGAGACACCTCTCCTGGCAGCCCCCTCACTACTCCTGCCTCTGGCAGGAGGAGCTCTGCAGGGTCACTATCTGGACCCAGCCCGTTGGGCACCTTCTGCAGACTCAGAAGGGAGCAGCACTTCCCCACCAGGGCTACAGGGAGGGCCAGATACCTTCCAAGAGGCAGTCCTGGACAAAGGCAGCAGGATATGCCGGGCTGGCAGAGGCAAGGGATCAGTGGACAACCAAATGGCCTTCAAACCAACAGAGGATGGGTAAATTTGGATGCATGGATTTGGGGGCTTTATGAATTTAGACATTTTAAAATATGTATTAATAAGTAACAGAAACTTACTTCTTTAGGCACAATATTAGAAATATTGGAAGTATATTAGAAGTTATTAAACCAACTGGAGATCTTTTTAGCCAATGTTTTAAACACATTTATGACTAGAGCAAAAACTTACTTTCAAAATATTGTGATAGTTGTATGTCGACATAACTTAGGAAAATTGCACACATTTTTATCTTATGTAGTTTAAAACTATTCTTCTGTGAAGAGGTGCATAAGTTTCACCCGATTGCCAAAGAGTCCATGGCTCAAAAAAGGTTAAGAATCCCTGTTTAACCAAAGCCACGGATGAGATGAGGTGGAGTCCAAGGAGAGGAAACTAAAGACTCATTTTACCCTCTAGTAATAAGACGTTTGGGGGCTAGGACTTCAGAAAAGTTCAACTGCTCTGGAGCAACTGGAAAGTTCAGGGCTTCAAAATATAATACAGGTAAAGAAAAGCAAAGTATTGGTATTCTTCTGATGACAAATGTTCTTTGATTTTCATCATCCTTCTGAACACAAGTCACAAGTTTGAAAACCTGTATAATGCTGATCATCTCAAGTACCCTCTGCCTTCAATCTTGGGTGTGTTTATTTGAAACCTAACAATGTGTGCAAAACCAGGAGAAGGCTGGGGAGTGAGGGATTTTGCCAAAGTCACACAAGTGTGTGTGCTGTTTTTGCTCCAAGCTGATTAGATGCTTCTATTGTTATGTATCAAGACATCTCAGGGTGTGGTTGCCCTAAAGGAGACAGTGAGGCAAGAAGGTGACGGCATTTGTAGTTACCAGCCACCCTCCTGCTCTTTTAGGATGTTTGTGTATACACACCCTAATGCCAGCACATGAGGATGTGGAGACCAGGCCCAGGAGGAATCCATCCTCACAAACACTGAAGAACCCAGTTATCCGTGTGCTGATCCACACGCTGCCGGCAAAGCCTGTAGCTGGCAGGCATCATGCCACATTTCTCTCCCAAAGCAACCCTATAAACGTAATCCTTGAACAGGGCCTTCTCATTTCCAGCAGCTCTTTCATAATTTTGTGCTTTCTACTTTTTGAAATGTTGTCTTGGCTCATCCCACTTGAACCTACAGCCGTCAGCTTCTTTAATAGGGGTGTCTATAAAGAACTGCCCTAAAATATGCTTTTCCAGTGCACTTAATGTCTTTCCAATTACATCCAGATGTGAAAAGCTGAAGGAACAGTTCTCAGGACTGGACAAGATGACATAAATCTTGCAGCTGACAGAGATCCCACTGAGCTCAGTTGGGGAAACTCACAGAGAACTTGTTTGGGGCCAGAAAAGCGGCTGGGTATAAAGACAGATGTGTACACTCGGATTCAAAAAAATATGTTAAGAGAGAGAAAGCGTTCCTCTAACACAGTGCCTACAAATACGGCTGAGGCATGAAGCAGGCTGGGCTACCCACCCCCCGCAACTAGATCAAAGGAGGTGATTGAAAAGGCTTTGGAGAGAGCAGACCAACTCAGCGATGCTTCCTGGTCTCCTTAATTGCTCTTCTCAGGGTGAGGAAGGTGGGCACTCCTGACAGACCTTGCTGGAGGAGAACAAGGGCTGTTTGTGCAGCTGAGGACTTGGCTTTTATTTTTTTAATGATTAGGTTTTGTACACTTTCCAGAATGTTCCTTTTAAAAATAGTATATTCTTCCTTCTCTTCTCCAGATGCTAGGAAGTGCAGGTTCAACCCAAACCGTGTCTATTTCAAAGGGACACAAAAACCCAGAGCTGGAGTTAAAGGAGCTTGGCGGCATGCTGCCCAAGGACTGAAGGCTTTGGTTTTCTTTTACCTTCCCAAGTAATTTTGTTTTTGAAGGTTGGAAAACAAATTCCACAGAAGGATCAGCTTCTGCAGGATACAGCCTGGAGCAAGGCAGAGCAAGGAGCTGGGTGCAGGGCTGAGCCAGGACCAGGGCAGACACGGTCTCTCAGACAGGTGCCGCCCTAGACAGACAGCTCCTGATGCATCCAGGGGCTCGCTTTCTAGTATTTCAGGTTCCCAGGGGAGGAACTGAGGGTTTTCTTTTTTCTCTCAAGAGGCTCCCTCCAATTATCCACTGCCTCTTCTCTAACTCTTCTCTCTCTCTCTCCCTATCATGACACCCGGCTCTGTGACAGAGGACAGAGGGGCTTCGCTGCACACTTGCTCTGAGGAGGCTCAAAGGGCCCATTTGCAGCACCTGGTCAGGGCCACTCTTGCAAACCTCGCCTGGGCCCAGCCCACCCAGTGCTGGAGAAGCCCTGTCCTCCTTGGCTGAGACCTTTTGCTTTTCCTGCCATGCATCCCACGGAAGGCCTGATGATGGTGCATTTCATTGACAATTTTATGACCCTGGCCATTTCCCCCTGTAACAATATCTTTAAAATGGCTCCTTGTCTTCAGGTGGGTGAGAGCAGGGCTGTGCTCTTCCCTCTCCTTCCTGTCACTAAACGTCTGTGCCTTAAGCAATAACACTGAAGTAGTAGAATGTGAGTTCTGGATCACAGAACTGCACACATAACTTTGACCACTTTTGTTTCCATCCTGAGATAAAAGCCAAAACGTATTTTTTAAATTTATGTTTTACATCTTTTAGTTGGGCATTGCTTTTCTGAGTGAATTCTAAGTATTGTAAAGATGTCTTCAAAGACAGACAACCTCGACTCTAAAGAAATTAATGCAAATTACAGTGTATCTCAGTGACATGCTAATTTATAGCACCGTAAAGGTACAGTTCAAAGCTCCAACGAGCCAGAAGAAAGTCGGTGGATTGATGGTTTGCAGTAAGAAAGGTTTAGAAACAATAAAATGTAACTAGGATTTTAGTTTGGAAATGAACTAGGGGTCCATTTGTTCCACGTTACTGAGTTTTTAATTTAGATCTGCTGTTAAAACCTAATGCATTTTGTATTTGTGGCTAGTAAATGACTCTGACTCGGTGTCTTCAAGGAGACATTGAAAAAGAACAGGAACAATTCTCAAAGATAAGACTTGCAGCTGCAGGTTTCTTAACAAAAAATATAATCTCTAGATCTCACCTCTAAAATGTGATTACAAAGCAGAAAAGTAAAATGAAACAAAGAAACAAACAAAAGAAACACCTGTGATTTTTAAAAAAGAGGTTGGCAATTATTGTAAAAGGGAAAATGCATTTCTGTAGAAGCAAAATTCACTTGTAGTAGCATATAAAATATCATGCTGTATATTCATGAACTGGCAATTATTAATCCCAAACACGTGAATTTGAGTAAGAATGTAAAAGCTATCATTTGATGTTACAAACAATGACTATGTAAGCATATCTTCCCATTTCTTTGCTCAGTAATCCTATCATTTACACTCTACATGGACACTGAATGTGCAAATAGATTCAGCAAACACACTCTAGATTCTAAGAGCTGTCTGGGAAAAATCAAGGGGCACCTTGTTACCTACCCAAACCAAACTGGTGAAAATTGGCACGAGTGCTTAGGTGCTTTGAGGCCTGAGTAGCTAAACCAGTTTGAAAATAGATACCTCTTTTTAGAGCACAGAAGGAGAAAAAAAATTTTTAAGAGGCAATTAATTTCTTAGGATAAGTAGATTTTTGTTTTAATTTTTATACCAACAAGAAATTAAACTCTGGTAGTACAAATAACATCTTTTTTTTAAAAAAAAAAGATACAAAGCTACTGATCAGGCATGTATCTGTTTTGTTTTAAGAAAGCAAATTCCCGGGTGTGGGTCAGTGTAGCCCTCTCTCTGTGAGGATGACAGTTTTCTGAAGTGACGACTTGCTCCAGCAGCCACTCCACTCCAGAGGGCTGAGCTTCAAGCTGCCACTTGGATGCATGTCTGTGTAGCCAGAAAACAAATGTACACTTTTACTAAATGTTGTGTTCCTTTTACTCAAGATCACCTAATTCTAAATATATTTTTTACAAAAAAAAATTCAGAATATTAGACTATTTAAAAATTAGTTATCCTTAATGAATATAAAGGTTAATAAAATTATTTCTCAATAGAGCAAGCTGTAAAAAAGGAATTCCGTTCCCCAATCTAGCAGTCACAAATTCTGCACTTTAGGCTGTTAGTTTTTAAAATGCCACACATTCATAAAGTTGTGTTTTGCTACACATGCCAAAATATTACACAGTAGCTGTGATATGACACCAACCGGACAAATTTAAAATTTGTGGAACCCTGAAGAATTACATTTCTTCTTGGATTATCTTATTGCTGATTTCATTTGCAGCTGTAACCTAATTTTTACAATGTTAAGTGGGCCTACCTTCAACTCACATAGTTACTTTTGCTTCTTGATAATATGATCATAAAACCGAATTTGAAAGACTTCCTTTTGTGATCTGTGTATCTGTATGGAGGGATGTTTTCTCAATCCCTGAATCAGAGGTGGCAACAGACAAGGGTAGTGAAGATTAGGACTCAATAGAATGGGGTCCTAGGTCACTCTGTCCCAACAGGACATGCCAATCATTTATCCATCCACTCTCTTCTTCAACACAGAAATAGCAATCACAGACCATGATGACATCTTCCATTTGAATGGCATTTTACATTTTCTTATTTTTAAAGAGAGAAGAATAAGAGTATTAGGCAAGGAAAAGACTAACGATGGCATTCTTTCAAGCCGTGATTAATATGCATGGTCTGTAGATGTATATTAACACACACAGATCATGGATTTAAATGACTTTATAGTAAAGCCACAGTAGGACTGTGCCTCCCCACAAGACAATGGTGCCCAGTGAGAGCTGCAGCCTATGCAGATCTGGGAAGCTGTGGCTGTGGAGAGGTCGAGTGGTCCTCCCACCACTAGGAGAGAGGTAGTTTAGGCAGGACCTTGGAGTCCAAGCCAGCTCATGCTTAGAGATAGGATTCAGCTTCAACTGGAGATGGAAACATTTAGCCAGTTCATCCTACTCAGTGTTTGCGGCATGACCCTAGAATTCTACCATGTGCAACCCTACCAAAAACATGCCTTGGTGCAGGCAGAAGGGCCATCTGGATCCCATCTCCTCATACAAAGGTGCAGGTCACAAAGCCTCCTGCCCGCTCTGCTTGGGCTGGCTCTGAGACTCACAGCTATCTATCTAGAGACTCACAGCTATCTGATGGTAAGGAAGTTTACACTTGCAAAGGCTCAGGAAGGAGAGGTTGTGAGATTGATTTGGGGAATTTAGCAACTTGGTCTCTGGTCAAACTACTACTCTCTCAGGGGCTGTGCGGTCAGGGCGAAGGTTTTGGGAGCCAGGAGTACAGGTTGGGAGTCAAAGGCCATCATGTTTAGGAGGCTCACTGTTGCTGCAGCAGACACTGACACCAGACCTCCCTTGACCTAGAGAGAATGTGGGACTTGTCCCCATTGGGCTCTGGGGCAGCCTCAGCTCAGGGCAGTCCAGAGCAGCCCAAACCAGGAGTGCGAGGTATGTTCACAACCTCCAGAGACAGGCCCAGGGGTGCTCTGTGCCTCTGCTGAGGTTATTCCCTATCCTTAAAAGGCCCTAACCTCTTATCTTCCTCTGAAAAACCACCGTCATTTCCTCCCCTAAAGTGCTCTCCAAATTTCGTGTCTGTCCTTTGCACTTCCAGAATGCTTTGCCCATATATCTGTTATAGTTTTTTTTATTTTTTTATCACACTGATAATATGTGAGACTACAACGTGTCTCTGTACACCACCTGGCCGTGGTCAAGGGGGGTGATGTACATATCTCTCTAGCCCCAACACATAACCTAAAACATAGTGGATGTTCAGTACATATGAGATGGATGGACGGACGGATGGATGAGAAGCTGAGGTTTAATGTCTGAGTGTGTCATCCAAATCAAAGTTCACTGGCTGTTTTTAGAGTTTAAGAAGATGGATTAAATGTCTAGACCCATGTCAGAAAGGATCCATGTACTGGTACAAATGAATGACGATGGGACATGCTCTCCAGTGGGCAGACTCAGGCTCAGCAGTGAGACAAATACCCTTAAAATCTTCAGATCTGTGAACAGCACGTGTTTCTATCTTGTTGTCATGGAGCATTGTTCAGTTAAAAACCGAAAGTCAAACGGAATAAATAAATGTGCCGCAGGAGATTAGGCACAAAAGGGCAATCGAAAATATACAGTGTGGTCTATTTAAAACAGGTCCCAGTTGGTGATATAGAAGACTTTAAATAGGGCCTCTTTAAAACAGGTGAACCTAAATTAATCCAGTGTAAGAACTGGAACCTCTCATCTTCCATTACATGGAGAAAGAATAACTGAAATCTGCCCAGAGTTATCAATCATTCATTCAGTCAGGTATCTTTTGAACACCTCCTAAGTGTACAATATAGTCCCTGCTTTGCTGAGGATGTAAAGAAATTGGAAATGTGGACATGAAAGAGGAAGAGTTTGCTAAGTGGGAGGGGGAGGGAGCAGGTGCTCCTCATGGCAGGAAGGGAGGGGGCAGAACAGTCCTGGTGTGGAGGCAGGAACGAGCATGGGGCCCATATTCGGAGGTCTTGGGGAGTTTCTATTGCATTCCGTCTTACCAGATAATTATTCTCTTCCTACCGTTCCTATGTGGGTTACTGGAGCTGATAACATTCTCTATGTTTACAGCCACTGATATTTTCTCTATGATGACATATGTTTCAAGTATAGAAAAATGTATATGCAAACACATTTGGGCATCTATTTAAACAAGGAAACAGTACAGGGGCTGCTAGATTCAAATTCCAGGAGTTGTACAGAACATTTTATTGAGTAGGGAATCACACGCAGTGTACCGAGTAACAACATTTACCAAATGAAACCAAGGTCTCTTAATGTTCCCAAATCTTTGATTCTCTAATACAATAAATATATTGCTACTCAAACATTCTTTTAGCCCTGACATCTTTAACTTGCATTGGGAATTCTTTGAAGTTGAGTTTTCCTCAGGACATATTATATCCATAAATTAGATTTTTTTCATAATCCTCTCTGGCCTTTTCTAGCTCATCAAGGGCACTGAAAGGGATAGAAACGATGACTGTGCAGTCAGATATCTGTTTTCAAATGGAAAATGGCGAGAATACTAAAGAGATCTACCCCAGCTTAGAAACACACAGAAAGAAATTTCAACAACCAAAAACCACCTCCCTTCAGATGTTACTATCTACATGACAATCAACAATCCAATACACTGCAGGTTGGTGTCCAAGCCCAGGCCCTTGGAGGCTGCAGCCCTCCCAAGGACCCCATTAGGATAAGGGCCAACAAGGCTGCCCCCAGGGGCTGTGTGGCCTCCACACTCTTACACTCTTACATGCATAGTTGAATCTTCATCTCGAATGAACCGCTTAGGCTTAGGCACCCTCTCATATTTCCATTGGTGATGCTGTCACAAGGGAATTTCATTTTATACTTTCCAGCCTAAGAGATTTGGTACAAAAAAGATATGCCGCCAAAATAAAAAGATGGGGGAGGAAAAGAACATCTCCCACGTCCCTATGACGCCAAGGCTTTGCTCAGAATTTATTTAAGTCTGGGTTTAAATACCATTCTTGGCTTTTTCTTTGGTGTAATATTTGTATTTGCCTGACTCTCCTCTCCATTGAAGTATCCCTATTTTAGCTGTTTTTATTCACATAATTTCCATCAGGATAGGCATGATATGCAAAGTACTTAACAGGTAGGGAGTGCATGGGCACCAACTGAGCAGAACTAATTGCCACCCTGGGCTGGGGCAGAGCCTGAGATACTCCCTTGTTGCACTGGGTGTGATCCCTTGAGTAGCTGGGTCTTGTGGAGGTGAATGGGGTCTCAGGAGAGGGACCTAGGCACGGGGTTGGAGGAGGGCACTGAGGACTTAAGGCCATAGCTACTTACCAATAGCAGATAATTGGCAACATGGAAGTATTTCAATATTTTAACAACCTATATGGACATACTAAGGCACACTAACACCAACCTGCTGAATATCACTCCCATTAAAATCTACCCTTAAATTTCATTCCTAAATTTGACTTTTAAAATTTCCTTCCCAGGAACCTCACAGGAAGAACTACTTCATTAAAATTCTCAGCTTTACTTCCATAAAATAAAATTGGTCCTAGGATTGACTTGGAATTTTGGTTTTCACCATTATGATTTTCCTCATTAGACAATTCAGCTTCATGATAATGGATTTGAATCTCATGGTTTCCACTTTGATCCCTGTTCAGTATTATTCTAAGAAATCCAGGAATCGTACTCTTATTCCTTCTTTCATTTAATGTACAAACACCTTTTTACTTTATCAGTTCTTTGGGCTTAATCCTGTCTAGTAAGTTTACAGAAACAAGAAAGAAAGAGAAAAAAGCCTGCAGTTTCAGTAACAGTTGCCAGACATTCTCTCCCAATACTTGTGAAGCAAGGCTCAAGGAGAAAGCTAAAAAACTGAGAACAACAACAAAAATCACCCAAAAGTAGCTACAGTGTAGAAGCTTCTTTTAAAAAAAAATTCACTAACTTGAATATTTTCTCTAACTGCAAAAAATGTTGGTTTATTCTGAACCCATTCAAAGATATGAGAAAGTTACCTCTTGTTACATGAATCTGATCCTTGTCAGGTATATTCTCAAAAGAGGAAATCAGCATTTTATCCAGATATATTTGGAACCAAAGTGGTATAAACCAAGCTCTGAATACAGAAAGAACAGGAAGAAGTTGATGCTGGTCAGTGGGTGGGTGGCACTGGAGAAGGGCAGTAACACTTGACATTAATTATACATTGCCCCATCCGATCCTAGTCAGGGTATTTGCCAAGAAGTTCTTACATTCCTGTGGCCAGGGAACAGGGCCACACTAGAGTTTCGTGGAAAACAACAGTGCATTATAAAACATTTAAATCATTCCAACTCCCTACAATGACTAAATGATTTGACAAAATTATTTTATCGAATGGAAGCCTACTTTCATGAAAGTAATCACATTTTCATCTTAAGGATTTTTTTCAAAAAGAACTTTCCTATATTCATTTTTCTTTAACAACTAACGGCTGCTGTTTTGGTGTTAACTTGCCAAGGTTTTTATATTACTAAGGTAAATGCAGAGACATAATTTGAAAAAGAATAATAACATTTAAAGGGTGCTCCTACTTTGAGAGTGTATAGTCACAGAAGAGAAGCCAAGAAACCAAGCTCCTCTTCTAACATGAAGAATAAATTCCTAGTGAATACAGATAATATGAACTATTTCAGATAGGCTTTATTATTAGATTTGCACCAAAAAAGCCATATTTTTCCAGTCTATAGAAATAGCCTTTGAGAATACATTTTCCATATAGAAATCAGAAACCCCTAAATACATTCTGAGAGCCATCTTGAATGTCCAAACTTTTTAAAAGGGGAACTTTAAATAGTTGGAAGCACTCTGGTTTCTGGAGCTGCATTTTTACCCTTCACCCTGTCAGGAAGGGGGGCCTCCTGTGTGAAGTCGCCTCTCGTTAAGGTGATCCCCTCCGCGAAGACCTCAACCAGCAGCCCTACCATGTGCAGAGCTCCCACTGAAATCAAAACCCAACCTCAAGCTCACGCAGCTCCGCCTCCACATATCGTCACATCCCACACATGCTGCTGTCATCACACCCACGCTGTTGTCACAACACCCAACGGGCTGTTACTAAGGGCCCTGGTATGCTGCTGAATATATGCATTCAATAGGAATTTTCAAAACATATTTCAGGAATACTTGTCCTTGGTTCCGCATCATCTGCTCAATGCAGCCACTGTCTCTGGAAGGAGCAACTCCTATCGGGCACGGCTCCTTTGACTCTTGGGGCCTCCTGCGTCCCCAGCCCCAGCCGTGAATACACAATGGAGATCAGAGGAATGCTGCAGGAGGAATCTAGGGCAGTGCTTAATTGGATCATTCCCCTTCTATTAGACCATTCATATAGGTCAGCACATCTCACTTCACCCTCTCCCTCTACTCAGCAGTGGCTGCCAACCCAAGCTCAGATGCAATTCAAGTTATGTATCTGTATCTTCTTAAGATTCCCAGGGTCTTAGCCTGAGGTACCTGACAAGTTATGTTTCTGGCAAAACATTCCTTCTAGCCTCTTCGATGCTACGGAATAGCTGTGGTCTCTATATTTAATCAAACAAAAACTAGAAGAAAATGGGGGCAGGAGGGCATTGTTGTTGTTTTGACTAAAGTGGTTTGGGCAAGGTCATCTGTTCCAGGTTAGAAGAGAGACATTATTTGACAGACAGCACAAATTACTGATTCAATACTTGGGGGCTCTTAATTCTTGTTAAACATGTATGGTGAATTACTACAGGGGACGAGAGAGGTTTTGAACAAGTTTAAACACATTTGACGACATCTAGCTTAAAAACTCCTTGTCACCTTTCCTGGAAATTGATGTGAGTACCCAACAGAGGTAAAGGATGGCTAAATAATTATTACATTGGCCTTTTGAGGAAAATGCCTAAGTGGCAGGGATGACTTGTTCTCTGCTAAGGCTCTGAGTACTCTTAGATCCATGGTCTTCTAGACTTGAGCTGTCTTGTGCATTCTCTAGTTGCTTTGGAGGTCTCCATTTTGGTGACAACAGAGGCATTATCAGTTGCTTCTGGAATGACAGCCATAATTATTTAGTGCCAGACACTATACACAGCTTTATTTTTATATATATTCTTCAAACCAAAGTCACAAGGAGCTCTAAGATTGTCCTAACATTATCTTATGGTAGGTTGGTCACATCCTTCAGATTTCTCATACGCTTCTGAGAGCAATTCATTCCAATGGTTTAGCCATTGACACAAGAACCAGCTTAAGACCGAGAGCCTGAACTGTAGCTCTGAGCTTCTGTTTCTGGGGTGTGCCTGCTCCTCTCCTCTCTCCACACTATTTTCCTTCTTTCAGTTGAGTTCACCCAACATACATTGGGTAACTGTGTGCCAAGTTCTTTCGAATGTATTGGGTAGTGGGTGGTGATACAGGCTGTAGAGTCAGACCAACCTGGCCTGAAACCTGGCTAGGAGACTTAGGGGAAGTTACTTTACCCCTCTAAGTCTCAGTTTCTTCAATGACTATCCTCAAATGAGACAATGCACACAAAGTATTTAGCAGAGTGCTTGGCACACAGGAGATGTGCAGGACATAATATCTCTCACTATTACACAGATATACACGACAGATCAAAAACAGCTCATGAGCTAGTGGGAAGGAAAACACTACAGGCCATCTGAGTATTTCCTAGTAAGGGCTAGTTTCAAAGGAGTAATAATTATTCCAGCCTTAGTAAGTGGGTAGGTGGAAGATGGGGCTCAGAGGAGTAATACAGGAAATGATACCTGAGCTATGCTTTATTGGATAAGCAGTGGAAGCCATCCTCTGTGGTTTGAAAGACAATCATAAACCTTGTAGAGTCATAAGTAACATGGCAAATATGAGGTGACTTTGGAAGCTCCACACCATTTCTTCTATGTATTAAATGCACATGCTAAGGAGAGGATACCACTTGCATCATGTCATGCTGGTGGCAGCAAAGAGGCCAACAGAGAGCACAAGCACAAGCACGGCAGCAAGTAGGAGGAGGATGGAGACTGTGTAGGAGGGAGAGAATGAGGTGGGGAGAAGCAGAAGCCAGGCAGGAACGCAACCGCGGGCTTTCACCAATCTGTGGAATGTAGGGGAACTCAAACTCAGAGCCTGCAGGGATGGAACTGGACAGTCCCCAAGAACTCTGCACTTGGGACTCTGCCCAGCCGTGTGGCCACACCCAGGGCCCCAGCTGTCTGGTTCTCAGCAGCTCTGCCCAGGCTCTTCACCTTTGTCAATCCGATCTTCCTGCTTCTTTGTCTGCTTTGATTACCTAAGCCATGCCTGCCACATCACCCCATCCCTCCATCTTTTCTCTTATTATCCCCCATATAGAATGACTTTTTGTTCACATCTATCGGTAAAAAAATTTCACCTATTTTATTTTTATTTACTTATTTATTTGTTTTTTTGAGGCAGAGTTTTGCTTTTGTCACCTAGGATGGACTGCAGTGGCATGATCTTGGATCATTGCAACCTCCACCTCCTGGGTTCAAGCAATTCTCCTGCCTCAGCTTCCTGAGTAGCTGGGATTACAGGTGCCTGCCACCACGCCCAGCTAATTTTTGTATTTTTTTTTCTTTTTTTTTAATAGAGACAGGGTTTTCCCATGTTGGCATGTTGGCCAGGCTGGTCTTGAACTCCTGACCTCAGAAGATCCACCCGCCTTGGCCTCCCAAAGTGCTGGGATTAAAGGTGTGAGCCACCACACCTGGCCTATTTTATTTTTTTGACAGGGTCTCGCTCTGTCACCCAGGCTGGACTTTAGTGGCATGATCATGGCCCACTGCAACCTCCCCCTCCTGAGCTCAAGCTGTTCTCCCACCTCAGCCCTCCAAGTAGCTGGGACCACAGACATGCACTACTATGCCCAGCTAATTTTTGTATTTTTTTTATAGAGAAAGGGTCTCCCCATGTTGCCCAGGATGGTCTTGAACTCCTGGGCTCAAGCAATCCTCCTGCCAGGCCTCCCAAGGTGCTGGGATTACAGGCGCGAACCACCACAGCTGGCCAATAAAACATTATAAACCTAAAAAATATGTAAAAGATTTTCCTTATTCCTGCTGCATCTATGCACTTCAAGCCTTGCCTATATTGTGATATGCCAAAATATGTGTTAGTCAAATTTAATGTCTTTATGATATCTAGTATTAAAAAAAGACAACTTCTTTGAGTGCCTTTAGAGTATACACAGCAAAGACTATGGGATTCCAGAGGGTGTAGCCAATGATGGTGAAGAAACCTTCTCTGAACATGTTTTTGCAGAATAATGACTTCTTTGAAGGCAGTCATATGAAGAAGCAATGGGAAAGCCCCTTCTTCTTCCTTCCAGGATGCCTGCCTGCCGGCCTCTCCACTTGCACTTCCTGAGGCACAGTGGAGAAGCAGAATCTGGTAGACTTGGGTTTGACCCCTGGCTGTGTGATCATGGACAAATTATTTAGTAGTTATGATGCTTACTAGAAAGTGACAAGATGAACACTGTCCAGTTTTATCTGACTTTGTACCTTCAATGCAGTATGCTGGTCTTTAGGAATGAAAATGGCCATAGACCTTGTGCATGGCAACATGCATGTGCTGGACTTTTGCTGGTCTATTTTTACTTTCTTTTGACCTGCCTCGAACTGATGAAATACAAATTAAAAACACTTTTATAACAATGTTGTCCAGAAAAACTGTATTCCCCATATCTACTTCATTTCCTATGTGCCAGTTCTGGAGAGTAAATATGGTTTCTGTATGAATTTCTGAGTACTTGTTCATAAAGGATACTGCTTCATAAGAAAGACTACAGAAAAATAAATCACTGTAATGATTACAGAAGCTGGTGTTACTAATGTTCACAGTTCAGGTTGCTAAGTTTTTCTAAGTGCTCAAGGCCTTAGTCTGATGCTCTTTGCTTTAGGTTTACCGACTGATGTGCAATCCAACATTTGGACCCTTACTTTTATGAGAAGCATGTTCAGAAAAAGAAATCAAGGTATATGTACTTCATTTGGGGAGGAGGCTTTCAAACAGGAAATTTCCTCTGTTCCTTGTTTATCTCATATCTGGAATGAATAAATTTCATTTTTGTAAAATGATTTCTGCTGAGTGGCAACCACGAGGATATTCATGAACTGTGGTATGCAGGACGAGATAAGGACAGTACCTTATGTCTCCTGGAACTGACTTTGAGGGATCTTTCATTTTCTCCTTCCACACAGATTTGCTCACCTTGTGTGTACTGAGAAGGAAGTGGGGTTGGTGGCTACAAAAGACTTCAAAGTGGTGTTAATACATCATAATTCTTCTCACTGAAGGCCAGATTTATTAGGAAACATCTTTAGTACACCTATTTTTTCCTTTTGGTAAAGAATTTGGATTTCGAGACAACAGTTTACAATGGGCCTGATAATCTAGCAATTTCTAGCTTTTGAATAAACTTTTCCGGGATATTGCCTGAAGTAAAGGGCCCTGTTTTTTGTTTGTTTTGGATTTGTCTTTTTGCACACAGCTCCTAAGAAACAGGCTGGCAGATAGATCAAGCAGAACCCAGTTTTGAGAGGCTACCCAATCTTCTAAGCTCACGTCAAGCTAGCAAATTGGTTCTCAGAAGTCTCCATTTTCCCTCAGAATTGTCTCTGAATGAAGGTCCTTGCGGCTGCTTACTGTTCTTTTAGAGGGTGACACCTATTCTCTATTCTCCTTCACTTTGAATATCATTTTTCAAGCTTTCTGAGAAGCGCTGTTACACTTCTATGAAGAGACTCCAACTGCCAATCTTGAAATATTCTTTGAAACCAGTAACACCAGGTGCTCTGTCCAAGAAGCAAAGGAGGCAGCTCCATATAATAGACAATGCAACATTTGTTCACAGGCAGCATTGGATTTAAATACGCACACACAGAAATGCACACGTGCATGTGTGCACGCGCACACACACACACACACACACACACTGCAGCCTTAATAGCTCAATGTTTCTCTTGAAACACTCCAAGGGTTTCAGGAAATGCAAGGAAACTTTCAAAAACAAAGTGTAAAAAAAAGGAAACAGAATAATCAAAGGAAAGATTATAAAAGGAATCCAAATTGAATATAGCTTGTAATAACATGCTTAACAGAAAGGAAGTTGGGAGGTTAGATGAAGTTATATCACCAACCTGCAAATAAAAACGATCTCTTTCAGAGTGATTAAAGATCTACTCTTTGTAAGCAATTTCAGAGGCATGGATTTGTTTTGTGATATCATATTAAGAAGATACAGCTAAAATGAGGTCATTGCCCAATGGAGGATGCCACCATTTTCTCAGCATAATTTATGTATGAAACCAAAAAACTTATAAGAATAAACAGCAACATGATTCTCTGTACTCTTGCTGAGAAAATACTTAATTTCGTTTTGAGTTTTTAGACAGTCTTGCTTATCAAAGAGCAGAAAAATGCAAAGGAGAGAAGTCAGGTGAAAGAGAAATGAGCCCACCCCGGCCCACACTGACAGCTGAGCTGGGCCCCTCAATTTCCCGGCCACGGAGGCAGTGTGGCCAAATAGCACTGGGGTGTCCTCTTCAGTGCTCAAGAGTCATTTCCATTTCTTTTGGGTGCCTATTTTGTGTTTTCTAGCACACGCAATAATATCGTAGTAAGTATTTAATGGCATTTTTTACCACAGTTCCTTTACAATATCCTAGAATATAGCCCATTGTCCTTAATTTCTATATTTAATAGGAATGTTTTTGACTAGAAAATATGTTATACTCACTTTCTTTGTTAGTAGAGGTATTAGAATGCCTCACGTATTACTGTATTTCTTAATTATGTCTTCAAACTAATTATCTCTTTCTAACTAGGCTTGGGTGGCTGCATATAATTTTTTGTTTGGGATGTTTAACTTCCCTCTTTGCTTTTATAGGAGAGTGTTTTTAACCTCTTTCTGCTCCTTTTTTGAGTTTGTTGTGACTGATGCTGAACACCAATCATTCTGTGTCTGCATCACTGGCTTGCTTGGTTGGAATCCTTTTAACTGTGTGTGCTCACTGGCGTGTGCATATGCATTGCTTGATTAGACCATACAGGACTTGGTGTCCCCTTCCCTTGTTGTCTTTCATTCTATTGCAGCCTATTTCTCACCCCTGTCTTCATTTATTTATTTACTTATTTTGAGATGGAGTCTTGCTCTGTTGCCCAGGCTGGAGTGCAGGTGCAGTGATCTGATCTCAGCTAGCTGCAACCTCTGCCTCCTGGGTTCAAGCGTTTCTCCTGTCTCAACCTCCCGAGTACCTGGGATTACAGGCGCACGCCACCACGCCCAGCTAATTTTTGTATTTTTAGTAGAGACAGGGTTTCGCCATGTTGGCTCACCCCTGTTTTCAAAGGCAGTGTATACTGGTGTAGGGTCATGCCCAGATGCTCTCATCTTAAACTCTTGACTAATTCATCGAACACAAGAAATGCATTCTTGCATTTTAGGATAGCACACTTGTAGACCTCACAAATGTAAATGGAAACCCATACATTACATTCCTTTAAGCCAAAATACCATGGTTCAATCTTAGAACTGGTTTTCTGGGTTTTAGACTCATGGAGTTACCCATGCATCTTTATTATTTTCAGGTTCTATTCATTTTTAATGTGGCTAGAAACTGGAGTTCTGTGTCTTTAAAAAAAATAATCCCTGGTGTTTGTAATAAAATTCCTCTAGAGGAGAGGTGAAAGGGCTTGAGCAACGCCTTTCTACCCTCTGGCTTATTAGAGAGGATGAAGGTTTCTAGGCAGGATGAAAGAAATAATCCAGGAAGGAAGCCAGGAAGAAAAAGGGGGTGGAGGTAAACTTAAGCCAGTGTCAAGAGGTTGGCGAATGGAAGAATGTGACACAGAAGAGGGGGAAAGGAGAAGCCACTCTGATAAATCTCACCATCCTTCCTTAAAGGCCTGTTTCAAAGGCCTCTTGCCATGGAGTTGCCCTGGCCTTTCCCACTCTCTCACTCTCCCACCTCATGTCAGCCTCCACTGGAATCCCAGAACGTTTTATCTACATCTCCCTTACAGCCCTCATCAACTTCTACTTTGTGCTGTGGATATTTATGTGACTTCCTGTAAGCCCTCCACTGACTCGCCATTTAATAAACCATTATTGAGCACCTCTCTGGGTGCCGGGCGCTTTGCTAGATGCCAGGGATACACAGACGGTTGTGGCACCGCCTCAGCTCTCAGGAGCCTCCCAGTCTTGGCATGGCTCTGGTCTACCAGGCCCACCATCCATTGTGCCCACCATGGCCTGTTAGTGCAGTCTCCCCTGCCTGAAATGGCCTTCCTCTCCTTTTCTCGTTTGTCTTTCAAGGCCTTAGACATAAACTGTTCAGGAAGTTTTTTGGGAAATGTTGAGTTCCTATAGAATATGCACACACCTCTTTCAGCACTTCCCATAAGTTGACATCTTCCATTTACAAGTCTATCTCTGCCACTGGACTCAGGGCAGAAGTCTCACTTTTTAATCTTTGATTCTCCAACTTCAAGAGCTATGCCTGTTCTATGGTAGATAGCCACTAAATATTAGTTGAGTTAATAATTGATTAGTTCTTCTCGGCCGGGCGCAGTGGCTCACGCCTGTAATCCCAGCACTTTGGGAGGCCAAGGCAGGTGGATCACGAGGTTAGAAGATCAAGACCATCCTGGCTAACACGATGAAACCCCGTCTCTACTAAAAATACAAAAAATTAGCCGGGCATGGTGGCGGGCGCCTGTAGTCCCAGCTACGTGGGAGGCTGAGGCAGGAGAATGGCGTGAACCCGGGAGGAGGAGCTTGCAGTGAGCCGAGATCGCGCCACTGCACTCCAGCCTGGGAGACAGCGAGACTCTGTCTCAAATAAATAAATAAATAATTTAAAAAAATTGATTAGTTCTTCTCACACTGTCCCTCTAAGGTGGGGTGGGAAAGATATCATTTGTCCCCTTTTACAGCTAGGAAAACAAAGGGGCAGAGAGCATCAATAACTTGCCTCCAAATTTAAATGATGGTAGAGCCAGACAAGAAGCCGTGTCTGCTCTATTCTCCAGGCTAAACAGATCTGGTATTAGAAAAAGGTGTACCTGTTTCCCCTGTGTCCTTTTACAAACCACTGCTCAATGAAATAAAAGAGGATACAAACAAATGGAAGAACATTCCATGCTCATGGATAGGAAGAATCAATATCATGAAAATGGCCATACTGCCCAAGATAATTTATAGATTCAATGCCATCCCCATCAAGCTACCAATGACTTTCTTCACAGAATTGGAAAAAACTACTTTAAAGTTCATATGCAACCAAAAAAGAGCCCACATTGCCAAGTCAATCCTAAGCCAAAAGAACAAAGCTGGAGGCATCACGTGCTACCTGACTTCAAACTATACTACAAGGCTACAGTAACCAAAACAGCATGGTACTGGTACCAAAACAGAGATATAGACCAATGGAACAGAACAGAGCCCTCAGAAATAATACCACACATCTATACTATCTGATCTTTGACAAACCTGACAAAAACAAGAAATGGGGAAAGGATTCCCTATTCAACAAATGGTGCTGGGAAAACTGGCTAGCCTTATGTAGAAAGCTGAAACTGGATCCCTTCCTTACACCTTATACAAAAATTAACTCAAGATGGATTAAAGACTTAAATGATAGACTAAAACCATAAAAACCCTAGAAGAAAACCTAGGCAATACCGTTCAGGACATAGGCATAGGCAAGGACTTCATGTCTAAAACACCAAAAGCGATGGCAACAAAAGCCAAAATTGACAAATGGGATCTAATTAAACTAAAGAGCTTCTGCACAGCAAAAGAAACTACCATCAGAGTGAACAGGCAACCTACAGAATGGGAGAAAATTTTTGCAATCTACTCATCTGACAAAGGGCTAATATCCAGAATCTACAAAGAACTCAAACAAATTTACAAGAAAAAACAAATAACCCCATCAAAAAGTGGGCGAAGGATATGAACAGACACTTCTCAAAAGAAGACATTTATGCAGCCAACAGACATATGAAAAAATGCTCATCATCACTGGCCATCAGAGAAATGCAAATCAAAACCACAATGAGATACCACCACACACCAGTTAGAATGGCAATCATTAAAAAGTCAGGAAACGACAGGTGCTGGAGAGGATGTGGAGAAATAGGAACACTTTTACACCGTTGGTGGGACTGTAAACTAGTTCAACCATTGTGGAAGACAGTATGGCGATTCCTCAGGGATCTAGAACTAGAAATAACATTTGACCCAGCCATCCCATTACTGAGTATATACCCAAAGGATTATAAATCATGCTGCTATAAAGACACATGCACACGTATGTTTATTGTGGCACTATTCACAATAGCAAAGACTTGGAACCAACCCAAATGTCCAACAATGATAGACTGGATTAAGAAAATGTGGCACACATACACCATGGAATACTATGCAGCCATAAAAAAGGATGAGTTCATGTCCTTTGTAGGGACATAGATGAAGCTAGAAACTGTCATTCTCAGCAAACTATCACAAGGACAAAAAATCAAACACCGCATGTTCTCACTCATAGGTGGGAATTGAACAATGAGAACACTTGGACACAGGAAGGGGAACATCACACACCAGGGCCTGTTGTGGGGTTGGGGGAGTGGGGAGGGATAGCATTAGGAGATATACCTAATGTAAAGGACGAGTTAATGGGTGCAGCACACCAACATGGCATATGTATACATATGTAACAAAGCTGCACGTTGTGCACCTGTACCCTAGAACTTAAAGTATAATAAAATATATATATATATTTAAAAAAAAAAAAAGAAAGTGTGTCTGGATGGAGACTGAGTAGAAGGACTGAGTAAGGAGACGGGACAGATGTGGTAGGAGGCCTATTCGGCAAAAGAGAGGTCACTGAATCACAACCACTTCTTGTTGTCTCTAAAGAAGACAGGTTGGGGGTTAATGCTGCTGCGTGGATTCTATCCACGGTCAGTTCGAGAAAGGAAAAGAATATGGGTGAGAAAAACAAGGGTGAAAAGCAGATTAACAAGTGGCTGCTACTGGATAAGAACTCACAAAAAAATATCCAGACAGAGGGCACCTGGGGAGAATCAGATTAAACCTCGAATTAGAGCGAGGTTGTTTGACAAACAACACTGTGACCCAGGAAATATGGGAAACCGCTGAGCAGATTTATGAGTGAGTTTCTAATTGATGTGGCTTTTAAATGTGCAGATATATTTTTGTTTTTATATAAGGGTAAACAAAAGGCAGCACAAGCAGTGGGAGGGGCCTGACTGATCCATCTGAAGCGAGAAGCCCTGGATTTAGGTCTCTCAAAATGTACAGGCTCTGTGACTTGGGCAAGTGACTCAGCTTCTCTGAACCTTAGTTTCTTTTTAAACAGTGGGTAAAGGTGATGCTTTTGCAGGGATGTGGTGAGGATCAACTCTTCTTTACACTAGTGAATTCGCATTTGTTTTTCAAATGATTACATTCAGGGTTGGATTAGGTTGTTGGCCAGCTTTCTCAGAGGCTTCTAGGCAGATGTGTCTTCATGTCTCCTTGGGAAGGCTTCAGTCGTGTGGCTATCCCTGACTGCAAGGGAGTCTGGGAAAAAGATCCCCAGTTTTGCTTTTCCTTTGGTTTGGCTTCTATAAAGGGAAGAATTTAAGGCAGAAGAGAATTAGGAAAAGCTTTAGATTAGTCAACATAGGCTATAATACCCAATACAGGGTAGCAACAGCACATGTGTATCTGCACAGAAGAAAGGGATTATGAGACTAATAAAGCAAAGTCGTAGGCTGGGGAAGGTGAATCTAATTAAATAGTAAATTAAAAGTAGTAGAGGCCAGGCGCAGCAGCTCTCGCCTGTAATCCCAACAATTTGGGAGGCCTAGATGGGAGGATTGCTTGAAGCCAGGAGTTCAAGACCAGCCTGGGCAACACAGCGAGATCCTGTCTCTACAAAAAAAATTTTTTTTTAAATTAGCTGGGTGTGGTGGTGTGTGCCTGTAATCCCAGCTACACTGGAGACTGAAGTGGGAGGATTGCCTAAGTCCAGAAGCTTGTGGCTGCAATGAGCTATGATTGCACCACTGTACTCCAGCCTGGGCAGCAGAGTGAGATCCTGCCTCTAAAAAAAAAATTTTTTTTTAAATAATAGAGATAGTGGCATGAAGAGCCCAGTAAGAAATTACTGAAGCAGTGCCACCACTAGTTTCTAGGAAAAATAACACATAGGCATGTTTCCTGCAAAACTGAGTAGAGATTGAGTTACTTTTTCAGGGTCTCCCTTTTTCATCATCTGACATTACCATTTGCTTTTTATGTCTTCTCTTTAACCTCCACTCCCCTCCCCAACTCCTAATAGTTTTTAGTTCCTCTAAATCAGTACTCCCTAATGCTACTTTATAGTGAACTCGATTTTCCAAGGTTTTTTTCCTCTTTCTTTCCCCCAATAACTCAACTGTCTTATATTTAATTTTCTGACATTCTAATTCTCTCTTTTTTTTTTTTTTTTTGAGACAGAGTCTCACTCTGTTGCCCAGGCTGCAGTGCCATGGCACAATCAGGGCTCACTGCAGCCTTGACCTCCCAGGCTCAAGCAATCCTCCAGCCTTGGCCTCCCAGGTAGCCAGGACTACAGGCACACACTAATATGCCTGGCTAATTTATTTTTTTATTTTTATTTTTTTTTTAGTAAAGATGGCGTTTTACTATGTTGCCCAGGCTGGTCTTAAACTCCTGGACTCAAGTGATCTGCCTACCTAGGCCTCCCAAAGTGCTGGGATTACAGGCATGAACTACTGTGCTCGGCCTCATATTATAATTCTTGATTCCTCCTTCTGTAATTAAAAAAAAAAAAAAGGCTGGGCATGGTGGCTCACGCCTGTAATCCCAACACTTTGGGAGGCCGAGGTGGGTAAATCACCCGAGGTCAGGAGTTTGAGAACAGCCTGGCCAATGTGGTGGAACCCTGTCTCTACTAAAAATACAAAATTAGCCGGGCATGATGGCAGGTGCCTGTAATCCTAGCTACTTGGGAGGCTGAGGCAGGAGAATCGTTTGAGCCTGGGAGGCGGAGGTTGTAGTGAGCTGAGATTGCGTCACTGCACTCCCGCCTGGGCAACAAGGGCGAGACTCCAACTAAAAAAAAAAAAAAAAAAAAGAGAGAAGAAGGAGAAGGAGAAGGAGAAGAAAGAAATTCACGTTAAGACGTAGGTAGGTTAGCACTCTCTTGTAATACTTGCATTTAAGTAGGGAGCATTGTACGACAGAACCAGTGGAAGAGGGACTTTCAGATCCCTTGAAATTTGTCAGATATTACATACCTACGTTGTTTGAGCTAAATGCTAACACTATTAACAAAACCCAGGAGTGGAGGTGCAGGAAGGGAATGCAGAATGGATTCGCCTTTCATCAGTGTGTGGTGTGATAGGACAGGGCGGTAGTGTACTAGAATTGGGTGGAGAGGGACAAATCTGTCAAAACATGAGAAGAAAAACTGATGTGCTAAGAAGAGATGACATTACGTTTAAAATAAGGCTTCATGAAAAGCTATACAGTTGGGTAACACCCAATCAAAATAGTGCCGCTAATGGACTAATGATGAGCATGGAGATATAACTGTGAATTATACATGGTAACTGAGGGAGGGGAGTGGGTGTAGAGAGAACAGAACTGGGGAAGGATATATAAAGGGAAAGTGAAAAGTTGGCCCCACATACACCAGGCCAAAGTTACAGAAAATGCCTTTGCTTTGCTTATTCTTCAGTAAAATACATTATTTTTTTCTCCTGGGTGTTCAACTGTAAGTGTGCACTATTAGAAAACCATCAATAAAAAAATTGATAAACGAGGGAATAATTACTTAAAATATAAAATAATTACCAGCTTTACAAAAGAATTCTCTTCAAGGCTTAAGTGCCATTTAAAATAATGTTCAACATGCCAAAGAAATTTTTTTTTTGCATATAGTACAAACTTCAAAGAATTCTGTTTCATAAAGTAAGGATGGCTCATATAATAGAGAGATAAAAGTTGCAGTGGATTTGGTTCAGCATTAAAAAAACAAAAAACATACACTGCTAATAGATAAAGGAGACAGAGAAACACAACCCACCTTCGGCTGTATTAAGGGGTCATTTTATATGTTGTGCCAGTAAGCTCCTGTTTCACCAAGAAGAATTCATTAAGTGAGAGCAAGTCAATGAAAATGAGCTTTATTAAAAAAGAACTGATGTAATTAAAGGTATTGGTGAAAACTAGCTCAGTTATGAAGGGGAAATGACTCAGCAGCAAATTTAAGAAATGAAACCATATACATTAGAATCTTTTCCCAGTTTTAAGTTATTTCAGAAAAAAATATAACACTCCACACAATAGCCAAGGTGCACGCCAGCATGAAGGAGGAAGAAGTGCTTATATAAAACTGTCATTCTTCACATACTAGTGAATTATAGCATTCATATGCTGGCAGGCCGAGCAGTCAATGAGGAGAGTAAGAAAGCCTGAGACTCAGGCTGACCCGGCTTCAGATGGGCAGTGGTGACTTTCATCAGTGCTGTTCTACATGGTACAGTCTAAATGAGAATACGTGACCTCTGAAATACTCAAGAGCTGTATACTGGGGAAAATACGCCTAAGACTCTTGGAGCATCCCAGATCCAATAATATTTCTGTCAAAAAAATGTATAGGTAAGTCGAATGATAGAATATCCACAGCAGAATGGCTGTGCAATACGGTTTTGAAAAAGAATCATCCTATCCAAGTTTATGTGGTCTTAGTCACATGGCCTGAATATGGGACAAAAATCCACACGCCTCAAGTCCAAGCAATGTGCACACTGGGCGTTTTTGCAGACCTCAGATATATGGATATGCGATGAAGCCAGAGGGCTGTGTGAGGACTGGCACCTTCTTCCCCGGGAAGCCCTCAGCTTAGTGTTGTCTTGTGATCTGAACATTGGCCTGGAAGGAGAGAGAAACGGCCAGAGGCTTGGATTTGCCAGTGATGCCACATGACAAGCCACTGCCTAGTCTAACACCTCCTAATACAGCACCATCACAAGGATTAAGTGCTCACTAGCTAAAAAATAAAATTAAAAGGTGGATCTGAAGGTGCTTTGAGTATTAGAACACTTAGACCCACCTCACCCTCATGCCAAGGATGGCAGGCAGAAAGCGGGAGGAGTGAAGAGGAACATTGTGAGAAAAAAGGAGATGGAAGAAGGTTGGAAATTTCCAGCTACAAAATAATAAATAACCCATAGTAGACTAAGTTCCAAGTGGGTGGCGCTTTGCAAATGAGAATGTCATGTTTTCATACACTCTGTGATCCACATAACCTTTTTGCCCACCTCAGAGAGTTGCTAAGACCAACCAATGAAATATTGTCTGCAAGAGTGGTTTTTGAACTACAAATCCCTTAATAATTTGCTGTGGTATGTGGTCTAAATGGTTAAAAAACAAAACAAAACAAAACAAAAAAACAAAAAAACCCACAAAACCTGGGAAGCTTGAAGAGGAATACCTGAAAATGGTTAGGCCTTTAGCAAGTCCCTGGAGTCTGCAGGCATTTTCTTCTTGAAATGTCTGCCAGCATGCGTTGGAACTGAATATTCTGGGGTAATAAAAGGGATATTTCACCTTATAAAATGCAAATAAAAGTTGAGTGATCAAGTTTGGGGGATGGGTTACTTCATGATCTAATTACTGTTGACTTATTGTGATATGTAAGGAAAGAGCGCTAGAAAAAGTCTCAGTGCATCTGAAACTTTATCTTACCTAAAGAATAAAAAGACCTTCAACACTTTCTACTCACAATCCGCTGCTCTATTAACAAACAAAAGCAAAACCAAAGCCCACCACTTTCTATCTCTGAGCATTGTTATGGTTGGGTGTCTCATGGCTTTGTTCCATCACTCCTCAGGTAGAGGAGGTGTATTCTGTTCATCTTAATGGGTGTGTCTTTTAGGGGAGGAAGAAAAAAAAAAGTAGGCTGGTTTGAATTTAAGTTAATCCCTGCCTTCTGATATTTATACAGCTTATTTTTATTTAATGTTCCAACAGACAAGTAGCCTATATGCCAAAGTAGCAGAAAAGGCAACATTTAAAAAATGGGCCAGTCTCCTCAATAGAATTGGGTACACACGTTCACCAAAAGATAAAAATAACAGTGTACGTCACAATATTATTCAACATAGCTAAAATCTAGAAAGGTTACATAAATTATGAGACAGCCACATAACTGAATATTATACAGGCATGAGAAGAATAACCTGTGACTATAAACAGATACAATATTGAGTGAAAGAAACAGAAAACAGATTCAAGATTGAGTCACCAAAGAGTATTTACAGTAAGATTTCACTTACGCAAAGTACAAAAACAAACACAACTAAATTATGTTGTTGGGAGACAGAACAGTGGTGACCTTTGGGGAGAGGGTGTGACTGGAAGGGGATCATGGGGTGGGGGCTTCTGGGAGGCTAGCGTGTCTCCTGAGCAGGATACTGATTACACAGGTGTGTTCAGTTTATGAAAATACATTAAATGTACACTGATGTACACTTTTCTGCAGTATATTGTATTTCAGTGAGAAGTTTTTCAAAAAAAATGGAGCAGCCTTCTAAGTTGGCAGGATTCAGTTAGACTTGCTTTGACGTGTGCTCTGAGGCCATCTGTTCTCAAACCCCCTGTTCCCACAGATCAGGATGCAGCTGAGGCACAGAAGCTTGATTTGCTTCGAGGCTTTGCAGCTGAGACCCGGAACATATGAATGAGTATTTTACTCTTACTGTAAATCATTGAGTCAGTAAATAGATCTATAAATTCAGTGGATGCTATTTTAGTAATATGGATTTTGTTCCATTTTTGAGATGTCTTAAAAACCTTAGAGATTTCACATCTCCTGTACGAAAGAAATCATCTATAAAAACGGTCTATTGAATTTATTTAAGTCAACAAAGGATTTTCTTACTGATATGTGATCAGGGTCTCATTTAATACTAATTTAGAAGGTCCCTTTGGAAACAATCATGCTATGATTTTAACTCCCTCATTTTGTGGGTCAGGAATCTGATACCCAAAGAGGTTAAATGATATGCGTATGGCCATGCAAATATTCCAAAGCAGAATATGGACTAGAATTCAGGTTCCCTAACTGCTAAACCAATTTACTTTTCATTCTAGCTTTCTGGCTTCCACATTATTGTTGATTCACAGAATTATGAACAACTAAAAACAGATGATATAAAATTGACAATGTAATGACACTAAATGTTTACTTCATTGTGACAGTCATATTTTCTAAAGAGCAGGGCCAATAAATTACGTGGCCCTGAGTAATTACTGGTTTTTAGAAATTAGCTAACACCAGTTTAGAAATTAATATGTTAACAGTACTTGAAAAAAATGGAATACTCTTATATTGGAAATGATTGTTACCAATGGGAGCGATATGGGCACCTTTATTTTCTTATTCAAGAACATACCTTGTCAGAGGAGCACGAATGACCTCAGAGCACCCAGAACAGAATTTATCAGGCCCTTCTACACACCTCTGAGGACATTTAGCTGAGATGAATCTGGTGTTATTATGGAAGTTCTTGCCTTAAGAACATTTGGATTATTTTTATCTTATGATGCTCTTTCAAGGACTATTTACTTGCTGTGGGTCATTTCTATTTGTAAATGGTAATAGTCACCTGAAATTGAAACTGTATTTACCCATGTCCATTCTGTTTCCAAGAATCTAGATTGCTCTAACTCACTTGCTATAGAACAAAAGAAGTTCATTATTTTTCAACTGCCTTACTTTCTGTATTATGGGTAATGTACTA
The DNA here is from genome assembly GCF_000001405.40 of Homo sapiens. Taxonomy (NCBI): domain Eukaryota; kingdom Metazoa; phylum Chordata; class Mammalia; order Primates; family Hominidae; genus Homo; species Homo sapiens. The sequence continues at coordinate 73,476,513 of NC_000008.11, forward strand.
TGACTTTGTATTATGACCCTTATCAGATTAAAAATATATGTTTCCTTGATCACAGCTGTATAACATTTATGGTCTGATTCAGTACACTTCTAAGAATAGGAAATGCAAGATTAAACTAGGCTTTAAAAACAACCATTGATGAAAATGAATTAACAACGTAAATATCGAGGCAGACGTTAGTATCTTACCGCATTCTCATCCTAAGGCCCTCAGATCACTGGGGGGTGTAGATTGTACTTTCCTCTCAAATCTGAGGAAATGGTTACATCTTTCATGGCATTTATACCCACAGATGACTTGCTGGCCAAAGGCCCAGTGGACACATGGAGACAAACGCTCGTGAGAGCAGCCAGACTAAGAAGTGGCTTCTAGGTACCATAGAAATGTCAGCATAGTGAGAATATTGCATATATACCATCCCAGTTCTAATTAACAACTGCAGGGGCATAATGTGAAGTTAATTCATTCAACAAGTATTACTGAGCACCTACTCTGGCAACTGGAGCTCAAATGAGATAATCCACGTGAACAGCAGGATAACACTTCCTGTGACACTGAAGAACTGGAAGAATTAACCGGGTAGGTGGGGGTGGAGTGGAAGAGAGTAGTGCCACCTGGGGACACTAAGAGGTTCAGGAGAGTGGAGCCATCAGACGGGAGGGGAAGAGTTGGGGCTACAGAGATGAGCAGGTGGCAGAGCATGGACAGACCCATCATTCTTGTTACAGAGGTTGGTTTTGATCCTTTGGACAGCAAGAATTCTAAAAAGCAATGCTTTACACACCGTAGGATCTCATCTATTAGTTAGCTCTGAAATAACTTTCATGGGGTCCAACCAGCACTACTTTTTCAACAAAAGAGATCAAAATAGAATAGGATAGAAAAGGACAGAAAACATAAAACTTGTTCACATATATATATTGATATGAGTATTGGGTCATGATGTTAAATTCATTTTTTATTGTGAGTCACAGTCCAGAAAGTTTGAAGGTCACTTCTTTGAAAGCATTTAAGCAGAGGAATGATATGAACAGCCTTGTGCTTCAGAAAATCAATTTGGCTGCTGTGCAGAAAGGACTGGCGGCAGGCCTGAGTACAGGAAGAACAGTTGCCATAGTCAGGCTAAAGAGGACAATGCTAACTGAGGGCAGGGCCAGTAGACGGACAGAAGTTCTACAGAGGGATACCAGGAGGGATACACTGAGGAGGACAAGATTTAGCTGAGGAAGGTGTCCAAAATGCAACCTGGACTGTCTAGGTTTCTGCATTAGGCAATTGGGTGGGTCTTGCTGCCCTTCTTTGTGGCAAGTAAGGAATGCCAGAGCAAAAGCAGTTTTAGGGACAGAAGAAGATTATTAGGTTGAGACATGTTGAGATAAAAAGTTGAAAACATGGAGAATAAGTACAATTTTGATAACTTTATAGAAACAAATTCATTATACTGCTCTACAAACCAATCATGATCAAGTGTCTATTGTCTGACACACTGAAGTGTGATACTAATGTTAGAAATATATATATGTATATATATATATTTTTTTTTGTAGTAAGAAAATGCAGTAAGTACAGAAGGGATTTGCAAGTGCTCACAATTTGGGGACAAGTTTTTATAAAGATCTTTTAAAGCAAATGCAAGAACACTTACAGATAAGGGCTATAAAGATTAAAGATAAAGTATATGAGCATGTACAGGGGTGTCCAATCTTTTGGCTTCCCTGGGCCACATTGGAAGAATTAAGAATTATCTTGGGCCACACATAAAATACACTAACACTAACGATAACTGATGAGCTAAAAAAAAAAAAAAAAAAAAAATCGAAAAAAAAATATCTCAAAATGTTTTAAGAAAGTTGATGAGTTTGTTTTGGGCTGCATTCAAACCTGTCCTGGGCTGCATGTGGCCCATGGGCAGCAGGTTGGACAAGTCTGATCTAGCACAATACCTGACGCAGAGTAGATGCTCTAAAAATAGTTTTTTTTTTCCCCTCCACTTTTTTATACCTTGTCATTAAGTCTCAAGATGCAGCAATGCAAACTATTTACATAAGTATATTTCAAGTCACTTGATAGCTAGAGTTAGCAAATGATGCTCTGATTCACAAAACGGTTTATGTTCTTTGTTTTACAAGGGCTGCCAAGAAGTTAATGGGCAAATTCATGATGCATCTCTAGTAAATGTACAGAAACTCAATATATGCATTTTGCATATTTCACCTATCCTATTTTTAAGCCTTTTTCTCAATTCCTTCACCCCCCAAAAATCATTAAGAATTGTAAAAAATCACTTTAAATATTTTTCTGAAATAAGCCAAAGCCTATAGACAGGTGGGTAGATGGATAAATAGATTAGATAGACAGATAGATGGTTGAAACTGACGGATGGCTATATTTTAAATTATTAATCAAATATCTACGACTTTGGGTAGCTGAATCAGTTGCCTGAACCTTGGTTTCTTTTATTAAAAATGTATTACATATCATAATGTAGAGAGAAAAGTATAATGAACCTCCATGAACCCATGCCCCAGAGTCAACAATTATCAATTCATGGCCAATTCTGTTTCATCTATACCTTCACCCACTCCCCCAACCCCTGGATTAATTTAAAGCAAATTCTAACCACTACATCATTTCATTGGCAAAATGTGTTAGTATTAATCTCCAAAGAACAAGGACTCATAACTACATCACTGTCGTACCTTTAAAAAGTTAGTAATTCCTTAATACCATCAAACATCAGTGTTCAAATTTCCCCTACTGTTTCTTCATTTTTTAAATAATTTGTCTGAATTTTAGATACTGATTATTTCTGGGTCAACTTATAAAACGATTTCTCAGAAAGTTAAACTGAGGACCAGAATAGAGCTTTCCCAAGGAACCTTCCCTTCACGGCATGAGACTGGGATTCCTCTAGCTGTTCATTCAAATCCCCTCTCTCTTCCTGCTTTCTCCCTATTCTGCACACACACACACACACACACACACACTCTCATACAATGGGGGAAAGCTTTAAAACTTGTGCTACATGTTAGGCTGTATGAAAATGAATGTTTAACATTAAAATAAAAATGATAATACAGTAGAAAAAAATAAACAAGCACTTAAGAAAACTAGTCTTAAGAATTATCAAATTTTTAATTAATGACAACTATCAAAACTTTGAGCAGGATATCTTCCAACAAAGATACACTTAAATATACGTGTGTGTGTGTGTGTGTGTGTGTGTGTAGACCTAAAAAGAACACTTTACTGTGCATTTTGAAATAAAACATCCTACTCCAAAGTTTCTGAAGTTTTATATCCATTATATCTCTCAAAGTATCTTCAGGAACGTAGACATATTAAAATGAATCGCTTCAGGAAAAACAAAAAAAAGCATCCCACACTGTCAGATGCATCTTTCCTTCTACTGCTCCCGTCTTCCTACTGGTTTCCCTGTCTCCAGTCTTTCCCTCCTTGGTGTCATCTAGATGACACCATCTAGATGACATAGATGCTAGCAAAGTTTGTTTTCTAAAACACAGAACCAAAATCTCATGTCTTACTTAAAAGTCTTCCATTGTTCACCACTGTCTACAGAATAGAGTTCAAATTTCTAACAGTGGCAGTCAAAGACTAATATAATCTACCCCCACCCAATTCTCCAGTCTTCTATCCCACTGCCCTTTCCACCCCAATATCCTCAATGCCCTGGCTATGTTGGAATAGTCCCATTCCCTGAACATGTCTTCCTTATGCCTCTGTGGTTCTGTTCATGTTGTTCTCTCTGAGATACAATATTCCCTATGTATCCAATGTATAATAAATGTGAGCTTGCAATGAAGAGATAAAGGAATAAGACATGAGCTTTTCTCTCAAGAAGCTCACAACCTCATTACAGACAGAGATAAGTAACTTTCAAGAGAGGTGTGATAAGTACAGACATATTAAGATGTTCTAGGTTTGGTGACAACACGAAGAGGGATTTTGCTGTGGACATGAGACTATTAGCATTTGGAAACACAATGTGCAGAAAACACATGGAGAAAGGAGGGTCCAATGGATGACTTAAAATCCCCCAAAAGTGGACATGTCAAATTAATATATAGCCACGGGATGGTTATATCCAAGAGATAACTGAAAATCATTTGCAGCTGATCACAGGTAATGCCTGTGAGAGACTGTAATTGCAAACTCAAATGTAATCAGTTTGCTTCTTTTAAGAAGCCTTTGCTATCAAATAAACACGAAATATGTAGGAACCAAACTGGAAGTGCAGGATGGTAAAGGGAGGCTGAGCAATCTGACTTACGCATGAAGAAAATGAAGCAGTTACTTCCAACAAAGAATGAAGCATACTAAAGTACACACTCAGAGAAGGAAGAAATTCAATGTGATACTAACAAATCAAGCTGGCTTAAACTTAAGTGTGCCATACTTGCTGCCACATTCACTCTGACATCGTTTAAATCATGTAAATATTTTAAAATTCTTGTCATAAAAAGTATAACACATATAAAAGAATACATATATGCTGTTTTATTTCAAACTCACACATACTACACACAAGTATTCATGTACCCACCTGCCAGGTTAAGAAATAGAACATTATCAGTACCTTGGAAGCCCTTAGAATCCTCCTGTCCAATTGCCTTTCACTCTCTCCCTCTGAGTGGGAACCACTGTCTTGCTTTTTGTATTAATCATTCCTTTACTTTTCTTTATAACTTCACCACACACATTTTTACCACCTAGAAAACACTTGGGGTTTTAGTTTTGGAACCCTGCACAGCCAGCGCAAAGCCAGAGTCTAAGGAAAGCACAACATTGCCATTATAGATGGAGGGCTGGGAGAAAAGAAACAGCAGGGGCCTGCCTCATCTGCCTCAGGTTCTCTGAAAAGTCAAATTGCACTTGGGAATTCTGATACATGCCAAAGTTTGAGAGCCACTGGCTAGGGTCCCTTCTAGCTTCTGATTCTAGAATAAGTATTTGGATCAAAATAAGCCAAAAAAACAAAAAAACAAAAAAAAAAAACACTTTTTTTGAGTGAACCAAACTAAAGCATTCTCTAGCGAGAACGGGCTTTCTGCAACCCCACATTTATATAATGTTGCTCCAACCAAAGGCTAAATTGTTGTATGTTAGTTATATACTAATAACAACTATGCAAAGAACTAAAATGTTTTAAATAGGATTGTATTTCAAAAATATGGGGAAATATTCATTGCTTTGAATTTTTAGCTGTGATTCTTAAAGGTAGGAAATACTGCTTGTTGAAACATTATAATGAATTTTCACTACATGTAACCAGTGAGTTTTGGGGATGAATCACAGTTGAGTATGACTCAAAAATTCCCTCCTCTTAAAACAACTCTATAGGGCAGCGCTTTTGTTTTCCTTTAGGTCTAGTACAGTAGGTGGGCCATTTTCTGAGTCCAGTTTCCCTACTGTGAAGTTAGTCTGTGTGTATATAGTCTTTTGAGTGCTATCCCACAGAGGTGGGGTTCTTTTTCCTTTTATTTGAATTTACTTTTATACCTGGAGAGATTCTTTTGGCTGCGGCTGGTTTATACTGTTTGAGCGCCTCCGAGGTGTGGGGCCACACTTGGTGCTTCACACCTATTATCTCATCTAATCCCCACCATAACCCTGCTGGATAGGTGTTGCATGCCTCATTAGAGACAGGTAGAGCACTGGCCTGTGATCGCATTGCCAGGAGTCTCTTGGTGAGCTGGCAGATAAACTCCCTGACTCCAACTCCTGGAGAATTCCCACCGGGGCCACCATAGCTACTGGCTACAACTTCAAAAAAAATAAAGAATAAAGAAAACAGAAAGATTTATGATCTTAAAAAAAAACTGTCTTTTTTTTAGTTGAAAAATTTAATAGACATTTGCACATATGAACAAATTGGTTTATTTTCAGGTATCTCTAGGTATGAAAGGAATCCAAAGGAAGGAGAAGAAATCCTTCGCCTTGGCACTTTGCAAACTGACTACTTGCAAACACACACTCTCATACGAGCAGTCTATGCCAAAGAAGCTCTTTTAGGAGACAGTAACAGAAGTGATCTCAGTATTCTGCCCTGCATTTAACATAGACCACTTATTTGTGTTAAAATGTATTTAAGTTTTATTTTTAACAGAAGTCTTTTATTTGGGTTACAAGCTATATATACTATTAAGAAATTTATTTTCATGGTCAGAGAAATTAAGAATTACTAATTGTGACAGATATTTTAACATGTAGCAATAACTGGGGGTTATATTTATAGTTTGTTAATTGATTGAAAACACTCAAAAATAACACTTCACAACTTCATTTGCAGGATCATGTTGAGAAATTAGGACCAGCTACTGTGTACTTACACCAAGGTTCAGGTGTTAAAGTACAGATGCTATTTAACCAACTGAGATGACTTAATTGGTGGTTTTCTCTATAAAGAATGGTAAACAGAGCTCCCATATCTCTTATAATTTCCTTGTATCAGAACCAAAAATAATATTTAATATTTGCTTTGCACCTTACACAATAAATTTTTAAAAAGCCCCATACACATCAGTGGTCAGCAAAGAATGTGCAAGCCTATCACAGACTCTGGAGGGTGGAGTTGCTGGACTTTTTCCTCTGGTCTCTAGTAGCATAAAAATGGAGTTACAGAAAAAGTGCTTTCAACATGCTGATAAAAGATTAAAAAGAATCACTTGGCCTGAAGGAATTTTAACAACATAACATTAAGGAGAAAAGAAGCTGTAAAATAAAACCAAAAAGCATGTCCACAAGAACTTAAAGAAATCAGGGGGGAAAAAACCTCACAAATTGTCTAGGCAGTCGTGAGCAATCATTGACTTGGTTTGTTATAATTTTAAATTAACTTCCCTTAAAATATGTGATTTATATGTGACCATTTATATAGCTCTTATCTATGATTTCAAAGGTGATCAGTTCAAAGCTTAATGAATTTTCTTGATATTGAATTTTTCAACCTTTGAAATCTTATATTTCAGTAATGTACTATTACCTTAACATTTAAGCAAAGCTGCATGATCTAGAGAGAATTCAATCTCTTCTGATGATTAAATTTCAGTAATTGAACATAAAAACATTTGGAACAAGAAGGACTGTATAAATGAACTGTCAGCATATATTACAACATTACAATGTTGCTTAGGTAAGAAAATGCTCCTTGAAGAAGTTGGCACAACGAGAAGCCAATAGGAAAAACAGAGGAAGTAAGCTATCACTGAAATAATGAGCAGGAATTCCATTAAGGCTCCAGGCCAGGTATGTGAAGGAGGTGTGATTGATACGCAGGACTTGGAGATTAACTGTGTGGGACTTGCTGAGGCCATGCCTACATGCATCTAACATAGTGCTATATTTGGTATCAGACTTTGACTGAAGTGGTGTTTACAGAGTCACTGCTCTTGCTAGTTCTTTTCTTTTAAATGCTAAGGATTTTGTTTCAGCCACAGCGTCAGGAAGGGAGCATTTTCACGAGGCAAAGAAAAATATAGTCATATCCGGAGTTAGTCTCACATTAAGATGCAATTAGTGTTCACTTTTAGTGTCAACAACTATTTAAAAAGCTACATTTCATACAAACACAGGGATGACAATGACCATGAGGTCATCAAGTCCCTGTGTTCCTATCAGTAGGTCCCCTTGGATATTGCTAATAAATGATAAGATTTCAGAAGCCAACATAATGATATGATATAAAAACAATGTCAAAAATTTGATATTTATGAGTATGGCAGTATGGAAGAAGACAGTGTTCTGAGGCTGCTTCTAGAATTGCTACAGAGGATTGGAATCTAGTTCAAGTTAACGTAACATCCTTGAAAGGTTAAAAGACAAAGGTTACTTCTGAATATATTATTTCTATCGCAAGTGACTACATAATGGAATAGAGGTCAGCTTGGTGGATCTGGAAATTCTTAGTCTTTAAAACATTCTTTCTGGAATAGAAATGAAGCCCTGGAAATCTTGCAGAGTAGAACTCGGCTAATGAATGGCTTTCTATGATACGATTTACTATATAGTGAGGGTTAAATAATGTTCTATCAGATTCACCTATTACTTACAATAAAAGGATATTTAAAAAGTATAACAAAAATATCTTAGTTTGTAAGGTGGATATCAGCCTTGCTTACCAATACCCAAGTTACATAAAAGGGTCCCATTTTCCTGTTTATGGCTCCTGCTTTTCCCTAGAAGAAATGACCAGCCTGTGATTCCCAGTTCTGCCACTAGCTCACTGTAAAACCCTGATAAATCAATCACTCGGCACTCCATGGCAATCACAAACTCAGATGTGAGCACACTAGAGGTTAGTTCAAATTACGTACAAAGGTTTCTCTAATAAAATAAGGATTGACAACTGGGGCCATGACAGAAGAGAAGTCACTTTAAGGTATTTACCTTTTCCATACCTTATTAATTAGTTGACAATTTTACATCATAATTACACTTGATCCTTCTTCCAAGACCAAATTCAGGTAGATACATTCTAATTTCACAGGCAAAAAACCCAGAACAGCCCCTGTTGTTTGGATTCTATGATGCATTCCTCAACCCCAGCAACTGGTATTACAGGTACTGTTTAAAATGTTGCTTTGTTACCCTGAGAACTACATCCTTACTCTTTTTTTTTTTTTTTTTTTTTTTTTTTTTGAGACAGAATCTCGCTCTATCACCCAGGCTGGAGTGATAGTGGCACACTATAGTGGAATGTGCAGTGGCACAATCATAGCTCACTGCAGCCTTGAACTCCTGGGATCAAGCAATCCTCCCACCTCAGCTTCCAGAGTAGCTAAATTATTTGTTCTAAAATTATTATTCATATAACACATGAGCATTGATTCTTTCCAAGACAGGCACAATTCTGTGAATGTAAAAGTTGGTGCTCTGCCCCCGGGAAGTTTACAATCCAATTACCAAGTGGCCTCGTGAGAAAAGTGCCAAGTGCAAGTAGGACCACGGAAGGGAGAGATCCGAACCTGCTAGAGAATTAAAATACATGCTTCTGGATAAAGGTGGCTACTGCAATGGGATTTCAAGAACCAATATAATGGCAAGCTCGGTAGCTCAGACCCGTAATCTCAGCACTTTGGGAGGTCCAGGCATGTGGATTGCTTGAGGCCAGCCTGAGCAACAGAGCAAGACCCTCACCTACAAAAAATAAAAATATTAGCCGGGCATGAGCACAAGCCTATAGTCCCAGCTACTCAGGAGGCTGAGGCAGGAGGACTACTTGAGAGCAGGAGTTTGAGGCTATAGTGAGCTGTAATAGTGCCACAGCACTCCAGCCTGGACAACACAATGGGACCCTATCTCAAACAAACAAACAAACAAACAAAACCATGATAGGCAAAAGTAGGGAAAAAGCTGTCCAAAACAAGGAAAGGCAGAGTGAAATAAATAGTCAGGAAAGCCCAAGGAAAATTAGGTAATTTGGCCAAAGCCAAGGACTGTGTGGGGGTCCAGTAGAGGAAGAGGCTGACAGGAAGTTCAGGGTATACTCTTCAGGGTCTTGGCTTCTTCTCTTAAGGAGTCTAGACAGAGGGAACAACATAGAGGCCAGACCTCTTTCTATAAGTAACTAACCTGTTAACTTTGCCAATTAGGTACATAATAGAATATCCTTCCTCTTATTGATTGTGTGAACTCCGTGAACACAAGAGTCATGTTTTCTCACTACTGAATCCCAGGGGCTGCCATTAGTAAACACTCCACTTTTTTTGTTGAATAAATAAGTAAATGAACAAGTAACTAAATTGATTCATTAAAGGTACATATAAACACTTTAATTTTGCTATTAGTATTCTCTTAGTAAAAATAAGTTCCTGTGTAATTTATTTCAAATAAATGAACACTTGAATAATCCAGCAGTTTCTTCCCTCCACATTACTTTCTTTCCAGGTTACTCAAAATGTCATATAACTAGAGAAATATTAACAAATTTTATATGCAAGAAGATGATGTCACAAACATACTTCAGACTGGTTTTGCATATTATCAACTAGCTATTAGTATAAAAAGTAGAACAGCTACTCTATCAAACATGACCGCTAATTTTAGAAAATCCTTTCTCTTTTTCCTGAAAAATATCCATTATATATATATATATACACATTTATAAGTAAATATATATATATATATTTTTTTTTTTTTTGAGACAGGGTCTTGCTCTGTTACCCAGACTGGAGTGTAGTGGCATATTATGGCTCACTGCAGCCTTTACCTCCTGGGCTCAAGTGGTCCTCTCACCTCAGCCTACCAAGTAGCTGGGACTACAGGCGTGTGCCACCACACCTGGATGATTTTTTTATTTTTTGTAGAGACAGAGTCTTGCTATATTGCCCAGGCTGGTCTTGAACTCCTGGGCTCAAGTGATCCACCTACCTCAGCCTCTCAAGGCGCTGGCATTACAGGCACAAGCCACTGTGCCCCACCTCATATCTGTTTTTAACAGGGTTATTTCAAGCTGGAAATATAAGCAAATCTTTTTATAATGGCAACAGAAAACTATATGTAATATTTCAAAACTTCCCTTTCTCACTGGCCATTGAACTCTTGAGACGTCTGGAAGTGGTAAAGGCAATAAGCTCTTGTGACATTATCCAAGCACGAAAGCATTTTCATGAAATCATGGCCTAAGAACACTCTTGTCTATCAGGCTGCCAGTGCTATCTGTGGGTCAGTTAGGAAAATGATGCAAAGAACTTCTTTTGAAAGGATTCTCCAGAATTACCTCTAGGAAGGACTCTGGTGCTCAGTGCCTATAATTAACTCTGGTGGGTGGTAGGAGTGGAGGTTGGCAAATGTGTGTCTTGACTGGCATGTGAGTGAGGGAATTTGGTCTTTCTCTCCCACTAATAGCCATTGGAAATTAATAAGAAAGTGAAGAGGTGACTTGTGAATTTTATGTAATAATAGAGGAGGCTCCCAAACATTGCAATGATTATGAATGAAGAATTTACTTCTTTCTCCTTTTTCACATAAACACACAGAAGTGCCCTTCCATTTGATAAAGAGGGTGATAGGAGATCTTCTGGTTTGTTTGTTTAATGTCCAAGTCTTGCCTGATCCTGCTGCACTCTGCAATTTGAAAAGGAACACTTTTCTTATAAATAGCCCACATAAGGCATCTTGGGACATCTTAAGAGCTTTACATATATCTGTACAAGGCAATATTGTGGCATTATTATCAATGTTGAACAATGGTTCAAATAATCCCAGGACAAATTAGCTTAATACAGATTAACCACTCCTACCACAAAAGAAAACCAAAATTTGGGATCCAAGAAAGGAGAGGTTAAGTTCCAAAAACCAAAAATAAATTTTTATTAGGTACAAACTATAATAAAAAAATTAGTATATCACAACCTATGTTAGCTGATTGAGATAAAATATTTGGAAGAATCCGTGATTCTGAAATACAAATTTTCTTACATATATTCTTTGGGAAAAAAATCTGTTTACCATGAACAAAAAAACATTTTGTGTGGCTCAAATATTTAAGCTAGGCCAATTAGTTTGTTTAGTGGCATACAGTTTGCACTCAATAAATGTTAGGGAATATATGTGTGAATGAATAAAAAATGTACCATAAATACTTTTTGTCTCTTGAAAATACAAAGGGCTAATATAATTGTACTCTTTTACAGAGTAGGAATTTTTTAATTACCTTAACTTGTAAACATAATTTCAAATTCCAAATAAAATGATAAGACTAAAATCAGAAAACAATATATTATGTTCTGAATTTTTACAGCGCTTTTGACACTATGTTTATATTCCAGTTGTGAATGTTCAAATATAAAAATGGGTTCAAGTTTTCTATTTAGAAGACCAAATTCACCATAAAATAGCTTTGGATCAGACAGATCCCAGCATTTATGTCTTGCTGGTTCAAGGAAATAAAGCTGTAGTAAAGGAAATAAAGCTGTAATAAATCGCTCCAAAGCAAAGGCAAAATGACCACCCAATTAAGCTATAACTTTAAAAATCACCTTGAGGTTACCCTGGGAAGAAATATGAGGAAAAGGGCAATTAAAGATCAGTCTTTTAAATCTGAGGTCTCCTCATTGACAATGAAAGATTCAGTTACTTAAACTGTTTTTCACTGTTTCATTTATGAGTTGCTTTTAACAATATTTCATCCCTCAACAGAGGAAATAAGAAATCCTTAAAAAAAAAAAAAGCTATACCAGACTATCAAAATCGTTGCTAAGGAAAATAAACTAATCAAGATTGATCTCCTGGGTCCTCAGAAGTTCACCAATTCCAAATGTTCTCATAAGTTTCAAAAGAGAATAAAACAATTAAGCTTCCTTATAATACAATGCTTAATAACTCATTGTGGGTCAGAGGAATTAATGACAGTGGCATTTTATAAAATACATTTAACTCTAATTAAAAGTACTCATTTATTTCTTTTCTGAATAACCTAACTGTCTCTTTCCCACATACTAAAAAGTCTGGGTCAATTTTTTTTTCTATCAATTCTTAAGGGATTTTCTAGAATAGTTTTAAAGAAAAGATGGGATGTACTGCTGTTAGCAGTACTTTCAGCAGAAGGAATTTTTTTTTCAAATTTATTAATTTTTAAAAACGAACAACAATGTAACTAAAGAAAAATGTCTACAAAGCAAACAAAATGGTGACTTCCTTTATATGCAAGCACAATGATCCATTATTTCCTTTTCAAGAGGCCTTCAATATTAGTTACTGAGAGAGCAAATGACAATGAAAAAAATATTAATTGCATTACTGAAAAGAGACTATAAGGCAATAAGCTTATTTTCCCTCATTTAAAAATGCTCTTCCTGCTTCTTTTAAATTCCATTAAAAAAACATAGTTTGCTACAAATGACACACAAATGGGATGAATAAATAGTTAAGTACAACTGATGGAGGTCTTAATCTAATGTACCGTTGTCTGTCAGCTAATCTCTCCTGGTTTAACAATCTGAGTTTAACTACTTCATGATGAATGAGACAGGGTGCAAATGACCTGAGTGTTTCAGCCCATAAAACAGGCTTAGGGAAATAAAACCTGCAAATTTGATCACCAGACTTAGATTGACCACCATTGGCAATGCAGTTAGGGTTTTAAAGCAATTGTCTACATGTAATATTAAGTAATGAAGTTCCAATCATTTATACTTAAAGTACCATTTGCTCTAAAGCAGCTTACTATTATATGCAAGATTTGCCGTTACATAACTGAAATTCAGATAGCTCTGAATTCAAAGGTGGTGAGCTAATTGTCAGAGGACCTCAGTGAGGCTGAGAGTTTTATAGACTCAGTTCTGCAGAAAGTTTCTTAGGAGCATTAACATGTACTCACATTAAGCAAGAAAGACTCCAGTTGTTAACAGCAGTAGGTCTATTGTTCAGGAAGTAATACTTTTCATGAGATTCATTATGAAAGAGAGGGGGGAAATCCTTTTTGGCATTCTGCATATAAAATCTTCTCAGAAAGACATCTGCAGTTTAAAAAAATTCCACCTACTTTTACTACTACAACCTTTGTTAATTTGCTACAGTTCTCTGCTCCAGTAACTTAAAAGTCATTTCCTTAAGAAAACAGATGACAGACAACTTGAGTGACTGATTATATTGTGCCATCACTTTGTTTTTCTCAGAGGCCTTGGTTTAAGAGGATGGATGTTCGTGTAAATGACAGCAAGGGGAGCTTCGCATAAGATTTCACTTCTGTTCAAAGACAAGCTAATGTAACCTCACTGCGGTGCCATCAACTTGACAAATGGACACCGCGCAACCCTCTGCCTCCCACTGAAACCCGAGAGCCTGATTTACACAATATTCTCCCTGTAGATGGAAAAAGACTTCATGCTGCTAGGCTGTATAATGGGTTGATCTGATAATTCTTTGCATGTAATGAAATTTGATAATATGAAGGTGAGATGCATCTCAAAGAATGAGGCAAGCTAATGAACTTGTAAAACTACACTTAAGTCTTTTAAAACCTGAATAAACATTAAAAGGGACTTAGCTCAATCCATGTTGAGAAAACGTAGCAGTTCTCATGTTTTAACTCTGCAATCAAAGATACACGGCCTTTACTTAAAAGGAATAAAAGATTCCAGCTCCAAGGAGTATAGCTCTATTCAAACAATTCAATATGATCTGTAGAAATTGCTGTGCCTTATCTTTACCATCAGATTTTGCTGGTCCTCAGTTCCTTACCTCAAGAATTCTACATTACTTTATCCTGTTAAATTATTTTCCTGGGAGCTCAATATTCTTCCTTCTAAAGTAGGAAATTTCTTAAAGAATTGATAAATAATGCCATGCAAAATTAACAAATAGTTCATCTGGAGATTTAAACGTACCTTAAACTGGCACAAAAATCACAAAAATTAGAGCTTCATAAGAAACATCCACTTCTGTTTTAAAGTCGTAAGTTCTTACATATTCAAAGTATGAATGTTTAAATAAAGTATTCTGAAAAGAAATTCATGGTATAGTTTATTTTATAGGCAAGGCTGATCTCAAATCCTCGGCAGTAAAACTGTCTATTAGTATTAATGCCTGGAAATAAACACCATGAATGTAAACTACAATCAGAAGCAGTTTTAACACATGTAAATGTTGAATGAGGTAGAATTTTAGGCTTATATTTACTTTGCTGTTGTCACAAATAAAAAAAGCACTTATGAAAACATTTCATGCTGAAGTGAATGGATCTCAACAGCTGCTGATTTGGTGACATGGAGAACCCCAGAGGAGACATCCTGCTGAATTAACGTTTTGGAAATGTTAAAAAGAAACTTCAAACAGACCTTGTTTAGCAGGCGGTCAAAGATTTTGCTCTGTGGGGATCATGTGAAGGCTAGCAGAGCAGTCACTCAGCCATGAATCAGACTTGTCAATAGTTGCCTATTTTCTCAACAGGTGACTTAAATAGGCACACAGTCTATTTCCCCTAACATTTCTGTGTGTACTTGTGCACAAAAAAATCATCCTAGACTTTGCTCTGGGATTTATTTAGGAAGGCACAGCATGCAGGGATGGGGAAATAGTTGTTTAAGGGGTTTAGACATATTTTTTAAATGTGTACTTTTGCTTTTTTTAACTAAAAAAATTAGCTAAGTTACATTTAAAATCTTATTTTCAAACAAACTTTTATCCTAAGTTAGAAACCTGGAACAGATTCAATCAAATAATTATAGGACAGTAAAGAACCTTGAAGATAGCAAAGATCAAACCCATTATTTCACAGATGAGGAAACTAAGGCCTACAGAGCTTTAAGTGATTTGCCAAATATTTACTTGTTCATGTGTTCGGACTAGAACTTCCATTTTCTGACTCCTTGGTTCAAAATTAGTACACTAAACTTATCCTTAAGAAATAAATGAGAAGTAGTCTTCTTTGAGCAATGTAAAAATACGCAAGAGAAGAAACCATTAAACTGAGTAAGATCTCATGGTTCAGTGTTTTTCTGATTTGGCGTGTTTTGATTATTTTCCTTTATGCTGGCCACAGAGAAAGAGAGAGAGTTAATGGAAAATTCCTTCCCCACACCACCAAGAAGTAGAGGTGGGGGCTGGGGTGAGAAAAGGCCCAGTACCAAGATGTGTTTTCTACTTTCAACATTTAGGAGTTTAGTGTAAATGTAGAGTACAAAAACAATAAAGCATTTCTTTGTTACTGACTCAGATTGGCATTGTAAACTATGCCATACAAGCTACTATTATGTCAGAAAATTACCAGGTATCCATTAAATGAGCTCAGACTGTTTTCTATTGTTAAGAATTTTTTAGTTGTTTTGGAAAGCCTAAGTACAGAGTTCAGTGAAAGTTCTCAGAGGTGACTCCACAATCACAGCAGTACTCATTACCTTAGTCAACCTCTCCTACTGCTTCCATCAATGCACGGTCATTACCAGCCAATGCTAAAATGGAATCCGAGGCTTAGTAAATCACCTCCAATTGACAAGATGCTTCCTAGATAAGTACTCTCTTGAAAATACTTTCTACATGATTCAGAGTTAAAAATTAGGAAGAAAAGCAAATGCCAATGCCATCAACATACACACACACATATACACAAACCTCTTAGGACCCAATTCCTAAGAATTCACTGATTCTTGTTATTAAAATTCATCTTTTGGAAGTTTAATTCTTCATATGGTATGAGGAAACAGGTACTCTAATGCAAAGGTTGATGGGAGTGTAAAAGACAGATTGGATTTATACATCAAAATGAAAAATGCACTCATCCTTTGACCCAACATTCCTACCTATAGAATGCTGAGGAGATAATTCAACAAGTGAGGAAAGATATATGTGCAAAGATTATCATGGCAGTATTTTTTATGGTAGTACAAAGCTGGAAATTAAGTTGGTGGTTAAATAAAGGTATATACATACACTGGCATACATGCAGCTGTTAAAAATCACTATTCACTTAATATAAAGCTACAGTAGTAATAGCAAATGGATCAATGGAACAGAACAGAGAACCCAGAAACAGACCTACACTTACTTGGTCATTTGATTTTCAAAAAAATGCCAAGGAAATCCATTTATGTCAGAATAACTGAATATCCATGTGGAAAAAATAAACTTCAACTTCTTCCTAACATCACACACAAAATTTAACTTGAGGTCTACCTTAGACCTGAATGTAAAAGCTGAAACTATAAAGCTTTTAGATGAAATCAAAAGAGAAAATCTTCACAAATTGAGAATAGAAAAAAGTTTCTTAAAGATAAATAATCATAAAATAAAAAACTGATAAATTGAACTGCATCAAAATTTAAAAATTCTCCTCATGAAAACACATTGATAAGAAAATGAATAAGGAAGCCTAAGAGACTAAGAGAAAACAGACTAAGAGAAAACATTTGCAAAACATATATGACAAGGGTTTGGATAAGATATATAAAGAAATATAACTTAATAATGAAAAGACAAACAACCTAATTTAAAATGGATTTAAATTTGAATAGACTCTTCACAAAGAAATATAAATAACCAATAAACACAGGAAAAAGTACTCAATGTTATTAGTCATTAGGGAGTAACAATTTAAAACCCTAATGAGATACCATTACACACCCACCAGTATGGCTAAAATTAAAAGGTCAGTAGCAAATGTTGGCAAGGATATGTAGCAACTGGAAGTTTCATACGACGTTGGTGGGAGTGTCAAATGGTGTCTTATACAAAACACACACCTACCCTATGACCCAGCAATTCCACCTCTAGGGATTGATGCAAGAGAAAAAAACATGTCCACAAAAGCCTTACACAAGAATGCTCACAGCAGCTGTATTCATGATAGTTAAAAAATGGAAACAGTTCAGGTGTCTATCAAAAGGAAAATGAACAAACAAACTGCATTTATGCAATGAAATACTATTTAGCAAAGAAAGAAACAAATTATGGATACACAGAACAGGGCTGAATGTCAAAAGCGCTTTACTGAGTAAAAGGAACATTACATTTCATTTACATAAGGGCTGGAACAATGATTGCCTTTGAGGGTCGTGTGGGCTGAGATTTACTGAAAAGGGACGTGAAGGAACTTATTGTGATGATAACGTTTTATATCTTGACAGGGGTTTGAGTTGTACAAGCATATGATCAGAACTTGTCAAGTGGTACACTTAAGATTTGTACACTTTGTTGTTTATCTCAAAAGAAAAAAGGAACTCACGTTTATGGACGCCCATGCTAAAGTACTCGGGGTGGAGGGAGTATACAGATGTCTGCCTCTTTCTTTGAAATCCAATACAAAAATGAGATGGGTTAATAGAGACCCACTTAAATAGAGAGATGAGGTGAACAAATATAGCAAAATATTAATTATACAATTTAGGTGGTAGGTATGTGGGTATTCACTATAAAATTCCGTCTCTCTTATTCTCTTGGTGTGTGTGTGCATGCATGATTGCAAGTGACTTACAAACAGCATGTTTAATTTTTCAAAATACCATTTTTCCAAACTGACATTTTAACCTCTATTAATAGACACTTGTTTATTTTTGTACTCAATGAAGTTTAACTTCTCCTAAAACATAGAATAATTAAATAATTTTCAAGTTCATCTATGGCAAATGTCAAAGGAAGATATACAATAAAACTGGTTCTGCTTGATCAGTTGATTTGGATATTGAAGTTTTCCACATTTTTAGACAATATGAAAGTACAGTAGTTTTGCACCACCTTCTATTAAAAATCTACAACATGGCTCAGAGCAGAGACTCTTTTAAAAATGATCAACAACAATAAATTGTAAGCCACTTGTATTGTAATTAGGAATCCCAAAACTTTTATGAAATATTATCTTAAATTTTAACGGAAGTTTTGTTAACAAATAACATTATAAATTTTGTAGATTACTGATTTACATGCATGTGGAAGGAAAAGCAAAATCCTTCCAATTGTGCTGAGCCATTAAAATGGAGATGAACCATAAGATACTGCAAAGCCCAGAAGGTCATGTGTAATTAAGCACATATTCTCCGGCTTCTTTTATCATATATTCATATTAAAAACTTAAACTGTATTCCACTTATAAATCAATGGATTCTGCTGATAAAGATGGGAGTTTTTAATTCTTATTTGTTGGGTATGATTTTTTTCCATTTTCAATGGAAATAATAAATCTCTACTTTGTATCACATTCTGGGATGGTTGGGTGTAATGCAAAAATATCATGTAAGGAAACTGATATATTCAAATTAGAAGTGAGTTGGTCTCTCCAAAGGTATTTGGTACTTTTTTAAGTACCTGTTAAGTGCTGTTAGAGTATGCATTTTCCTCTCAGGTATACAAACACTGAGCATCATATATCAAATAAAGTAGAAGTATTCTGCCATTTAATTGGAATTGAGGATTTTTAAATGGTTAATAAGAAATAGTCAAAATGTTAAAGGCAGTTTATCTTAAGCATTTACATTTTTCTTCTAACAAGTTATTTTTTAAAACATATCAGTTACTTTACTAAATGACTTAATTCTTTATTTAGTGCTTTATCTGCTAATATACTATCATAGAATCTTCCAGTGTTCAAATAAAATGTCAATAAAAACTTATACTTTTTATTAGTCAATATGCCCACATTTAACTATATGGTCCCTTACTTAAATCATAAACTACTCTAAGGAATGATTCATAAAGCCAAATATATATATATATATATATATATATGTATAGTTAACACTATTTATTGGATTTACCTAACAAAAATGTGACTATAAAACAATGATTAAAATATCTAAAAGATTATATAAATGAGTATTGTTTTATGATATTAATCTACGGAAGCAACAATTGATTCATACAGTTGTAGAATTCCATTTTGGAACTTTCTCTCACAAGACTGTCCACCTCAAGTTTGTATGTTCTCTTTTGTCTCCCCGCACACATATATGTACACACACAAAGCTGCTCTCTTTTATAAACACATTTTGTTTCAGACACAGTATTACTTAGCAGACACCTCCAAATAACTTGTAGTTATTTCTAAAAATCAAAATCAGATTATACAGATGTCTGCCTCTTTCTTTGAAATCCAATTCAAAAATGAGATGGGTTAATAGAGACCCACTTAAATAGAGAGATGAGGTGAACAAATATAGCAAAATATTAACTATACAATTTAGGTGGTAGGTATGTGGGTATTCACTATAAAATTCTGTCTCTCTTATTCTCTCGGTGTGTGTGTGTGCATCAAAAATACACAAATTTGCTATCAAAAGAATGTTTAGAAAATTCCAAGATGTTTCTGAAAGTGGAAACCTAAATGTATTACTAAAATATGCATACACAGCCTCCTCCCCAGATGTGAAGATGACCACTTTGGAGGAATCAATGCTTACTTAGATGTATATGCTCTGGAATGTGTATGTGTCTGTGTGTTGTAACTGCCACAACTGAAGGAAGTGTGCTAGAATGGAAAGAACTGTATCAGGTATCACAAAGCCTGGGTCTGAGTATCAGCTCTGCCATTTATAAGTTGTACATGTTTAGATCAATCCCTTTACTTCTTTGGGCTTCAATTTCCTCATCTTTGACATAAAAGTGTTGATCTAGACCAGCACAGTCCAACAGAAATATAGTGCAGGCTACATATGTAATTTTTGTAGCCACATCTAAAAAGTAAAAAGAAACAGATGAAATTAATTTTAATAATATTCTTTATTTAACCAACACAGTATACCCAATATATTACCATTTCAACATTTAATCAATAAAAACTTATTACTGAGATCATTTACATTCTTTTGTTTTTTGGTGCTGCCTTTCAAATCCAGTGTGCATTTTATGCTTGGAGCACACATCCCAATTTGGATGAGTCAAATTTCAAATGCTCAATAGCCACATGTGGCTAATGGTTAACGTATTAGACAGCACAGACCTAGACAGTTGCTAATAGTCCTTTCAGTTTTATAATTTTTATTACTTTGTTGTTGAAAATAATATATTAATAAAATTAGCATCAAATTCAGTGCAAGTATATAAAAATCATAGATCAAATGCTTCCATGGAACATCTACTTTCATCAGGAAAGGTTCATTAATTCTTATCTGGCAGTTTAAAATTCTGGATGATTTTTTTCTAACATTGAACAATCATTAAGAAGCAAAGAACTGGCAATTATCTTCTGAACTCAACCTCACAGAAAGTGGATTACTTCATCTATTAAATTGGCTTAAGTCTATTAAATAATTGCCAAGTCCCCATTTCACATTCTATGATGCAGATTTGGCTCTAATCTGAAGCTTTAGATCTTTATGTAATCATAAGAATTGCAAGACTGGTTTTAAAATGAATAAACATCCAAAATTACTGCTATAGCAGTAAAGCTTATTTAATTTCTGCTTTGTTTCATGTAGTCTAAATTATGAAGATTATTAAAGGGCTTTATTTTAGTGAACCACATTTATATAAGCAAATCAATATTCAATAATAAATATTGCAATTCTTGGCAAAGGATTGGGAAAGGCCATGTTCATTAAAACAGGTGATATAAAAGCTGATACTCAGGTTCTAACTGAGAAAAATGTATAAACTATTAGCTATGAAGTATCCCTCGGTAATAAAGACTGAAGTAGAACCTACTTGCATCACAGGACAACTTTTCGAGTTATCAATTACACTTGTAATAGAACCTCTGCAAGTTATTTATCTCCAGGTAAAAATCATACATAATTTCAACTAGCTTATCAGTTTTTATACCAAACTTTACAGAAATTATATAAATGTTCTCCCTGATGTTACTATAATCTTTTGACCCTTTTCTTCCCCCTCAAATTTATAACAGACTAGTAATAACACACTCGAGTGTTTCTTTATCAGTATAATTACCATAACAGAATTATTTCTTAAAAAGAAGTGAATAAAACATCTCACATGCTTTGTCAAAATACAAAAGGTGTTTCTGCAAATCTCTAAATTTTGTTTTAACAAATACACAGTGAAAGCTGGTAATGATACAACTTATGTACACGTGGCAACATAATATACTGATCTCTTAATGTCTAGCACAGGACACATTGTGTTTGTAAATTTGCCAGTAAGATAAAAATCATGTCCGTTGAAGTTAACTTTCTACATGATTTATATTATTTAATGAACATTTAGCAGAGCCAGCCTGCCACATAATACTACCTTATTTCTGGGGGGAAAAAGGTAAACATTATTGCTATGCTGTAGTCACCTATAATTCCTCCAGGCAATTATCTATTACATGTCAGAGACCAGTGAAAAAAGTAATAAAGGCAAAGGCAAAGAAACTCTAAACATAATATGGCCCATGCCCAGCACACTGCCTGGCATTTAGGAGACATTCAGTGTTTGTTGAATGAATGGCCATAGAACATATGTACACAGTACAGTCTACATGTGTGTATACACTGTAGCCTGCATTGATTCCATAGGTAAATAAATACACTATACATTTAGTAGGTATGCATGTTTACTTTTTTTTTTGCTAGAAAACTTTTATCCTGATTCTGAAGTCCAAATCTAGCTCTTCCTTGGGGTGACATAAAAACTCAAGTCTCTTTCCTGCTTTCATCATTAAGTACTTCATTTGTTCATCAAGTATTTGTGTAACTGGCACTATGATAGGCATGGCGCTGACATAAAAAGAAAATCATAAAGACAAACACATAGACTAATAATTATAGTCCTTATTTTGTAAACAAGGGAATTGCTATTTGGGGAGATTAAGAAACTTGCCCAAGGCAACCCAGCAAGTGAGTATATGAACCAAGTGTCAAAGCTGTATCCATATGTTTTTCAACTACCCCATGAGACATAAACATTGAGCAGCTAAGGGAATGTGACGGTTAATTTTATGTGTTAACTTGGCTGTGCTGTGGTGCCCAGTTGCTTGGTCCAACACTAGTCTAGATGTTCCTGTGAAGACATTTTGCAGATGTGATGAACATATATAATCAGCTGATTGAATAAAGCAGATTACCCTCCATAATGTGGGTGGACCTTATCCAATCAGTTGAAGGCCTTAAGAGCAAAAACAGGATTCCCAGAGAAGAAGGAATTCTGCCTTAAGACTGTAACACAGAAATCATCCCTGAGTTCCATCCTGCTGGCCCACCTTCAACTCAAACTGCAATATTAACTCTGCCTGTTTCCAGCCCACTTACCTGCACTATAGATTTTGCACTTGCCAGCCCTCACAATCATGTGCACCAATTATTTAAAATCAATCAGTCTCTCCCCCACCTACTCTCTCAATACATCTATGTCCTGTTGTTACTCTGGAGAACCCTGACTGACACAGGGTGTCATGGCTAAATATGGAGGTTGAGAGGGCATCAAAATGTGGCTAGTAGTGCAATACTTGAAAGTGGATAGGACCCAAATGGACCCAAGATACCAAGGATAAAGCCTTGAGCACAACAGCATTTAAGGGGCCAGCAGAAGTCAAAGAGCCAAAAGGAAGAGATAAGTCAGTCATGGCAAAAGAAGGCTTCACAAAGGAGGGAGGCAATCCTGCAGAAAAGGCAAGTAGGAGGAAGTCTGAGCATAGGCCTTTGTATTTGGCAATCAGTAGGACAAGGGTGACTGTGGCCAGGTCAGTTGCAATGGTGACTGGGATGGTATCCATCCTGTATTCACTGTATTGTCTACCAGTGAATAAGAGGTGAGAAACTAGAAAAAGGTTGGCAGTTGAGGAAAGGAAGAAAACAATAGCTCAAAAAGGACAGAATGGTGGAGGTGGAAGACTGTGTTAGAATTAGGGAGACATTTGTAAGTTGAGGGAAAGGTGTCACTGGAGAAGAAGATAAAGATAGATAGAAACCAGTGAGAAAACAAGTCCCAGGAGTAAGATATCCTTGCATATGGGCTCTAGACCACGGGAGTATGGAATAACTCTAATCAGAAGTGAAATACCTCTGTCAAAGACAAGCAGTGATAGTCAAGAGATTGGCGCTCTCACGGATTGAGCTGAAGCTGGGGCTCCATGCCTTTATTTTATTTATCTTATACTTTTCCAGGGAATTAAGAGGTGAGGTCATCACTGAGAGTTCTTATTAAATAACATATATGTGTCTAGTACCATATGGGATTCAAAAAAGCACAAGACCCATTCTTTGCCAGTCTATCTGTCAAGCTATTATGGTCCAGTATACAGTCTCTCAGAAGCAATGGAGCATTGGTTCCAGGAACCCACATGGATACCCAAATCCACAGATGCTCAAGTCCTTTATACAAAATGGCATAGTATTTGCATATGATCTATGCACATCTTCTGTATACTTTAAATTACCTCTAGATTACTTATAATACCGAATACAATGCCTACCTACCACTTCGTTGGTGTGGATTCAACATACTACTTGGCACATGGCAAATTCAAGTTTTGCTTTTTGAAACTTTGTGAATTTTTTTTTTCCAATTATTTTTGATCACTGGTTATTTGAATCCACAGATGTTGAGGGCTCACTGTAGTTAAATTATCCCTAGTATTAAGTTACACAGTATTTTGTGGGAAACCTTTAACAAACTATGCTTGTTTCTGCCAGTGATTAGTAAAAAAAATATTGTTGGCCCTGTTTTTCATCATTTGTGCACTTTAAAAAAATAGAAGCTTGAAAATGTGATTTCTGCTAGTTATATTTTCGATTAGAAAATTAACCATATGATCTTAGTGGCAATAAGAATATGACCGTGATAAAATTGCACAGTATATTTTAATCTTACTCTGTTCATATGTTTAGAAGACTAAACTTGAGACTAATTATATGATCAATGTCTCCTGTTTTATTATTTTACCTCAGAATATTAAAGTGATTACACAAATAATAAGTAATGATATTTTTCCCTTAAAATATAAAGGAATTTGCACAATTTTCTCACATTCTGCTAAACAAGGAGATGAATGGTTAGAGGCTAAAATCTTTAAGTTCTCCAATGATGCATTAACTAAACCAAAGAGACAACTTTACTCATTTCAAAATGTTTTATTATAACAGCAGTCTTCGAAGGCAAACACAAAAGATTCTACTATGCTTAGATTTTAAAACATAACCAATTTAATGCATCACTAATGATGTACAATAGATGTCTTCTGCAGTACCAATTCAAATAAGAGACTGATGTAATCTGCCAGATACTTCAAAGTAACTAATTTGGTAATAAGAAAATACTTCTTTTGTGCAAACTTTCCTACTTAAAAAAAAACTGCAGAAACCCTCCCAGTTGAATATTTACTAAATAAAAGTACTGAACCCTCATTAAAATGTGATTTAATAAGAAAAAGAGAACCATGTACTTTAGGCCTTCAAAATTTATCTTGAGTAACATTAGGCTTTTAGATGGAAATACATCTCTATACAAAGAAAACAGATATTAATAGCAAATTATGATCTATTTTAGAATTGTGTATTTATATTTGACATCTTAAAATTTTAAATATCTATTACATTTGTTGCTATTATGTTATACACCCTATATACACACACTCCAGATGCCTTATCTATGAAAGTATACTAGTACATTTCACTTCTCTATAAATCTTCCCCAGTATGTGTAAGTAAAACATTTCCCAGACTCTAAACCTCTAAAGGTAAAAGCTTAGGTCAGAGTTTCCTGAGCATATTCTACTATGATGTTAATATGTTTTCCTGGGGAAAGAATCTTAGATTTCTCTTTGCCTTTGTTCTCCCTTACCCATTAGAGAATTCAAAATTTTGGCCTTAATGGGAAAAGAAAGTATAAAATTCAACAAGTATTTCCAAAAGCAAGTTCAATGCAATAATTATTCATTGGCCAAGATATTTGTCAATTGCTCTTTTGGCTCACAAATTCAACCAAAATATAAATGTAAATTAAGATGTTTTCAATTATCTATTGCTTCTTCTCCAGCAGCAGCTAATCCTGAGAAAGTACCTATTATTCCAGAGAGGAAAAAGGAAGCAGGAGTTTCCATTTCTGTTGGCCACTTGGGGGTAGGAGTGTGTGTGCAGAACTAGGACACAGGAGATACTTCTTAGGGCTCCTTCTGCTGATATTCAAAAAACCCAGAATCCAAATTACCTAATTTGTGGAAAACATTTTCTTAAAATTGGATTTTTTTTATGGCTAATAATTGGGCAGAATTAGCATCCATGAAGTTACAGTAGGATTTTCCTTTATTACATCATATTTTAGGATATATGTTCCCAATTAAATAAAAAATTATTGATTTGAACCACTTATAATGTTACCAATAGAGCATTATTATGATACCTATTCTACAGAATTGCAGAAGCACCAGAAAAAAAATTCCTCATAAGAATTTGCTAACTTCTTACTTCATATTAACTGTTGATACATGTCCTATACCAGTGCATTAGCCATAATGCTTGCAAATTTTCTTGACTTCCCCTGACCCACTAGATAGCATTCAAATTCGTCATCCTAGTGTCCAAGATGCTTCACTCTCTGACCTGTACCTCACATTCTAACCCTTGTTCCCACTAATATCCAAAGATCAACCCTATACCTCAACCAAAAGGTCTGTCAAATAAATGACCTTGTGCCTCCCCACTCAGTGTCTGGGCCCATGCTAGCTCTAGCTAGTAAAAGGCCCGAATGCCTTTTACTAAATGCGTTTTTTCTCTATTGCCTAGAGGGAGCTCTGGTTCATCCTTCAAAGGTCACCTTCTGCATAAAATTCTCTTTGTGGAAATCACTCCTGCCCCATCTCTAAAATTCCTTAAGCATTTTGCTTATATATCTCATAGGCCAGTTATGTGTTGTTGTTGTTGTTGTTTACATTACAGATTTTCTTCTAATTATAATGATTAATTTTTAGGGACAGCATCCATTTTTTATACACATTTTAAAATCCACATGGGCACATATTGTCACACTGGCTTACATGAGGCAGATATTCAATAAAGGTTTATTGAATGATTAACTTTTATGTTATCATAATTTTGTATTTGGATTTATTCTTATTTGAGCAATCATTGTAGAAACCAGTGGGAAAAACTGCTACTGCCTGCAATCTCCTTTCAAAAGCAAACAATAGAAATGATTAATCTCTTAAGTTACAAATTTGATTGGAAGTAAGAATAGAGATCAACCTCATGCATAAAATGAGACAGCAGAAGCCCATAACAAGACTGATGTCAGGAGCTAAGCAAAAGGTCTGAATGACAGGTGCCCTCATAGCTGTGGAAAAGACACGCTGCATAGCACAGTGTACATGGGAGACACCATTTGGCATAAAACATAAATGAATACATAGTACATCGAAGTGCTTTATAATGAAGTTATGCTGAATATATTTTTTTACTACCCTATTGAAGTGGTCAAATTTTAAAACCTCCAAATCAATGAGGCTTAAAGTAATAGCAGGGCTCATTTCCTTGGATGATACATGATTCTCTGTTGGGAGTTCTATCATCTACATAAACTGAGAAGCCGGGAATGGAAGAATTAATAAAATAGGGTTTCTTTTCATGGAATTGACCTAAACAGTGAATTACTATTTGAAAATTACTCATCTAAAACAAGAACTAAACACTCAAATGCCTTGATTCTTGTTTAAAATCCAACAGCACTTTTTTTTTTTTGGCACATAGGGATACTAAATGTTTGTTGATTTTGTTGAATGGATAAATGAATGACTAGCTGCTTTTTAAAATTAGAATATTAATCACTTCTTGGCCTTTTGGCTAAGACCAAGTATAAAATTAGAATATTAAATAATTAAACAAGTGATGCAACGTTAATATCTGAGCATGTACTTCAGGGGAAGAAAGTGAAAATTTGTCTCTTGGCTGAGACTGAGAAATGTTCCCCTAAATTTTATACTGTTTCTGGCTTTGTAGGACACCACCTCCAGGGAAACTCTATTTCTCTTTGACAGTCCCAGGGGCCTGACCAACCTTAGGGAGGGACTCAGTTTCTATTAGAATGAAAGCAATAGTCTGCTGCCCATCAAAGATATCTGGAGACAAAAGGACAAAGTAAAAGACATATAAAAAGAAAGAAGAGGGAAATTGCAACTGATGTCAATATTAAAATGAAAGTGGACCATTATTTGGTGACCTTAATAAAGAAAACCTTTGAATAGCACACTTTGAAAATGCTATTTTGTCTCAGGTCATTTTTACGCATATCCCAAGACCCATATAGTCAGTAGGACCTCCAGAAACTTTTCACATTCATGAAAGCCCAGAGGGGGAAGCAACCTACAGCGATATTAGCTTAAAAATGACTTCTAATAGCTTCCTACCAGCTACTATCAGATACAATAGCTTACTTAAAATGGAACTGATAATTTGGCACCAGGTTCTTCAATACTTGGCATTTCCCAAGGACTCCTGAGACAAAATTATCAATGACCACAGTCATTTTTTCTTTAGTGTTTCATGTGAAAGAAATACTAAGTTGTCACAAAATATTCATATTGCTATCAAAAATCAACACAAGTTGTAGATTCATTTTTCCTTCCTTTATTTTACAGACTTTAGGGATTACATAGACTATACATTTCAAATGTATAGAGTGTTTGAATTTTTCAAAATGACAGTTTTGGGGACGCACCGCTTAGGAAGCAGAGACAACACAGGGTGTGGGAGCCTAGCTGTTAGGTCTCTCTCTGGCAGCTTACTTTTGCCACCTAGTGGGGGAGGCAGTTTCAGAGTCAGGTTTTATGTTTTGTATAAATAAGGTTGTCTCCTTTAAGACCTAATGATCAGCTGATTTGAAAAAAAAAACAAAACTTGTTTTTCCTAGTGAGGATTTTATATAGATTTTTAAAATAACCTTAAATAATTTCTCCAAATTGGTTTATTCTATGGCTATTGGTTTTCTTTCAAGCAGTTAGTATTCACTACAATGATTAACTTAGAGAATTCAAGGTAAAAATAAAACTTTTTTGTATACATCTATAATTTGTAACTATTCAGAAGAAAAAAGGCCTTTTCCTGGTTTCCAGTTATTTTCTATCCCTTGACTTTGTAGTATCTCACAAGATCTATCTTTTGGCTCATTGTTGTTCTTTCTACTTAGGTGGGGACCAAATCTATATCTTTATCCCTAATTTCTCACTGTGGCTACAATCTTCAATCTTCAGTTATCCACCAAATCATCTCTGGAAGACATTTAATATGGCAAAAACCTAAGTCATCGTTCTCCAAAAGGATCAAAGAATGGGCTCTCCTTTTGAGCCAGTGTGGCAGGCTTAATCAGAGCTAGAGTGCAGCCCAGGGCTAAAAATGGCAGAAGAGATTTTTTTAAGCAAGTAAAAATTAATAAAACAGTTAAGCAAAAGGAACAATCAGAAGTCAGGATCAGTTTACTGGGCTGGGCAGGAGGAAACACAATGATCAAGAGAGGGTGGAGCAATAATAGTGAACAGGAATTGAGGTCAGGAACATGGGAAATTTGAGGCAGGTCACAAAGTTAAAGCTAAAAAAATTGGAAATAAGAAGTAAAAGAGGTTGGACGGAGTACCACAGCTCAAGTCCTGAGGCTTGAGTCCAAGAGGACCCCCTGAGACATGGAAGGTTTGGACCTAAAAATGCATGGTGACATGTTTTTCCACTCTTTCTTCAAATTATAAAAGCCCCTAGTTCCCATGGAGAGTCAGTCTGCTGAATTTCTTGAAGTTTCTGACCTAAATAAATTATTGCTTATGAAAATTTCCATGATCATGAATGACCTTATAATAGAAGCTTAGAAAACTACTTCTTAACTGCTTTATTAAGGTGTAACTGACATACCATAAAGTTCTTCTGATACGGTGTGGATGTCTGTCCCCTCCAAATCTCATGTTGAAATGTACTCCCCAGCGCTGGAAGTGAGGCCTGGCAGGAGGTAACTAGATCGTGGGAGCAGATACCTCATGAACGGTGTAGCATCATCCCCTTGGTGATAAGTGAGTTCTCACTCATCACATGAGATCTGGTTGTTTAAAACTATCTGGCACCTCCTCCCTCTCTCTCTTGTTCCCATGCCCGCCATGTGACACGCCTGCTCCCACTTAGCCTTCTACCAGAATTGTAACCTTTCTAAGGCCTCATCAGAAGCCAAGCAGATGTTGGTGCCACCCTTGCTGTATAGCCTGCAGAACTATGAGCTAATGAACCCTATTTTCTTTATAAATTACTCAGCCTCAGGTATTTCTTTATAGCAATACACGAATGGGCTAACACGTGTTCCATTGTGAGTAGTTTTAGTAAATTTAGAAACTTGTGCAAATGTCACCATAATCTAGTCTGAGAACATTTTCATCACCACAAAAGTTCCCCTGTGCACGTATGCAGTGAGCCGTTGCTCCTAATTCCTAGTCCAAGGCAGCCACTGATCTGCTTTCTGTTTCTGAAGATACAGACTTGCCTCAGAGACATTACAGGTGAGGTTCCAGACCACTGCAATAGAGTGAATATTGCAAAAAGCAAATCACACAACTTTTTTTGTTTCCCAGTCCATATTAAAGTTATGTTTACCTACACTCCAGTCTATTAAGTGTGCAATAGCATTATGTCTAAAAAAAGAACATACTTTAATTTTAAAAACAGTTTATTAGAAAAAAATGCTAACAATCATCTGAGTCTTCAGAGTTGTAATTGCTGGTGGAGGGTCTTGCATCAGTGTGGATGGCTGCTGACTGATCAGGGTGGTGGTTGCTGAAGACTGGGGTGGCTATGGTTAAGTTCTTAAAATAAGACAACCATAAAATTTGCTGCACGGACTAACTCTTCCTTTCACAAAAAATTTCTCTGTAGTATGCAATGCTGTTTGATAATATTTTACCCACAGTAGAAATGTCTTTAAAAATCGGAGTCTATCCTCTCAAACCCTGCTGCTGTTTTATAAACAAAGTTTGTGTACCATTCTAAATCCTTTTTGTCATTTCAACACACTCACAGTATCTTCACCAGGAGTAGATTCCGTATGAAGAAACTAGTTGTTTTGCTTATCCATAAGAAGTTCAAGTTTCATGAGATTGCAGTAATTCAGCGCTATCTTCAGGTTCCATTTTTAATTCTACTTCTCTTACTATTTCTACCACACCAGTAGTTACTTCCCTCACTGAAGCCTTAAACCCCCTCCAAGTCACCCATGAGGGTTGGAATCAACTTCTTCCAAATCCCTGCTAATGTTGATAATGTTGACCTCCTCCCATGAATCACAAATGTATCTTAATGGCATACAGAATGGTGCATCCTTTCCAGAAGGCTTCCAATTTACTTTGTGTAGATCCATCAGAGGAATAACTATCTATGGAAGCCATAGTGTTAAAAAATGCATTTCATAAATAATAAGACTTGAAAGTCAAAATTACTCCTTTACCCATGGGCTGCAGAATGAATGCTGTATTAGCAGGCATGAAAACAACATTCATCTCCTTGTACATCTCCATCATGGCTCTTGCATGACCAGGTACACTGTCAATGAGCAGACATCTTTTGAAAGAAGCCCTTTTTTCTGGGCATATGGTCTCAACAGTGGGCTTAAAATACCCAGCAAACCATGCTGTAAACAGATGAGCTGTCATTCAGGCTTTGCTCTTCCATTTCTAGAGCACAGGCAGAGCAGATTTAGCCTAATTCTTAAAGGCCCTAGGATTTTCAGGATGGGAAATGAGCAGTGGTTTCAACTTGAAGTCATCAGGTGCCTTCACCGCTAATGAGAAAGTCAGCCTGTCCTTTGAAGCTTTGAATTCAAGCATTGACTTCTCCTTTCTAGCTATGAAAATCCCAGATGGTATCTTCTTCCAATAGAAGGCTGTTTTGCCTCCACTGAAAACCTGTTTAGTGTAACTACAGTCTTCAATGATCTTAGCCAGATCTTCTGGATAACTTGCTGCAGCTTCTACATCAGCATTTGCTGCTTCCCCTTACACTTTTATGTTATGGAGATGGTTTCTTTTCTTAAACCTTATGAACCAACTGCTGCTAGCTTCTTTCTTCTCTTCTGCAGCTTTCTCACCTCCCTCAGTCTTCATGGAATTGAAGAGAGTTAGGGCCTTGCTCTGGATTAGGCTTTGGCTTAAGAGAATGCTGTGGCTGGTTTGATCTTCTGTCCAGACCACCTGAACTTTCTCCATATCAGCCATAAGGCTGTTTTGCTTTCTTATCATTTGTGTATTCACTGGAGTAACACTTCTAATTTCTTTCAAGAGCTTTTCTTCTGTACCCACAACTTGGCTAACTATTTGGTACAAGAGGCCTAGCTTTTGGCCCCTCTCAGCTTATGACATGCCTTCCTCACTAAGCTTAATCATTTCTAGCTTTTGATTTAAAGCAAGCAATATGAAACTCTTTCAGTTGAACACTTATAGGCTGTTGTAGGGTTATTAATTGGCCTCATTTCAATATTGTTGTGTCTCAGGGAATAGGGAGGCCTGAGGAGATGGAGAGAGATGGGGGAATGGGTGGTCAGTGGAGCAGTGAGAACACACAGAACATTTATAAAGTTCACCATCTTATATGGGCATGATTTGTGGCACCCTAAAACAATTACAATAGTAACATCAAAGATCACTGATCACAGATTACCATAACACATACAATAATCATAAAAAAGTTGGAAATATTTCAAGAATTACCAAAATGTGACACAGAGACATGAAGTGGGCACATGTTGTTGGAAAAATGGTGCTGATAGACGCTCGACATAGGGTTGTCACAAACCTTCAACTGGTAAACAATGCACTTTCTGCAAAGCACAATAAAATGAGCTATGCCTGTAATTTACCTTTTCTGGAAATTTCATATATATGTAATCATACAATATGTGGTCTCATGTCTATTTTTCATATAGCATGTTTTTGAAGTTCATCCATGTTGTAATATAGATGTAGTTCAAAATAGTGCAGTAGTTCCTTTTCATTGCTGAATAATATTCCATTATATGGATAAATGACATTTTGGTTACCCATTAACCAGTTGATGGACATTTGAATTGTTTCCAGTTTTTGACTACTATGAATAATGCTGCTACTATTATTTATATACAAGTCTTCCTGTAAACATATGTTTATTTTTCTTAGGTAGATACTTCGAGTGAAATTGCTGGATCATGTGGTAAATTTACATTTAACTTTTTAAAGAAACTGCCAAACTATTTTCCAAAATGCTGTACATTCCTACCAGCAATCTACAAGCTTCCTATATAAAGTTTCTCCATATCGTCACCAACATTTATTATGGTCTTTTTGAGTACAGTCATCTTAGTGGGGTGTGAAATGGTATGTTATCGTGATTTTACTTTGCATTTCCCTGATGGCTAATGACATTCAGCATCTTCTCAGGTGCTTATTAGCCAACTGTATATTTTCTTTGGGTGAACTGTCTGTTCATATCATTTATTCATTTTAATTGGGTTGTCTTCTAATTATTGAGATATAGGAGCTCTTTATATAAACTACATACAATTCATTAATCAAATATATAATTTGTAAATATTTTCCTCTAATCTGTGGCTTTTTAAAAAACATTTTATTTTAAAATAAATTTTTAAAAGCAGAGGGTCAGAAAACATCAGTGGCTGCCAGGGGTGGGGAAGAGAATAACTGCGAGGGGGTAGAGGGAAATATTTTGGGTTATGCAACTGTTTAATGTATTGATTAGTTATATAACTATGCATTTGCCAAAATTCACAGATTGGATATTAAAAAGGGTGATTACTGGGTGTAAATCGTAACTTTCTTTTTTTAAGAGAAAGATACTGAAAAGAAAGGAGCCACATATTTTCCTTATGTGAAAAAAAATAGGGTTTATGGTTTTCTCTGGTAGATAGTAAAAACAATTACTGGGGAATTATAGTAAAGAACAGTAAGATGAGAGATTTCTTCAATATACAACTGGTAAAAAAAAATTAAGAATAATATGCTTATGCAGAGGAAATTTCTTTTTTGTATTTGAGTTGATAATTTGACCTGGAATTTTTCTGTTGGCATAAAACTGTTAGAAATGCTTATTTTTTAAATTTCACAAAATTCTCAGGTAGTAAGCAAAGCATTAGAACAATAAAGGCCTCTACAACTAGTTCCATACAGCATTTTGATGTAAAAATATGCATAAATCTTTAATTGGAAAGTATATTTCTTTTTCTTTTTCTTTTTTTTTGAGACTGAGTTTCGCTCTTGTTGCCCAGGCTGGAGAGCAATGGCGTGATCTCGGCTCATGGCAACCTCCACCTCCTGGGTTCAAGCGATTCTCTTGCCTCAGCCTCCCAAATAGCTGGGATTACAGGCATGTGCCACCACACCCAGCTAATTTTGTATTTTTTTAAGTAGAGATGGGGTTTCTCCATGTTGGTCAGGCTGGTCTCGAACTCCCAATCTCATGTGATCCGCCCACCTCTGCCTCCCAAAGTGCTGGGATTACAGGCGTGAGCCACCGCGCCTGGCCAGAAAGTATATTTCTTTACAGTAAAAAATTAATAATATTTGGACAAATAGTCAAATTTGTACAAATAGTACAATTCAGATGTAACACACTAACTATAAACTATGTATTTTTACAAGAACTAATTTCAAAATATACATATATGGATGTATTAGTCCATTCTCACACTGCTAATAAAGACACACTCAAGACTGGGTAATTTATAAAGGAAACAGGTTTAACTGGCTCACAGTTCAGCATGACTGGGGAGGCCTCAGGAAACTTCAATCACGGCGGAAGGGGAAGCAAACACATCCTTCTTCACATAGCAGCAGCAAGGAGAAGAATGAGTGCCCAGTGAAGGGGGAAGCCCCTAATAAATCCATTAGATCTCCTGAGAACTCACTCACATCATGAGAACAGGATGGGGGAAACTGCCCCCAGGATTCAGTTATTTCCACCTGGTCCCTCCCACGACATGTGGGGATTATAGAAACTACAATTAAAGATGAGATTTTGGTGCCAAGCCTTATCAATGGATTTACACAATTGATATTTAGAAGCTCTTCAAATCTATTTGTAAATTTAAAAGTTAAGTAGAATCATCTCTGCCTTGCAATTGGGAGCTGCAGAAGGTCAACTGGCAGCGCCTGCCTGCGTGGGCAACGTTCTTGGTGACCACTGAAGGCAGTGTGGGCTCACCAAAGCGAGGCTGCTCTCTGGGTTCCTTCCTCTTTGGCTACTTATGGTGTCGGTGCATGAGATGCTCTATCTTATCCACGAAGGGAAACAACCTACTGGACATCTGAAAAAGTGAGGAAACTAAACATGCAGTGTTGTGCTTACTTCTAAGCAATGGAGCTAATCCAGAAGGGTCCATACCAGGCTGATTAAAGCACTTCTCTTTTGGTTTAGTATTCACCTTCATCAACATCACTTTCACCATCATAGTCATTCTACCCCTCCTCCTCATCTTCTTCTTCCCTCCTTTCCTCTTTAAGAACTTTCAGGTATTTACTAGTGGAAACCTTCTTTGGCAATAATACACCTTCAAGAAACTGAAAAATTTCTGATTCCTCTGCTGTATTTGCTAAATTACTGTTAGTGCTTTCTTCTTTCTACTGCCATGACCGTAGGAATAGATGGTTAGAGACTTAACAAAGAGTTGTGTGGCCTTGGCCAGGAGCACCTCGAGGTTGATGCACAACACCATGGGAGAACTCTTCATGATGACCAGATGTGGGACAGGGACAGCAAGAGAAGCCACTGCTCCCTGCACTTGTCTTTGCCCACAACCACGTCCCCCACTTTTCCGCCCCTCCCATGTGGGTGGCAGCTGGTGCCCCACCATGAGGTGGCTCTCAATTTTCATTTTCTTAATAATGTTGTTAATGCAAAAAAGTTTTAAGTTTTGGTAAAGTCCAATTTACCAATTTCTTCTTGTATGGATCATGATTTTGGTGTCATATCTAAGAACTCTTTGCCTAACCCAAGATCATGAACATTTCTCCTATGGTTCTTTGAGAAGTTTTAAAGTTTTGGGTTTTACATTTAAGTCTATTATCTATTTTGAGTGAATTTTTGCATATGGTATGAGGTAAGGCTCCAAATTCATCTTTTTCATATGAATGTTTTATTTTCCCAGTACCCTCTGTTGAAAATGTTATTCTTTCCTGATTAAATTTCCTTGGCATTTTTATTGAAAATTGATCAAAAATAAATATAAAAGTTCATTTCTGGACTCTCAATTCTGTTCCACTGATCTACATGTCTATCCTTAATGCCACTAAGTAGAGTACTGTAGTTTTACAGTAAAACTTAAAATTCAGTAGTGTAAATGTTTCAATTTTGTTCTTCCTTTTCAAAACTGTTTTAGCGATTCTGGTCTCTTTGCATTTCCATACACATTTTAAGATCAGCTTGTCAACTGCTATCCCCAAAAGCCTGCTGGGATTTTGACAGGGATTGTATTAAATCTATAGGTCAATTTAAGAGAAAGTGCGAACTTAACACTAAAGGTTCATCTAATCCATGAACATTGAATACCTCTCATTTGTTTTAGATCTTTAATTTCTTTTAGCAATATTTTATAGTTTTCCATGTGCAAATCTTGCATCTCTGTGTTTAAACTGATTCCTAAGTATTTTATTCTTTTTGATGCTACTGTGAATGAAATGGTCTTAATTTCATTTTTGGTTTTTTTTTACCAGTATATAGAAATACAACAAATTTTTGTATATTCATCTATAAATTATATCCTGTCTGTAACTGAACTTGTTTATCAGTTCTAATAGGGTGTGTGTGTGTATGTGTGTGGGGGGTGGGTATTTCTCAGGATTTTCTACATACAGGATCACATCATCTGGAAATAAAGAACATTTTGCTTCTTCCTTTCAAAGCTACACGCTGATCTATCTTGAAGTTTATGGGTGTGGGTTCTTCTGCCATCTCAAATCTGTTATTGAGTTACTCAAGTGAATTTTTCATTTCGGTTATTGTACTTTTCAACTCCAGAATTTCCATTTGACTTTTTAAATAATTTATCTTGAGATTCTTTATTTGTTGAACCATTGTTGTTATACTTTCGTTTAATCCTGGTTTTCTTTAATTCCTTGAACATATTTTAGCTGCTTTGAAGTATCTGTCTGCATAGTACATCTGAGCCCACTCAGAAACACTCAGCTTCTGCTTCCATTCACTGCTTTTTCCCCCTAAGTATTAATCACCCTTTTCTTTCTTTAAATATCTTGTAATTTTTTAAGCCTGAATTTTAGGTACAATATTGTACTAACTCTGGATTTTTATGTTCTTCCCTCGGGATTGTTGTTCTTGCTGTGGTTTTCTTTTTTTGTTTATTAAGTTGCCTAAACTAAATCTGTGGAATCCATCTCCTTCATGGTGCATCGCTGCTTATCTCTCTACTTAATTTTTTAAAACTTATTTTTGTTTTTATTTTTAAGCCTGATTCTTAGGGGTCACTCCCATGTCTGCATAGCTTAGTGGTCAGCCAGTAATTAGTCGGTGGTTATGCTCAAATACCCTAAGCTAGTAAAGCTTTTACCCTCTGCCCATGGGTCTGTGGTTGGGTTGGGGGAGCCCATTAAAAACTCAGGCAGTTTTCAAGTCTGCCCTGGCATTTACTTTCTGCCAGGCCTTTTTGCATCTTCTCTGCATATGTGCAGATTTCACAGTCATCCAGGGTGTATAGGTAGCTTGAGCCCTCTTTGATATCTCCTGCTTGTGTTTGAAGTGTTTTGGTGAGTTTATCAAGGCTCCCTATCACTGTGCCATTTTCCCAAATCTCCCTGATAGATTTCTGGCTAGTCTGCTGATACACTGTTGGCCCCAACTAGGAATGTAACCTCAGGTTCACTGAGTTGCTAGCTAGCCTTTCTTGTCTCTTACCGAGATGTCTACTGTTACTCATAATGTTGGTGGGCATGGGGCTTTCACATTCCATTTCATATCAAGGAAGGCCACTCCATCAGTGAAACTGATGGTTTTCATGGCCTTCTTTACCCTTGTAGAACTATTGTGCTGAGTCTGCAGGTGGGGGATGGGAGCACCCGCAGGCAGAAACACCACAAAATCCTAATTAGCTTACTTGGAGCACTATAGTTTGTCTATGAATAAATGCTTCTCAATTTGTTGAGTGTCTTTTATCAATTTTCAGAGTCCTAAAGTTGCTGTTTTTGACAATTTTGTCTAGTTCTGTTGTTTTTTGGAAAGGGAATTTGTTCAGCTCTCACTCTGTTCTTTTGGTAGTCTACCTTTAGAACTATTGTTAAGAGCTTTTTTTCACTCTTTCATACTCAGCTGGTCATCAAGGCCTGCTGATTTTTTCTCTGCAATGTCTCTTTAGGAGAGATGCTGCTTTCCTTGCCATTTTCAGAGTCACACCCATCAAGGTGATCAGTATCCATTCCTAAATTCCTATGATAGAAGCCTTCCTCCTCATCACAGTCAGTTCTGCATCTGGCTGCTAGATTGATCTTATAGACACCAGCATAATCACATCCCTTGTTCCTGAATGAAGAACGGCTCTTTGTTGCAAAGAACATAAATTTCATACTGCTCAGCCTACCTTTCAAGAATGTATTCAACTGCCTTGATCTCATGTACAATCATTTATGTCTGGAACTCCCACCAAGTTGAGTTTTTCTATCCCCACATATTCTTTGTCAACTTCCATTTTTCTACCTTTTCTCATGCTGTTTCCCCTATGTGGAATGTCCTTATAATCTGCCTTTCAATTTTTGGTCCATCAACTCCTAAAAGAAGCTTAATCAGATTAATTCTTCTGTTGTTGATCATTCCTATACTCCATAGCTCTTCAGTATTCATATGTAGATTTTTAAAACATTTCTGGCACAAAATCTTACTGGTTTGCAATTGGTCTTCAATTGTTTCTGTATATGTTTTATTTTTTCTCCAACTTTTTTTTCCTTTTTAAGGATTTATTTTTTAGAACAGTTTTAGATTCACAGAAAAATTGAGCACAACTTACAGAGACTTCTCATATAACCCTTGCCTCCAACTTTTAATTATAATCAATTTAGGACTTTATTTACAAAATAGAAGATACTTCTTAGCATCTAGTACAGTGGTGGACATGCAGCTGGTGGTTAAAACATGACTGTTGAGTGAATAAAATGTTTCTTGATCTTCAATGAAAATTCTAAAAACTCTTTGAAAATGAACACTTTTGGATTTTTTTTTCCTGAAGACCTTAACTCTTACATATACCTCTGAAAGCAGCAGTAGTATTAAAACTATTTAATAGTGTGCCATGAAAACTGAAAATAAAATTAGAAAAGAAAACAGAGTCCTGAAAACTGCTGGGCCAAATAATGACCTATTAGTTCCTAGACCATGGGGAAGTCCCAGAGGTCCTGGACATGAGGCCATGAAGGCAGGGGGTGAAGCATGAGGTAGCAGCTATTTGCCATGTGGAATGAAAGTATTTAAACATTTTAACAATTGGCACGACAGTATCAGGGGACAGCCTGAATGTCGGTTCTGCCAGCAAGTAGACTGATACTCTCTGGATTTCATAATGGCTATAGAATATCTATAAAGTGGAATTCTGTCAACCTTCAGCAGTTTTGGATTTGGAGAGAAATATGAGAATAAGTCCCTGAAATGTAAAGTGCAGACAAGAACAGTCAGAAGCCAGTGTCAAGGATCAGTTAAACAGCAAAAGATCATAGAGTACAAAAGTACCATAGGCCAAGACAAACCAACAGTGGAGACCCTAGGTAAGTAACCAGAAGTCAGAGTTCAAATTAAGTAGGTGGAACAAGCCAAACAAATAGTAAGGAAATTCTAGGTGAGGATCCCAGCAAACAGTTGTCTAGGAAGCAGAAATGCATGGATAAGGAGACTCTGACTTCAAGGCAACCTTCTCCCTGTGCTGAAAAAATTTCTCTTTTTTTTTTTTTTTTTTTTTTTTTTGAGACACGGTCTCACTCTGTCA
Source organism: Homo sapiens (assembly GCF_000001405.40). Lineage (NCBI taxonomy): Eukaryota > Metazoa > Chordata > Mammalia > Primates > Hominidae > Homo > Homo sapiens. The sequence goes on from NC_000008.11 coordinate 73,515,822, forward strand.
CCCAGGCTGGAAAGCAGTGGTGGCTCACTGCAACCTCCACCTTCCAGGTCTTCAGCATATCAGTCTTTTAGAGTAAGACATTTAAGTGTGGGTCTTGATAGGGCACTGACTCTTTTTTTTTTTTTTTTTGGAAAGAGAGTCTTGCTCTGTCACCCAGGTTGGAGTGCAGTGATGTGATCATGACTCATTGAAGCCTCAAACTCCCAGGCTCAAGCAATCCTCCCACCTCAGCCTCCTGAGTAGCTGGGACTATAGGCACACACCACCATGCCCAACTAATTTTTTTTTTGGTATTTTCTGTAGAGATGGGGTTTTGCCATGTTGCCCAGGTTAGTTGCAAACTACTGGGCTCAAGCAGTCTGCCCACCTTGGCCTCCCAAAGTGCTGGGATTACAGGCACAAGCCACCATGCCTGACCTAGAGCAGTGACTCTTCTTACCAAACAGTAGAAAACCTGACCTAGGTTTGCTCGTAGCATTATCACTGTTTCATCTATGGAGGGTAACAGAAGACATTTTTTTTTTATCACTACCTTGCCCTTAAAATTTAATTTTCACATATTAAATTATGTGAAATTAAATTTCACATATGTCTAGAATATTTGGGGGTTTAAAAATGCCTTCAAATTTCTTCCATCAGAGGATGCAAACGAGAAGCCAATTAACTAAAGGGTATTTAAAAAAATATGTAATCTAAAAAGGCATTCAGTGCCAACTTAGAAACAAAGAGAGTAGGCCAAATAACTATTAGCAATGAAAGAAAAATATTGAAATTTTTGAAAAATAACCAGTAACTGGTTTGTCTAAAAAGGAATTTTGGACATGGGGAGAGGCATGACTTAATTGAAGGTGTATTGCTAAGGGAGAGAAGGTTACCGCTTTTCAGTTTTAAATAGTGTAATAAATCATACGCAACACCATAATTTAAGTTTATGAGGAAGGTAATACTCTTTAGGTTGTAAAAGTGACCTCCAGTGGGCAATAATGCTCTCAAATCCGTGGCCTAGGGAACTATATTCCATTGATCATCACTTTAAAAAAGTCTATATAGGCAACAGTTTTCCACTATAACTTTCACATCTATTTAGCAATTATATACATATGGTTATTTATTGGTTTAATAATGTATCTGGTTTGATTCATTAGTAGTGAACTGTTAACAGAAAGGTTTTTAGAATATTTCCCCAGTGATCTTCAAATCAACATCAAACATAGAGGCATACAGAATAGTAGGAATAGTAAATTCCTACCTAAATATTTTTAATTTAGAGGGGACACTAAGAATTAGAATACTGAATTTAAAATGAAGAAACTGGGCAGGCATGATGGCTTATGCCTGTAATCTCATCACTTTGGGAGCCTGAGGTGGAAGGATCAATTGAGCCCAGGAGCTCATGACCAGGCTGGGTAACTAAGAAAATAAAAGAGAAGAAAAAAGAAAAGAAAAGAAATTAGCTTATTAGGTGTGCTGGCGTGTGTCTGTAGTCCCAGCAATTCAGGAGGCTGAAGTGGGAGGATCACTTGTGCTCAGGAGTTTGAGGTTACAGTGAGCTAAGATTGTGCCACTGCACTCCACCCTGGGCAACAGAGTGAGTTCTTGTCTCAATAAATAAAAATAAATAAATAAAGGAACTACTGATAAGCAGCATATGTGCAGGTCCAAAACTGAACAAAACTTACTAGAAAATCTAGAAAACACTTTGGGTTCTATTTATACTTTGTCTCCTATGAAATCATGAACATCAAATTATCTTCAGAGATAACCTGTTATGAAACACCAAGCTACAGATAACTGAGGTACAGATTAAATAACCACATTTTTAGTCTTTTTTAGTGTGAAAAGTTAGGTTTTTTTAATTCTAAAATTTCACACTTTTTGCCCATTAAAATAGCTGTTATTCATCATTTCAGGAAAAAAAAAAGTGGGAGAAGGAAAGCAATAAGTAAGTTCGTGGCCTTTGACTCTAGTCCAAAATTATTTTATAGCTCAAATTAATAAGTCACTTGTGTGCACAATATCACTGGATATATGCAATCTCTCAGAAATGTGGTTATGCTGTTCTAAGCATATATGAAATTATAAGTCAGTTATAAAATACACAATATTCAATCTTCCCACTAGCTTCCCCTATAACTCACTGTTGGTTCTGGAAACTGCTTATACATCTGAAATGAAAAAAGTGAAAGATCACTATGGAAATAGCAGAATATTCTTTATTACTTAAAAAAAAAGTTCTGCTCAGAAGTGTTTCTAAATGGAATTTCAGCAAGGAGAGAAAAGTAACCTTTGCCATAGGCAAACTTTCTTTTAACACTCTGATAAATACTGATGAAGACAGACTTATTTATTATTCCTTCAGAAAATAAAATTGGTTTCCACTGTAAATAAATTCAAAATTCAGTCAAGTCTAATTGTGCTATAAAATGGGCAATACTTCCAGAAAACTGGCTTCTTTCCAAAAGAGAATGGACTCTGAATAACCATGTTTAAGGCAATATTTGATACAAAATTCAGAAGGTGAATTTTTAAGGCTTCTTCCTTCTAATCCTAGGATTGAACTAGCAAACTTTTCCTGTAAAAAGTCAGATAGTAAATATTTTAGGACGTGCAGGCAATAAGGTCTCTGTCATAACTACTCATATCTGTCATCATAGTGTGAAAGTGGCCATAGGCAATACCAAAATAATGGTTGTGGCTGTGTCCCAGTAAAGCTGTATTTACAGGCACTAAAATTCAAATTCCATATAATTTTCACATGTCACGAAATACTATTTTTCTTGTGATATTTTTCAGCCATTTCAAAATGTAAAAGCCATTCTTAGTTCAGGTGGTGGGCTGAAGCTGACTCACAGGCCATAGTTTACTGACTCTTGTTTTCGTCCACAGTCTATTTTTAGTCTATTATTTAGATAGAATAATATCTATCCTGTGGTGAGAAGCTCCTGGTGACTTTTCCTGCTGTAATTTTGTTTAAGATATGATTAAATTCCTTAACTATAAGATATAATTTGTGTAAAACGAAAATTGTATATAATAAAGTTAAATGTCAGCAGAAGACATTTTAGTTCTAAGATCAAGGGACAAGTTTCGGAGGGAGGACCATTTTGAAATATTTAAAAAAATCAACAAATACGAAAGCACTTTACCAAAGCAAACATTAAAGTTGATGTTCATTTTTAATATATCTGTCTTAGCACTCTAATTCATAAAAAATAAACAAAAATCAAGTTATATTTTGAATTTTGGCAGCTCCAGGACCTCCTGGAAGTTGCCAGCGGCAGTGATTATACCCAATCTTTCCACACCCCACAGCACTTGGCGCTGCTGACGTACAGAGCAAGCAAAGCCGCTGAAGTTCAAAACCTGCACTGAATCTATCTCAAACAAAGAATGCCAGGACCCACTGCAGTGACCCCTAGGATGAAGACATGGAATCTGTTATTATGCAATGTCACTTAAGTATGTCTTTTATATTAATAAAAAAGTTCGTCTTGGTAAATTCTTGCTCAAACCTATGACGTCTCTTTAGATTCTGAGGAATGCAGTCATGAATGACATTATTCAGTGATTAGTGACTTGTATACTAATAAGGAGGCTGCCCCTGGTACTTGAAGAAAGTAATTTAGGACGCCACGAAAAATGTACTCATATGCATAATATGTTAGAACAATGAAAAGTTATAAACAGAGAAAAGAACTAATGGAGATATTATGATGGATTTCTAAGGCCAATTACATGTATTTACAGTATGTGAATACACCAAGATCAAGCTCTGGGATTCTTTCACAAAAAAATGTCCTTATAGGGCCACCACTAGAAAAAGCTTACTAGGCCAGACATTCTATTTCTCTCACTAATTTTACCAAATGAATTTTACCAAACCTAAGTCATTCTAATTTTCTTAGAAATTCAATTTAATTCCATCCTATAAACACATATCAAGTGCCTCGTAAGTGCAAGAGCATAAACACTGAGAATACTGAGGTGAGCAAGACTCTGCCCTGTATCTCAAGGAGATCACTGCCCAGTGGGGTAGACCAACATGAAGAGATCTTGGGAGACAGCTTGATAAGTGTAACAATGGGATAATGTACAAAGTACAGATAGAGCTCAAAGGAAGCAGAGTTTTAACTCTCTCTTGGTTTGGGGAAGGCCTATTGACTGGAGTGACATCTTGGCTGAATCTGACAGAACAATTAAAATTACCCTATGAGCAATGAGAGAATGGGCCAGGCAGAGGGAACACACATGCAAAGATACACATGTAAGAGCATGAAATATGGTAACTCAGGACTGCTAGAGCATAAAGCGTGGGTATAAGTACAGGGTGAATGGTAAAAGATGAGATTGGAGACATAGGCAAAGAACCAAATCACAGTCTCCTGAGATTTCATCCTACAGACTTGTGCATCCAACACCCATGTGGCTACTGAGCACCTGAAATGTAATAGTTTTAAATCAGATGTATTATAAGAATAAAATACATACCAGATTTCAAGTATGAAAGAATAGTATCTCAATAATCTTAAAAGTTGATTATATGTTGAGATGATATTTTAGATATATTGGGTTAAATAAAATGTATTATTACAATTAATTTTAACTGTTTGACTTTTTAAAATACGGCTACTAGAAAATTTAAAATTGCATATGTGACACTTGATCCCTTATGTAGTAGTCCTTGCGGTTGATTCCTCAACAACTACTTCACCCCAAGCATTTAAACCAGAAGTGATTACTTCTCCTGCCAGCAACTGGTGTAGAAATGGGCACATGACCAACCCAACCCAGGCTTATAAATTGAGGGAAAGATAGCTGGAGGGGTTCCTGGTACAGATGTCTTTGCCCAGGACACAAGAAGATCAGCTCTCTCCTTCTGGATGTGGTTATACTGCACACAACACAGAGAACTCCTGTGGCTATCTTTCTGAGTCAGAGGATGAAGTGGAGGATGTCAGAGCTAAGAAATGGGAATAACCTGAGTCCTTGCTGACATCATTGAGCTGCTTTATCAACCAACCCTGGAGCTCACCCTTCCTTTGAACTTCCTGTTATGTGAGATAATGAGGTTCGTTATTATTTAAGCCAATATGAGTCAGGTTTTCTGTTACTTGTAGCCAAAAGCATCCTGGCTGATACACTCCATTAGACCATAATTACCTCAAGGGCAAGGGAATACAGATACTATCACTTAAGACCATCTCGTACTGCAAAAGCTCTGTACATAGTCTACAATCAATATATTATTGTTGTGATAATGTATATTGGGGTAATATGTGGGAAGGCTTTCCCTTTCTTAGTTCTAAAATATCATTAGTTGTAAGACATTACAGCCTAATGACTCAGGCGAGGAGAATTTTAATTAATCAGAGAATAACCTACAAGCAGAACTTAATCAAAACTAGAATACTCATTAGATTTGTAAATTGTTACACTTCATGAATGTCCTTTCATTAAGAGGCCTGACTTGAATCCTAGTCAAAGCATACACATTGGAAACAATTCAGCTTAATTTTACTAATCTGGACATAAACCCTTAAAGGTGATTTAGCAAATATACAACTGCTAGAGTTTATACCTCATTATTCTGAGAACTAAGCAAAATAATGTACGGAGAGCCTAGCACATATGTATATGTATGTATACGGTAAACATACTACATATAGATTTGGTTCTTGCTTATTTTCTCTTGTAGAATTGGATTTTTATTCAAAATACAAATGGTTCCCAACTTACAATGATTCAACTTATGATTTTTTGACTTTAAAATGGTGATACACATTCAGAAGGAACTGCATTTCCAATTTTGAACTTCCTGGGCTAGTAATATGCATACCATACTCTCTTGAGATGCTGGGTGGCAGCAGCAAACTGCACCTTCCAGTCAGCCACTTGATCATGAGGAAAAACAACTAATGAGGTAGGCTAAGCTAAACTAAACTATGATATTCAGTAGGTTAGGTGCATTAAATCCATTTTCTACTTATAATATTTTCAATTTAGATGGGTTGAAGAGCATTTGTAATATATGAAATATGCAGTCATTTACTCTATGTGGTAATCTTGCTTTTGTTGACTAGAAGTCAGATTACAGTAAATACTAATATACATATGTTAAACTTCATTGGCTAGTTAATGCTTGGTTAGGTGGTTGATTTACTAATTCATTCTTTCATGTATATGAAGCAAGTAAGCTCAAGATCTAACCTCAACACAATAAGGCAGGCAGCAATAAAACTATCAACTAGAAATTAGAAGCTATAGTGTTTTTACTAAGCTACATCTACTTACCCAATCTTTGTGAGATTTGGTGATATTGACAATGCAATCAGAATGAAGATGAATAAAAAGGAAACAAAGATAGGGAAGGAAGTTTATGACTTTGGGGCTGTAATTAGAAGGTGACTAATGTAATTAAAGGAGACAGGAAAAGATACTTAGTAACATCTAAAAGTGATGAGGAAACATATAGAAAGGGTGTCATGACAGAGTCAAGAATAATACTTAGTGAGTTATATCAAGCTAGGAGATTACAAAACCCTCCTGAACTATCACTAAGTATGTTGCTTTTAATAACATACACTAACCAATACAACCAACTTCCAAATAGGATATGCTGAAGAATATTGAGCAAAACCCTCACCAGCTCAATCTTAAAAAATAAATGACTGACAAGTTCAAAATTTCATAAGACAATTGGCTCAGCAATTGTAAATCAGTGACCTTTGTATGCACTAGTGTCTAAAGGAGTATTCCTACATACAGTTATTCACAGTTAGCTCATGTTTGCTGAGAAATCTGTATCTGAAAATTTAAGCTATGTTTTTGTTCTGGACAATTGAACTAATTTGAGTGTGAATTTCTAATATCATATTTGTTGTGATGAATAAGGTAAACATGAGAATGTCAAAACATTCTCTCCAAGACATCACGAGGACCTCCAGGCAAACCCAGCCTGAATGACTGCCCACTGTCTGGATGAGAATTCAGGGTTTCAGGATGGGAAACTCTGGCCTACAGACGTCTTCGCTAAAGCCAGACAGGAGTGGGCTTAGACCACTTTTTGTAGACTGATAATTACTTTAAGAAGTCTGGGCCAGGTGCAGTGGCTCACACCTGTAATCCTAGCACTTTGGGAGGCCAAGGCGCACAGATCACGAGGTCAGGAGTTCGAGACCAGTCTGCCCAACATGGTGAAACCCCGTCTCTACTAAAAATACAAAAATTAGTCAGGTGTGGTGGCGTGCACCTGTAATCCCAGCTACTCAGGAGGCTGAGGCAGGAGAATCACTTGAACCCGGGAAGTGGAGGTTGCAGTGAGCCGAAATCACGCCACTGCACTCCAGCCTGGGTGACAGAGCAAGACTTTGTCTCCAAAAAAAAAAAAAAAAAAAAAAAGAAAAGTCTGAAGCAGGCCTTAACTAATCACTGGCATTTGGAGAAGCTCTAAACCAGGCTATGGGTTAAATTTAGTGCATTCCAAGGTGGAGCCAACACACCAAGAGAGCACAGGAGAGGCAAGAGGATGGCATCCACATTTTCTCAGAATCAGGACTGCATACGAGTACGTGATAAAGCAATGAATCTGGCTGTTTTTTTAACATTAGGCTTAATCTAGTATTATCTATATACAGTAAAATTTACCCTTTTTAGAGTGTAGTTCAGTGAATTTGACAAACGCAGTCATGTTTCTACCACCACAATTAAGATGTAACACATTTCCATTACCTCCCAAAACTCCCTCATGATACTTTGTAGTTAATCCCTCTCCATACCCCCAGCCCCTGCAACCACTCATCTGTTTTCTATCCCTATAGTTTTGATTTTTCCAGAATGTCATATAAATGGAATCTATAGTATGTAGCCTTTCGAATGGTTTCTTTCACCAACCATCATGTAACTGACAACAAGGCCAGTGAGACTCGGACACAACTGATGAACTGGAAAGTGGGAGGAATTGAAGTTGGATAAGTGGAGGGGGCCAAATCATAGGAGTTTGTGTGCCATAGCTAAATTTTTTGCATTTTATAGGAGGTGTGATGGGAAGCCACTGGAAGGTTTTGTGTAGTTGAGTCAGGTAATCAGATTAATTTTTCACACCTATAATCCCAGCACTTTGGGACGCTGAGGTGGGAGGATTGCCTGAGCCCAGGAGGCTGAGGCTACAATGAGTTGTGATTGTGCCACTGCACTCCAGCCTGGGTGACAGAGCAAAACTCTGTCTCAAAATAATATGTGAAAGAGAGACTACAGTGGAGCAAAGGTAGAAAAAATGAGGCTAATTTAGAGACTGCTGCAGTCATCTGGGTTAAAAATGATAGGGACTTAAACTAGAATGGTAAAATTGGAGGTGGTGAGAAGCAGTCAGGTCAGAGACATAATTTAGAGGAAGAGATGCTGGGACAAGGTGTAGCATGTGACGGGGACTAGGGGTTCAAGGAAAGCTCCAAGGATGGTCTGAGCAACAAGGTAATGATGGTAACATTCACTGGGACAGAGGAAAGGACAGAAGAGGTAGGAGCAGGCATGGTAGGGGGACGCAGGGAACAAAGAGTTCCATAAATTTGGGCATCATCAGCATATAGATGGTATTGAATCTTTCCCCTGATCATTTTGCATATCCGTATCAACTTCTGATAGAGAAATTTCACTTAACAGTCTCTGTCCTGTTACCCTTTAATACAGCAAATGAATGCACCAGGTAATGTATTCAATTTCCACTTCACTAAGTTCCTAGAGTTACATTTTTAAAAAATAAGAAGATAAGCTATAAAGGCTCAAGTCTAGAGAGCTCTTCCATTTCTTGCCTTTGTTTTCCACACAGGTAAGAACAACCTGTGTTTCATAAGAAGGACCACTTCCAAATTTCACATATACTTTTTTTCTCAGAATACCAATTCTGTTTGGTCAACTGCATTGGGCCAAATGGATTATGAATAGAAACTTTAAAAAAATGATTACAATTTTTCTTGCTTTAAAATGTTTCCCTATTTACTAGCATTTACAAATTAATGGGTGAAAAAGCATTTAGTGGTCCAAGTTTTCCACCTTATGAGATCAAGTTGATGCTGCTACGGTGAAGGAGTACCTTTTGCTTAGACAGACCCTCAGGTTGGGGAGAGGGTAACGGCAACATAATGTAGAAAAGCCAGAGGGTGTGAAGTGGGGATTTACTTTGTGTCTCCTTTCCCCAGGGAGCCCAAATATCCAAGAACAAGAGAGGAGCAGTGATCACACCCCCTACTTTCTACCTCCTAGGCCACTACAATAGTGTTTGATGTACAGGATGATTATTCCTGTCCAACATTTATTCCAGTCATTTATTCATCTACCAATGTGACCATCATCAACACATTTCCTGAAAGTTTCTATCTTAAAATTTCATGCAAATTTGTCATCTATAAAATAGTTGTATTTGCTTTAATATAAAAATGTCTTAATTTATCATTGAGTGCAATTGACATTCAGTTAGATATAGTGAGACCACTATGTACAGTCGTGCAGGTGTACACTGCACACCTCAATGGGGTGCATTCACACCGCAGTTATTGTAGACTTATTACAAAAATTTTCTGTCAGATGGCAGTAAAATGCCTTGAGGAAGAGGCACTTTTTTTTTCTAATTTGTAAAGGTGTCATATGGGTGAACAGTAGCCCTGAACTTTGAGTACCTTGGCATAGGAACTTGGCACAAGCCCAAACTAGCCTCATTATCTTATATATGAAGAAGCCAAGTCCCCAAGAGGTGAAGAAACAAGGTCCCAAAGCTAGTTCAAGGCAAAATTGCATTTGATCCCAGTCTGCACTCTCACTCCAGTGTTACAGCAACATGCCACCTCTGTGAACAGTGGGTTGCTCTTTTCAGAGGTGTGGGTTACTGATGTGCTTTTTCATTTCTTTGCTCAGCCTTAGAAGAGACCTTTCCAAGAGAGGTATCCCACGCTGCTTTTGACATTTGCCTCTACCATGAGTGGATACATAGATAGATATAAAGTTAGCTACACTGTACTTGCCCAGTATTCAAAAAGGTGGAGTTGCTAGACTGTAAGCTCCATGAGAGCAAGAACCATGTCTGACATTCTCCTCATGTATCCTTAGCACCTAGCATACAGTCAATTTGTAGTTTACACAAGGAAACATAATACTCTTCTGTAAGCTAATTTAGGCCATGCCCCTCAGGTTCCTACTGCACTCTCTTCTACAGCTAGGGCATATGTCAATGTAAAACCCTGAGAAGCACTGGAGTGGTCTCTAAGCTGCTTTCCATATTAATATGCTACAACTGTTTATTTTTGGTTGGGCTCATTCAACCTGGATCAGGAAGATCAGTTACAGAATCATAACAGCACTGGAATGGATCTTGTAAGTCATCTAACCCAACTCCTTCATTTAACATAACCAGGAAACAGAGTTGCAAGGAAGTAACAGAATCCATCCAGGTAGCTGCAGCAAACCTATACTATGGTCCATTCCTAAAACTCAGATTTTCTGACCACCAATTACATGATCTTCCCTAAATATCACAATACTTCCCCACCAATGAATGAATAATGATTGGAAACAAACAATGTCAGAGGCATTGTGAACTAGAAAGGTATGTCCTTAAGAATGTTTTCCAAAGTCTTGTTTGAGTTGGACAATGATAAATCATGAGTTTGAGAAGATAGACTCTTTATTCTTTCCAAGCAAGAAGTACTAGTGAGATAGAAGAAAAGAAGATTAGTTAGGTAAGACTATTAGAAGTCCTCAAATTTACTGAAAAACGGATATAAAGCTGGATTATAGTTGTTCTGTACATGAATGGCTAATTTAGAAAGCATAACTGGTTAGTCATACAGAAAACATGTATGTCTACTTACTCTGACTCCAAGCCAGAAATTCTGTGATTTAGGACATTAGTTTAGTCTAAAGTGATTATTTTAATGAAAAATATGTATTCTGTTGTAAACAGGATGTATTCTCAAGCTGCTATCTAAACAATAAAAGGAATTTGTTTATTAAGAAACAATACACTTTTCAGATTTTTAGCTTTATTTCAGAAATAAACCTTTAAAAGTAAAAACAATACTGGAACTTTATTTCAATAATATCCCAAGTTATGGGACTAAGTTGATGGTTCTGAAAGTTTACACAGTTGTTCTACATACAGTCACATGCTGCATTATGACGTTTTGGTCAATAACAGACCACAAATATAATGGTGCTCCCAGAAGGTTACAATACCATATTTTTACTGTACATTTTCTATGTTTAAATATACAGATACCATTGCATTACAATTGCCTATGGTATTCAGCAAAGTAACATGCTGTACACGTTTGTAGTGGGAGCAGGAGGCTCTACCACATAGCCTAGGTGTGTGGTAGGCTCTAGTATTTAGGTTTGTGTAAGTACATTCTGTGATGCTTGCACAGCAACAAAATCACCTGATGATGCATTTCTCACAACATATCCTTGTCATTAAGTGACGCATCACTGTACATTCTATAATACAAAACTCTTTTTAACAGAACCAAATGAGTATACTACAGCGAGACTCCAGTGTTATCTATATTGTTTTGTTGACCCTTCCTCTCATATATAACTATTAAAGATAAAAATAACCTGTGGGACAACTATTTTTCATATAAAATAATTCCATATTTAAAATAATAATGAACTGCAAACAAGAAGTCTAAAATAATTTAAATCTACTATGATATCAATTTCCCAACACAAACAATTTTGATTTTTCAAGTCTAGCAGATGGTGCTAGCAGATAATGTATTAAGGAAAGCAAAGCTGCATGTGCGCACATAGCTTCCATTTTGATGGCCTTCCATTTCCGAGCTGGGCCATAACACAGCAAAATGGCAGTGGCATATTATACCTGATCATGGCTGGCTTCAATGGAGCTTCCAATAGCATGGAAAGTCATCTGCACAGGGGCTAATGTCAGACAGGTCACACACTCTTTGCCACTTTGTCTATCACAGTAGTGAACCTATAACAGAACACACGCAATCCACTGAACACCATTTTCAGAGGGGACAAGATGCAAATAGGTCCTTTTGCAAAGGGTCTAGATTTCACAGAACACACTTTAAATATTTAAAACCTTATTGAACCCCTCCAATATCTGGGACTTGAATTGAATCTATTAATTCCATCTTAAGTCTTTTTGAGGATTTAAGGGAGTTTAGGAAATGCTATGCAAAGTGCTTTTACATTATAGCTAGTAGAAAAATTCACAACTAAATGCTATACCTATCTTTCAAGTCCAGCTTTTTATAATACATGATCCATAAAGGGCTCAAGCATAAGCGTAAGTCAAAGTTCATCTGATTCTAATGTAACTTTGTCAACCTGAATTTTCTCTCTTCTTTGACTCCATGTGTATGTGACTGCCACATAATTGGTACTGACACTCTTCTATTTCTACAGTATAGTCCCTACAAAACCACTGTTGAATATATATCACTATATCATGTTCTGTTTGAAATTGTGACATTACAATCAAATTGAATTAAATTGAAATGATTTGTAATGTGCAGACCAAAATAAAGTGGTCACAATATTATCTTTCATTTAGTTAAATACAACTAACCATTATTAAAGCCACATGTAAGACACTCCACATCAGAGGTAAGGTACATGGGGAAGGGGGAAGAGTTTGAGTCCGTCTTCCCATTAAGAAAATTTCCATCCTTCCATTTATCCACTGTCAAAAACTTCCAGGTTTTTAAAATTGTAAGCTAATAAAGTAAAAAGAGCATCACTTTCGTAATAAAATTAATGAAAATATGCTTATAGAATAAATTAGGGATTCCTATTTATTATATTAGAGAGAAAATTGGTTTTATTAGCTATAACTTGCTCAATTTGTTAAATGTGTATAGATTTAGGATAAAGGCTTAAGTGAAAATTTTGAATTTGTGAGGAAGAAAATTAAAACACATACCTGAGTTAGTTCCTTGTCTTGGTTTTTATTGTATACCTGAGTTATTCCCTTGTCTTGGGTTTTATTCTAATTGCTGCATAATGTCCATATATTTTTATTGCAGAATATGGCCTACGTTTATTTAATCATGTATAATATGGATCTGACTGAAAATTACAATATGAGCCCTAGTCTAATGGCTTAATAATTCAAGTTTTTTAAACCAGTAGGGTTGTTAAGAATGGCCATCATTTTCCCTGGAGGTAGGGAAACTTCTTCCTGGGAATCTATAAAAGTAGTTTAGAGCTCAAATCAAGTCAACATAAAAGCCTTATTCCCAAAGTACTATAAAGATTTTGTTATAAAAAATATTTTTACCAAGTTAACCTTGGGGAAAAAGGTTTGACAACAGTTCTAATTCACCATCCTACACTTCCTGAGCAAATTAAAAGCTCAGTCAATGTATACGAGTTCAAGAATGTGGAAGTGTTGTTTACTACACAGCAACTAGGTATAAGGGGAAAAATGAAACTTATCACATAATAGGTTTATGTAAAAGCCAATAAATGCTGGCACTAAAATAATAGCAACAGTTCACAACCATTTATGGCATGGTTAAACTATTATGTCTGATATAGTGCTATTATAAAACATGCTCTTTTAAAATTTAATAAAATATAATTACCCTTTCGACACCAACTGAAAGTCTGTATGAAAGACATGACAATCTCCTAAATATACAGTGACAGTAAACACACTTCTATGTCAGCTGACTTAATGTAGCTCTATTCTTTCTCTTAGAGAAATGAAAATTAGAAAGGACAAAAATAGGACAATTGCAGTCAAAAAAATAAACTTTAAACTTCGTTTCCATCAGTGACTCAGATACCATTAATGAGACATATAATTTTTCTCCCAACTGTATACAATTCACTGTGAAGCCTGCAAGTACTAATAAAACATTGTGCCTTACAGACATTCAATATTAGTGTGTTTACATATATAACTCATATATGAAAGATAAATGTAAAGGTGCAAGTTAGCACACAGCTCCAAAGATGTCACAGCACCCAATGATGTGACAGAGACTGCTAGTTGTCCTCCAAGATTCTTCCACCGTAATTCTTAGCCAGGCACTTGGAAGCTCAAAATAAAAAACCATATTTTCCAGGCTCCCTTGCAACTGGCCATATAACTAAGTAGACTGTAAAAGAAAGAATTATGTGGCAGCTTCCTGAAAACTTTTAAAAGAGATTTCAAGTGCGTGCCTTTTGCTTTTTTACCCATTTAGCCAACCTGCTGTTTGGAGTATAGATATTATCATCTTGACTGCGAGGACAAAGGCCAAAACCTAGATGAGAGTAGTGAGTTGGAAGGGAACTGGGTCCATGAGGACTTCATGGAACAGAACCATCATGCCAGCTGTAGCCTGCAAGCTTATGGACCTTTAAGTGACAAAAAAATAATCTCTATATTGTTTAAGCCACTGGGCTTTTTATCACTCACAAAAGAACCTAATCTCAGTGAGATTTTCTCCTATTGGCCCATAACTGACACCAAGACTCATGGCCAAACCAAAAGAAGCTCTAGAGAGCTGCCAACATTTAGGGCTAGGCTTTCCCCTGAACCCCCTTGTAAAAGTCAGTACAACTGGTCCAATCACAAAGAACACACAAAGGAACAAAGGATGGGGGAGTACAACAGGAGGGAATCATCTGGATTGTCAGCCTGATGAGAAATACAGTATTTCCAGCTAGTGGGTAGCTCTAAGAGAATAGCTGATACAGAGTGGGAATACCTGCATGAAGGGGAGGCTGACATATCACTCCCTGGTGGGAGGCTTGCTGAGAACTGAAACTGTAGGCCCTTTTTGAATAGAAATTTTGACTGAGTTTGCTGTATATCCCTGGCAGTTTAGAAGCACATGAAAATACAGAAATTGGGCTTGGAGGTATCTGAGAGCTTATTGAAGGAGTCCTAGGTAGGTAGTGTACCTGAAAAAACAAAAAGATAAAGGAAGATATGATCACTGCCTACCTCCATGGCCTTTGAACAGCATGAGAGAATCCCAGCAGAAGCCAAGGGGCTACTCAGGCCAGCCAAAGTAACACTCACCAACAGAGGAGGTCAGAGCACAAACCACTGGTAAAGCCAAAAGAAAACGTGGCTGTCCCTCAGGGCCAGAGGGGGCCACTGACTCAAGACACATGGACATGGTGTACATGGAAAAGCACAATGGAGGCCACCAGGAGTGGATGAAACCAGGATGAGTAGCAGCTTCCTCTACCCTAGTCACCCTCTAACCCTCCAGAGCAGTAAGCCCATGAAATAGACGTAAAGTGTGCAGGAAGGTGTCTCAGAGCCAGGTTAAGCTCTGACCCCACCAATCTCAAATACATATGCTTGAGTGAGATGAGGAGTGAAAGAGATCAGTGTACACTGTCCCTCCTCTAAGTCTCTGGAGCCAAAATGAATGGCTTGCAATGGAAGGGTATGAACTTGGAGTTCTACACTGATGCATTAGATTTTTAAAAACTAAAAGCTAGCCAGAAAACTATGGAATTTGCCAAAGATATCACAAAGGAACATGAATGGGAGATGTGGCAAGGCACGGAGGAAGGGGGTGACTGGAGAAATATAAAATCATTCTGTGTTATATCCCCACTGCATTGAGACTGCTCAGTAAACCAGATAAAAATATGTAGGGAAAAACATGAAACTCTTGCTTGAGGACCCAATTTCAAATTAAACGTAATAATATGCTGATAAAAGGCCTTAAGAAAAAGTCACATTTTACATACTCAACCAATGACTCATAAAGACAAGTTAAATATGGCTTTCTTCAGGTATATATTTTCTTCCTGGAAATAAAAATATCAGTGTTCATGAAACTGTGAATTAAAAAAAATATGTAAATGACATTTTGAAATTCACTCTTCTAAGTCTAAAAATGCTTCTTATGATTCAAAGCATTTGCAGGAACCAGGAATCTTAGAACACTATATTAAAATAATTAGGGCAACAAAATTCCATTCATTGTGTCTGTAACACACAAATCTTCAGAACTGACTGGGTAAACTCTTTCTGCTAGAACAAAGCAGTGCGTTTCTACAAACGTGGCCTGAAAAATTCCAATACACAATGTCATAGGACCTTGATTTTGATGAAAGAAAAATGAATAAAGATAATTATAGAAAATTACAAAAGAGTCATCACCCTATGTTTTGTAAACCAACAATAAAATCCTAAGGCCCCTGCAGCCAACTTAATAGACCCCCTCTGAGTCAAGGGGACCTCAGAGAAACCTGAAAAACTGAATTCCCAGCCATGACAGAAAGGGAGGTTGGATATGCGCAGTCATTTTAGGCATAACTAACCAACATTAACATTGAAATAGAGGTCATAAGACTGATGAAACATGTTATTTGTGGCAATAAGATTCTAAGTTCCAACCTGACTCTAAGTTTCAACCATAGCATCACATGACAGATAGCAGTCCCTGAAGGAAATTAAAATATTTTACCCCAATATATATTTAAATGACATGCCTTGAAATGGCCCTGCAAAGCAGTACCTTGTGCGGGGAACGTGCACCTGTACAGAAACTCCATTAAGCCTCCCCTTTTTAGGCCTTTCCTGGGTCTAAGAGATTAAATGAGAGTCTGGGATGAGCATGGTGGCTCACACCTGTAATCCCAGTGCTTTCGGAGGCCAACAGGGGAGGATCCCTTGAGCCTAGGAGTTTGAGACCAACCTGGGCAACACAGGAGACCCCATCTCTACAAAAAAAATTAGACAGGTGTGGTGTGCCCAGGAGTTTGAGGTTGCAGTGAGCCATAACTGCACCACTGTACTCCAGCCTCAGTGACAGAGCGAGACCCTGTCTCAAAAATATAAAAAATTTTAAAAATGAGAGTCTGGCAACTTTAAGCTCTGAAAAGAGACATTTACCATCTATTCTCTCTAAAGGCTGTCACCTATGAGGCTTCATCTACATAACAAGAACCTTGGCCTCCACAACCACTCCCTTTATCTTAAGCATTTATTTCTAAACTGACTTCAAGTCTTTAGACAAAGCTTAATACTTTCAACCAATTGCCAATCAGAAAATCTTTGAATCCACCTATGACCTGTAAGCCACGCACCTCCTCCACTCCCCACCCAGCCCCTTCCACAGCTTCAAGATATTCTGCCTCCTTAGGTTGAACCAATATGCACCTTCCATGTATTGATTTGATTTTACCTACAATTCCTGTCTCCCTAAAATGTAACTCCAACACCCAGTGCACACTTTCTCAGGACCTCTTGAGACTGCTCCTTGGGCTATGGTCACTCATTGGCTTAGAATAAACCTCTTTAAAAATACTTCAGAGTTTGGTTTATCAACAGTTTAAGATTTATTATTTATAAATTAAATCATTTTGCTGCCTTTGGTACTCTAAAATGTGAGCAACCAATCTTGATTTTTATAATGTTATAGAGCTTCTTCTGGATTTATAACACCATCAACTACTATAAATTGATATTTTGTTTCTTTCTCATGAATTTACAAAAACTATTCCACTGAAAGGTGAGTTATAAATTTCAATATATCAATTAAATAAGACGGCTTTCTTTGAAATTTGCAAATCTATAACTTTTAAGATAAGTTTCCTAGTTTGATTTGTAATCTCATAAACCCAGATGAGATACTATACTTGAGATGGTATACTAAGTTTCCTAGTTTGATATGTACTCTTCTAAACCCAGATGAGATACTATACTTTTGCATTCTGATATTGACTTTGCCAGTCTAAAGACTTCCTTTTTTCTGAAGGGAAAATCAGGAAGTATTCATAGAATCACTTGAAATATTCATAGAATTTAAGAAATAGACAAGGCACTGTGGTTCACACCTGTAATCCCAGCACTTTACAAGGCCAAGGTGTGAAAACTGCTTGAGGCCAGGAGTTTGAGACCAGCATGAGCAACAGAGAGAGATGAGACCCTGTTTCTGTCTGAATGAATGAATGAATGTCTTAAATTACATAAAATGCTAGGTGTGTGAATTTTTTTCATGCTGTTTTGAAAATATGAGGGGCCATCCAAATAAAAATTTAAATTTCCTACCCCCAGCTCCGAAAAGAAGTTGAGTCAAACTACTTCCTGCAGAGCTAAAAGTCCTTGATGTTGCATGACTACTAATTTTACTAATCTCAGCAGGGAACTGGGTTAACTGCTTGTCTGTCGGATGTTTTTAATGGCCACCCCCTATGGAACAAAAATGAGGAGGGTATAAAAAAGACCTATGTTTAAAGAAAGTTGCCTGTTAGATCATTAAGGTATGTGATACATAGCACAATCACTGTGTTAAGAAAACATGTATTTGATTAGTACACCTCAGATCCATTAACTGTGGAGTTGACTTCACAGCAGTAGGTAGCAATTCCACTGTAGCTACTGCACAGAAGCCTTGCACAGAAGAGTACAGGCAGCAAGGAGCTGAAGAGTGACAGTTGAACACTAAACCTTAGGAGATTCAAAACATGCTTGATTTTCGCAACGTCTGCACCTCAGTTGTACAAAGTTGTACAAATAAAGACCCAAATCTTAAGACAAAATAGCATGTTCTTGGCAAGGCACAAAGCAGCTTTCTTTCATAAATATTGACCTAAATAAGTAGATTAAGTTGGTTTCAAAACTTTACTACTTTTTTTGATCACTTGATGACATGTAAATTATTGTATTTATTTAACTACAGTCAACAGTACAAATCTACATGTTAGTTCTATTTATAACTAATGAATTAATGTATAAGTAAACAAAATTAATTTAGGCATGAAAAGTATACAGAACTGTAGCTAGCTCATGATTAGCATTAATAATAACTATCAGATAGTCTTATAACACATCCACTCATAATGTAATAAAATAAATTACAAGATATATAATTATTGAAAGTAATATTAAAGAGAATAATATCTGTTACTGTCTCTTCAGTTTTTTCCCAGTCCTTTCCATAACTAACAAACATCACATCCACTCCTTTGTAACAAAAATATGAACATACATTTAACATGCTTGGTCATGTACCAGTGTTTTAGTTGATGCATAATGTTTCACTCTAAATGCAATATGCTTGTCACATTAATGCCTCTAAAGGGACATGGATAAATAAATGAATGAAATTACATTACACAGACTGAGACACAACTTGGAATTATCTTTTCTCTCTTTTAAAAATCCTATGTTTTAGATAAGCTTTGAAAATTACATGCTTATATTTGATAATCAAAATCTGGCAGTAATGTATAAAGATTTTTTTGTGCAAGCCACGGATAAAAATTGTCTAACAAATGAAACAGATGTGTTGTCAGCGTTGTTTAGGGGGATAATAACATTCTTACTGTAAGTGACAAGCATGTACATGACAAAAATCCTAAACATTTGATCTTTGCTTTTTTTTTTGAGACGGAGTCTCACTCTGTCGCCCAGGCTGAAGTGCAGTGGCGTGATCTTGGCTCACTGCAAGCTCCACCTCCCGGGTTCACGCCATTCTCCTGCCTCAGCCTCCCAAGTAACTGGGACTACAGGCGCCCACCACCACGCCTGGCTAATTTTTTGTATTTTTAGTAGAGATGGGGTTTCACCGTGATAGCCAGGATGGTCTCGATCTCCTGACCTCGTGATCCGCCCACCTCGGCCTCCCAAAGTGCTGGGATTACAGGCATGAGCCACCGCCCCTGGCCGTTCTTTGCTTTTTAGTTTCCATTAACTATGCCAGTGAAGGTCTAGGGAGACAGCTAGTTAGGACATAAATTACACTTACACACACACAAACAATTATTTTAGTTTTACATTTCCATCGAAAGAAAACACTAAGTGATTCTTTAACAGTTTCATGTCTACCAGAAAAGGCACTTCCCTATTTTGCAGTGTGCACCCATGTTTTGACATACCTATATACATCATTTACATACGTAAAAGAAGCCACATTAAACGGCAGAGGGCTTTGTAAAGAATTAACCTTTTAATAAGAAAAATTATTTTCAACATTAAAGGAAAATTGTGGTTACACAGGCAGTCAGTATACCATCAAACTAATACAAACTCTTCTCTCTATGGGGCAAACTCTACTATTTCTAATGTATTACAATTCTATTGTATTGAATATCACTTCAAAAAATAGGTATCAAACACAGGACCTTACAAATCTTATTATATACTGACTTAATTCATAATGGCATTTAATTTTTTTAAAAAAAATATTTTAACATGGTGCTTTCTACTCAGGAATTACAGATTTTCAAAATGTATAATATATACTTGAATTTAAAATAGTTACATTTATGATGACAGACCATTTATGATTTCCACATCCAGACAAGATGAGATAGATTAACTTTTTCTTATTTTTCCTGCTTAACTACAAAAAGCTCTGGACGCTATATATAAAATAAGCATAATTCCAAAATGTGGAGAGAAGGAGGAAGACTGACTAGGGTCTTTGGGACCCAAGGAATAATACAGTAGTGAATTCCTAAGTTTTCTTTTTGCTTTACATATCCTTGGCTGGGTACCAGAAAAGCCAGCAACTTGAGAATGCCAATGGGTACAGGTGGGGAAAAAAAGCCCTAAGAAAGTCTGCTCTTTCTAACCAAAGGACCAAAAAAATAATAATATAACAACATATAAATCTTTTAGGCAATAACTGCCCTACTCCAGGGAAACACCATGGAAAAAATGGCAGATCCACCTCCATCCCCAACAGCAAAAGTCAATTTGGAAGCCTACACTTTCACCTTACCAGACTGTAATGAGGCGACCCAATTTCCTTGCTAAAGTTGTGACAGAGAAGGCCAAATGGGGAGTTAGGATTTTCATCCCTGTTGGATCCCTGGACAGTCACCTATACCTAGTGATGATGGGGCGTCGTACTCCTCCTTGCCAGGGTGGTGTCAATAGAGGCATGGTGGAAGGTCAGGACTTTCACCCCCACCCAGCTGTAACAATATCCCTCCTCCCAAGAAGATGTCAACAGAGGCTAGGTGGAAAATGTGAACTTCCAGTAACAAGGCAGCACCCCTATTCCCTAACTGGTACAATGTCAGAGGAGCCTTACTGAAACAGAAATTTTAGGAACATAGTACTCAAAATGTCCAAAATTCAGTAGAAAATCACCCTTATACCAAGAACCAGAATAATCTCAACTTGAATGAGAAAAGGCAATCATCAGATGCCAACAAGATGTCACAGATGATAGACTTATCTGACAAATATTTTAAAGTAGCCATCATAAAAATGTTTCAATAAGCAATTACATACACACTCTTGAAACAGATTTTAAAAAATAGTCTCACGAAAGAAATACAAGGTAACTCAGTAGAAGGGCTTCATAGCAAAATGGAAAGAACAGAAGAAAGTATCACTGAACTTGAAGATAGAAAAATATAAGCTCCCCAATCTGAAAAACAGAGAAAAAAAGACTGAGAAAAAAACAAATAGTGCTTCAAGGGTCTGTGAGATCATAACATCTAATCTGATGACTTGTGTCATCAGAGTCCCAGAAGGAAAAGAGATGAGTGGGACTGAAAAAAATTCAAAAAAGTAACAGCTTAAAATTTACCCAGTTTTGGTAAAAGATAAACCTATACCTTTAAGAAGCTGGGTAAGCCCCAACAGGATAAAAACAAACAAATCAACAGACAATCAAGCTTCTAAAAATTAAAGCCTAAGAAAAATCTTGAAAGAAGTGAGAGAGAAACAGCTCATGACCTACAGAAGTAAAAGAAAGACAGCAGTTTCTCAACAGAAACCACGGATGCCAGAAGGAACAGGCATAACGTTTTCCAAGTGCTGAAAGAACTGTCAGCCCAGACTTTTATATCTAGAAAAAATATCCCTGAGGAAGAAAGGAAAACCCAAAACATTCTCAAATACAAGGAAACAGTCTGTCACCAGCATACCTACCCTGAAACAATGGCTAAAATTAAGTTATTGAAACAGAACGGAAATGATAAAAGCAGGAAGAACAAACATGAAAAAGAGTATGAATATTGGTAAATACAACAGGTTTCCTTTCTCTTTTTGAAGTTTCTAAATTATATTTGACATTTGAAGTAAACACTATAGCACTGTCTAATGTGGTTCTAAAAGCATGTAGAGGAAACATGTTATAAAGAGTCACATGAAGAGCACTAAGATGGGCACAGTATCACTTCTGTGATAGTCTTACCAAAAATGCACAACCTCAATCTAATCATTTGAAAACATCAGGAAAACTCAAATTCAAGAACATTTTACAAAATAAGTAACTGATTTTCTTCAAAAGGGTTAAGATTGTGAAAGACCAAAGAACTGATACTTGATTGGAAGAGACTTGAGAGACTTGACAACTAAATGCAATGTGGATCCTAGACTGGATTCTGGACCAGAAAAAGGACATTAGTAGGAAAACTGGCAAAATTTGAATAAAATCTGTACATTAGTTAAGAGTTTTATATCATTTTAAATTTCCTGGTAGTGATAATTATACTATGGTAATATAACCAGTAACAATAAAGTCAGTACTATTTTTTTTACTTTTCTGAAAGTTTAAAATCCCTTTTTAAGGGCCATTTACAATACGAAATAAAATCATTAGTGCTATGAATTAAGGAGAATTGAAAGTAGCCAAGAGCCTATTAAGAATAGATAATAAACTTAAGTGTTTCTTTGCATGCCAGAATTTTATATTTAAAGAGTCTTCAATCAATGAAAGAAGGGAATCTGTGGGGACTAAATTTTCTCTTAATTAGAAAAACAAAGTCAGTGGGGCAATGTGGTACTGTCTACCTCTGATATGGAAAGGAAAAAGGGTACAGAAAAAATTTCTAGTATAAAGGCCTGGAGACTTGTAATATTGAAAGCTTCATGAAAAAGAAGAGTAAAAGCTTTCTCCTTAAGTCAGAGTTTTAGAAAAAAAAAAAAAATAGTAACATAGGCCTATGCATGAGAATCATAGTAATGGGGACCAAGAAACTTAAACCAAGAAACATCAATACTTGCTACTTGATTTGCAAAAGATAAGAAGAAATAAGTTGGTGCTTAAACTACAAATCCAAATTGGTAGCAAATACCACTACTTATGACAGGTTCTTTTTTAGATAGTCCTATTTTTACTCTAAGAAAGCATTTCTACCACTACCTCAACTTTCTCCCCTATCATTCACTTCAATGAAAAAAGTTTGCACTAAAGACACCCTAACAGGGAACAGTAACCACATAAATACCAACTCTATTAGGTTTTTCTGTGCAGCATTTGACACAGAATTTGATGGAGAGTCAGGAGAGGCTACTGCCCCAGAAACTAAGAGAAAAGAAAGTCCAAGAAGAAAGAAGTTTGGATTTGAGTCCAGCCAGATTAAGTGCCTCAGAAAATAAAACGCAAAACTATTCAGAGGACTGTAAACAGAATCCAAAGTCTCTATAATGTATTATTCACAAATGTTAGGATGCAATCCAACATTACTTGCCATAGAATAAACAGAAAAAGGTGATTTATACTCAAAAGAAAAGGCAATCAATAGACACCAAACTCAATACATCTCTGATGTTGAAATTATGGGGATAAAAACGGTGTTTAATGCACCTATGCTAACTATATTTGAGCATGTAAAGGAAAATACATCTGCAATTAATGAATGGATATAAAATCTCTGCAGAGAAACAGAAACTAATGAAAAGGACCATATATAAATTCTAGAAATGAAAAATATAATTACGCAAAATAAAAAAAAATTTACTGGATTAAGGAGACAGGAGTCACTGAACTTATAGGTCAATAGAAATTGTACAATCTGGGCCAGGTGTGGTGGCTCATGCCTGTAATCCCAGCACTTTGGGAGGCCAAGGCAGGTGGATCTCTTGAGCTGAGGAGTTCGAGACCAGCCTGACCAATATGGTGAAACCCCATCTCTACTAACAATACAAAAATTAGCCAGGTGTTATGGTGGGTGCCTGTAGTCCCAGCTATTCAGGAGGCTGAGGCAAGATAATCGCTTGAACCTGGGAGGCGGAGGCTGCAGTGGGCTGAAATTGCACCACTGCACTCCAGCCCTGGGCGACAGAGTGAAATTCCATCCCCATCCAAAAAAAAAAAAAAAAATTGTACAATCTGAAACTAAGAGGAAAAAAATGAATAACGCCTCAAGGAATCTGTGGGACAATATCTAAAATGCATGTAAATGAAGTCCCAGAAGGAAAAAGAGAGAAAAAAGGAGACAGAAATTATTTAGGGAAAAAAATGGCCGAAAATTTCCCAAATTTGATTAAAATAATAAATATACAGATTAAAGGAAAAAAGAGATATACAGTGAGATGAACAGTGTACCCTAAAAGATATATCCAAGTGTGTAGCCCTAGTACCTTTGAATGTAACCTTATTTGAAAATAAAGTCTTTGCAGATGTAATTAAAGACCTGGGAATAAGATCATTCTGAATTTTGGGTAGACTCGAAATCTAATAACAAGTCCCCTTATAAGAGACAGCAAAGAAGAATACACATACACAAAGGAGAAGGCCATGTGAAGATGGAGGCAGAAACTGGAATGATGAATCTACAAGCCAAGGAAAACCAAGAATTGCCAGCAGCCACAAAAAGCTAGAAAAGAGGCACAGAACAGATTCTTCTTCAGAGCCTCTAGAAGGAACCAACCCTGCTGACACTTTGATTTCAGACTTCTGGCCTCCACAACTGTGAGAGAATAAATTTCTTTTGTTCAATCCATTGTGTTTTTATGTAACCAATTATGTAATGAATATCTTACATTTAGAGATTTTCCCAAATTTTGAATTATTTTATTTGAACAGATGTCAAGTTTACCAGTTAGTAATTAATTAGTCAATTCAATGAATATTTTAAAAGAATTGGTAGAGTTCCAGCTTCTGACAACAGGAGAATGAATTCACTGGACAAAGTCTTTTGCAGATATCAAAGTAAAATATAGACAAAATAAAAAATATTTGAAGACACTAGAATGTTACCAAAATCAAGCAGATACCACCAGGGCAGAGATTTCCCTGGAAAGATCAAAATGTATGCAGTAAGAATTATGAGTTTTGACTTTTTTTTTTCCATCTGTGCTTCTTATAGTTCTACTGGTGGAAAACTGCAGTCTTACCCACTGGAGGACGCAGAGGAAAGAGTTTAGGGTTGGCAAATGAGCTAGACATTTT
This sequence comes from Homo sapiens, assembly GCF_000001405.40. Classification (NCBI taxonomy): domain Eukaryota; kingdom Metazoa; phylum Chordata; class Mammalia; order Primates; family Hominidae; genus Homo; species Homo sapiens. The sequence continues at coordinate 73,540,937 of NC_000008.11, forward strand.
GGGAAGAAATCCCAGGAGAAAGCTGCAGAAGTGGCACAACTCTAAATCTGAATCTTTTACCCAAATTCCAGCTGACTGCTAAACTTCACATGCACAAGGGAGATCTTGGAAGGCCCAATGGAAAAGTAGGCAGAAACCAGTGAGAACTGGTTGAGATTTGAAAGTCTGCTACTTTTTGAATAGAGTGCAGTCCCTAATCTGAATGCAGCTCAAATGATTGAACGCTAAAGCTTTATAGGCCTGTAGTATCAGTGGGTGTGTGGCTGGCAGATCAGCTAGAAATTTAGAGGAGGAAATGCCAGAAAGAAGAAAAGGCAAAAAAAGTGGGCCCCAAAATATAAGCATAAACTCAGCCCAAATAATTGGCTTTCACTATATGATGCAGGCACAGAGGAGACCATAAGAGAAAATGCTGCAGTTATAAGGTAGAAATACTGAGTAGACTGTATCAGCTGAGGGATACCACCATGGAGAAGATAAAGCTTGCAGTTTTAGCTTAAGCAACTTAATCAAAAACCAAAACCAAAATAAAAATATTAATCTGGGGAAGAAATGATGATCCACAGTTGCAATATGTTATCCACAATGTCCATTTTTCAAACAGAAACTAAAGACATGCAAAAATCAGGAAAAAGGTAAATCACACTCATGAATAAGGCAGTCAACAGAAATTGACTCCTAATGGGCCCAGCTGTTGGATTTAGTTGACAAAAAACTTCAAAGCAGGTATGATATAGATGTTCAAAGAATTAAATGAAAATACAATCTCAGTAACTATACAGATATGGAATCTCAACAGAGAAAAGGAACTACAAAAAACAACCAAATGGAAATGTCAGATGTGAAAAATACAACAAAATGAAAAATTTATTATAGGGGCTCAAGAGCAAACTGGAGAGGATGGAGGGAAGAATCTGTAAGAATCCAAAACTTCAAGGTAGATCAATAGAAATTACATAATCCAAAAGACTAAAGAAAAATAAATAGAGCCTCTGAAGCCTGTGGGAGAATAACAGGAGATTTAACACATGTGCAACTGGAGCTCTAAAAGGAAAGGAGAAAAAGGTAGAAAACTTTTTTGGAAAAAATAGTGGTCCAAAACATTCCAAAAATGGTTAATAAAAAACACCATTTTTTAACCATTATTTTACAGTTCTAAGAAGCTAAATGTATCCCAAACTAGATTAAAAACACTCCTACATGTACCATAATCAAATCGGTGAAAAACAAAGATATACAAAGTATCTTAATGCTTTAAGTATTAAGAGGAGAGATTCCTTGCTTAAGCCTAGACAAAACACAACATGACATACATGGTCCTGTAACAACTGGCTATCCTATGAGGAAAAAAATAAATTTCAACTCTTACCCCATACCATACATTAAAAATTAACTTTAAGTGGGTCTTAGCATTAAATATAAAAGCTAAAAGCATTAAATGTCCATAAGAAAACTTAAGATAAAAAGTCTTTGTGATCTTAGGGGTAGTCAAAAGATTCCTCAGATTAGACTAAGAAGGCATAAACCTTAAGGGGGAAAACTGAAAATTTTACTTCATTGAAATGGAAAAACCTCTGTTTTTCAAAGGATCACGTTAAGATAACAAAAAGACAAGTCATAGGGAGGGAGATAATATTTGTAATGCAAATGACTTATGGCCAGGATACAAAGAACTTGTGTAAATCAATAATTATGGGGGAAAATCCCAATTAGAAACTGAGTAAAAGATGTGGACACTTCGCAAAGATACACAAATGACCAATAAGCACATGAAATGAAGCTCATATCATTTGTCCTCAGTGAAATACAAACTAAGATATCAATGAGACACCATTATACTCTCAATAAAATAAGACTGACCATATTAACGTGTACAACCCTCACACATTGCTGGTAGGAATGTAATGTATGTAATACATTAAAATAGAATCTGAAAGTTTCTTATAACATTGTATGTACACTTACCATGTGATCCAGCAATTCACTCTAAGGTATTTTCCCAAGAGAACTGGAAACATATGTCTGCACAAAATATTGTAAATCAATGTTCATAAACAGCTTTATTTATAATGGCCCCAAAGTGAAAACAACCCAAATGTCCATCAACAGGCAAACTGAAACAATTTGTGGTATATATACATAAAATAAACTAATTCTTAGCAATAAAAACTACTGATACATGGAACATGCGTGAATTTCAAAATATACTGAGTGAAAGATGCCAGATACAAAACTGTGAATACTGTGTAATTCCACCTATATGAAATCAGTGAAAAGACAAAACTAATTTTTAGTGCCAGAAAGGATTTTGTGGTTGTCTGGAGGTGAGGAAAATCGGCGGCAAGGGCGGAGGCAAATCTTTTGCAATAAAGAGTCCCATCTTGATTATGGTGGTAGTATACATTTTGGTGACTATATACATTTTTCAAAACTCATCAAACTGTACAATATGGGTGTGTTTTATCACATGTAAATTATACATCAATAAGGTTGATTAAAACACTTAAGTGTAGTTATCTCTGACACAACTGAAGACACTAAGTCATGGTTTATATTTTGCATAATCATAAGTAACCTCACAATTAACTAATTTCCAAGCAACTGTTACATTAGGAGCTTAACACCATTTGAATTTATTGTATGTGTTCAGATGTGTTTATCTGCCCTTGCACCTACACCAAACCCTCCCCTCTTCCACACTACCATTCTGATGTTAGCTCATTGAGGGCAGAAACCCTGGCTATCACTTTCATGTTATATACTCAGTGCCAAGTCGTGTACCTGGTCCATGGCAGGTGCTCAATACACACTGGTTGAATTCATGAATAAATGAATCCCTTACATGTTAGTATGCTTCTGGAATCTCTTGTAGGCCTTTGTCCATTCTCCCTGGGCAATATTAACTGTTTCTATGGCTTCAGTTATATCTATACACTGATGACTCTCAAATCTGTATGTACCATGTTCTCTTACTGATCACCAGACCGATTTCAACTGCCTACTGGACAAATCCATGTGAATGTCCCACAAGCAATTCGAATTCCACGTTTAAAATGGAACTTGTTAAGTTCCTCTAAGTTTATTCATCTCATCCATAGTAAAAATAAAACTTTGCCTAAACATCTCACACTCATACTATCTCACTTACTCCTAAAATGGTCTCTACTTACTTTTCAACATATGTAAATCCAGCTTCCACCCTAACCAGGCCAGTGAAAGCATCCTCTCTGAAGTCAGCACAAGAGATCATTTAATTTTCTCAATTGAACCTTAGACAACTGTACCCTAGATCCACTCCTCCATGCCCAACAGCTTTGTCTTAACTCAATCTTTATTCTTTCTTTCCTGGATTCATGAAAAACCATTCTAATTGGTCTTTCTATTATCAAGTCTGTCTCTTTCTTGTCTAGTTCATCTTGTACACTGCTGACAGAATTATCTTTCTGTTAACCAATCATGTCACATCTCTTTTAAAGATAAGTCAGTGGTCTTTGTCTAATGGCTAAAAAAATTCTAACTCCCAACAATACACACACATTTTTTTCAGCCTCCTCACTAGCCACTTCCACTTTAAATTATTTTCTAAAACACCATGCCCTTTTATGTCTTCAGTGCTTTGATGCTTCTGCCTATAATTCCTTTTCTTATCCACCTTAAAATCTGAAGTATTCTTTAAAACATATTTCAAATATTCCCTCTGCTATGAACTCTTCCCTAATTCCTTCAGCCAGAAATGTTCATTTCCATTCACAATTCTTGACATCACTAACCACACTTCGAGTTAACATTTATCAGGTTATACTTACTATGTCATTTATTATGTGGGGTAGGCATTACAAACATTATTTCTTGCACCATGCTACAAACATTTAACTATTTTTATAAGACCATTGTGTAATGTTTGAACACTGATCCCAGGAGACAGGATTTGTGGCCGTGGGTTATCTTCTTCTGCATATTGATTTTATTTGCCTGTCAGTCTCCAACTTGACCATAACTCCCCGAGTCCAAAGTTTAGCATGTTTAGCAAGTTTAGCATGCTACCCAGCATTTGTAGGCCTTTAATGAGTACTGCCCAGTGTGAGCAAACAAATGTTCCATGTCCTGTGCTTCAGCTGAATCAGTTCCAATGTTCAACGGGATGGCATTCTATGGGCAGATTAACTTCATATCCATCTAATTCTTCATATACATGCTGAAATTATGGAAACCTCTTCACAATATACTATCTACCACCTATCTTTCCCTTAGTAAGAGTTTTTCAAACTGTAAACCTAGTACTGTTTTCCAGCAATGGTTCAAATGTTCCATTTTAGGACTTGATTCTAGACTTTATTTTGAGACAGAGTCTTGCTCTGTCTGTTGTCCAGGTTGTATTACAGGTGTGAGCCACCTCATCCAGCCTGTACTTTTCTTATGCTTTTAAAAAAATAGATAATACTACAGATAAAAAAAAAATTTGGAAGTTTTTCAAGTATGTGTTTTCTCTGACAGTTAAATCTGCTTTTTGATGTGACTATATTAAGATGGCAGAACTTTCTAGAACCTAAAATCTGTCAGGGTTTAAAATCAAGTAAAAACAAGTAAACTACATTACTAATATGATGTTTGATGTATGTATTCCCAAATGTGTTTACATATAAAATTTTACATTAGAATAAAATCTAAAGTCCCTTCCATCTCAAAGGAGTCAGAATTCTTTTTTTTTTTTTTTTAATATATATTTTTTGAGACAGAGTCTCACACTGTCGCCCAGGCTGGAGTCCAGTGGTGCAATCTTGGCTCACTGCAAGCTCCGCCTCTTGGGTTCACACCATTCTGTTGCCTCAGCCTCCCTAGTAGCTGGGACTCCAGGCGCCCGCCACCATGCCTGGCTAATTTTTTGTATTTTTAGTAGAGACGGGGTTTCACCGTGTTAGCCAGGATGGTTTCGATCTCCTGACCTCGTGATCCGCCCGCCTTGGCCTCCCAAAGTGCAGGGATTACAGGCATGAGCCACCACACCTGGCCCTATTGATTTTTTTGAAACAGGGTCTTGCTCTGTCATCCAAGCTGGAGTGCAGTGGTGGGGTCTTGGCTCACTGCACTTCCGCCTCCCTGGTTCAAGCACTTCTCCTGCCTCAGTCTCCCAGTAGCTGGGATTACAGGTGCCTGCCACCATGCCTGGCTAATTTTTGTTTGGTTTTCTTTTTTTTTTTTTTTTTTTTTTTGGTAGAGACAGAGTTTCACCATGTTGGCCAGGTTGGTCTCAAACTCCTGACCTCAAGTGATCTGGCTGCCTTGGCCTCCCAAAGTACTGGGATTACAGGCATGAGCCACCATGCCCAGCCAAGGAGTCAGAATTCTTAAATGGCTTACTCAGTTGTATATATAGTTGAGGGCAGAAATAAATTTATTAATGAAATCTATGACAAAAACAAACCAATATCCAGAAGACTATGGGCCACCACCACACATTAGTCCTACTTACAGGGACTGGTCTTCAAACATTATACAATAGCTTTCTTCAAAATCAAATAAAAGATTTGTAGGCAAAAACATACCAGGTATTCTGAAATAATATATGTAATGCCTACTTCACTATGGGATATGTGAGTCCATCAATAACTGTCAGTTTCCTCCCTAGTTTATCCATATATCCCCTAAATGCATGCCCCTGTTATGTCAGAGCAATTTTTTGAGTATGCAAAAATCTTTTACATGCAACATTCCACATACTGTTCTTTCTTAAGAGTTGCCTTGGGTGAGAAGAGAACAATACATATGAAATTTCAGCCACTGTCATTTGTGGGGAAAAAAAAATCTCCTTAGATATAGCTGGATGCTGGAGAAAGGGAAATGCTGGACTCACTTCAACATGACTTGGAATGAGTGTAGGTATACAGCTGCCATCCACCTGAAGAGTACCATAATTAATTATATGTCAGGAAAAATTACATCATTGTCAATCGTTTCTAGCAAAAGGAAATGTAATGCATCTTTAGATGAAAAATAATTTTTTCCTTCAAATACTTGATTTTTCAAATAATTCCAAGTAGTAGAATTTTCATGTTGAGTTGAAATCTCTTCTGATACAAACAGAAAAGGTTATCAGATAGTTCTACTTGGAAAGGACACGAAATGATAATCATCTTTTTCTGTATCATGATGGCTCATTTCAGATCTACATTAAAGTTTCTTTGGTTGGAAAAGCTCTTACAGTGTTTGTATATTACTTAGATTTTGTTGAACTATCTTGTGTGTCTTACTATGTATGTGCTGGTGCATAAAGGCTCAAAATAAGTATCATAGCAACATAGTTTACGCAGTAATAATGGACTGTTTTGCTCAAGGCCTGCTTGATTCTTACCTGTATTACTGTTACTCATTGTAGTTTTTATATGCACCAGGATTTCTTTCTTCAAACATAGTATTTTTTTTTTACAGGGTTTAAAATTTCAGTAAAATGAGCTGATCTACAATTCTGCTGGTTTTTATGGAAGTACAGGTGTGTGTTATGTTTGCATATCCCTTGGACTTTGGCCTGCATATCAAAGTCTAAGGACACCAGACACAACAGGTCAGTTTGCATGAACTGGGGCTGCCCACTGGAATAACAAACCTGAGTGTTAATGTCACTAAAGGAAGACCAAGCCTTCAAGAGAGTTCTAACACATACTTAAGTCTTTCCAAGGTCCTTGGAAGGTAGTAGAGGTCAAATTCAAGAGAGCTTTTTAAGAATTTTTAAGATTTTAATGGCAAATCAGAGCAGTATCTGCTGACCAAACCCACAAATGTGTTTTGCTCATTGTAGTCTAAGTAATTTATTATGGTTTTATACATTTGTTTAATAGCCTACATGAACATTTGGTCTCAGAGGCAACACAGTAAGTTATGTTTCAATGACAAATTAAAAATAAGGGAAAACACACAGTTGGGCCCTCCATATCCATGGGCTATGCATCCAAATATCAAAAATATTAAAAAAGAATTGAAAAAAAACCACAAAAAAGCAATATGGTATAACCATTATTTATATAGCATTTACATTATATTAGGTATTATAAGGCATCTAGACATGATTTAAAGTATAAGGGAGGATGTGTGTAGGTTATATGTAAATACTACAACATTTTATATAAGGGACTTGAGCGTCCATGAACTTTGGTATCTTTGGGGGTCCTAGAACCAATCCTTCCTGCAGATACCAAGAGACAACTATATTCCTAAATGTGGGTGTGTATGTACATGCATTATTTCTTTCTCCATATTCTCCTAAGAGGAATTTACAAAATTGTACTTGTATTGATCTCCTAACAAAAATGAATACCTTATTCTAAAAAAAAAAAAAAAGCTGCTGCAAATAGCCACCTTGATGATAACTATATGGATTGGAAAACATGAGGTATAGGAGAGATAAGAATAAATAGGTGAAAGGTTGATTCTCAGATTCTCAGGGAGACCAGCCACCACCCCCCCACTTCCACCAGCCCCATCCCAATATAACCTATACTAAGTCATATTGTTAAAAAATAAATACTTAAAAGAAGCCTGTGGCTATAAAAACCTGCTATCATCATATTAAACTCCACAAAAGGAGGCATATGAGTTGAAATGTATTCAGCGTGAATTATATTTGAAAAGGAAGATTTTAATTTAAGTGGACAATCTCATCTTGCTGGAAATGGCATGATTATGATCAATAATGAAATGCCCCTCCATAAAACACTCCCTGATTTTGGACAATAAACTAATTATAGTTTAACTAAAACACCAACTAAGTGTTTCTTTATATTATTTATGTGAGGGAAAAAACCTAGTTTGTTACACTATACTCGGAAGGTTTCACAAACAACACTGTTACAGTGGATGATGCTCACAGGAGAGGCACAGAATAGCAAACTGAAATGAAATCCATCTAGAAGGGACGATTTGCTAAAATAATCCACTTTCATTTTCAACCTAATTTTTAATGACTAGTTTAAACAAAGAAACCACTTATATTTATAGATTTCTAATATAATTAGCATAGAAAAGCATATTAAAGATGTGAAAACTTAAAATAATGCAAAGTACAACATGAAACAAATTCTTTCACTTCAGCTCAAATGCACAGCATTTCAAGAGTGTCTTTTGCATAATAAGTTTCTTTAAAAAGCTGAATGATTTTGAAACATTTTGCCATTATAGTAAAAGTGTACACAACAAGGAACCCTGAAACACTATGGTAGGACTACAACTTTGAATGAGTTCTTATAAAATGTGTAGAAGTTACAGAAGCATACGATTAGGCTGAACAACAAAGTCTGAAGTTCACAGAACTACTGAATAAAACATTTAAAAGAATATAAATAAAACGTATTAATACTTGATAAAACTTGAAAGAAATAAACATTCATTTCTGACAGAGATCCAAAAGGTTCGATTCTAAAATACGATAAAAACTTTAGGTGAGACCAAACAAGAATAACAGAACTGCTGAGAATGTGTAAGTGTTCGGTCACATTCTGCTCTCTTAAGTCAGTTTTATTAATAACTTTAATTGTATAATAATTTTACCTATTTTGTAGGTTTAAAAGAATTTGAGCTTGGATACCTACATTCAGTTGATCAAAGTAGCTTTTTGTAATTTATAAATTCAAATTAAAGACTGGGTGATGAAACAAAATTAAAAGTTAAAACAACTTTGTTTTCAATACACTCATATATTTTTACTTTGTAATACAATATAGCTGTCACATACAATGGCTCTAGTAGGCTTAAATCAAATTGCAATGGGCAAGGAAAGCCAAAGAAGGGTTTACACAATATTCAATAAGCAACAGTATCTGTTCAGTGTGCAATAAAATAAAAAAGTTCTAACCTAGAAACACAGAAAAAGAATTTATTGTTTTTAAGTTTCAGAAATAAAAGTAACAGAATAGTGTATAATCTGTAACAAGCTGGTCCTGTAATTTCTAAACTACAGTCCAATTAAAACATTTAAGTAATAGAAACAATCTACATGTTTTTCTACCAGGTAAATATACCTGAGAGGGTTACCTATAAAGAAATAGGCTTTAAAACTTTTAACCACAAAGAACCTTCTGCTGCGACATTATGAAGATGGGCTATGCATGTGGCCAGACTAAGTCATTTCCCGGAGATTCTGCTCACTGCTTAGCTGCAGGTAGTGGTCCATCAATGACAGAGTATTTTACATCAATACCAGCTCATTCAACCAAAGAAGCACAGTAATATTTTAAAATCACCTGTTTATATTCATTAGTATGTAAAAATCACAATACACAGATTTGGAAACATATAACGTGTCCATAAAAAAGAGTATATTATGTAAGCATAAGCTTTTTAAAAAGGCCTTAGCAATGCAATAATGAGGGAAGCAGACTCTACATGTTGACTACAGTGAAGATATGTTAAAATTATAATTATTGTCATTGCCAAGAGCTTAGAAATAAAAACAAATTTAAAAAATTAAGACATTCTGGTAGCAAAATTACAGCTACTGTAACAACAGCTCCAAGCAAAAAATCAATTCAGAGCTTGAATGCAATTTGTGCTTTGTTTCTATAAGAATGCAGTGTTACTCTCAGACATTTCTAAATGATTAGATTCATAAATAAGCAGTTAATTTCTTTTCATCACAATTTATTTCTAATTCATCCTACGGAGATTATAGATAGAACTAAAAATTACTTAGCTTTTTTCCAGTACTTTATATAAATTGAGATCTTTTTTAAACAGTGATTTATTGTGTTTCTTAAGGTAAAACAACAAAAACAAATTCTAAAATTGTAACTTTAAATTAAGTGGTTAAAATTTCAGATGACAGAGCCGATAACTGGTAACAGCTTCTTGAAGTTCATATTAAGAGTCCAATTAGAAACACTAACAACTACCTGGCAATAGTTTGAAAGAATCAGAAGGGTTCGGTGAAGTGAAAAAAAAATCCGAACATGCAAAATACCCCCCAAAACACATGACCTTCTTTTTCATTTTATAATCTAAACTTGTAAAATATTTATAAATACATGATCATTCTACACAATACAGATCTTCTAGAGCATTTCTAAAGGATATTACAGTTTTTGGTCTTAAGGAATAAAGACTAAGATGGAAAAGGAGATGAAAACAGTGAAATCTGAGGAAGCAATACACTCTCTACACACAAGCAAACTAGTTCATCCAGTCAAGTTAGCGGTTACAGTTCAGTACATGATTTTCAAGGCAACTAAGAAATCAAGACACAGATATTTCCCCTTCCTAGAGTTTACAATTCTTTCAAAAGCTCCAATGTATCCATAAAGGAGTGCTGATTTTTGTGGGGTTTTTTCCCAGAAGGAAACAAAGAATAAATAGGGGAAAAAAAGTTTCCATCCCTAAATTCACATACACAACAAGTTAAGTTAAACTATAAGCTAGTTTTAGACTACCCAGTGAAACAGAATTGTTGGTACTATCTGAGGCAGGTGCTACCCTCCCTAGTCAGTTCAAAACATGATCCAGTAAAACAAATACACATTGTTATGCCTCAAACAACTATAAAGCATTTCATTATTCTTCAAATATCATGTTTAATTAACTCCTAAGGTAATAGACTTCTAGAATGTTGTATCTTAATGGTGTACCTGAATCAATACTAGCAATAGAATGCAAAATTCAAAATTGCTATAAAGGTAAAATCATCATAAAAAGAAACTCAATCCTTATGTAAAAAAAGGGAGAACTGAGTGTGAAATACTAACACCAAATGTCTGAAGGCAGAATTTTTGTTTGTGGAAGACAGAGCGAAGAGATAGATGCACCTAATCAAGACCAAATAGAAGACAGTGAAGAATATGAAAAATGCTTAAAAAAGAAGAAGGAAAATGGAGAAGAGACAGGCAGCAAAAGAATTACTAGATAGATCAAAAATAAGAGAAAATGAGGCATGTGCATATGGCTTTTTTGTCTGTCCTTTGTGTTCCTAAATAACTTAAAACGTAAGTGGCATGTAGGCCATACTAGCAGGCAAGAATGAGCCTTGTGATGTATACAGATGAAGAATCTGAGGCTAATGAATTGTTTTGTTTTTTGTTTTTGCTTTTAATTCATACCTGAAAGCCTTGAATCCTTGCTAAATATTCCAGTTGTTTTGAAGGTTGTACTGGAGAACAAGGGGGAGTAGGAGAACTTCCTTTTAAACCTATGGCTTCAGCTGTAGAAGATGTTCCATTCATAAGGAGTTCCCTGGCAATTGTAGCTGAACTATTCGATGTGGGAGATATACTGAAGAAAGAGCTTGAAGGTTGGTTCATATCTTTGGGTGACAAATAGCCTAGAGTAGTGCCAGAGATTACTTTGTGGCGGCTGGCTTCCATCTCTTGATAAACATCAGGAGACAAATGAAGAATTCCTTTTGGAGCTATAAATAAAATGAAGAACACTGTTATTACACTTAAAATAACCGAAATAGAAACATAGCATTATTAACTCAATGGCTTTACTTGGTGTAGTAACAAAGAAATGAGAAACACTGCCAAACAAGTATCTTTGTCATACTGTAGAGGCAGTTGCAGCTTCTATTGAAAGGTGAATAATGTCTATTTCAATTTTCCTAAAATTAGAGGTTTAAAAACATCCAAAAAAAGTGGTTTCAATGGGACTTATGTGTAGTAGTGAAGCTATAAAGGGACAAGGGAAACTGAATGTGTGGAAGTATAATGGGGCAGAAAATCAGGAATGTGCAGTGTCTTCACCCTGCAATTTAATATTTTATATCTCATAAAAGAGGCATGAAACCCCAACACATACAGCAATTGAGGCACATCAGGTAAAATAAAGGCTGAATCAGTCCAAATTTCTTTGGAGGTACAAACGCATGTATTCAACAGCCTAGTGATCCTCTCACCTCCACAAGGATGTCCCACAGACAACTCTAACTCACGAACACATAAAAAAGCAAATGGGTATCATCTCAAAACTAGCACTGTCTCTAACTTGCTTTGCTCATACTACCATGTGGCTGCTCATGACCCAACCTAGACTCCTGGCAACCATCTCTGATTTACTCATAAGCAAGTAGTTATCGTGTTGCTCAAACATCTCAAGAATATGACCATTGTAGGGATTATCTAGTGCATTAATTCAAGCCAGGCCATGGACAGGTTCTGAAATCAAGAGGAGTGGGGGCTATGTCATTAGTTGATGGAGCTTAAACCATATTAGAGAAGCACTTTCCTTTGACTATCATTTGTCTCAGAGAAGTTTCAAACCACATTTCAAACTGCTTATTCTTATCTTTTGATCAGGTATCAATAACTCTCAAATGATATTATCTTTTAAAATTATTGGTAAGTCACCACTCATAAAGAATGTGCTCTGAGAGACACAACTTAATTTCCTGTTCTTGCCCCTTCCTCTCCTGATGCTAACCTTCTGATTCAAGCTTTCAATGTTTCTCTGCTGCTAGTATTCTCAGTGTCCATTTCCCAAAATGTGTTCTATAACATGGTCCCCAAATAAAATGGTTCCATAAATAAAAACTGAAAATAATGCAAATTACATAATACAAATGCCTTTTGTGAAATTAAAAATACACATTAGCATAGTGAAGAATCAGAAAACTCAAAGAACAAAAATCTATTCGACTTGGTTTAACTCAGGATTCCTGAGTTTACTTTTTGTCCAAGCCTTTAACATAGCATGAATAAAACAGCTAACACTTTGGGAAATGCTGGAGGCTAGCCCAACTCTCCTCTGACTCAGTCATTTCCAATGACCTGTCTTTGAGATTGATGACCTTTTCTTCTGCTTGACATTGTCTGCTATTGAATCCCTCTGGTAACTTTTTCAGTTTATGGTATTTTTTAGCTCCATGCTTTCTGCTTGCTACTTTTTAAAGTTTTCTTTTTGTTGAAATTCTCACTTTTTTTCATGCATTGTTCACCAGACCTCAGTGGGAATGTTTGTAAGGATTACTTTGAATTCTCTGTCAGGTAAATCACATATCTCCATTTCATTAGGGTCAGTTTCTGGAGCTTTATCTCATTCCTTTATTTAGGAAATGTTTTCCTGTTTCTTCATTTTTCCTTGATTCTCTGTGTTTGTGTCTGCACAAACTGGCCTCATACTGGAGAAGATCCTAACCAATCAGCCTGGACAGAGATTCTGGAGGCCTCTCAAACTTTTATGCTAGTCTAATCCACTTTCTTTGTTCTTGGCAGTCCCCAGGCATCAGTCCCTTGCTTGTCTCAGTCCCATCAGAGCTCTGAGACAAGCAAGACTGAAGCCAATTCTTCAGGCAACTCCCAGATAAGTTGGGTCATTGGATACATGGTGCTCCTCTTTGCCTCTCCAGGAAAAAGCTGAAAGCTGAAGCTTTTCAACAGTTAGCTTTGTGCTGGGCTGAGCAGGGGATGGTTACAGTGACCACCACCACCAGCCACCTCTTTCTTCATTGGCCCCGGGGTTGCTAAAATATGCCATGTCCTGTCAGCACTCTGAGACTGGCCAGACAGAAGCCAGTCCTCTGGGTAGCCCCAGAAAAGCTAAGGCATTGGATGCGTGGTATACATCTTTCCCCTTCTAGGCAGAAAGAAGCTGGGAGCTGGGGGTGGAGGGTGGTTGTCCTGATTGTATGGCCCTGCACTGTGAGGAGGGATTATGGCATGAGGGTATCTTAAATTTCCCTGCCAATTAAGATCTGGCTGGTTTCATGCTCACCCGGCATACAGGAGCCTCTTAACTGGTTTCTGGATTTCTCACAAAGAAAAATTGCCTATAAATTATTGTTGAATTGCTGTGTTCCAGGGCTTCCTATTCTACCATCTTGCCAAGGCTAGAACATTCTCTTACTTAAAGGTCTTTCACCAGTTTATCAGTTACACTATAGAACCCAAACTCCTTAGGATAACCTAGGAAGCCCTTAATAATCTGGCTCCTACTTATCGCTCTATCTTCATCTACGAAATATTTCATGAAGATCCCATGCTCCAGTTACACAGATATATCCAATACTCCAGGCTGTTTGATCCCAACACATCTTTATTTCTATTGTTCGGTTACACACATGCACATACTCTCTTAGTTAAGCTCCAACTGCTATTGTGCTAGTTAAGCTTCAGGCATCGCACCAACCAATACTGTCCTGACCTCAAGTCATGCTCAGTCTATCAGGAGAGGAACGAAAATGGATAATACAATGTGATAGGGGTCTCACTAGAGACAGGTGTATAGAGCAGTGGGAATGGGAAAGGAGAAGTGCTAAAAGCTCAGGGAAGGCTTGCTGGAGATGACGATGACAGTAAATTTCAAAGGATGAGGAGAATACAGTCCAGGAGGAAGAGGACTGAGAGCAGATGGCCAGCAGGAGCAAGGGCAGGGACCTGGAGGGTTTGTGTTCTAGGAAACCTCAGGCCATGCCTTATCACAAGAGCATACAGAGTCAGAATTGCAAATGCAGGTGGAGGCACGCAGGGGCCAAGGTCCAGGGAACTTTATCCTGATGCCATTAAGTATAAAAGAGTTTTGTAAGTTTTTTTAAAAACACTTTAAATAGCTTAAAATAATACAGACAGTCCTCCGCATGCATGAGTCCCATATCCCTGGATTCAACCAACTGTGGATAGAAAACATTTGCAAAGAGAAACAACAACAACAAAAACAACAACAAAAAACCCCACACACAATAAAAAATAATGCAACAATAAAAAAAAATACAAAATTTAAAACTAATACAATATAATAACTATTTACATAGCATTTATATAATATTTGATGTTGTGTAATCTAGAGAAGATTTAAGTATACTGGAATATGTGCATAGGTTATATGCAAATATGATGCCATTGCCATTTTCTATCACGGACTTGAGCATCTGTGGATTTTGGTATCTATAAGGTGTCCTGAAACCAATTCTTCACGGATATCAAGGGATGACTGTATATCAATCCTATTTTATGTATTTTCTTTATTCCTTTATGTTAGCTTTCAAATTCTCTACATTAACATGTGTTAGTTTTTTTATAATCAGGAAAAAATTTCAATAAATTTTTTTACAAGAAAACATTATGTACTGAAAAAAGTTAAGATAAATCTCATCAGCCAGAGGACATTACTTTCAACATTTTGCTTTAAAGATATGTTTTTAATCCTGTTTTATCTATGCACTTTTTAGTTGTTGTTTACTTGAAAAAACAAGTTAAATACATAGGAATAAAATATGATCCTGTCACTGTTTATAAAACAATATATTTCTACAACTAATACTAAAAGTATAAAATTTCATTATATGAACTGTTTCTTAAAACAATTCCATATTATCAGACATCTAATTTATCTCCAGTTTTTTGCAATTATAAACACAGTGATGAACATTCTTGTAACTCAATCCTTATTCACATGAAAATTTATTTCCTCAAGTTAGAAGCGGAATTGCTAGTTGAAAGGATATTTTAGAGTTTTTGACACTTAACAAATTGCCCTCCAAAGAAGCTGTACCAATATCAGACGCCCACAGAGATATATGAAAGTATCTTGTTTCCTATTTTGGTATTGGAAATTACTATAAAAAATCTTAAGGCTGGGTGCTGTGGCTCATGCCTGTAATCCCAGCACTTTGGGAGGCCGAAGCTGGCAAATCACGAGGTCAGGAGTTCGAGACCAGCCTGGCCAACATGTTGAAACCCCGTCTCTACTAAAAATACAAAAAATTAGCTGGACGTAGTGGCAGGCGCCTGAAATCCCAGCTACTTGGGAGGCTGAGGCAGGAGAATCGCTTGAACCCGGGAGGTGGAGGTTCCAGTGAGCCAAGATCACGCCACTGCACTACAGCCCAGGCAACTGTCTCAAAAAAAAATCTTTGCCAGTTATCAACAGTAACAGAAAGCAGGTCAGTGGTTGTCTGGGGAGTGGAGCTGGTGGGAGTGACAGATTGCAAAAGGGCATGAGAAATCTTTTGGTGAGATGAAAATGTCAAGACTGATTAAACTGTAGACATTATGTGCAGTTTATTATACTTCAATTATACCTCAATAAAGTTGTAAAAAAAAATTGCCAATTTGACAAATGGAGTGTCATATTACTGATTTTTGTTTTTTACTATCTGCATAAACATTATATATATTTTAGTTTAAAGAATAACTTAAATGTTATAATTCTAACTTCTATACTCAATTTAAAAAATCAAGAAACTTAACAGCATTACTTCAGTATTGTTATTATACAGGACTAATGGGTTTGCCAATAGCAATATTATAAAGCAACAAAAATGCTCTCCACACTCAAGAGAGGCATTACCTCACAGCATAAGAACGTGGAGTTCAGGCTCTCCTATTCTACAGTAAAGCCTAAGTGGACTTTTCTTCACAAATAAAGATTACTTTCTACAGAGTTCAACTAACAGACTAGTCATAGAAATAGCATAAAAACATAGATTTATGTGGTCAAGAACTGAATGACTTTTAACTTGAACATCAGTAACAGTATTTGGATGGGTGTTAATTCACTTAGGATCTTCCTGTTGTAAATTTAAGTCGCTTTTCAATAGTATAAAGATCTAAAAGTAGAATCAAAGAGTAATTTAGGGTATGCATATTTAAGGACCTTATTTTGCTAATTAGGTTTCTCCCAAAAAACTACCCCAGTTCATACTTCTATTAGTAGGATGTGACTGTTTTCCCACACTTCTCCCACAACACGTTTCAGTTACTCTAAATAATCATTGCCACTCTACAATAATTCATTGTTAATTTATTTTTGTTTGGTTACTGCTCAGGATAAACTTTTTCTCATGTAGCTACTTTAGGTCTGTGCCTTCTTTGACCTCAATTTTGCTCATGGACTTCAACCACTACACTTCCCTCGCTCAGGCTTGTAACATCCATTATATTCATTCACCCTTTATCTGAAGAGGTCCTGAACCCATTCTGCCATCATCTATCTTTTGTCCCTGGTTTTGCCTTTGATGCTCCCATCTTGGTACAGTCTATAACTACAGTACACAGTTACAATGCAGATACAACATGGGCACTGTTCTAGTACTTTACTTCTCATTTAATTCCCATAACAACCATATGAAATGGGCATTATTATTTTCCTATATTAGAGATGAAAAAAACTGAAGCATGGAGAAGATATGAAACTCTCCCAAGGTCATATGGATAATAAGCAGCAATGCTAGAATTTGACTCCAGGCAGTCTGCCTCTAGAGTTTGAATACTTAACCATTACCTTAAATAGCCTCCTAAAAGAACAGGTAGGAAACTAAATGCAACATCTCACCAGCTCCAAACCCCTAAGGCTTAAATCCAGTAAGTAAATGCCCGGGGTTTGCCCAGATTGGTTCCAAGGATGACCCATGTCATGATGGTTGTCCCTAGATGTTCCAGAGATGAGCTCACCAAAATCTCACTGAAGTATACAGAGTTTATACATGATTTTAAAGGTCTAAAGTTGCCAGGGACTGTGATATCTTAACACCAGGCTATTGTACCCACTTGACATGTTTTTGCTCAGTAGATCTGTGCTTCTTTCAGATGGGTATATGAATCCTCTGGCACACAAATCTTCCTGGAGCATCTTTATGGAGCTCCAGTTCTTACTGAAGAGTTGAAGAGGGACTTTTGAATTGGAGAGCTCTTAAAAGGTTTTATAAGCGAACTTAGGAGAACCTTGCCTTTCAATGATCACTGATGTCATGATTCTTTCAGAGATGCTGAAGAAGATAAGTGTTTGTGAGTAGCAAGTGGTATCAGAGGTATTAAAACACAGCAAGCCAGGCAGCAAGAAAGATAATGCCACTGATCCAAATGGTTACTGCCACTCCACTGGAACTCCCAGTTTCTCTGGAAGTCCTTGGAATGGGCATAGCTATTTCACAACAAATAATTTCTTTTCATTTTTCACAGAAAAGCTTTGAAAAAAAAAACTTTGTTTCCATTGCCAGCTTGAATTTACGCCTCAACAATGTTGGACTATAAATTTGTTTATAAATACCCAAATATCCAATAATACTCAGGCCCACTTTGCTACAGTGAGTTTTTCACAATAAAAAATTATAATTAAAAATTCTTAAGAACTAGAAACAGGGGCTTCTGGTTCAAAACAGGAAATGTGAGAAAATTATGAACAACAGCATGATTATCTGTCTCTAGTGATTTTTAAAAATCATTTATATGAGAACTGGTAGGCTCTAAGTAAGGTCTGTAGTCTAGTTCATTGTATTATGACAATTTCCTAGTTTTGAAAATGTACTATAGTTATATAAGACATCACCACTGGAAGAAGCTGAGTGACGGGTACATGCAACCTCTTTGTACCATTCTTATAACTTCTTGTGAGTCTATCATTATTACACTTTTAAAAGTTTTTTTGAAAGCACCGTTTTATGCTGCTTTGGGCCTCTCCCTCAACATAGAGACCCCAGAACAGGGTGGTGATGGGGACACCAAAGTGGGAAGGACTGGTGGCAGCACCATTCCTAGATATAGCTCTGAGGATAAGCAGGGCTGGCACTGGCAATGCCTGCTCCTTGACAACTTTGCTCACGGCCTTTGCCTAATGCACAGGCCCTGGCTCCCCAGGCTCTGGGTGCTTGACTTTTAGCTACATGAAAGCAAGGGAGATCCTGATGACAGTGTGGGCCTCATAGCCGGGACCTTGTTCTCTCCCAGGGTAGCCTGAGGCCACGTATTAGTTAAGAGTACATGTGACCCAAGGGAGCCTACTGGACCACCATGGTCATGTCCCTGAAGGTCAGGGACAGGTGGAATGCATCCTTGGCATGATCTTTAGCTACTAGACTGATGTGAGCTACAGAAATCCCCCTTCCTGCTGCCCTGTTGTTGGGATCAAATCGAACAGGTAGTATTTGTAAGTGACTCCACCTCTTCTTTTACACACAGCTCACTGCAAATCTGGTCTTCCAGATAAGGCCCTCAGACCCTTAGTTCTGCCTAATTTTTAAGCCAAATATATACTACTTATGAAATCAAAAATCAACAATGCAAAATATAAACTCTTGTGGAAAACTAAAAAGAGAAAATGTTAGCTAACAGCAAAACAATGAAAAAATAAAAAAATAGGTAAATAATTTGTTAGAGGTTTCTTCTTAAGATCAGTTTCAGAATCACCTTGGAAACGAAAAAGACACACTAAAAAAAGAGTCATTACTGAACAGATTTTTTTTTTTTTTTTTTTTTTTGAGACAGAGTCTCGCTCTGTCCCCCAGGCTGGAGTGCAGTGGCGCCATCTCGGCTCACTGCAAGCTCTGCCTCCCGGGTTCACGCCATTCTCCTGACTCAGCCTCCCGAGTAGCTGGGACTACAGGCTCCCACCACCATGCCTGGCTAATTTTTTATATTTTTAGTAGAGACGGGGTTTCACCGTGTCAGCCAGGATGTTCTCGATCTCCTGACCTCGTGATCCGCCCACCTCGGCCTCCCAAAGTGCTGGGATTACAGGCGTGAGCCACCACGCCTGGCCAAAATGATGTATTTTAATGTGCTCAAAAAGCATAACCTGAACAGTGGTGAAAATCAACCTTGCTCTTACCCTTAGAGTTGAACGGAAGCACTGATTTTATTAATTTGTGCATTTTATTGGTCCTTTTTTTCCTGCTACATTTAACATAATGATGTATGTGAAGGGTTCTTAATTTGGTGAATGTTTATGAATAAAATTACTGACAAAGAACTTTTCAGGAAGATGTTTGCCTTTTGGTGAACACAGTACCAACGGGAAAATGCACTTAGTCCAGTCTTGCCCCCAAAAAGGCAGAATCCCAGGTCATGACATAGCATCCAGCACACCTCCAAGAGGAAGAAGGAGGAATACAAAATAGTAAATAATACATATTCCTCAAAACACCAATAATGAACAGAAATAACAGCAATAAAGGTTTTTCAAAAATGTTTTAAAGATCAATTTATGATGAACTGGGAAATGCCTTTGGAAAGCTTGTACCTTAGTCAAATAAAAGTGCGAGTGAGTTTTCAAATTCAGGACTGGCTGCTATTTTTTCTTTAAAACAGGCAAATGGAAAGTATTTAATAACAAAGAATATAAACCTGGGTATGGTGAATAAATTCATCATTCATCTTTTTTTTTTAAACCTTACACAAATGCAGTAACTTATACTTTTGCCAGAAATTTTCTTTAACAAGAAGATTCTGGAGCCCAAAGTGAGTCATGCAAATCAAAGAACAGTCTGGCACAGGGGTTATTAATAGTGATCCAAGGGCCCCTAAATAGTTTGAAATAGGTTGACTTCACAACAAGGGCAGTGCACATTGTATATGACTCAGAGTCAGTGTGGTGCAGGGAAGTGATTGGGGAGTTCAGGAATTCCCCAGAAGCGCATTCACCACTCATCTTAATAATAAGGAAGATTTCACTTAGTTGGCTTATTTAGAAGAAATTTTTTTCAAGGCTCAGCTTTTCAATAAAGACACAACTGTGACTATTTCTACCAAGTAAGACAAAATAGTTGCTGTGAAAATGATGTTTGAGAGCACCTTGTGAGGATAATGAGTCATCTTCAATTTTTAGTTTATTTAAGTGGGGTTAAAATGTTGCTCGTAAAATAAAGATCGTTCTTCTTGGTTATGATTCTTCTCAGAAAAACTCCATTAGTTATGATTTCCCTACGACAGAAAAACACCAAAAAATGGATTATATAAGTCTGACATATGACAAAAGTGACCTGATCTCTCAGCAGGAAGAAACACATACTGAAATGTCTACCGCAGCAGCTTCCAAACACTGCACCACAATACTCCTCTGCCAGGATTCCTATTGCTTCCTAGTCAATACCTGCAAACGGCTCACAATACAATAATAGTACAATACAATAACAATAATAATTCTGGCTAAAACTCATAGAGTCCTTACTAGATATCAGGCTTGTTCCAAATGCTTTGCATATATTAGTTTAGTAATCCTCACAATGACCCTCAAGAAGTAGGGACTATGAATATTCCCATTTTACACTTGAAGGCCCTAAGACACAGGTGATATGACTGGCTTAAAGTCACAGCCAGTAAGTGGCAGGTGTTGGGGCAGTATCCAGGCATCTGGCTACAGTCAGCAAGTATAACTACCTTTCAGTAGTAAAACAAATAAACCAAGAACTACTGTTCTTATATCTATACATTTAAGAAGTTCTGGGCATTTAGATTCTTGAAATATTCTAACACCATGATAGAGACAAGAAACTGTCAAGATATTGAACTTCATTTCTTCATTTCAGACCTATTTTCTAGGCTCAATGAACCTCAGTCTCCCCTCTCATAGTAAAAGAAAAGATGGAGGTCAGTGCAGTGGCTCACACCTGTGATCCCAACACTTTGGGAGGCCAAGGCAGGAGGATCACTTGAGGCCACAAGTTCAAAACCAGCCTGGGCTATACAGCAAGGTGCTGTCTCCATAAAAAATTAAAACTTTAGCTGGGCATGGTGGCATGCACCTGTAGTCCCAGCTACTCAGGAGGCTGAGGTAGGAGGATCCCTTGAGCAGAGGAGTTCAAGGCTGCAGTGAGCTATAATGGCAACTCTGCACTCCAGCCTGGACACACTGTCTCTTTAAAAAAGATAGAGAGAGAGAGAGACTGAGATTTTTCTCACTGTAAAACCACCCATTGGGAAAAATGTAAAAATAATGCACTTGGCTATTTTCACAATTTTGTTTGTGGGAAGAAAATAAATTCAAATATTAGGTTCACACAAAGAAAAACTTAAGCACAGCCTTAGGATGAAAGAACTTAACCCACAAAACACTTTCTTACAATTCTCCTTATATGATCTAATTATGATTTAACAATTTACTACACATTAGTCTATTATTCAGTCTATTATATATTATTCAGAAACTTATGGAAGAATCCACAATATTATTAATAAAAACAACTAACTGGAACTGTATAAATATTAAGTACTGGGCTGGGTGCAGTGGCTCACACCTATAATCAGCACTTTGGAAGGCTAAGGCAAAAGGGCTGCTTGAGCTCAGGAGTTTAAGACCAGCCTGGGCAACACAGCAAAACCTCATCTCAAAAACTGTATTTTTAAAATAATATATATATATAAAGTACTTATCCAATTTTTAAATTTTCTTGTAAAAATAACAAATTCACTTTTTAGAACCAGGAAAGAAGCAGCCTAGCAAGAAATAAAATTTAGACAAAACACACCTTAGTCCAGCCAAATACACACAAAAAAACCTGTTCTCCCACTTTTATCTATGTATCAAAGGCAGAGAGGGACTTTCACCCTTGCAAAGCTGTAACAACTCTCCCCAACTTCCCTGATGTGGTAGTGTCAGAAAAAACTGAGTAGGCAGCTTGGACTTTCATCCTAGCCCCGTGGTGTCAGTGGAGATCATGTAGGGACACTAAACTTCTACCCCCACCTAGCAGTAATAGGATGCCCCCCACCTCCGTGCTGGAGTGGTGTCAGGAGAGAATAAAGGAGAATCAGAACTAGTGGGAACAAGGTCACCTCACTATGGTGTCAGTGGAGACCATATGGGGACCAGAATTTCCACTCAATCCAGGGCTGGGGGTAGGGGAAAGGGTATGGCTATAACAGCACAACATGAGGAACTCTCATGGTGACAGAACTGTTCTGTATCATATTTATATTAATACCTTAGTTGTGATATTGTACTATAGTTCTGCAAGGTGTTACCAGAGATAAACAAGGCAAAGGGTCCATAGGATCTCTTTGTATTAATTCTTACAACTGCATGTGCATCTACAATTTTCTCAAAATAAAATTTTTATTAATTATTTTAAAATTTATTGTAGAGACAGGATCTTGCTATGTTGCCCAGGCTGGTCTTAAGCTCCTGGCCTCCCACTTCAACCTCCCAAAGCATTGGGATTACATGCATGAGCTACCATGCCTGGCCATCAAAATAAAAAGTTTAATAAAAAAGAAGTCTTGGGTGACACCAGCAAGATGGTAGAACAGGAAGTCCCAGCCCTTATTCCTAACTCATACATTGATTTAACAATGATATACAGACCAAAATACCTTTTTGAGAATTCCAGAATCCAGTTAAGAAGTTGCAGTATCCCAGATGAGCACAAAGCCAAGAATGGCCACACTGAAACATGTAAGAACAATTTCACTTTACCCACACCACCCCCCTAAGTCAGCATAGCTTAGTGCCACATAGCTTAGTGCCGGGAGAGAGCATTCCAGATCACAACTTCTCCCTTGGGGTAAAGGTGAGTGGAATGTGCATCCAACATTTTACGTTTTCAGAGGGCTTCCCAAGGGACTAATTTTTGTCTTGCTTCACTTGGAGTGCCGACAGAGCCAGCATATTTTGGATACCTGGGATATTTAGTTTTCCCGGCACCATTTGTTGAAAATGTGGTACACATACAGCATGGAATACTATGCAGCCATAAAAAAGAATGAGATCATGTCCTTTGCAGGGACATGGATGGAGCTGGAGGCCATTTTCCTTAGCAAACTAACACAGGAACAGATATTAAATACTGCATGTTCTCACTTACAAGTAGGAGCTACATTATGAGACCACATGAACACATAGAGGGGAATAACACACACTGGAGCCTATCGAAGGGTGAAGGGTGGAGGGTGGAGGGTGGAAGGTGGAAGGAGGTAGAGGATCAGGAAAAATAACTAACAGGTACTAGGCTTCATATCTGGATGATGAAATAATCTGTATGACAAGCCCCCATGACACAGTTTACCTACATAACAAACCTGCATGTGTACCCCTGAACTTAAAAAATGAAAGTTAAAAAAAAAAGAAAATATACTCAGTGGGTCCTCAAATAATGTTGTTTTGTTCAACATCATTTTGTTATAATATTGATGAGAAAAAAAATCAAATCCCACCTGGGCCACTGTCTTATGTGGAGTTCTCATGTTCTGCCCATATCTGCACTGGTTTTCTCCAGGTCCTCCAGTTTCATCCCACATTTAAAAGATATGCATATTAGGTTCACTGGCAGGTCTAAGTTGTCCCAGTATGGGTGTCGTGTGTGTGTGTGTGCGCACACGCGTGTGCACATGTGTCCTGGAATGGAATGACATCCTGTCCAGAGTTGGTTCTTGCCTTTGCTCCCTAAGCTGCTAGGATAGGCTCTGACCAACCTCAATCCTGAACTGGAATAAGTGGGTTAGAAAATGAATGACTGAATGTATACAAATGAATGTAAAATTAAAATCTGTAAAATGCACAATAATCATATAATATGGTTTGGCTCTGAGTCTGCACCCAAATCTCATGTGGAATTGGAGTCCCAGTGTTGGAGGAGGGGCCTGGTGGGAGGTGATTGAATCATGGGGGCAGACTTCCCCCTTGCTGTTCTCCTGATAGAGTGTTCACAAGATTTGCCTGTTTGAAAGTGTGTAGCACCTCCCCTGCTTGCTCTCTCTCTCCTGCTGGCCATGTGAAGATGTGCTTGCTTCCCCTTTGCCATCTGCCATGACTGTAAGCTTCCTGAGGCCTTCCCAGAAGCAAAATCCTGAACAGCCTGCAGAACTATTATCCAATTAAACCTCTTTTCTTTATAAATTACTCAGTCTCAGGTATCTCTTTACAGCCCTGCAAAAACAGACTAATACATTACACAAATGCACAACAATAAACAATGCAGTATAAAAGTGTTCAGTGAGCCCACCATATTTGTTATTGTTTGTTTTTTAATTGTGTGGTGGTAGGAAGTACTGCTTACAATTTTCACTTTGCAAACATTTATACTTTGATTTAACCCACCACCACCATGACTGCTATCACTCACTTATTCACCCCACATTGAGTAAACAATTATCTTGTTTTTATTAAACTTTCTTAATTGTACATGTAAGCTCATATTTATTTCAATGTTTAATATTACAATTTGGGTCTTTATTGAGAAGTCTGGTGATATTTCTCTAACCACAAATATGTTGTGAGAACTTAACTCTTGTTTATATCAATCAGCCTATGATAAAACTGATTTCGTTATATGTCATTTCACTTAAAGTAGTAGTTTCCAAGAACCTATCAATGATGTTAAGTAAGAACTTACTGGATTTAATTTTTTTAGTGGTAAAGCAAAAAAAAGAAGTCTAATGTTCTGTATTAACACAAAATGTAATAAAGTAAAAACAACAATAGTACATTGGTAAATGCACCAGACTGGAGCCCAGCTATCTGGGTTTGAGTTGAGGCAGCAGATATTCTCCTTATCATGCTTTCTTCATCTGTAAGATGAATTAGTCTTAAGGAACTTTTCATTTCTTTCAGCCCTAATAATCTATGAATCATCTTAACACAAACCAGAAAGCTTGGAATAAAAGAACACACTTGAATAACATCACCCAAAAAGCCTGTTGAGTGTTTTTTAAATTTGACTATTACTAAAGTTTTTTTAAATCTTAAGAAAAATCAAGTAATGTAGATGGCTGTGTCACTGATGTAATAATAGTTAAAACAAACATTTCACATAGTTTCTCAGCCATTTAGTGTTTTTACATGATCCACCCAAATATCAATCTGGTATCTGAAACAATAGTTTGAACATTTTCCATGTAATAAAACATCTTAAATGTTTTATAAAAAAAGATTCTGGTACATGATATATAAAACATTCTTTCAAAAAAATGCGTACTTAATTTTAATGGAATTTCTTAAAAACACTATTCTCTTTTTTTCCTTTAATTATCAGCAAATGATATATCTAGAAATAAAGGTGCTGTCTAGTGGCAACTGCAGAGACCCTGGAGTCAGAAGACATGAGTTCAAGTCTTCACTACCTTTAACTAAGAGTGTCTTTAGACCCGTTATAAAATCAACTGAGCCTCAATTTTCCTGTATGTAAAACATGTGAGGTTGGACATTCTCCAACCTTTTCACACTTAAGCCTCCTTATGTTGTTTTTCTTCTATGTATACCATGCTTAAAGGATCTGTCTTTCAGACAGACTGCATTTATTAAGTAATAATAAATCATCTTTCAAAGACTGCCAACCTGAGATTCAGAACATCTTGAGGTCTGAATTCAAATAAAATTCTAATCCAAAGCAAAGCAATCTACTAAGAGTAACTGTATTACTTCCATTAGGTTGCTGAAATACTAATTATGCCAACCATTATTATATTGAATCCAACAATACCACGCTGAGAATCTCAGGTCTGGATCACACCTAAATTCCTAGAATTCTAATTGTTATATGTTATAAACTACTCAAAAGATCATTAATACAGTGGGGAAAAAAGTGAAAATGCAATTCTTGCATTTGCTCAAATACTGAGCACCAACAATGCCAGACACTGTGCTATGTGATTTACTTTTTAAGATTAAAAAAAAGGCCGGGCGCAGTGGTTCACGCTTGTAATCCCAGCACCTTGGGAGGCCGAGGCGGGCAGATCACCTCAGGTTGGGAGTTTGAGACTAGCCTGACCAACATGGAGAAACTCCATCTCTACTAAAAATACAAAATTAGCCAGGTGTGGTGGCATATGCCTGTAATCCCAGCTACTCAGGAGGCTGAGGCAGAAGAATCACTTGAATCCGTGAGGTGGAGGTGGCAGTGAGCCAAGATTACACCACTGCACTCCAGCCTGGGCAACAAGAAAACGATTAAAAAACGATTAAAAAAATTGATTTTTTTTTCAAATAATATTTGTCTCTCTCTCTTTTTTTTTTTTAAGATGAAGTCTCACTCATTCTGTGGTCCAGGCTGCAGTGGCACAATCTGTGCTCACTGCAACCTCCACCTCCCAGGTTCAAGCAATTCTCCCACCTTGGCCTCCTGAGTAATTGGAATTATAGGCATGTGCCACACCATGCCTGGCAAATTTTTGTATTTTTAGCAGAGATGGAGTTTCACCGTGTTGGCCAGGCTGGTCTCAAACTCCTGACCTCAAGTGATCTACCCACCTCAGCCCCTGAAGTGCTGGGATTACAGGCATCCCACCTTTTCTTACTCGCTGGGGGGGAGGGGGGAGTTGGGCAGGATGGTGGTGTTTATCTTAAATATGGACTCGTCTTTCAATAAGCAATTTCATCTTTAAAAACTACTGAAATCATCAATAATACCAAAAAGGGTACATTATAATAAACAAATACTTTCTAAAAAAATGAAAGAATGAATGATGCATTAACATTATACAAAGAAGTTTTAGGGAAACTATCTGCACTGCCTTCCTGAACCTTAATAGTTTTCAACCATACAGTTAGTTCCCTGTTGCTTATTTTAGTGCTTCATAATTGATGCTTTGACTACTCTCACATCTCTTATTTCTGTTGCCAAGGAAGGAGATTTTTGTCTTTTCAATTACTTGTACTCCATGTAGTACGTGCAAGAAGATTACAGACCAAGTACATCTTTATTCACATTTGTTTAAAACACACATTACTTTAAACTGACTCATGTTAAAACACAAGAAAGACTCAATGATTAAGCTGGGTGCAGTGGCTCATGCCTATAATCCTAACACTTTGGGAAGCCAAGGCAGGATGACTTCAGGCCAGGAGTTTGAGACAAGCCTGGGCAACTCCACAAGACCTTGTCTCTAGTCGGGGGAGTGGGGGCAAAGCTGGGTGTGGTGCCACGTGCCTGTAAAATTAGCTACTTGAAAGGCTGAGGCAAGAGGATCCCTTGAGCCCAGGAGTTCAAGTCTGCAATGAGCTATGATCATGCCACTGCACAACTGACAGAATTTTGCTAACAGAGTGAGACCCTATCTCAAAAAAAAAAAGACAACGATTAAAACTGGCACATAGATAGTTAGATGAACAGAGGAGAACAGAAAGTCTGGAATAATACCAAATTCATAATCTTAGTATATGGTAACAGTGAACTCTCAATGCAGTGGGGAATAAAGTTGGGTCCATACTTTCAGTATAAGTAACAGATGGATCAAGACTTCAAGATTTCAAAAAATGAAACTATAAGAGTTCCAGAAGATAACTTAAAAGAAATGTTTTGATTGGAGGTTCCAAGATGGCCAGATAGGAACAGCTCCATGCTGCAGCTCCCAGTGTGAGCGATGCAGAAGACGGGTGATTTCTGCATTCCAACTGAGGTACCAGGTTCATCTCACTGGGGCTTGTCGGACAGTGGGTGCAGCACACGGAGCAGGGTGGGGCATCATCTCACCTGGGAAGCGCAAGGGGTCGGGGAATTCCCTTTCCTAGACAAGGGAAGCTGTGACAGATGGTACCTGGAAAATCAGGACACCGCCACCCTAATACTGCGCTTTTCCAACGGTCTTAGCAAACGGCACACCAAGAGATTATATCCTGCGCCTGGCTCAGAGGGTCCCATGCCTACAGAGCCTCGCTCACTGCTAGCACAGCAGTCTGAGATCAGACTGCAAAGTGGCAGTGAGGCTGGGGGAGGGCCGTCCGCCATTGCTGAGGCTTGAGTAGGTAAACAAAGCAGCCGGGAAGCTCGAACTGGGTGGAGCCCACCACAGCTCAAGGAGGCCTGCCCGCCTCTGTAGACTCCACCTCCGGGGGCAGGGCATAGCTGAACAAAAGTCAGCAGAAACTTCTGCAGACTTAAACGTCCCTGTCTGACAGCTTTGAAGAGAGTAGTGGTTCTCCCAGCATGGAGTCTGAGATCTGAGAACAGACAGACTGCCACCTCAAGTGGGTCCCTGACCCCCGAGAAGCCTAACTGGGAGACACCTTCCAGTAGGGGCTGACTGACACCTCATACAGCTGGGTGCCCCTCTGAGACGACGCTTCCACAGGAACGATCAGGCAGCAATATTTGTCATTCTGCAATATTTGCTGTTCTGCAGCCTCCACTGGTGATACCCAGGCAAACAGGATCTGGAGTGGACCTCCAGCAAACTCCAACAGACCTGCAGCTAAGGGTCCTGACTGTTGGAAGGAAAACTAACAAACAGAAAGGACATCCACACCAAAACCCCATCTGTACGTCACCATCATCAAAGACCAAAGGTAGATAAAACCACAAAGATGGGGAGAAACCAGAGCAGGAAAGCTGAAAATTCTAAAAATCAGAATGCCTCTTCTCCTCCAAAGGAATACAGCTCCTCGCCAGCAACGGAAAAAAGCTGGATGGAGAACGACTTCTACAAGTTGAGAGAAGAAGGCTTCAGATGATTGGTAACAACAAACTTCTCCAAGCTAAAGGAGGATGTTCAAACCCATTGCAAAGGAGCTAAAAACCTTGAAAAAAGATTCGACAAACGGCTAACTAGAATAAACAGTGTAGAGAAGACTTTAAATGACCTGATGGAGCTGAAAACCATGGCACAAGAACTACGTGACGCATGCACAAGCTTCAGTACTGATTTGATCAAGTGGAAGTAAGGGTATCAGTGATTAAAGATTAAACTAATGAAATAAAGCGAGAAGTTTAGAGAAAAAAAGAGTAAAAAGAAATGAACAAAGCCTCCAAGAAATATGGGACTATGTGAAAAGACCAAATCTACGTCTGATTGGTGTACCTGAAAGTGACGGGGGGAATGGAACCAAGTTGGAAAACACTCTGCAGGATATTATCCAGGAGAACTTCCCCAATCTAGAAAGCCTCCAAGAAATAGCAGACTATGTGAATAGACCAAATCTACGTCTGACTGGTGTACCTGAAAGTGACGGGAAGAACGGAACCAAGTTGGAAAACACTCTGCAGTATATTATCCCAGAGAACTTCCCCAACCTAGCAAGGCAGGCCAACATTCAAATTCAGGAAATACAGAGAACGCCACAAAGATGCTCCTCAAGAAGAGCAACCCCAAGACACGTAATTGTCAGATTCACCAAAGCTGAAATGAAGGAAAAAATTTTAAGGGCAGCCAGAGAGAAAGGTCATGTTACCCATAAAGGGAAGCCCATCAGACTAACAGCGGATCTCTCGGCAGAAACTCTACAAGCCAGAAGAGAGTGGGGGCCAATATTCACCATTCTTAAAGAAAAGAATTTTCAACCCAGAATTTCATATCTAGCCAAACTAAGCTTCATAAGTGAAGGAGAAATAAAATCCTTTACAGACAAGCAAATGCTGAGAGATTTTAGTAAATGGGCTAAATGCTCCAATTAAAAGACAGACTGGCAGTTTGGATAAAGAGTCAAGACCCATCAGTGTGCTGTATTCAGGAGACCCATCTCACATGCAGAGACACACATAGGCTCAAAATAAAGGGATGGAGGAAGATCTACCAAGCAAATGGGAAACAAAAAAAAGCAGGGGTTGCAATCCTAGTCTCTGACAAAACAGACTTTAAACCAACAAAGATCAAAAGAGACAAAGAAGGCCATTACATAATGGTAAAGGGATCAATTCAACAAGAAGAGCTAACTATCCTAAATATATATGCACCCAATACAGGAGCACCCAGATTCATAAAGCAAGACCTTAGAGACCTACAAAGAGACTTAGACTCCCACACAATAATAATGGGAGACTTTAAACACCCCACTGTCAACATTAGACAGATCAACGAGACAGAAAGTTAACACGGAAATCCAGGAATTGAATTCAGCTCTGCACCAAGTGGACCTAATAGACATCTACAGAACTCTCCACCCCAAATCAACAGAATATACATTCTTCTCAGCACCACATCGCACTTATTCCAAAATTGATCACAGAGTTGGAAGTAAAGCACTCCTCAGCAAATGTAAAAGAACAGAAATTATAACAAACTGTCTCTCAGACCACAGTGCAATCAAACTAGAACTCAGGATTAAGAAACTCACTCAAAACCACACAACTACATGGAAACTGAACAACCTGCTGCTGAATGACTACTGGGTACATAACGAAATGAAGGCAGAAATAAAGATGTTCTTTGAAACCAATGAGAACAAAGACACAACATACCAGAATCTCTGGGACATATTTAAAGCAGTGTATAGAGGGAAATTTATAGCACTAAATGCCCACAAGAGAAAGCAGGAAAGATCTAAAATTGACACCCTAACATCACAATTAAAAGAACTAGAGAAGCAAGAGCAAACACATTCAAAAGCTAGCAGAAGGCAAGAAATAACTAAGATCAGAGCAGAACTAAGGGAGATAGAGACACAAAAAACCCTTCAAAAAAAATCAATGAATCCAGGAAGCGGTTTTTTGAAAAGATCAACAAAATTGATAGACCGCTAGCAAGACTAATAAAGATGAAAAGACAGAAGAATCAAATAGACGCAATAAAAAATGATAAAGGGGATATCACCACCCATCCCACAGAAATACAAACTACCATCAGAGAATACTATAAACACCTCTACGCAAATAAACTAGAAAATCTAGAAGAAATGGATAGATTTCTGGACACATACACCCTCCTAAGACTAAACCAGGAAGAACTTGAATCCCTGAATAGACCAATAACAGGCTCTGAAATTGAGGCAATAATTAACAGCTACCAATCAAAAAAATTCCAGGACCAGATGGATTCACAGCTGAATTCTACCAGAGGTACAAAGAGAAGCTGATACCATTCCTTCTGAAACTATTCCAATCAATGGAAAAAGAGGGAATCCTCCCTAACTCATTTTTTGAGGCCAACATCATCCTGATACCAAAGCCTGGCAGAGATACAACAAAAAAAGAGAATTTTAGACCAGTATCCCTACTGAACATTGATGCAAAAATCCTCAATAAAATACTGGCAAACCGAATCCAGCAACACATCAAAAAGCTTATCCACCACGATCAAGTTGGCTTCATCCCTGGGATGCAAGGCTGGTTCAACAAATGCAAATCAATAAATGTAATCCAGCATATAAAGAGAACCAAAGACGAAAACCACGATTATCTCAATAGATGCAGAAAAGGCCTTTGACAAAATTCAACAGCCCTTCATGCTAAAAACTCTGAAAAAACTAGGTATTGATGGGATGTATCTCAAAATAATAAGAGCTATTTATGACAAACCCACAGCCAATATCATACTGAATGGGCAAAAACTGGAAGCATTCCCTTTGAAAACTGGCTCAAGACAGGGATGCCCTCTCTCACCACTCCTATTCAACATAGTGTTGGAAGTCCTGGCCATGGCAATCAGGCAGGAGAGAGAAAGAAAGAAAGGGTATTTCATTAGGAAAAGAGGAAGTCAAATTGTCCCTGTTTGCAGATGACATGATTGTATATTTAGAAAACCTCATTGTCTCAGCCCAAAATCCCCTTAAGCTGATAAGCAACTTCAGCAATGTCTCAGGATACAAAATCAATGTGCAAAAATCACAAGCATTCCTATACACCAGTAACAGACAAACAGAGAGCCAAATCATGAGTGAACTCCCATTCACAATTGCTTCAAAGAGAATACAATACCTAGGAATCCAACTTATAAGGGATGTGAAGGACCTCTTCAAGGAGAACTACAAACCAGTGCTCAACAACATAAAAGAGGACACAAACAAATGGAAGGACATTCCATGCTCATGGATAGGAAGAATCAATATCGTGAAAATGGGCATACTGCCCAAGGTAATTTATAGATTCAATGCCATTCCCATCAAGCTACCAATGACTTTCTTCACAGAATTGGAAAAACCTACGTTAAAGTTCATATGGAACCAAAAAAGAGCCTGCATTGCCAAGTCAATCCTAAGCCAAAAGAACAAAGCTGGAGGCATCATGCTACCTGACTTCAAACTATACTACCGAGCTACAGTAACCAAAACAGCAGCGTACTGGTACCAAAACAGAGATATAGACCAATGGAACAGAACAGAGCCCTCAGAAATAATACCACACATTTATAACCATCTGATCTTTGACAAACCTGCCAAAAACAGAAATGGGGAGAGGATTCCCTATTCAACAAATGGTGCTGGGAAAACTGGCTAGCCATATGTAGAAAGCTGAAACTGGATCCCTTCCTTACACCTTATACAAAAAAATTAATTCAAGATGGATTAAACACTGAAATGTTAGACCTAAAACCACAAAAACCCTAAAAGAAAACCTAGGCAATACCATTCAGGACATAGGCATGGGCAAGGAGTTCATGACTAAAACACCAAAAACAATGGCAACAAAAGCCAAAATTGACAAATGGGATCTAATTAAACTAAAGAGCTTCTGCACAGCAAAAGAAACTACCATCAGAGTGAACAGGCAACCTACAGAATAGGAGAAAATTTTTGCAATCTACCCATCTGACAAAGGGCTGATATCCAGAATCTACAAAGAACTTAAACAAATTTACAAGAAAAAAATCAAGCAACCCCATCAAAAAGTGGGCAAAGAATATGAACAGACACTTCTCAAAAGAAGACATTTATGCAGCCAAAAGACACATGAAAAAATGCTCATCATCACTGGCCATCAGAGAAATGCAAATCAAAACCACAATGAGATACCATCTCATACCAGTTAGAATGGCGATAATTAAAAAGTCAGGAAACAACAGGTGCTGGAGAGGATGTGGAGAAACAGGAACACTTTTACACTGTAGGTGGGACTGTAAACTAGTTCAACCATTGTGCAAGACAGTGTGGCCACTCGTCAAGAGTCTAGAACTAGAAATACCATTTGACCCAGCCATCCCATTACTGGGTATATACCCAAAGGATTATAAATCATGCTGCTATAAAGACACATGCACATGTATGCTTATTGCAGCACTATTCACAATAGCAAAGACTTGGAACCAACCCAAAAGTCCATCAATGATAGACTGGATTAAGAAAATGTGGCACATATACACCATGGAATACTATGCAGTCATAAAAAAAGGATGACTTCATGTCCTTTGTAGGGACATGGATAAAGCTGGAAACCATCATTCTGAGCAAACTATCGCAAGGACAGAAAACCAAACACTGCATGTTCTCACTCATAGGTGGGAACTGAACAATGAGAATACTTGGACACAGGGTGAGGAACATCACACACTGGGGCCTGTCATGGGGTAGGGGGCTGAGGGAGGGATAGCATTAGGAGATATACCTAATGTAAATGACGAGTTAATGGGTACAGCACACCAACATGGCACATGTATACATATGTAACAAACCTGCACATTGTGCACATGTACCCTAGAACTTAAAGTATAATAAAATAAATAAATAAATAAAATAAAATAAAAATAAAGAAATGTTTTTAATTTCAGAGTCGGAAAGGTATTATTTATTATACCCAACTTACACATGCTATAAAAGAAAAGACTATTTTAAAATGTCATTCAAATATATTAAAAAGAAAAACCAAACTTTAAAAGAAAACAGAGAAGAATTTTCATGTCATAAAGGCACACAGATGCACACAGTCCTACCAAGTAAAAAAAAAAAAAAAGAGAGAAAAAGACTAACCAATCTAATGTCCAAAGGGACATCAGATATGGTTATGTCATTCACAGAAAAAGTATAGAAATGGCTCATAGATCTACCAAATACATAGTCTCATTCTTAATAAGAGAAATGCAAAATAAAACTATACTGAATACCATATTTCAACTATCAAATTGGCAAAGATTCAAAACTTTGATAGCACACTGTGTTCCTGAAGCTGTAGGGAAACAGGAAATCTCCTACACTGATGGTAGAGACGTAAACTGCTGTCTATTGACAGTACTCTGGCAACATCCATCAAAATTAAAAGGATACATACTCTGTAATGGAGTAATTCCATTTGTAGGAATTTCTCCAACAAATATGCTACCACATACGTAAAATTACTTATGTATGAGGTTTTTACATGGCAGATAATAGGAAAATACTATAAACAATCTAAATATCCATCTGTGAAAAATTGATTAAATAATAATAAATCCCTATACATATCAATAGGAAAGGATCTTCAGGACATACTGTTAAGCTAAAATAAAATGGGTAGAACAGCATGTTCAAAAGGCTAGGGGATTGAATAATATATATTTGAATTTGTGTGTGTATATATGTGTGTATAAAATGTATATACATTTATACATATGTATATAAATCATATATATAAATTCTGGGACAATACACACACAAAAAACCACAAGTTACCTGCTTGAAGGTCAGGGTGGCCACTGCACTAATGAGGACAAAAAATACGGAGAGCTGTTTTGCATTTTTAATTTTTCCCCATTTAAAAACCCCAGTAAAAATAGAAAATGAAAAATAAAATTAATGAAATAGTGGAATTTGAACTAAACTTCAACTAAATTCATCATCAAAAATGAAATTGAAGGTAAAAAACGATAAAAGATTTCTACTTGTTACAGCATGGAAAATTAGATACTTTGAAGGGCCCTCCCACTATGAAACAACTGGTATTTCTTGTAAATTTGAACTTACACATATTATATTCCACTCCCAGAAACTCTTATACATGTGCACCCATAGAAATGTTCAAAAATGTTCATAATAATATTGTTTATAATCACAAAATCCTGAAAATATCCCAACTGTGGACCAACAGATGAATGGATAAATCATTATGGGATATTCACATAGTGGATGAAATACTTTATGTAACAAAACAAAATAATCTTAAATTGCAATCTTAAGTGGGGGGCGGGAGAGGGCAGAATTCCAGAGGGCAATATACCATACGACGCTATTTTTCTAAAGTTTAAAAAAAAAAGCAAAATTAAATAAGTACTGATAAGGACTCATTTATTTGATGAAATTATGAGGAATAAAGGGTGGGGCGACTACATATAAAATTCAGAGATAGTGGCTACTTCTGCTGGGGGAGGCATAGCCAATGGGGGATATGAAAGAGGAGAACAAAGGTGAAGGTAAATATATTGGTAATGTCTAGTTCTTAAATTGGGCGGTGGGTTCATGGGTGTTCATTATCTTGCTTCATAAGTTATATAAGTGTTAAATACGTTATGCATCAAATATTGCCTATTTTTCTTTAAAAATAATAGCAGTTAATGTTTCTTCACAAATTGTAATACACTTTAAGATTTTATAAAACTCCATCTTTCTAGACAAACTGAATGAGTAATTAGGAGCATTACCTTTATTTTCTCCTTATGCTTACTGTAAAGTTTCTTTGCTAACAGAGAAAAGCAATTAAGTAGTTCTTAATACTTCAACTTTGAATTTCTGCAAGATATTTATCTGTGTTATCATTACAGTCTGCTCCTAATTTTGAAAAGACTAATTTTAAACACCTTTTGATCCCCATAGACCTCTTAGAATACACAGTACATATTCTAAATTTCAGCATACATTTCAGAAATTGAAATTTCATTCAGACTCTAGAAAACTGTTTCTTCTTCTTTACCTTCAGAAAAGTTTCCTCAAGACTTCAGTATACAGATAATTCTGCTTCCCTAGCTGTTTAAATATAATATTTATGGCCGGGTACACTGGCTCACGCCTGTAATCCCAGCACTTTGGGAGGCCAAGGTGGGCAGATCACAAGGTCAGGAGATCGAGACCATCCTGGCTAACACAATGAAACCCCGTCTCTACTAAAAATACAAAAAATTAGCCGGGCGTGGTGGCAGGCGCCTATAGTCCCAGCTACTGGGAAGGCTGAGGCAGGAGAGGGCATGAACCCGGGAGGCGAAGCTTGCAGTGAGCCAAGATTGCGCCACTGCACTCCAGCCTGGGCGACAGAGCAAGACTCCATCTCAAAAAAAAAAAAAATTATATATATATATATACACACACATATATATAATATTTATGTTTAAATGCAGTCAGATTGTGTATTTCAGGCCAAAGTTTGTAAATGTAAGTGTTTTAAATATTCATTTTTTTCTGATTATAAAACCAGTATATGTTCATTATGGAAAACTAATCTATTTTTCCGTATGTTTTAGCCAAGCCCTACAAAGAAATGGGCCTAAGCTCTGTATACTTATGGCTAATTCCCTTCAGAATGACAATAAGTCAGAGTCCCATCAGCAGCATGTGACAGTCTGTTTCCCCAACAGTTGGAAGTATCATTTTTAAATCCCTGACAATTTGCGTGGATCAGAAATTTCATAACATTTATTTTTAATCCCCATTTTCCTGATTGCTAAACATTTTTTCATGATTTCTTATCTGCTCTTTTTAAATGTCTTCTTAAGACCTTTGGCCATTGGGGTGTTTGCCTTTTTTTAAAAAATTGACTTTTATGTGTCCTTTGCATATATTCAATTTGTTGCTATGCTGCAATTTATACTGTCATTTGCCTTTTTATTTTCTTATGCGGCTCCTTGAACTTGTTTTTAGCATTTACGTATATAAATCCATCTTTTTTACTTTATGGTTTCATCCGTTGCTCTTATGCTTAGAAAAACTATCATACTGCAATGAATAAATGCATCCTAAAAATGCTCATATTATTTCCATTTTTAAAAAAAATGTATCTGATATCTTTTTACATGTAAAAATGAGCCAAGCGAGTTTTTAAAATCACAATTTAAATTCATTAAATCTTTCCGGAGAATATTGCAGAAAAACATGTTATCTGTGCTAATCTGATTAAAAACTTACTCTCTAATTTCAGATTCTTTTTCCTTTAAATCAATGGATCTTCAGAGACAGACTCAACTGGTATGACTAAAACAGAGGCAAGCTTAACATTACCTCTAATCTTCCTTCCTAGCTTCAGTAGGCAAGAAAGGAGAATTCTTGTCAATGTAATTTTTTAAAGACTATAGCTTCTCACCACTCAGGTAGGTCTAATATACAGTCATCAATGTAAAAGAAGGATGATATCATTCTGAAATATTTGGATCTTTCCTCCTGTGTTCAGAGGAGAAGCAGCAATTCTACCTGCAGGCTCAAATGGACAGCAATGAGAATATGTATGTTCCCATTGCTCCCAATTGCTTCAGATAGCCCTCTATTTACGGGACCTTTGTTTGAAAACAACCAGATATTCAGGGACTGGGCTGCCCAGTACAAGTAACCCACCAATCCTTCTAAATAAGATCACTAAAAGCTGGCTACATTCTTACATTTCTAACACAGTATTTATGTCTAAAGAAATAATTAAGTTGGATCACTCAGCTTTATATTTACATCCAATTGGCTCCAACTGTTTTAACTGTCTCACTACAAAGTGGTTTCTACTATGGGAACCCCAAAGGGAATTTGTTCAGGGAGCTCTCTCAAAACACTATTAAAGAAAGTATATATTAATCTGTCACCTTAAAAGTCCAACACTTATATACCTCCCTTCTATCTCCCACCCCTACCCACCCCCCCAAAAAAACCAAAAAAACACTAGAGGTTCTAAATATAGTACATAGCATTTGGGAAACCAGCAGGCAATCTACCCAATGTCATATCACTGGGACAGTGTAGCCTCCTGGTTTCAGGATGTTCAGTGTTTAATAATACATGCATATGAAACAAAAGTGACAAAAATATTGGTAAGTCAACTAAGATCCTAAAGAGGTCAATAAGAATGCTATCTCATTCCACAAGTATTTGTCTTTGGTCATCTCTAATGAACCTACAAGTGCCAGCATATTTCACAGGGGCTAAATAAAACTTTTTAAAAGGTTAACGGAAAAATATTTATGTGAAAAATGCCTCCGAATAATCTTTTAGTGGGTGGATTTGGCACATACCAGTGAATACCTTTGAGCTTAGTCCAATCTTGAATTAAGCTACAGTTCACCTTCAAGAAACTATGAACCTGCTTTTAAGTAAAAGCCTGTATTAATAAGAAACATGGAATGTGAATACAAAAAGAGATGTTATCAGCTGAACTGTATCTAAATATTTTACAAAGTTTTCCAAGAGCCGTGAGCTGTCAGTAGATCTTTAAAATTCATGATCTTTTTTTAAAAAAGTTATTCATTCATCTGTAAAAATCTAGTTTTTTATGTGTACACCAAGCATAAAATTGCCCTATGCTAAACTTAACATAAACCTCACATTACAGAGTTATGTGTTTTTATTCTTCAACATAACTATTACAGTGATTCAAAGGATAAAAACACACTTAGAATAGTCTACCTTCTGCTGCATTTCAGTACAATGAAGAAAGCCTGAGCAGCACCCAAAAACTAGGTCCATATTTTAAATCTGCAGGCAATCAAGCAAGGAAAATAAATTGAGGAACCAGGCTATGTAATCACAATCACTTGCAAAACCATTTAAACTATTTTCTAGTTGTAATTGTTAGCAGTTTCCTATGACTGTAATCTTTTAAAAAATATCTTCCACTTAAAAAATTAAATGCACATGTACATTAATGTTTTTTGTCTACTTATAGTTAGGTGCTATGCCAGATTAAAATTCCCCTCTTTCCCCTTTCCAATTCTACATTCCCTTTTCATTTTTGTACATTATGGTTCCAAGCTAATTTCGTATTATTTATCCAAATAATGGGTGGCTAAAAATTTGATCTTTAAAACTACAATTTTGAAGCAATGTAGAGTTTAACAAAACATAACAAACAAAAAACCATAGTGAGTTAGCCATTTCATGATGACAGTGTTTTTCACAAAGTAATATGTTACCTTTTCAGATGTTATTCAAGGATGGGTAATCATTTTATAAATGTTACATAATTAAAGATTCTCAACATTATAAATTAGTATGCATAACTCTTAACAGAGAAAATTGAATAATAAGATGTAAATTGAGTTGTTCAAGGTCAGACAGTATGTCAGTGAGGCAGCCAGCACTGGCAATCTCAAATTCCTGTCTTCCCCCACATGTGCCATCCCACAAGATCCCTGCTCTAACCTTTGCCTGCAAAATGCTAACTCTGGTATTCTTCACAGGACAGAAACCATTTAGAATAGAATTTCAAACTTAAGAAACTGATTAAGAAGTTAACCTAAATATTACCATAATATATGAATTTAAATTAATTTTCAGCTAATTGGTCCATCATCTGAATGATCAATTCCTAAGCACAGTCCAACTTCTTCCTAATGTTGTATTTAAGTGCCAATGAGCTGGCTCAAGGGGACTCAGGTTTCACTTGTGAGAACTAACCCTTGGGGAATGAAACAGCTACTTTTCAGAGCTGGGCTGCCCTTATCCTCTATCGTAATCCAAGGAAGGGACAATCCAGTGTTCATTCAAAGAACTCTTAGAGCAGCTTTCTCACCTCCTTACAGCTGGGAAGAGATAACAGAACATTCTTATTTCAAAGCCTTAATCTGAACCATTGTAGACCATGAATTCCTAAAGCATTAACCGTCTGGTTAAGATTTAAGCTGGCTTCAAATAGTTTTCTCACTTCTAACTTTATGTCTCAAGCAAACCCGTTATGCATTCTTACACATTTCTGATCACTTAAACTCACTGGCCTCTTTGTGATATTCCTTCCCATGTCTGCACAGGACAGAAGTATCCCCCACTTGTCATCCCATGAGATGTATCCCTTAGCAAGTTAAAAAAAAACAAACACATAAAGCTAGGGGCCAAAACATCATTGTTTAATGATGGAGCCTGCAGGTTATCTATAAAGTGATTTCACGTTAAAATTGTCAAGTTAATAACTATTTGATCTTTATATTAAAATACATAAAGTTTATATTCTTTGAAAAAAAAGTTTAGTGCCTGAATGTAACTATTCAATAATAAGCTATATATTCTTGGTCACCATATGTATGCACAAACCATCTGACAGACAAAAGTATAAGAATGGAATTTCTGGCACGCCTACATAGAATAGTATCATTTTTATAAAAGACAAGAGGGAGGAGGCATGGAAGGAAATCAACATTCATTACGTGCTTACTAGGAAACAGGTACTGTGCTAAGTACTTTACATAAAACTGCAATCAATTTCATGTTTATTACATTCCCTCACCAAATCATTATAAACCAATATATTCAAACATCAAAGGAACTGAACACAAACTCTAGGAATCCTGAACTGATTCCATTTTTTCCTTGGGCTATGTGCTAAGGCCATCATATTCATCACCCCTATTTATACAGGCCAAGGGCTCAGAAGCACATTAATTTAAATTATTCCCAGAAAGCAGCCCCAAAATGCCATTACCTCACTGAAATAATTCTTTTCAAGAGGCTAGTTTTGATAATCCAAGAATTCAATTCTTATGAGCATACTTTGATAAGAATTTGTTACTAATTTCATTATACATCAAGAGACGAGCCACTAATATCAAAGACTAAAACCATGGATTACGATAATTTACAGATTTAAGCTTTTTCAGTGCCCAGAGGTTGTAAAGAAGATAGATAGGGTTGGAAATGGGATAGACTGGGTGTTTTTACTAGCCAAATGTTTTGATTCACTGATTTACAGTAAAATGTTAACTTCAGTGAAATAGATACTTTTCAGGAAGTGAGGGAGAGTATTAAGGAAAAATGTCTAAACGTCCAATGTAAAATATCTTGATCATATACATTTGAAAAAAATTAGTAAACTGAAATTGTTTTTTAAGTGTTTGACAATACTGTAAGTGGAACAAAGCAGCAATTTTATTCTTACACTTCTGACATTTCACTTAGTGACTTTAATAAAATATTAAAATTCTAATGACTCAGCAAAACGCAAAAAATGCTTAGGCAATGTTAAGTGAAAACAATAAAATTTTATGTATATCATAATTATATAAAAATTTGTGTGCATAAAAAATAATTGGAACTTTGAAAGTTGATTTGACAGTATAATCAGCTTATAGATAATTACTTCTTTATTTTTATTATAAAAATTATTTTTATATTATTTAAATTATTTTTTATATTTTTATATTTTTTATAATGTTGTTTCAATAAAAATGGCAACTTTAAAAAAGCATGTGATCACTACATGTATTAAATGGCAGTCTGTCTGCAATGGCTTAACTGTGTTAAGTGTATCTGTGTCTTAGTTTTCCAGCTATTCTGTCAGTTCCAGGAAAGCAAACACCAGGACTCCTTTGTACCCTCCAAAATACTTAACACAGCCTCTCAGACCCAGACAGACCCAACCAATCCCAGTGACAGCTAGTCACTGAGCCACTGATGAACACCAAGTGCAGACAACATAAAAATGAGAACTTACTATTATTTGTTGGTTCAGGAAACCCAGGCTTTGGACCACTCCATCCTTTGTTTTCCCCTGTCTGAAAGATTAAATCAATCGTTCAAATCCAGAGAAACAAGCTTATTCAAAAAGAAAAAAAAAAAGGTGACCAATTAAGCAAAGGCAAAGTCCTCTCACATGGTTATTCTGCATATTATCTCTATCTTTGACCCTGGGATGATGGCTACAAAAGAAACTAACATGAAGGGTATCATTTATTCCTTTTCTGCACCTAAATCTACTTATGTCCTTCTACTTTTGTCTGATCATGTAAATTTATAATTCAAGGCATAAAGCCAATATTCAATATATGTATTATTAGAATGTAAGCTCTAGCTAGGTGGTGAAAAAAATAAATCTTTTTTTTTTTTTTTGAGACAGAGTCTCATTCTGTCGCCCAGGCTGGAATGTAATGGCTTGGTCTCAGCTCATCGCAACCTCCACCTCCTAGATTCAAGGATTCTCCTGCCTCAGCCTCCCGAGTAGCTGGGATTAGAAGTGCCTGCCACCACGCCCGGCTAATTTTTGTATTTTTAGTAGAGATGGGGTTTCGCCATGTTAGCCAGGCTGGTCTCAAACTACTGACCTCAAATGATCCACCCACTTTGGCCTCCCAAAGTGCTGGGATTATAAGTGTGAGCCACTAAGCCTGGCCAAAAAGTAAATCTTATTAAAATAGTAAATAATAATCATCACCACAAATGCTTAAGTGACCAAAAGAGCTTTTGTATGATTCCCGAGGTCAAATTAACAACCTAACAATCAAACATTTCTGTAGACAAAAATGTTACTATGTCCATCTAGAAAAGTCCTATGGTAAGGGTCACCAAATACTGCTATAATGACATATACAAAAAATACAAATATAAAAAAAATAAAAAAATAAAAAAATGACATATACAAAAAAATTGAAAACTAAGTCCTAACTTTAAGTCCTAACTTTAAGCAAACTAAGTCCTAACTTTAAGCAAAACATGTAATATTCTGACTTTTGCCAAATGATTAGTGTTTGGTATAAAATACATTCTGAAATGTAGATGCTTTGAAGTAGTAAGTATTCAAATCAAATTAATAAGTGACTTTAGTTATATTATCTTTCTGTACAGCTGGTAACTTATCTCTTATGATGATCAGCATTTTATATTTATGTTAACGGTCAAAGGTCAAATAGATAATTAAGCCTAGATATAAACACAAAATACAATTGCTGCAAATAGTTTACCCATGTTCATTTTTAAAAAAAAGTTGTTCTTATTGAATTCATTCCTTTTTAATCATACATCTTAGGGTGACAAGGAAATATATAGTGGCAGACAGCAGAAGCAAAACTGAAAATAA
This sequence comes from Homo sapiens, assembly GCF_000001405.40. NCBI lineage: Eukaryota > Metazoa > Chordata > Mammalia > Primates > Hominidae > Homo > Homo sapiens. Next base: position 73,584,129 of record NC_000008.11, read on the forward strand.
AGAATCCTGAAGAGTAAGTTGACAGTATGTTAGAAACAACCAGCAGCTTCATATGAACTAGGGAGCATCTCTTTCTCTCTCTAATTAGCTCTTTTATCTCTTTAAAACACAAATTCCTGTCTTCATCAACATTTACCATCCTGAGAGATTGCTGCTATAACCTTTGACTGCAAAATGCTAACACAGGCATCCTTCACAAGAGAGAAATTACTATGTAATAAAATAGACTGATAGTAGTAATAGCTAATAGCTAACACTGAAGATTTAAAAGTGGGGTTGCTAATGCGCTAAGTGTTTTGCATAAATATGGATTATCTCATTTTCATCCTCACAAAAATTTGGTAAGATAAGTGATATTAACATTCAATTTTACAGACAAGCAAACAGGGTTAGAGTTCCTGTAATTACTCTAAGGTCACACAGATAATATGCACAGGTGCCAGGACATCAAACTACATCTTCTAACTAGAGGAGAGTAATCATGCTACCTTTGTACTGCCATTATCAGGAGAGAAAAAAGAAGCTAAAGAAAGGAATGAGCAAAAAAGTTACAGATTAAGTAAAACTGTGCCATCTAAGAATGAAAAGAAAAACAGTGAGATGAAGAACAGAGTTTGGAACTATTAAGAAGAATGCTCTAAAGGTACGGCCAGGATGGAAAGGACTACTGCAAAAACAAATGAGAGAAAACAGAAGTAGACCAGTTCCAAGGGATGAAAGAAATTTAAAAGATTTTGAAAAGCAGCTAAAATAATTATTCACATGAAAACCTGGTGAACAGAAAGAAACAAAGTATGTTCAATTTTTCTTTTACATTCCTACCATACTTTTAATTTTATTCATACCTCCAAAACATAGCCTGTACTTATCAAAGTGCTGACAACTGTTTAGGTTCTTAGAGAAATAATTACGTTTCCAGAATCCTGGAGCAGTTCTACAATTAGCCACAGGATTCTAGTCTTTCTAAACAAGTTTTTCATTTTTAATAAGTGGAATTAATAAAATCTGTTTTATTTGACTAAACTAATTTCTTCTATTCTTACCTTATGTTACCTCAATACTATACAATTGGCTGGATGTGGTGGCTCAAGCCTGTAATCCCAGCACTTTGGGAGGCCGAGGCGAGCGGCTCACCTGAGGTCGGGAGTTCAAGACCAGCCTGACCAACATGGAGAAACCCCGTCTCTACTAAAACTACAAAATTAGCCAGGCATGGTGGCCCATGCCGGTAATCCCAGATACTCAGGAGGCTGAGGCAGGAGAATCGCTTGAACCCGGGAGGCGGAGGTTGCAGTGAGCTGAGATCGTGCCATTGCACACCAGCCTGGACAACGAGAGTGAAACTCCGTCTCAAAACATGTATATATTATACAATTTATCCAGTAGGTAACATATGATTTTCATCTGAGAGCTATGCCTAACTTCAAAATTTCTTTCTTTTAAAGATCATTGTTTGAAGAGTAAGGGGAAGAGGTCAGGAGAGATGAGGTCAAAGTAATTACTACGAGAACTTCTCTCTTGAAAAGGAGAAACCCAGCAAGCACAAAGTACAGTTCATCTCCCAATCCTTACTTTCTGTATTTCTTCTACTGTACCCCTCAGACACAAACGAGAAATATAAAAGGAGATGATATGGTTTGGCTCTGTGTCCCCACCAAAATCTCACCTTTAATTGTAATAATCCCCACGTCTCAAGGGTGGAACCAGGTAGAGATAACTGAATCAAGTGGGTGGTTCCCTCATGTTGCTCTCTTGATGGTGAATGAGTCTGACAAGATCTGATGGCTTTATAAGGGGTTTCCCCTTTTACTCGGTATTCATTTCTCTTTCCTGCTGCCCTATAAAGAGGTGCCTTTTGGCACAATTTTAAGTTTCCTGAGGCCTCCCCAGCCAGCCCTGCAGAACTGTGAGTCAATTAAACCTCTTCCTTTATAAATTACCCAATCTCTAGCAGTTCTTTATAGCAAACAAATATAGGAGGCAACAGCAGGAGGTAAGTCAAAGTCTGGAAAGTGGAAAGCAGATGAAGAAGTTGTAGCTAGCTTAGCAGATGTGAGTAACTGAAACCTAACCTGCAGAGGAAGAAGCCAACAAAGAGCTCACAGTAAGGTGATGTGTCACCCAGAACCCTAGAAAGCCTCCAGAATTAGGAGTACACCTGGTACATTTAAAGATGAATCCTGGAAGGGGCTGAAACAGAAAGATTTGTCTGGAAGTCTTTTCAAGGTATTATGAAATCTCCCTATCAACTCTTTGACCCCATGCAGTCAGGTGCCTACCCCTTCCTAATAGGGGTTTCCTGTTGGGAGAGGCTAAAACAGAGAGGCTCTGGATACCAGGCATAGTTGAGGGTGAAATCCATGTGTCACCCTGCAAATAAGGAGATGGGAGTTCCAAGGTTTCATACTGAAAAATAAGATTCCAAGACTCTTTTCTCATTTGCCCCTCAGAAGACACATCCAGGGTTCCAAACCACAGGAACAGAAAGATAATGAGGAGAACAGAAGAAAAAAAATGCAAAAAAAAAAAAAAAAAAAAATCCTCAGGCACATAAGAGAAAGACTACACCCATTAAACAAGAATAGGAAGGCTTAAAAGGAATATTCTGAGAATGAGGAAGAACTCTGGGAAATCAAAAATAAAATAGCTGATGTGAAAATGTCAGAGAGGGACTAGAAAACAAACTTGAGGAAATCTTCCTAGAAAACAGAACAACAACAAAAACAGAAAGAGGGGGAGAAAAGAAAAACCACAAGACCATCCATAAGATTGGCATCTCAGAAATAAATAACAGCAAAAATAAAAGTAAAGAAATTATTAAAGAAATAAGAAATTTCTCAGTTTAAAGTATATGAATTTCTAGATTAAAACTCAAATGTCCAACACAATTTATCAAATACACATATAAAATACACATATCTCAGAACCCCTGAGAAAATAGAAAAGCATCGAGAGGGAAGAGAAGGGTAAAAGTTTCATATACAGGCTGAAGAATCAGGTGTTGAAATTTTAACAGCAATGCTGGGAGGTACAAGACAAGGGTGCGATGCCTTCCCAACTCCGTGAAAATTTACTTCCAATTTAGAATTACAGCTTAGAAAAAAACTATCAAGTGTGTGGCAAATATAAAAAAATTTCAGACCACAAGATCTCAAAAAAAAAGTTTACTTCCCATGTATCCTTCACAGGGAAGGCCCTAAAGTATGTACTCCATTAAAACAAGAAAGTAAACCAAGAACAAGGGAAACTGTCCAGAAAATAGTCAACTCAACAAAGGACAGAGGCCAGAGAAATTTTCAGGATAATGGTGAAGAGAAGAACCTTAACAGCAGCTCTGCAGCAGGCATATCGATCAATCTGCAATACAAGAGGAGGATAAAGAGCTCTAAGGGTTGGGTAGGGTGTACGTTGGGAAAGGAACGAAAAAAACTGCATGATGTGCTTGACTGGTAAAGACTTTGGGGACAGAAAGATGTAGAAAAGTGTATGTGTGGAGTATGTACCAGAGTTAAACCCTCATTTTCCATAGCAGAAAGTACATTTAATTTTTTTACTTTTATATTACTTCTCATAATATTTAAACATGAGAAACCAAGAGATAGCACAAACTACCCATAGTGGTAAGTAATAAAATAAATAGTTACAATAGGTGGTAAAGTGGTTGCCTCTGGCAAAGGGGAAGCAGAAATGGCCAGTGGCAGGGAAGGAGAACAGGATATTTTGGTATTTTAAATTATAAACCTTGAGTTTTTATACTATTAATCTTGTATAAATTCTGCCTTTTTATATATGTATTATTTTGAGTATGAGTACTACTTTGATGAATATAATGATCAAATACAAAAAAGAGTAGTCATGTCTTGACTTCAACAAACTCCAAGATATTAAGAAAAACTCTAAGATATCTGAATGAAGAAAATCAAGATGCAAGAATGGCATATAAAAAAGAGGTGAAGAGAGTATTCCACTTTTCCTTAGAATCTGGAAACATAACAATGACAAACAGCCAATCTGAAAAAGACAATTGCAACTTTTCTTGAACCCTTTAGAGACCTGAGATTACAAGGTAAACAAGCAAAATGAATTCTAGTGAGTGATAAATCCTTCTGGGAGAGATAGGACTCACAAAAATGTTAACAGCTTTGGCAGGGCAGGGATAGCAGAGATGACTGCCATGAATGTAAGTAAGAAGAAAGTAGATGAAATGTTAAATTCTTAAAGCCTGAGTATGAGCTAGCATGATAGTTTAGAAAAACTGGGAGCTCCAGACAGCAGCTCTTTTCCATTGTCCTGCCCTGGATTCTCAGAAGGACAACTGGGGCTACAGCTGCAGACCAGAGAGAGCCCAACTTGGTGCAGGAATGCAGCTGGTTAATGGCTGCACTGAGGGATAAGCACAGAACCTTGCCACTTCTCTAGGCCATTCTCCAATACAAAACAAAAAATTTAAGCCACCGGGGGAAGGGTAGAAACAAATCCTATATGCCGTTGGGGCAAAGGCAGGAAATTCTCTGGTCCTAAGAGCTCAGTAAAGCTTCATTGCTTCTGAAGAGGATTGAAAGCAAAAGCTATATGCTCCTGGGGAAAAAAAAAGATAGAAAACCTACTTGAGAGTAAGACACTACACCAGTATAAAGCAGAGGTCTGCAAATGCTGGGAAATGTACAGGAAACTCTCTCATGCCCAAACTGCCCAAAAATCCAAGATAAAATTTGGTTACCACAGAGAAGACAGCAAAAACAGAAAGATCCACCTCTGACATCCAGGCTCACAGAATCTGCCAGAAAATGAAGCTGGACAAAAAAATCAAGAACTATGACACCCACCACAATCCCAGGATTAAATAATAAATAGCAGCAGTCTACTACAGAGCCTGAAGAGAGATAACCCCATGCCATGACACAGCAAAGAAGAGACCTCTAAACCTGAGGGCTGAGCAGAGAAACTGTGAAAAAATCCTCTCAAAACCTCACATTACACAAAGCATGGGTAACAGCATATCACTATTGAAGGAATTTGTAGTTAACAGTGACTATGGCAATAACAAAACCCAAAATGAATTCAGTTAATAACTAGACTGATGCAACCCTCGATCCAAAAAGTCTGAGAGAGAGACATATGCTGATTTCTCAACAAATACTATTTGACTTAGCCTCTACTATTTTTCTGTTGCAAGGTCCAACACTCATTCAAAAATTATGAGATACCCAAAACTGCAAGAAGAAATAAACCACTGCCAAAACACAGGGAAGTCAACAAAACAGGGCCCAGGGATGACCCTGATGCTAGACCTTTCAGAAAGGTATTTTACAACACCTATGATTCATAGGTTGAAAGACCAACTGGAAAAAGCAGATAACATACATGAGCATATGGGGAATTTCAGCACACCAATAGAAACCACAGAACAAAAACATAAGGAAATCCTAAACGAAAAATATTAGAGATCAAAACATTGATGTCATTATTAATAATGCATTAATTCAGACTGCACACAGCTGAAGAAATATTGTTGAACTTGTAGACAAATCAACAGAAATTACTCAAACTGTTTAATAAAGAAAATCCTATAAGACAATACCAATGGTCTAATGAATGTATAAATGGAAACTCCAAGGAAAAGAGGGAGAAAACAAGGAATAAAATATATTTTAAAAGATAATAGCTAAGAACTTGTCAAAATAACTGATTCCATGACATCAAATCACAGATCCAAAATGCTCAGAGAACCCTATAAGGACAAGGAGGATGACAAAGATGAGGATGAGGATGAGGAAGGAAGAGAAGCAGGAGGAGGAAGAGGAAGAGGAGGAGGATAAAGAAGACAAGGAAAAGGAGAAGGGAAGAAGAAAGAGGAGGGAGGAGGAGAAGGAAGAGGGAAGAGGAGAGAAGAAGAACAATAGGGAAGGAGGAAGAGAAGAAAGAATAAAGAGGAGATAGAAGAAAGAGGAGAAGGAAGTAGGGGGAGAAGGAAGTAGGAGGAGAAGAAAAAACGAGAGAAGAAATGAGAAGAAGGAAGGAAGAGGATAAGAAGGAGAAGAAGAAAAGGTGGAGGAAAAGGAGAAGGAAGAAAAATAGAAAGAAGGGAGGAAGAAGGGTGGGAAAAGAGTACAGGGGCAGAGGAGAAAGGAAGAAACAAAAAAAATCAATTAGATACATCACAACCAAATTGTTGGAAAATAAAGAAAAGAAATATATTAAAGGCTGAGAGAGGAAAAAAAATACATCAACAAGAACAAGTAAGAATTACAACAGACTTTACATTGAAAATTATGCCTATCAGGAGACAAGGGAGCAAGATCTTTAAAGTACTAAAAGAAACAGGAAACCCAGAATCCTATATCCAGAAAAAAATAACTTTCAAAAATGAAGGTGATTCATTGGAGGCTTAAAAAAGAAAAAATAACGTGAAATTTTCTGCTAGAGCAGTCACTGAAGAGCAGCAGCCATAGTTCTGCATTACCCCATGCCCATGGGCCTCAACCAGGGCCCAAGGTGAACAAGAATATGAGCAAGCTGAGGCAGGGCTGCCACCCTGGACACCTTACCAAGCACACAAAGCTTGTGTAAGACATCATCTGGGAGGTGTGTGGCTTCCCCCTGAAAGTGGCATGCCATGAAGCTGCTCAAAGTCTCCAAGGACAAGCGGGCCCTCAAGTTCATTAAGAAAAGGATGAAAACACACATATGCACCAACAGGAAGCAAGAGGAGCTGAGGCAATATCCTGACTGCCATGAGGAAAGCAGCTGCCAAGAAGGTCTGAGCCCCCACCCCACTTTGTGTATAATAAAACCTGCAAAGAAAAAAAATGAAAGTGAAATAAAGACTTTTTTGGCAAACAAAAGCTGAGAGAATGCACTGCCTACAGATCTGCTAAAATAAGTAATATTAAAGGAAGTCCTTCAAGCAAGGAAGGGGTATAATACCAGAAAGAAATTTGAATTTACACAAATAAATGAAGGATATTGAAAATAATCAAAATGAGAGTAAATATAAAAGGCATTTTCTGCTGATTTTAATCACTTAAAAAGATAACTGACTATATAAAGCAAAATTAGTAACAGTGAATTGTACGGTTTGAAAAATATAGAAAACTAAAATGTATAGCCACAATAGGAGGTCAGAGAAACTTAGAGAAGTAACCTATGTGACCACAATAGAGGTCAAAAAAGAAAAAAAGTAAACAGAGTAAGTGCGGGGAAAAAAAAAGGCAACTAATAAAATGGTGTGTTTAAATACAACAATCTCAATAACTTCAGTAAGTGCAAATGGTCTAATCACCCTAACTAAAGGGCAAAGTTTGTCAAATTAAATTTTAAAGAACAAGACCCAATTATATGCTTTCTAAAAGAAACCAATTTAAAGATAGGTTAAAAGTAAGCACAGGGAAAAAAATATCCCATGCAAACACCAGTCAAAATAAAACTGGAGTAGCTATATTAATATCAAACAAAACAGATTTCAGAACAAGGAATAAAGGGAAATATCCAATAGAAGTGGTCAAGTCAACAAAGACACAACACTAACTGTATACATATATAACAACAAAGTTTCAAAATGCATAAAACAAAAACTAATAAAACTGTAAGAAGTAGAAGTAGGAAAATCCAAACTTATAGTTGGAAACTTTAACACTGGACAAAACAAGTAATCATAACAGATACAGGGCCTGAAAGAAGAAATCAAGAGGGAAATCAGAACATATTTTGAGTTGAATGAAAGTAAAAACCCATACAGCGTGTATCCCAGAGGTAAAAAAAAAAAAAAAAAAAAAAAAAAAAAAAACAAGAGAGAGACAAGAAAAACCCAACTTGTCAAAATGTGTAGGGCAGAGCTAAATCAGTACTTAAAGAAAAATTCACAGCATTAAATGCTTATATTAGAAAAAAGAAAGTTCTCAGATGTATAGCCTAAGCTTCTACCTCACAAAATTAGAAAAGAACAAAAAATTAAAAACAAAAACAAGTGAAGGATAAAATAAAGAGCAGAAATCAAAAAAACTGAAAATAGAAAAACAGAGAAAAATCAATGCAACTAAAACCTAATTGTTTGAAAAGACTTAAAATTTTATAAACCCCCTAGCTAAACTGAACAGAAGAAAAAGAGAAAAGAAATAAATGATCAATATCAGAAATGAAAGTGAGTATCATTACAGATTCTGCTACTACTAAAAGAGTAAAGAAATGTTATTTAGATTTTGCCACTATTAAAAGAAAAAGGGAATGTTATAAACAATTTTATACTAGTAAATTCAACAACTTAGATGAAATCAACTAATTCTTTGAAAGACTAAAACTGCCAAAGTTCATTCAAGCAGAAGTAGGTAACCTAAGTAACCCTATCTATTTTTAAAATCTGAGTTTGTAGTTAAAAAACCCTTTCCACAGAGAAAATTCTAAGCCCAAAAGCCTTCACTGGTAACTTCTACCAAATAATTAAGAAATACCAACCAGGTGAGGTGCCTCACGCCTGTAATCCCAGCACCTTGGGAAGCCAAGGCAGGCGGATCATTTGAGGTCAGGAGAGCAAGACCAGCCCAGCCAACAAGGTGAAACCGCTTCTTTACTAAAAATACAAAAAATCAGCCAGGCATGGTGGTGCACACTGTAATACCAGCTACTCGGGAGGCTGAGGAGGGAGAATCGCTTGAACCTGAGAGGCGGAGGTTGCAGTAAGCCAAGATCGCACCACTGCACTCCAGCCTGGGTGACAGAGCTAGACTCCGTCTCAAAAAAACAACAAAAAAATCCTGTTTTTGCTGGTTTTAAATATTGCTTTTGCCACACTCATCAAAAGTCTTATTGATAAATCAATATATTCAGTCCTCTTATTTGATCTCTCTGCAGCATCTGACTACCACCTAGCAGTCATTCTCTATTCCTTTTTGCAGGTAGTCTTTCCTCCTCTTTTTTCCTGTACCTTGCATGCATCTTATCTACTATTCAAATCTTACCCATTACATTTGTGAAATATCTCTGGAGTCTTTCCATTCCTCCTCTCTACCTTCACTGTCTCAGTTCAGACCCTCAATATCTCTCACCTAAACAACTCTGGTTGCCTCCTGACTGGCCTTTCTGCCTTTGGTTTCACTCTGCTCAAATCCATGCTCCCCATTACTTAGAGTTATCTTTTGAAGAATGCAAACCAGATCAATTCACATTCATGTTCAAATCTTAAATAAGCATTTCTTCAAACCTTCTACTTCGCATAATAACAGTGACCTCAGCTTTTCCTGACTTTCCAGGTTCATCCTCTAGTTTTGTTATATGGTTAAAATTCCTCACTCCCTGCACTTAAAGAACGATCAGCTCCTTGAGTGCAGAGACCAAGTCTCAGTCATCTTATTAAAATCAGTCATTTTAAGTGTCTGGCATTTAGTGAGTGTGATGATTAACTTTACATGTCAACTTCTCTGGGCCACAGTGCCAAATGGTCAAACATTATTCTGAGTGTTTCTGCAAGAGTGTTTTTGGGTGAGATTTACATTTAAAGTGGTGAACTCTGAGTAAAGCAGATCACCCTCCACAATGTGGGTAGTCCTCATCTAATCAGCTGAAGGGCCTGAACAGAACAAAACGCTGACCTCCCTGGGCAAGTGGGAATTTTCCAGTAGACTGTTTTTGGACTGAAATTTCAACTCTTTCCTGAGTCTCCATCCTGTCAGGCTGTCCCATCAGATTTTACACTAGCCAAGCCTCCACAATCACATGGGCCAATTCCTTAATATATATACACAGACAGACACACACATACACACACACACACACACACACACACGTTGATGGTTCTTTTTCTTTGGAGAACCCTGACTTATACAGTGGTTATGCAAAAAATGTTTTTCAAATTAATGAAATTAATTAATGCTGGTTTTTTGTTGTGTTTGCTTTCACTTAATTTACAAATACATGTCTGTGAGGAGATTTATTTTGACATATTTTTATAGATCACTCACCAGTTTTAAGTCAATATAAATGTGTTAAGTTAAAACAACATATATACAATATAAGGACTATAGAAACTGGAACACATGTTAGGTTTCACGTTACAAATACTTTTAAAAGAAGAAAAAGTGTTGACTAGCCAGGTTATAAAAACAGAATTGAAATCTCTAGCAATAATACACAGACAAAGATTTTTTAAAATCATTCAAAAGAATTGCCTAGAAAACAAAAAAGTACATCTAAGTGTCTTTATATATTTTTGTTTCTAATTCTAAACTTTTAAAATGTGTTCCTGTAGAAACTAAAAAAATCTCTGAAACAGAATTCTTGTGTGAGAAGATGGCCTGGTCTAAAGCATATTACTTTTGATAAAAGTAATTAGTAAGCCTGTTTTGTGAATGTTCACATAAATAAAATGTTTGGTAGAAATAATGTCTACATATCCACAGATAACAAAATGATACTTAATACAAAATGGAAATAAGCCAATTTCTGCCAAGTTATCTGCCAAGTTCTGAATTCAGGGTTCTCTGCTTCCCTTGTAACAGATGTAGGTGTTAATGATGTCATTAACTGTTGCAGAAAAAATAGGGGACCATGAACACAGGTCTTGGCAGAAAATAAACAACCTATGAGTTCACCTTTAAATTTAAAGTAAATAGAAAAATTAGTTTATAGAGTGTCTGTCCAATACAGTTCCTGCCCTAAAGGGATAAGTCAGAATTTTTATTTCCAGTGTTTTCAGCTGTATTCCAAAAATAAAGGCTAACAACCTGTGTTCTTAAAAGGCACAAATTAAGACTGTGTCTATATGGCAAAAACAACCAGTCAACAAGTTAAAAATGTTAAATTGGTATTACATAAAATATGTACAACCATACAACAAACTTTTTGTATTTTCTAATCATAAGATTATAAATACTCATTAATATCTCATCTTACTCCATATGTTATTTTGTGCTTGGATCATCTATCTTTGTATTGCCTCAGAAAAGTTAAAATTGACATTTACTTTAATATCAGTTAAGATCAAAATTTATTAATCACTTTGATATTATGACAGATAGGATACATACATGTAAACTTAACTCTTACCTTCTCAAGTTGATCCTGAAGATTAGTGGATGCTTTATAACCAAGTTGTAACAGCATTGCTTCTGCAGCATTTTTTTTGGCTATCTTTTTATTAGGTCCTGTTCCTGTAGCAACTTCATTGCCTACCTTCACCTGATAAGATTAAAGAAATAAATTAAAGAAATACATTTATGATAAATTTAAACAGGAAGTCCTTACATCATAAAGCAATTCTACTCTCTAGCATTTGAAAACATAAAGTTCAGTCCAAAGTAAAAATGGCAACTAAGATAACATTTATGTAATGTTGTATATGTACATGAAAAAATGGTCCTTAAAGTATCAATGGAGGATTATCTCAGGATGGTAGAATTTTATAGAATTTTTACTTCCATATATATTTATATGCTATTTGATTTTTTAAACACTAAATTTATATTATTTATATAAGCAGAAAAATAAAATTTACATTTTAACAGCGTTCATGTTGGTTATGACTACATTTTAGCATTCTTATATTTCAATTAATAAACTGAAAAGGCTAAAATTCATATTGGTGCCATTTAAAATAATGTTCAAATTGCAATATTATGTAAACATTCAAGTTTACAAAGATTTATATTAAATAGTTCCTGAAGAGAATTAATATACAAGTGTTCCTACAACATTATGATTAAAAACAAGGCTTCTGGCCAGGCGCAGTGGCTCACAGCTGTAATCCCACTTTGGGAGGCCAAGGCAGGAGGATCACAAGGTCAGGAGTTTGAGACCAGCCTGGCCAATATGGTGAAACCCCGTCTCTACTAAAAATACAAAAATTAGCCAGGTGTGATGGAACACACCTGTAGTCCTAGCTACTCAGGAGGCTGAGGCAAGAGAATCGCTTGAACCCAGTAAGTAGAGGTTGCAGTGAGCCACGATTGCGCCACTGCACTCCAGCCTGGGGCCACAGAGCAATACTCCATCTTTAAAAAAAAAAAAAAAGGCTTCCAAGTCAGATTGGGATATGAAACTCAACTCTATTATTTCCTAGCTGTACGAACTGGTACAAATTATTTAATATCTCTAAGCCTCAGGTTTTTCATCAGTAAAGCCGGGGTAATACCAACTACTGCACAATGTTGCTTTGAAAATTAAACAAGATAATGTATGTAAACCACAGCATTTAATCCATCACAATTGCTCCAAAAAAAAGATTTTTATCATTAGAACTATTCTACAGTTATCTTCTGTGAGCAATTTATACATGTACTTAAATACACATCAACCATACAACTATAAAAAGTAAAGTAGATAGCAAAAAAGGATAGAATTACAAGGAGAAATAGAAAATACACAACTATAGTTGAATTTCTTTTTACACAGTGGTCTCAGTAAGTGATTGAAGAAGTAGTTAAATAGTTAATCACAACTTTGGAAATTAAACAGTGTAATTCTGGTCAGGTGTGGTGGCTTATACCTGTAATTCCAACACTAGGAGGATTGTTTGAGGCCAGGAGTTTGAGACCCGCCTGGGCAATATAGTGAGACCCCATTTTTACAAAAAAAATTTTAATTAGCTAGGCATGATGGTGCATGGCTGTAGTCCCAGCTACTTGGGAGGCTGAGGTGGGAAGACTGCTTGAGCCCAGGAGTTCAGGGCTGCAGTGAACCGTGATCACATCACCACACTGCACCCTGGGCAACAGAGTAAGACCACATCTCTAAAAAAATTAAAATTAAAAATTAAAAATTTTATAAACAATGTAATTCCAAATTACCTAAGGGCAAAAGAAGAAATTCCAGTGAAAACTAGAAAATATTTTAAATAATCCATGGACATATATCAAAACTTGAAGGACACAGCAAAAGGAGGGTCTAGAAGAAAATGCATAGCCGTTAACAGCTTACAGGAGGGCAAAAAAGTAATGAGCTAAACATCCACCTCAAGAAGTCCCAAACATATCAGCAAAACAAACCCAGAGAAAATAGAAGAATAAAAAGCAAAAAGGAAATACAAAACAAAGTACAATAAAGTTAGAAAAGCCAAAAGTTGGTTCTCTAATAAGACTAATAAAACAATAAACCAAAAGTAAGACTGATCAAGAAAAAAAATACGAGTTCTTCTCTGAGATGGGTATTTTTAAAAAAGAAAAGAAGAAGAGAAGACACAAATAAGAAATGAAATAATTAAAAAGGGAGATTACCATCACTTCTGTAGCATTACAAAATAATAAGGATTACTGAGGCCGGGTGGAGTAGCTCACTACCTGTAATCTCAGCACTTTGGGAGGCCAAGGCAGGTGGATCACTTGAGGTCAGGAGTTGGAGGCCAGGTTGGCCAACATGGTGAAACCCTGTCTTACTAAAAATACAAAAATAAAAAAAAAAAAAAAATTAGCCAGGCATGATGGCAAGTGCCTGTAATCCCAGCTACTTGAAAGGCTGATGCAGGAGAATTGCCTGGACCCAGGAGAAAGAGGCTGCAGTGAGCCGAGATCATGCTACTGCACTCCAGCCTGGGCGATAGAGTGAGTCTCTGTCTCAAAAAAAAAAAAAAAAAAAAAAAAAGGAATACTGAGAGCAATTTCATGCTAAAATTTAAAAACATATTTAGATACAATGGAAAAATTCCTAGACAATACAGATTACCAAATTGCCACAGAATAAGCCTAAAGAATATGACTAAAACTACTAATGAAATCAAACCATAATTAAAAACTTCGCAAAAAGGACTCTTCAGATCTTCTCCATAAAGTTCTACTCAATATTTAAGGAAGAATTATGCTATTCTTTTCATCCAAATTCATCCATAAAACACGAAATGAGAAATCAGTCCCCAATTATTTTATGAGCTCTCATTTTGATTCCAAATCCCAACAAGAACAGTATAAGAAAATTTACAGAACAGTTTCACTCATGAACATAGATGCAAAAGTTTTAAACAGTATAATGAATAAAGCAATATAGAAAAAGAAAAAGATTCATGACAAAGTTAGGTTTATTGCAGGAATGCAAGTTTGGTTTAACATTTGAAATTCAAACTAGAAATCGACATTTATTCATAATGAAAATTATTAGCAAACTAGGAAAAGAAGAAAACTTTTTTTTTTTTTTTTTTTGGGATGGAGTCTCACTCTGTCACCCAGGCTGGAGTGCAGTGGCACAATCTCGGCTCACTGCAACCTCCACCTTCCGGGTTCACGCCATTCTCCTGCCTCAGCCTCCTGAGTAGCTGGAACTATAGGTGCCCGCCACCATGCCCGGCTAATTTTTTGTATTTACAGTACAGATGGGGTTTCACCGTGTTAGCCAGGATGGTTTCGATCTCCTGACCTCGTGATCCGCCCACCTCGGCCTCCCAAAGTGCTGGGATTACAGGTGTGAGCCACCACGCCCAGTAGAAGAAAACCTTTTAAATATGATAAAGGGCATTTTACAAAACACCTACAGCAAACCTCAGGAAACACTGTACTTAATGTTGAACGAAACTAATTAGAAACAAGACAAGGATGTTCCCTATTATTACTACTGTTTAACAGTTTACACAAATCCTAGACAGAGAAATAAGGCAAGGAAAAGTAAAAAAAGAAGCAGAAGGGAAAAGAACTCATTATTTATAGATGTGATTTCATATATAAGGAATCTAAGAAACTCCACAGATGAATTATAAGAATTGATTAGATTGTAATAAGCTCAGTATGAAAAAGAGGACTGCATTTCTACATTCCATCCACATTCAAGTAGAAGATGAAAAATATTAAAAAGATAACATTTACATTAAATGAAAATCAAATACCTATGATGTGCAAATCTTCTACATAGAAAACAAAGTCTTATTGAGAAACTTTAAGAAAAACCTCATAAACAGAGCAAAATGCCATGTTCATGGATTGAAGACAATACTAATGTAATAGTATCAGTTCTCTTCAAATTGACCTAAACTCAATTAATTGAACTCAATGAAAACTCAATCAAAATTCCATATATCTTTTTACAATACTTGAACAAGATGATTCCAAAATTTACATGGAAATGTGAAGTGCTAAGAACAGCCAAAATCCTTTTGAGGAAGAGCAAGGTGTGGGACACTTATTTGTCTGGATATCTAGACTTATTATGAAGTTAATATAAAGAAAAAATTTAAATTTGACTACACTAAAAATTACTCTTGTTCTTCTAAAAGCATTATTTAGAAAGGAAAGTCACAACACAAGAGGAGGTATTTAAAATGCCATATAACTGCAAAGGGCTTGCATCCAGAATATACAGGAGGTTCCCATATATCAGTTTTTTTAAAAAACGAGCAGAAAAATGAGCAAGAAAAGTGGGCAATCCATATCTGAAAAGTTGAATTGTTTTACCAGTTATCATTTTACTTAAAAAAAAGTTAGAAAGTTTCAATAATAGTTTCATGCCACTTTAATACATTTCACAATGACAACAAAATTCAGTTTTCAGCTATACAGCATGATACTCTAACCATACTTTTCTTTTTTGTCTATTGTGTAAAATCATAATATTGGCTGTTTCATCTGTCCCAGAACATACAGATTCCCATTTGGTATCCACACTTGAGTACTGTTCATCATTTATTCTTACATCCTTATTTACAGTTTTTATTTGTGTTATTATTTCCAACAGTACTTTTTTTTTTTTTGAGACGGAGTCTCGCTCTGTCACCCAGGTTCTGGAGTGCAGTGGCGCAAACTCGGCTCACTGCAAGCTCCGCCTCCCGGGTTCATGCCATTCTCCTGCCTCAGCCTCCCGAGTAGCTAGGACTACAGGTGCCCACCACCATGTCCGGCTAATTTTTTTGTATTTTTAGTAGAGACGGGGTTTCACTGTGTTAGCCAGGATAGTCTCGATCTCCTGACCTCGTGATCCACCTGCCTCGGCCTCCCAAAGTGCTGGGATTACAGGCGTGAGCCACCACGCCCAGCCTCCAACAGTACTTTTAAGCTTCAGTGAACCACCCAATTTTAAGGAACTGGGAGAATATACAACAAAATGGTAAGAAAATACAAACTTAAACATAAACAATGTACAAATGATATAAAAAAGGTGCTGTACTCTCTTTTAACAGAGTTTCAGTAAAGACAAACTAAATGACAGTTCATACAGCACATGAAACGCTGAAAACATATTCATTACAGAATTTCTGTAACAACTATCACAAATTGCATAGTTTAAACCTGTGAAATATTTTTTAAATATTTCATTGCCTTTTTTTCTGAAACTGGAAACCACTATGTCGTGACAAATCAGAAGCAGTCTTTGGACCTCACTCTGAGAAGGACAAATCTAGTACAGTCAGACCAGGTACTCAGAGCCAGATGAATACACACCACCTGCCGTAACAGTGTCTGCCTCAACATGGCAGGCCCTATGGATAATCTACTCAAATCCCTGGCTAGAGTACCTCTGCTCCCTGTTATTTTTTCCAATGCTTTGTTTGTTCCCCCAGCTTCATCAGTCCCTATGTTGCTGCTGGAATCCTTGCTGGTGAAAAGATTAGGCCAGTTATGTCAGAAGCTTCCTCTACTGCTCTGAGGCCTGGTCTTGGACTTGTCAGCTGTAATGCTGTTCCCATTCCTGTATTCACCTTGTCTCTCCGTCTGCTAGATTTCCATCTGGCCTATTCTGATACCTTCAAGACTTACTTCTTCTAAAACAAGTGCTTCCCAGATTCATTTACCCATTCACCCAGCCCTTGCCTCATGCAAATTTTAATAATCGCATGGTTGAATAGTTTGTAAGCAGTTATCCTAATTTGTTAATATAAAAAGACCACATTGCCAAAGGACTTTCATTCCCTGCTAATAAACACAATGGTCACTCAAAACATCACTTTATTATAAAAGTTAAGTAAGTTTATAAATTTCACAAGTCATCTTCCTTGAGAAGTCACAAATTTTATAACTATTGTAAATATGGTCTCTACATTTAAATGTTAATTTCTATCTGTAAAGAAGCTCAATTATTTTACCATGCAGTAAATTTAAGACTGCCAAATGTTTGTCTTTAAATTTAACAGCTCATTCACATGAATCAAATCCTCAAAAACCTAAGAAACTAAAAAGTTCTGAAATAGGATTTACCAAAAACTTAATTTTTATTTATTTTTTAACAACCTGGTGATCTCAATCACAGGCTGAAAAGTTAGTAATACAGTGTGCTGATATGCAATTTGGTTTAGTTATCATTATTTTCTGTTTGAAAGATTAAAATACTCCTCACCAAAAAAATGAAAAGCTTTAAGAAATCTGCTCTGGAATAAAATACCCAAATAATGTCATCGGAGATTTTCTTTCGTTTATCTAGTAATCAACATAAGTAACTGCATCCATTTTTTAATATATAGACTTTTTCTTTGGTAACAGATAAAAATGAGCATCTCATCTCTAGATATTTTGCTGCCACATTCAATTATAACAAATGATAACATTGCCTAAGTAGTTTATACAAAGGCCGTTACTTTGATAAAATTGCTGCAATACTGTAATGAATCCACTGGGGCTTCCAGAAGGGGAAAAAACAATATGAATTCAGTGCGAAAACATTTAAAAGCACAGCCAAATGTCCCCATTTGACTAGAATGTTTATGAATACCCATAAAATGGAAGCTGGCCTAAGATATGCTAAATTCCTCTTTCAAAAGGGGTACTCAATATACTCTGTAGAAAAGGATTTGTTTAATAAAGCCAAAGCCAGTTTATATTCCCAATACATGTCTAAAATTCAGGCGATTTTTTTCTTCAAGCTTTGGCATTCAAAGTATATGTTCCAGAATTCTTCAAAGTTAAGAATGTTAAGGAAAAAAATAGTGAACATATTTTACCAGTGAAAATAATGAAACAATCATGTGCTGGATCCTAATAACATCTTGACAATAATGTGATTACTAACCAGAGAATTCCCCTCTTTTTGGATATCTGGGTTCCCAGGAGTGACTTATCTATGACTACATTATAAGTTAACATCTCCAAAAAAAAACCATACAGGCAGAAAGGCAGGCAGCAAATATCTATCAAATGTTTATTAAGGTCCTACTATTTACAAACCACTGTATTGGGTACTGAAAGATAAAGAAACATGGAGATTATAAATTGGGAGGGAAGGCACAACTTAGCTATACACTTAAACTTAATCAATATGAGACACTGTATTTGAGTGCCAAAATGTCTACCACATGGTCAGCACTTAATATTTGTTGATTTTATCTAAGTTACATAAAATGTGAGATCCTTGGATTTGACTAAAAAGTTTCTGTGACTAACCAATTATTTAAAAAACAGTTTGAGACTAAGCACAGTGGCTCACGCCTGTAATCCTAACACTTTGAGAGGCTGAAGCAGGAGGATCACTTGAAGCCAGGAGTTTAAGACTAGCCTGGGCTACATAGTAAGATCCTGTTGCTATAAACAACAACAATAAAACAACATTTAATTAGCTGGCCATGGTAGTGTATGCGTGTAATCCTAGGCTACTCAGGAGGCTGAAAAGGGAGGATCTCTTGAGCCCAGGAAATCAAGGCTGCAGTGAGCCATGATCATGCCACCGTACTCCAGCCTGGCTGACAGAACAAGACCCTGTTGCCCCACCAAAAAAAAAAAAAAACAAAAAATTAAAAAACAGCTTGGGGAAAATAATAATTTAAATATAGACTGGGTATTAGATGATTCTAATGAATCATGTCTAATGTAAGAAAAGCTTTCATATTTCTTAGAAACATACACTGAATATGTAAGGCTGAAATGACATGTAGTTAGAAATTATCTTTGAAATACTTCAGTAAAAGAAGAGAGAAAGGAAGAAAGAGAGGGAGAAGAGAAAAATTAATAGCTGAATCAAGTGTGGCAAAAATCTTAATAACTGTTGTGTTTGAGTGATGGGCATATTAATGGTCCATTATTATTCTCTCCCCACCTTTGGATATGTTTGAAATTGTAATAAAAAAGTAAAAGAAAAATTTCTTAAGACTGGAGTTTGAGCTGGCAAATGAAGATGAATAGGTAGGGGTTGAAAAGGAGAGCATTTTAGGCATTCTACTTCATTCCTAGCCCATCTGCCAATACACTAGCAGCCATTCCTTGATTTTCTTGGCTCCACAATGCAGCAGTCAGATCTCAGCAATCCTGAGTGCCTCAGCCCCCACCATGGTTAGCTAGCCTGCTTACTCTCTTTTTCTAACTTTCCTGACAGCCCACAAGCTCAGGATTTTGGCCCTGATCCATCTACTACATCCATCCTTCTAAATTTTGTTTCTAATTCCATGTGTCTCCAATTCCCAGTAGTTAACAGACTCCGGCTACAAAATGTAACACAAAAAGTTAAAAGATAGGCATTAAATGATAAACTCCATGGTAAATAACCTGTGTGAACTCAGAGTCCCTTGGAAAACTCATGTTGTCTATTGTAACATGTCCTTGACACTTGAATGTTTCCACCAAGTTGGTAGGTGAGCCTGGACAGAATGAATGCTTTAACTGGAAACAGTTTTACTTTCTGCTCTTAAGTCCTAGTTTGCCTTTCGCCCAAATGCCTATTCCATCCTGGGGATTTCTAAATCTTTTCAATAGTTTTAAAAGGTTAGAAATACCTGCATCACAAATTCTCGACGTCGAGGCATTCCTCTTTCTGAAAGCAAAACATAATCCGGCTCCTTTTCCTTTTTGGCCTGTTGAATTTGCGCCAGGCGGCTAATAGGGTTCATCCCTTGGCCATATTCTGGTCCGGCCTAAAAATTAATTTAAGAAAAAGTTTTAAAATATGCTTGTGAAACCTGTTATTGAATCCTTAAAGAAACAGTGCTTCTTCCCTCCACCCCCACACCCCAAAACTGTGACTAGAAAAGATAAATGAGTCATTTATGAATATTTATAAAGGAAAATCATAAAATAGACCTGTAACCAAGGCTTCTATGGGACTTGGGGCTTAGATGTATTAATGGCAAGGTGTCAACTATGCTTTTTAAATTGGGCACACTCTTCAGTATACCAGAGGTGCTTCACAACTTCTGTTCATCAAGAAACATCAAAAAGAACAGAAGAAGACCAACCATGAACTGGGAGGAGATCTCTGCAACACATTATCATTTTATTTTATTTTATTTATTTTTTTGAGACAGAGTTTCATTCTGTCGCCCAGGCTGGAGTGTGGTAGTGCAATTTCAGCTCACCACAAACTCCACCTGCCGGGTTCAAGCGATTCTCGTGCCTCAGCCTCCCAAATAGCTGGAACTACAGGCGCGCCCACACCATGCCCAGCTAATTTTTATATTTTTAGTAGAGATGGGGTTTCATCATGTTGGCCAACCTGATCTTGAACTCCTGACCTCAGGTGATCCCACTGGCCTTGGCCTCCCAAAGTGCTGGGATTACAGGTGTGAGCCGCAGCACCCGGCCACAACACACATAATTTTAAAAAGACGTATCCGGTATCCAAAATATATTTTTTAAGACCCCTAAAAAGTACTAAGAAAAAGAGAATATAAAAGGGAAATGGGCAAAAGAGATAAATACTTCACATAAGGAAAAACTCAATATATGAAATGATAACTAACCTCTAGGACACAGAAAATACATATTAAAAACCTCAGTGAGTTACTATTTCACATCCACCAAATTAGCAAAAATTAAGAAGTCTAACAGCCCCAAGTGGTGAGAATGGGGAGTAACAGAAACTCTTATAAAACACTGGGAGTACTATAAATCGGAAAACAACCTGGCAATGTCTAGTAAAGCCTGAGATGGTACATCCTACCCCAATTAGCCTATTCCTAGGCACATATAAACCCTAGAAAACCGTAACCCATGCACAGTAGCTCATATGTACAGGAATATCCACAGATGCATTATTTGAAATAGGAAAAAAAAACTAGAATATTCATCAATAAAAGAACAGATAAATTACAGCATGTTCATATAATGGAATGGTATATAGCAGTGAAAATGAATTAATTATTGCTACATGCATCAAGATGAATGATTTTCAGAAAGAATAGTAAGTAAAAAAGGCAAGCTACAGAATAATATATATATAGTATATTTTATGTAAAGCCTGCTAAAACTACAAAATACTGCTGAAATTAAGATCTAAATAGTCAATACATCATGTTCATCGATCAGAAGACTCAACAATAAGATGTCAATTCTCCTCAAAATCCCAGTAGGCTTTTTTCCTTTTTTTTTTTTTTTTTTTTTGGCAGAGTCTCACTCTGTTGCCCAGGCTGGAGTGCAGTGGCATGATCTCAGCTAACAGCAACCTCTGTATCCTGGGTTCAAGCGATTCTCTTGCCTAAGCTTCCTGAGTAGCTGGGACTACAGGCGCACGCCACCATGCCTGGTTAATCTCTGTATTTTTCATAGAGACAGGGTTTCACCATGTTGGCCAGGCTGGTCTCAAACTCGTGACCTCAAGTGATCCTTCCACCTCGGCCTCCCAAAGTGCTCAGATTACGGGCATGAGCCACCGCACCTGGCCCCCAGTTGGCTTTTTAAAATTTAATGTGTAAGCTGATACTAAAATTCATATGGAAATGCAAAGGACAAAGAACCAAAATTTTGGGGGAAAAAAAAAGACTCAGACTACCTAATTTCAAGATTATAAAACTATGGCATTCAAGACAGTGTGTGTAGTATTGGTATAAAGACAGACAAAGGGACCAATGAAACAGAATAAGTGCCCAGACACAGATATATATACACACATACACATACACACACACACACACACACACACACACACACACATACACACACACACACACACACACACACACACACACACACACGGTCACATGATTTTCAACAAAGGCACAAAAGGAATTCAGTGGGGTAGTCTTTTCAGCCAATAGTGTTGGGACAATTGGCTATTCATATGTAAAAAGAAAAAGAAAAAGAAAAAAAAATCTTCAAGCCAAACCTCATAACATTTATAAAAATAATTAACTCAAAATGCCTCACAGACGTAAATGTAATTTCTAAAACTATAAGATTTCCAGAAGAAAAATTTTTGTAACTTGGTTAGGTAACAATTTCTTAGATATAACACCAAAATCACGTTCCATGTAAAAAAACTAATAATAATAAAATGAAACAATATAAATAATAATAAAATAAACATAATAAATCTTCAAAATTAATAACTTCTGCTCTTTGAAAAAGACAAGTCACAGACTTGAAGAAAATATTTGCAAAGTACATATGTAATAAAGCACCTGTATCCAGAGTATATAAAGACCTCTAAAAATTCAATAATAAATTTATTATTATTTGAAATAAGCAATTAAAATTTGTTAAGCTGGCAAAAAATTTAAATAAACACTTCATCAGGCCTCATGTGACAGTAAACACATAAAAAATTCTTGATATCATCTGCCACAGAGGAAATGTAAATTAAAACCAAAATGAGATATCAATACCCATCTACATGAACATCTGAAATTTTAAAAACTATGCTAGGTGTTAGCAAGGATGTGAAACAATTGGAGTTATCACACACTGCTGATGAGAATGTAAAAGTGCACAGCTGCTACAACTTTGAAAAACTAAAGTTGACTATATACCTACTAAATGACCAAGCCATTCCACTTTGAAGGATTTACCCAAGAGAAATGAAAGCATATGCTCTTAAGATACACACACAAATATTCATAGCTGCTTTATGAGTAACAATCAAAAATTAGAAACAGCCCAAATATCCACTGACAGGTGAATGGATAAACAAGTGGTGGTATATCAATTCAATGAAATATTACCTGCAAAAAAACAGAACTACCAATTCATGCATGCAACAATAAGGATGAATCTCAAAATAATTATGCTGGGTTAAAGAAGCCAGCCAAAAAAAAGAGTGGTTTCTCGGCAAATTAAGGT
The DNA here is from genome assembly GCF_000001405.40 of Homo sapiens. NCBI lineage: Eukaryota > Metazoa > Chordata > Mammalia > Primates > Hominidae > Homo > Homo sapiens. The sequence goes on from NC_000008.11 coordinate 73,607,003, forward strand.
AGAAGATTACAAAGGGGCATAAGGAAAATTCTGGGAGGAATGGATGGGTTCATTATCTTGATGGTGGTTATAGTTTTACACATGCAAACAAATACGAAAACATATCAAACAGTGCACTTTAAACATGTACAAGTCACTCTATGTCAATTATACCTCAATAAAGTTGTTTAAAGGAACTAAACAAATAACTTTAGAAAAACAAACATAGTAAAACTATAAGGTAGGAAATGGTCATACAAAACTAGTGATAGAGGTTGCCTAGGGAAGGTTGCATGAGGACGTGATGGAAGAAGAGCATACAGAGAGCTTCAAAGCTTATTGAGAAATGTTTTATACTCAAGTTGGGCAGTAGGTCTTTCTCACACTTACTTAGTATGCTTTTTAACTTATACACAAGTTTATATATAGCTTTTTGTATGTATTATAACATAAAAGCAAAAATTCAGGCCGGGCGTGATGGCTCATGCCTGTAATCTCAGCACTTTGGGAGGCCGAGGCGGGCAGATCACCTGAGGTCGGGAGTTCGAGACCAGCCTAACCAACACAGAGAAACCCCATCTCTACTAAAAAAAAACATACAAAAAATTAGCCGGGCATGGTGGCACATGTCTGTAATCCCAGCTACTAGGGAGGCTGAGGCAGGAGAATCACTTTAACCTGGGAGGAGGAGGTTGCGGTGAGCCAAGATCACACCATTGCACTCCAGCCTGGGCAACAAGAGCGAAACTCCGTCTCAAAAAAAAAAAAAAAAGCAAAAATTCTTGGAAACCAAATTATCTTTCTGCATATGAACTTTCTTCATGTATTTTTCCTAGAAATAAAAGTCTGCGTATATCATACGGTCAAAACTTTATTTCCACCTATGAAAATTTATTCTTGTCTCTACTATCTGTAGAGACATGGAGACATGGATAATCACTCTGTTACAGATTACACGTTACACTAAACTTATGTAAGAGCCACTATGCAGTCTTAGCTCTTCCGGATGATTGCTGCCATTTCATCTTGACAATCTGTAGTTTGGTGCTCCAGGTACAGCATCCAGGCAGATCCCTCATGGTCTTTCAAACTATGTTTAGGATTTTGGACTTTATCCAAAGAGTAAGAAAATTACTAAGAGGTTTTAAGCAGAGGCATGATATGATTAGACAGGTGTCTCTAAAAGATCATACTTTTTAAACGATCATTTGGTGTCAAGAGTACTTGTAGCCAGTTAAAACCTTAACTGTAGTAGTTCAGGTTAATAGATGTCTGTGAGTTGGACAAAAGAGTGGCAGAAGGGATGGAAAAAAAGGAACCAACTTAAAAAACATTAGGTGACAAGGCCAAGCACAGTGGCTCACTCCTGTAATCCCAGCACTTTGAGAGGCCAAGGCAGGGCGGATCACAAGGTCAGGAGTTCGAGACCAGCCTGACCAACATGGTGAAAGCCCGTCTCTACTAAAAAAACAAAAATTAGCCACGCGTGGTGGCGCACGCCTGTAATCCCAGCTACTCAGGAGGCTGAGGAAGGCAGGAGAATTGCTTGAACCCAGGAGGCGGAGGTTACAGTGAGCCAAGATCATGCCACTGCACTCCAGCTTGGGTGACAGAGCAAGACTCCGTCCCATAAAAAAAAAAAAAGAAAAAGAAAAAAAAGAAATATTAGCTAACAGAGTAATAGGACTTAATGACTGATAGGACGTAAGGGGTAAGAGAGAAGTTAAACGTCGGGCGCAGTGGCTCACGCCTGTAATCCCAGCACTTTGGGAGGCTGAGGTGGGTGGATCACAAGGTCAGGAGTTCAAGACCAGCCTGGCCGACATGGTGAAACCCCATCTCTACTAAAAATACAAAAATTAGTCGGGCATGGTGGTGGGCACCTGTAATCCCAGCTGAGGCATGAGAATCGCTTGAACCCAGGAGGCAGAGGTTGCAGTGAGCCGAGACAGTGCCATTGCACTCCAGCCTGGGCAACAAGAGCAAAACTCCATCTTCAAAAAAAAAGAGAAGTTAAAAATGACCCCCAGCAGTTTCAGCAGCTGGATGTTTGTGCCAGTCACTGAGATAAAGAATGCTGCAGGAGAAAGAGGTTTAGAAGGGAAAATGATGAATTTGGGCCCAAAACTTGAGGCACCTGTGAAATACTAAGTGGGGATGTCTAATAGGTAGTGCAGAGCATACGGTATTCAGGAATCATCTATTTAAAGATGAAATTGAACCCCCAGAAGTAGAAGAACAGCTTAGGGAAAGAGGAGGAAAAAGACTGAGAACTTCACTGTTGCAATGGTTAGATGAAGGGAAAGGAAAGAGCAAAGGAAACTTTTAGCTTTTGATAAAATACTGGTTTCAACTTCCACTTATATCCTGAAAAAAAAAATTAAATAAAGGGCCGGGCGCGGTGGCTCATGTCTGTAATTCCAGCACTTTGGGAGGCCGAGGCAGGTGGAACATGAGGTCAGGAGATCAAGACCAGCCTGGCCAACATGGTTAAACACTGTCTCTACTAAAAATACAAAAAAATTAGCTGAGCATGGTGGTGTGCACCTGTAATCCCAGCTACTCGGGAGGCTGAGGCAGGAGAATCGATTGAACCCAGGAGGTGGAGGTTGCAGTGAGCCGAGATCATGCCATTGCACTCCAGCCTGGCAACAGAGCGAGACCCTGTCTCAATTAAAAAAAAATTAAATTAATTATAAGGGGAATGAAGAGGGACTGATGAGAAAAGACAAATCCACATAATAATTTATAAGTCTAAGATTGAAATCCCAATGAAAAGGTAAAGAGAAGCTCTGAGTCTAGCACTAGAAGTAGTATGCCCAGTTCATGAAGATGTTAAATAAGTAGGAATGTGTTTCCAGTGGCATACTGTCTTTATTTCTGTTTAATTTGACTCAAAGAATGTCTCTGAGTTCCAAGGAAATTATTGTTGATATAGATTGCAATGAAAAGAATCAGATACATAAATCCAATTTAGATAATGATGGAGTTCAGTGTACATTAAGAATTGCTTGGGGCTGGGCACAGTGGCTCATGCCTTTAATCGCAGCACTTTGGGAGGCCAAGGTAGGCAGATCACTTGAGCCCAGGAGTTTGAGACCTGCCTGCACAACGTTGCAAAACCCTGTCTCTACAAAAAATACAAAAAATTAGCTGTGCATGGTGGTGTTGTGCCTGTAGTCCCAACTACTTGGGAGGTGGGAGGATCACTCGAGACCAGAAAAATCAAAGCTGCAGTGAGCTGAGATCCTACCATTGCACTCCAGCCTGGGCAACAAGTGAGACCCTGTTTAAAAAAAAAAAAAACAACTCTGGGTGGCAAAGGCAGGCAGATCACTTTAGGTCAGGAGTTCAAGACCAGCCTGGCCAACACAGTGAAACCCCATCTCTACCAAAAAATACCAAAATTAGCTAGGTATGGTGGCACATGCCTAGTCCCAGCTACTCTGGAGGTTGACATGGGAGAATCGTTTGAACCCAGGAGGCAGAAGTTGCAGCCAGCCAAGATCATGGTGCCACTGCACTCCAGCTTGGGAGACAGAGTTAGACCCCGTCTCAAAAAAAAAAAAAAAAAAAAGGCAGCGGGGGAGGGGATGACTTGGTTTCTTGCTCTGATTGAAATGAACTACCAGCACCCTTGACAATTAAGTTATTCCTTGGACAGCAAATCTTAAATCATCATTCTATATACCAATAAGGACAGTCTTGTAATAATTGTGTCCAGAACATTTGATCTCTAAGATTAGAAAGCCTTCTTTGTAGTCTCGTCTTATAGAGGAGAATTACATTTAAAAACAGAATGTAAACACAAAGACATTATCAGGGCAGTTTTACATGTTAACAGGATAACCCTATACAGTGACTCTGAAAATCCAAAAGTTCACAATTAACCAATATCAAATGGGCACTGGAGTCAGATGTGACAACTGGATCTGAAAGCTGATTCTGCTACAGGATCTTGGATAGGTTTCTTAAATATAAAGGGCCTCATCTGTAAGATGGAAATGAATGCTGCATCACAGAGTGATTAAGTGATCAAATGAGACAATGTGATTATTTTATTACTTTAAATAAAACCAAGGCAAATAATCATAGATATTTTACCTGCTTCCATTGAGTGTAACAAACTATAGACCCTCAATGTATAAGCCATACAAGGAAGTGAGGAATATGCTAAAAATCAGGATACTATTCCAAGCTGATCCATTTACTGACATATTATAAGGTATGAACATACTTAAAATTATCTAGATTCCAACTCATTATACACATGTTGTTCTCTCAAAATAATCTTACATTTCAGAGGGTATCTACAAGCTTTATTTTAACATAAGACAGACATGGCAAAAGTAACTCCAAGTGTGATGTATATGAGGAAAAATGCAGGAGGCTAACCTAGTCTGGGAGTAGGAGAGGACCAGAGGAGTTCCTAAAAAAGTCAAGTTTATGCTGAGATCTGAATGATGCATAGGAGGGAAGTTCTGGGATAATATTACTTATATACTGGAAGCAGTAGCAAATAACTGAGAATTCAAAATGTTTCTCCTGTCTCCCACCTCTGGGGAATAACATTTAAATAATAATCTTGCTTTTAATAGCTATAGTTAAAACAAGAGTTAGATTTATATCCTACTATAGAAATGTACAGATCTTTTCCAGCCTAACAGTTTATTATGATGATTATTATTATGATTATTATTATTATTATCATTTTGAGATGGAATCTCATTCTGTCACCAAGGCTGGAGTGCAGTGGCAGTGATCTTGGCTCACCTCAACCTCTGCCTCCTAGGTTCAAGCGATTCTCATGCCTCAGCCTCCTGAGCTGTAGCTGGGATTAGAGACGCATGCCACCACAACCGACTAATTTTTGTATTTTTAGTAGAGACCAAGTTTCGCCATGTTGGCCATGCTGGTCTCGAACTCCTAGCCTCAAATGATCCACCCGCCTCAGCCTCCCAAAAGTGCTGGGATTACAGGCATGAGCCACCGTGCCCAGCCTGGTTTGCCTGGTTTATTATTCTTAATTTATCAAGATAAAACTTAGTTTAATAGAGCAGACAGAAGTTATGTGACCAGTTTTGTGCCACCATTCCAACATAAAATGCTGTTCCTCCATCACAGAAAAGCCATAGATTTTATATATTAATAGATTTAAGAAAACAGTTCATGGATATATTCACATAAACATAAAATGTGAATAGGTAGTATTAGATACAAAATACCAATAGTTAATATGTGTTATTTATTATAGTATTTGCATTATCATTAATAACAATGAATACTTAATAATTACTAATGCATTTTGTGCATTGTTTCAGTTAATACTTATAACAATCCCATACAGCAAGGTCAGTTACTATTCCCACTTTATAAATGAAGAAATATTTTTAAAGTTAGGTAACTTGCTCAGGCCACAGGGATTCATACTCAGAACTGACTCCAAAGTTCATTCTCTTAATAGCTATATTCTACTCCTGACTGTGTAGGAGGAGCATATGAATGAAAGTGCCAGTCCTCTTTGGAACCACTATGACTCATGATAAGTGGATCTATTTGTATTTATTTTTAGTCTACCTTACATATAACATATAATTCCAGTTCAGGGAATGCATTACCTACTACATCTTCTAAGTGAAGTCATGTCAGTATTCATTAAAAACAAATATTTAAGTAGTTATTTTTGTATATATGTATATATGTATTTTAAATAAAGGTACAAAGGTATAAAACCTGTAAAAATACCTAAATTGTGCCATTGTGCAATCAAAAGAAATCCATTGAGATTAAATATATTTCTTATCTGTAATCCTTCATTTGTATAGCCTGATCAGAAGAAGGCTGCTAAATCAGTGAGGCTGAGCCAGCAACTAAAATGCTGGCAATTTAAGGCTTTCTCTGGAAACACAGAACTCTAGCTCCAGACATGTCATACGTGTCAAGCATTCACAGGCACTGTCCTGTACTAAATGCTGATTCATCTCATTCCTCTGATATTTACCTTGCTTCTCTTATTAATGTAAATAAATTCTGACCCAATAAAAGAGTCACAATATCTTGAAAAGCTGTGTGCTCTATATTCTTCTTTGGCAAGGTATACACATCTGAACGAATGGCAACAAAATAACACCATCTACTTCATATGGTTGCTATGTGGATTAAATGTGATTAAAGCATGCAAAGTGTTGGGACAAAGTCTGGCACATAGACTGCTTTATGATTTCCAGCTGCTGTAGCTATCATTGTTAGTATTAGTCACATGATTTTTTTGTGTGTATCCTGTTACCATTTCATGATATCCTAAGAAGTTACTATGCAACAGCCATGTGTGCAGAAAGAACACTGGATTAGAGATCAGAGCGGTTCAGGAGGTTTGACATGATTGCTGAATAAAAATGGGCAAACTCTTTGAACACGTTTTGTAAAATCTTATTTGTAAAATGAGGGCTAACATCATCTACCTTATACGGTCATGAGGGGGATTATAGTAAAGGTGACATGAATGGTAAAGCACTTTTTAAACAACAAAGAAATACATAAATACCTAAGGTATTATGATTATTTGATGTACAAATGCAGGTGCACAGGTATTTAAAAAGCAAAATAGAATTGTCATTAATTTATAGTCACATGTCCTGCCCTCATTTCAGGACTGTATATAGTCCATAAGTTCAGGGATCTGCCTTATAGAAAAATGCTTATCTATAGCTACTATAATATTTATTTAGTAAAACTGACTGATGTTCACAAATATAAACTTACCTTTACTATTGTTTTAGGGCGTTTTTTAAAAAATAGTTTTGGCTTTTCCACCACAGGAAGAGGTGGAAGTTTTTTAAGCTCCTGTAAGACGGTGGTCGCAGCGCGCTTCTTGGAGAGTTTTTTGCTATTTCCTTCTCCTTCTGCAGAGAACTCTCCTACTGACACTCGAGTAACAAAGCTTTTCATATGTGGTGGTCCACTTTCTTTAATAACCTATTAAATACAAGTAAAATATTAAATAATGGATAGGCACTTGAGATGTATTCTTAAAGTATGACTTAATATTCATATCAAAACCAAAATTAGTATTATGCCAAAATTATAGTATTTCTTTAAGAAAGCTATTATGAAGGTATTATACTGGGACTATTTATGACACTTGATGCTTAATGCAATTGAAACAAAAGAAATCTAAATAAACACATTTGATTCATAGTCAAAATGATTTATTACTTTAAAACAGATCATTCTAATTACAGTTTCTCCATGTCTTATGGAACACAAATTTAAGAACATCAAAGATACCATTAGATTAGATACCATATTAGATTGGTCATCTAGAATGATAATTTGTATATAATTACATACCTAACTTCCTCCTATGTACGAGTAAGTTGCTGGAGAAACGAGTAGTTCTATAAACCACAAGGCACTGTGCCTGTGGAAGCCTCTCAAAAACAGTCAATGGATAAAAATAAGCTGTTTTTGATAGGGATGTCAAAAGCTGTTTTACAGAAAGGGATATTTATTCTTGTGACACGATTTTAAAAAGGTAAGTAGGTATGCCAAAAAAATTCCTAGCTTTCTAGAGTAATGAGTTATGGACCTGTCAACTATGAATGTAATGTTCCTAAACCTTGTTTAATCTGCAATACTAAATATTTAACCTTTAATTGTTCACATTAGATCATCATTATAAACATCAGATATCCTACATCATAATATATTGATGTTCCCAAGAACACCTAAGAATAATAAAACTGTCTGTTCTTACTCATTGTAGCCTTTAAAAAAAATCCCAATAATTTTTTAGTATAAGCAATTACTTTTTACAGGTTTTCCAAATTTTCCGTATCATTTCTTGCTGGACCAATAGGATCTCAAGTACATTCTCTCCCTGACTTCCTCATTTTGCTGCTTTTAACAAGCTGTGGACCGAGAACTGAGATAATGCAACTTGTAAGAATGTGTCCAAGAGAAAGCAAACAGTTTCTCAGTCCAACTCAGATGATCCTGCCAATGAGTAAGATGTGGGAGCTTTCTAGTAGGTGAATGTCATACAATGTGAGGGAAGAATCTCCACAACTCTTTCAGCTTATTTCCTGGTTCTTGTCTACTTTCCAGACATGAGTTGTAAAATTAGTGACCTCTTAATAAAAGAAGTATTATAATAATTATTTTTTTAAGTTTTCTTTTTTGAAATTTCATACAATTTTATGAATATATTTGCAATATATTTATCTAGCTGTTAAGTCAAGAGTTGCTTCATTACATCTTACTTCTTGGTGATTTTGTTAGTTGAGGTTAAAGTGAAACATATTTTGGCCTCCACACAATTGAAAAAAAAATTGGATATTAACATGTATGTCACTAAATCTTAACTTGAATAAATTTAATTTAATCCTATTTAAAATGCCAAATCTTATAGGATACCACAAATTATCTATACCCAGAAAATAACTTTTATAATAAAAATTGAAATACCATGTATACAAAAGGCTTAATACAGAAAAGAAAAAAATCAGAAGGAATCTGTGTTATCATCATGATTTCTATTTTCACCAGGGCCTAGATCATTTCATAATACTGGGTTTGAACATATAGAAGCACACTAACTCTTGCAGGATACTAATACACCAGTTAATTTGATTTGTTTGTTTAAAATAACCACAGCAAGGGAAAAAATGGGAAGATCTCTACCGAGTACATACCTCAAAACTGACAGGCATATTTCGCTTCAGAGCAATTTCAAACACTAAGCTGATCTCAGACTTATTTGCATCTTTGTCATCATCCACATCCTTTCCTGATTCACCATTCTAAATCACAAAAAATAGGATAACACTGAATCTTGACATTATAACAAACTTTACTTTTATTCTACAGTCAAGATGGCCTATTTAAATTACAAGAAGAAACAACAAACTATATAGACTGTATCTGCTGCATTCTCCTGTAACCACAGCGGTCAAGGGCTTTGCTGCCAGGCTTTTTGTTACTCGATTTTTAGCTTGTTTTCCTTGAAGGAAAAGCATTTAATGCAGACTTTGGAAATCTTTTACTCAACCATACACTAATTTGAGTTTAGCCTACATCCCTAAACCTGGCACTCTTGTTTTAGAGTTCTCTACCCACCCAACCCCCAACACCCAGGAATTCCCCCACTGGTGTTCTAATGTGATCTATGAGGATGAAGTTACAGAAAGAGTACAGGATGCAAACCAGGAGCATCCTAATTGGAGATCTATGTCTGGCACAGGCATTGGTTTACTTTATTCACTTATTTAACACATACTTCTGGAAGGCCTCATATATGCTGAACTTACTATAACTATTAGAAAGAGACAGTATTCCTTGCTGTCAAGAACTGGGAGAGAATGATCTAGTGGGAAAACAGATCAAGAAATAGATAGGAGCTCTCATGAAAGAGTACAAGCAGAAAAACACCTAAGTCTGCCATTAAGATAAATATCAAAGGAGAAAGAAACAATTGGTTTGGGGAAAGGAAAACTGTAGAGGTTGAACTGTAGGGTAAGTAAGAAGCTCACTATGCTGCCGGGCATGGTGGCTCACGCCTGTAATCCCAGCATTTTAGGAGGCCGAGGCAGGCAAATCACGAGGTCAAGAGATCGAGAACATCCTGGTTAACACAGTGAAACCCCATCTCTGCTAAAAATACAAAAAATTAGCTGGGCGTGGTAGCATGAGCCTATGGTCCCAGCTACTCAAGAGGCTGAGGCAGGAGAATCGCTTGAACCCGGGAGGCAGAGGTTGCAGTGAGCTGAGATCCTGCCACTGCATTCCAGCCTGGGCAACAGAGCGAGGCTCCATCTCAAAAAAAAAAGGAAGCTCACTATGCTATGTATAGGACATGCCTGAGCTAGAGATACTATTTTGAAGTCAATCAAGAAAGTAGCTGAAGCCATGAGAATGAGTGAGATTACTTAAGAACAGCCTCAATGTCATTTGTAAAACAAAAGAGGACTGAAAAATCCATAAAATCTCTTCCACTTTAAATCCTTGATTCTAGATTCACACAATGTAATCTATATTCAATAAACATAGTATGAAATATAAGCCAAATCAATGTTATTTCTCATCCTCATATACATCCCCAAATCCCCAGTTGCCTGGGAAGTGAACTCAAGGGAAGAACCAAAGCTCTGAAAGGTAGTCACCCTGCAGGAACACATGAAGCAAGACTGTCAGGTCTTCACTCTAGTATTCTTCCCTATCAGAACAGATTATTTATTTTAATTATAAAATGCTCTGATTTGTTTCACTGGGAAAGTAGAAAGAACAGACTGTCACATGCAGCAGCACCACACCTGAGGAGATCTTTCTGGAATAGGTTCATTCTGCAGTGCTTGGAGGGCTTTCATTGCAGCATTGTGTCTAGCAGCTTGTCGAGTCTTTCCTTCCCCAAAAAATTCATTATTTCCTACAGTGAGCTGAACATAAAAGATCTTAGGCACTGGGCAATGATACCTAAAATAAGAAAATAAAAACATTAAAGTTAGCTTAATAAAACCACTCTATAATCATTCATAAGATTTGTTTAAAATGATACCAATTATATAATGTGCTATACTCTTAATAAAACTTTAACCTCAAAAACATACTTTTTTGATAAAATGTGAGTCAATACATCTATAGATAATAGCTTATACTGATCTCCATGAAAAACATATATAGAATACAACATTAAACATAAAACAATACAGTAAAAATTATTTAATTATATCACAGGATACTTCCTGGTGAGAAGTTTTCGGTCAGATTTTGACAGAAGTAAGAGAACAGTCTGATGAAGCTACAACAGAGGCTGGGTCAGGCAAGACTGTTCAGGCGACAACATGTAGATTACCGTGCTTTTTGCAGAAGATAATTACGATTAGAAATATAGATTAGAAATGGACCGACTACAATGCAAAGTAATAAGGAGAGCAGATTCAGCATAAGAATAAGGAGTTTAGGCCAGTTCTTAAGCAGGAAGTGTTATATTCATACATTTTACGGTGCCTGAGGTAATGAGGCTAATGAGGTGTGACTAAAAAGCTGCAATAATGCAGATATGAAGAGATAACAGAGAATGTAAGAAGAAACAAAAAAACCAAAAGAAATTAAGCAGAAAAAATTAAGATATGTAATAAAATCCATTAATTCAACAATTATTTATGGAGCGTCTTCTATTTGACAGGGGACTATGACAATGAACAACAACACTTAGAGTGGGGAAGATAAACAATAAGAAAAATATGTAGAATACCTAGTATGTTAGATGTAGATGTAAGAAAAAGTAAAGAGGAAAGGGTTCAGAAGTGTCAGGGAGGTAGGTTTTAGATAGGGTGGCCAAGAGAAGTTTCATTGAGAAAATATCAATTGTGTAAAGACATGAAATAAGTTAGGGAACAAGCCATGCAGATCTCTGGGACAGTGCATCTGAAGCAGAGAGTATACCAGCAGCAAGGGCAGCGAGGCGGGAGTGTGCCACACATGTTCAAGTAACTCGGAGGAAGCCTGTCTGGCAAAAGTTTAGGGAGACAGGAAAAGCTAGATGAGAAGAGGTGGCAAGATTCCATAGGGCCTTCCCTACAAATTGCTGTAGGCATTTTTAACCCAAGTGAAATGACCAGCCACTGGAAGGTTCTGCACAGAGAAGTGACAAAATCTGACTTATCTCTTGGAATAACCATCTGACTACTATTTTGAGGACACACTGTAGGGGAACAATGCTGGAAGCAAGGATATCTAATAGGCTACTGGGATAATCAAGGGGAAAGGTGACAGTGGCCTGAACTAGGGTGTAGCAATGGAAGTAACGAGAAGTCATTGTTTCTAGATGAATTTTGAAAGTAGAGATGATGGGTTTACCCAAAGACTGGCTATGGAATATGAGAGGGGAGTCAGGGATGACATCACGGTTTCGGAACTAAACAACTGGAAAATGGAGTACCCATCTATTGAGACAGTGAAGATTGCAAAAGAAATGGGTTTGCTGGGGGTGGATTTCAACAGCTCTGTTTTGGGGATATTCAATTATTAGACCTATTAGATATCCAAGTGTAGATGTCAACTGGACAACTGAATTTATTAGTCTGGACTTCAGGAAAGAGGTCCAAGATAGAAATAATATTTGGGAATCATCAGTATATAGGTGGTATTTAAAGGCATAATATAATGAGAACTCTGTGGGAGGGTGTGATGGGAGAAAAGCCAAGCAAGCACGATGTCCTTCCTGAAAGTCAAACAGGAAAAAAGTCTATCAAGGAGAAGGGAGGGATTAACTGGATCTAATGCTACTAACAGGTCAAGTAAAATGATGACTGAGAAATATGACCACTGAATTGAGCAACTTAGCAAAATAAACAGAATCGATTTTGATGGAATGGTGGATTTACAACTGCAATGCTGAAAAAAATGAGTTAAAAATCACTCCAGTCCTAAAAAATGTTTGTTTCCAAGCAAAAAGAAGTCCAATTGAGGTCCTACTATATTTTAGATAATTACTGCACATCCAAGTAGTGACGCTCTATGTCCAACCTGAGATAAACTGGATAGAGCGCATCATGTAAGCATTCACCAGGCAGATGGGACTAATCAATGAAGGTTTACTGAAGGTGAAGAACTAGAAATGTTGATTGGTACTGAAGATGCAGATTTGTGAGGCAATAATTGAAACCATGCAAGTGGATAAGCACCTGGAAAGGGTAAGTGTAAAGGAATCAAAAAAGAGCCTAAGGCTCGGAACTGATTAATGCCTGTGATCAAAGTGCAAGGGAAACAATAGACAGCAGTGAAAGAGATGAAAAAGGGTCAAAGTTAGAAGAAAAATTACAACACAATGTCAGGGACAGGAGTAATTAACAGTGTCAAATGAAGGAGAGGAATTCAGAGTATGAAAAAAAAGAAAAAGTTGCTGTTTTAAATGCTTAACCTAAAATCAATTTTCTTGAACTACAGTTTTCTATTAATTTAAGATAACGCATTTTAAATGTTTTTATTATAAACAAAGATTAAAAAGCATTAAAAAACTATAATCTTTTTTGCTTTTTGGTTACAACAATTAAATATTGTGTACTGAAGTGCACAATTTCCTATCATCTATTTTATTTTAATCCCTTTAATGCAGAAATTTATTTTAATTCCTTAATGCAGAAATCTGACAGACTAATATGAATAACGCCGGTCATCTTCACTTCATATTTCTCAAAATTCAATTTTCCCACCTCCACATAACTTTGTTTATTTTTAACTGGTGGTACTATAAAACTTTAAAACAGACAACTTGAAATCAGAAATTTACTCCTGAAGTGAGATCTCATATGGCAAACTTTCACCATAGAGCAAATGTTTACAATTAATTATAAACTTCTGAAAATAGAAGGTCCACAACTGAAATGCTAACAGACCTTTAACTACAGTAGAGGGAGTGGGCGCCACTATAATCACTAAGGCCTGCTGACAATTACAAAACTCATTTTGGTTTGCCACAGAGACAAACAAAATTTCTGTTCATTGTAACTTTACTGGAATATGATGTCATAACACATAACCATACTGAAACAATCTGCTGATTTTCTGGCCAAAATATTAATTGCACACCAAAGAGCCCTTGGGGCCTCTCCCTTTTTGGTCATCAAATATGGCTCAATGTATGTGTATGTGCATGCATGTGGATATATATGTATATATAAATTATATTGTGTAAGTATCAGAGGAAAAATTAAGTATGTTGCATTTTTAACATAAAAGGTAAAAATTCTAGCACTAACAACAGGAAATACCAAGACTGGATGCCTGACTTATTTCATTCTGTTTCACTTCATCCTCTTACTTAACAATGATTCTTAATAATATACCCCACATGGTTTGAATACCTTATATATCACATCTCCTCATACCATCATGACAATCAAGATTAGCCAGAGCACTCTCATTAATTGCATCCAGATTGAATTACAGGGGAGATGATGCAGAATGGTTTTTGTGTGATAGGTCTGGTCTCAAAATACTTACTTCCTTTGGTAAAGAAATACCCAAAGTTTATTAATTATAAAGATCGATATGTTCTATTTAGTGGATTTCCTTCTACTTTCACTTATTTCAAGTATTAAGCTCACTTTTAGTAAGGTATTTGATATGGTTTGGCTGTGTCCCCACTCAAAATCTCATCTTGAATTGTAATCCAAATTGTAATCTCCATGTGTCGTGGGAGGGACCTGGTTGGAGGTTAAGTGAATCATGGGGGCGGTTTCCCCCATGGTATTCTCATGATAGGGAGTGAGTTCTCACAAGATCTGACGGTTTTATAAGCGTCTGGCATTTCCCCTGCTGGCATTCATTTCCTCTCCTGCTGTCCTGTGAAGAGGTGCCTTCTGCCATCCTGAGGCCTCCCCAGCCATGCAGAACTGTCAGTCAATTAAACCTCTTTTCTTTATAAATCACCCAGTTCAGTCTCGGGTATTTCTTCACAGCAACATGAGATCAGACTAACACAGTAGGTATAATAAGTGATGTACATATTTTTACAAATTAGTATATTTACCTAAGCAGACATAGCTATTCTTGAATGATTTTTCTCAAGTAGAATTCTGTGGTCAATGTTTAGATCCCCATAATGATTACTGTTAAAAGATGAACCACGAAAACTCCCCCATCCAAGTTATTTAAGTTTCAGGGTCAAATGGTTGCATTTCTTTTAAATCCCAAAAAAGTCTTGGGATTTGAAAGATCCTACTTTCATCAGAATTATCTTCCATGCTTGTTAAAAATGAAGATTCCTGTGATCCAAGCCTGATCTGCTGCATCAGAGTTTCTGAGGATGGAACCATAATTTTAAGCTGCCCTGCTGACTCTCTGCACGATAAAGGTCCAGGATTATCACCACATCCCACAATGTGGCCCATGTGACTTGGCAATTGCTTCAGAGTCCATTCAAGGAGACCACACACAATGCTTACTGCACAATGGTTAGGTCTTTCTCTCTTTTTTTTTTTTTTTTTTTTCCTGAGACGAAGTCTCGCTCTGCTGCCCAGGCTAGAGTGCAGTGGCTAGATCTCGGCTCCCCGCAAGCTCCGCCTCCCGGGTTCTCGCCATTCTCCTGCCTCAGCCTCCCGAGTAGCTGGGACTACAGGCGCCCGCCACCATGCCCAGCTAATTTTTTTTTTTTTTTTTTTTTTGAGACGGAGTCTCGCTGTCGCCCAGGCTGGAATGCAGTGGCGCAATCTCGGCTCACTGCAGGCTCCGCCCCCTGGGGTTCACGCCATTCTCCTGCCTCAGCCTCCCGAGTAGCTGGGACTACAGGCGCCCGCCACCTCGCCCGGCTAATTTTTTGTATTTTTAGTAGAGACAGGGTTTCACTGTGTTAGCCAGGATCGTCTCAATCTCCGACCTTGTGATCCGCCCGCCTCGGCCTCTCAAAGTGCTGAGATTACGGGCGTGAGCCACCACGCCTGGCCAGGTCTTTCATATCTCTTTTTCATTTAATCCTCACTACAGCCTGGTGAGGCAGGAGATGTCCCCAAGGTCACCTTAAGAGGTAACAAATGTCCCCAAAAGAGTTGCTGGGAACCAAATTTAAGTCTGCCTAACTGCAGAGTCCAGGAAATTCCGTATGGAGCTTCCTAAAAATCTGCTTTATCTTCTTCCATTTTTGTTAATTTTTGTTTATTAAATTGTCTATCTTCATGGAAGGCCAGAGAACCTAATGCAAGGGATCTAAAGTAAGGCCCACTGATAGACTTCAGAGATGTTTTATTGAGTGAATGGCTGCTGAAACAAACAGACAACCATGATGAAACACTGTGTTTCTGCAGCATGTCAGATCAAATAGACACAAGTGCATGACGTAAAATCAAAGTGAAACATCAAAATGAACAGCGTTGTGTGCCACATTACTTAACAGACTAAATCTGACAAATGCTGCTTGCAAGGCCTTTTTATCCCCATGTCTCCTTGCCTTCTAACTGCTGGAAGTCTTGCAAAAAATAAATAAAATTGTAAATAAAATAAAATAGAATCTTCCTTTCCTTTAGATCCCAAACAAGTCTTGAGATTCAGCCTATCTTCAAGATACCACAAGTCAATACAACAGTAAGAAAGAATGTATACTGGTTCCTTTGATTTAATACTTGATATTCCTTACAGTTTTTTTGAGTAAAGGAAAGATTTTACATTCACTTATATCTGACTGTTAGTTGTAGCAACTTTTTATACCACATATCCTTGCCAACCTCCCTAAAGTTACTTCATTTAATGCCCTCTTTATGGACTCATTTTGTATTATCTTTCTAAACAACTAAAATCCCGTATGTCCTCCCTACCATTCTGTGACTGTTTTATTCTCCAACATCTCCACTTTCCTGAGTATCATTTTTACAAGGTGAGAAAGACATATCCCAAATAACATTAGGATTTTTACAAATTGAAAAATAATTACCTCATTCTATTTGATAGCATTATTCATAAATCTCAACACAGCTTAAACATTCATATCTCCCCTACAGACTTACATCTTAAAATATATGAAAATGCTATCTTCCGATCTAATAAGGAGAGGCTTTGGATTTCTGTGTTTATTTCTAACATTGACTGGAAACAGAAATGTCACTTAACCTTTCTATCTCAGTTTACTTATCTACAAAATATTTGTAGAATTTATGTTTAAAGGACCCTAAAGGCCAAAACTAAGAATTCAAATGACATGTCGATTATTTTGACTCTTTGTACACTTTTTGGCACTGCTAAGCATTCTTTTTCTTGCTGTAGAAAAACAGCAGGTTTTTATCATAGAGCTATAAAATAGTCCTTGGCACATTTTCAAACTTGTATGTATATAAAATATCTAGATAGAAGACAGTTCTTTCTCTATTCATATCTACAAATTTTGAAAAATATATCTTTTATGAGATCTAACTGTTAATTCTTGAGGAATTTCAAATATTAGGACTGATTAGAAAAGATTCACAGGTCAGATGAAAATATGCTTTAAAAGAGGTGTATGGATATTCTATTTGTAGAATTACTGTAAGTATGTTTTAAATGCCTAGAGGAAATATAGAAAGATATGCACTAAAAGCTAGGATAGGGTGTTTTGAAATGATAGCATTATAAATGATGTTCTTTCCTCTCATAATTTCAAGTTTTAAAAAATAATACGGTACACTAGAATAAAAATGGAAAAAAAAATACTTAATTGAAGGAAGTCTAGTCCCTATCCAAACAAAGGTAAATCTGTGTTTGAAATTAAATTTGATAAACTAGTGGAATGATTTATGGAATACAGAACACAAATCAAGAGAATAAGTAACTTGTACTGTATCACTGACAGTAGTGCCATAATCAGGACTATGCAAAGCACAGCACGTTATCAAAGAGCCCCATTATTGTAAACACACAATCACCACCCTCAATCTCATACTTGGAACCAACATAAACTTGTTCTTGCCCCTTCTCTAAATGGATATATAGATAAATCATTATCACATCACCATTATCATAATTAGAGCTAAAACATACAAAGCACTTACTATGTGCCAGGCACTATTCCAAGCATTTAGATACTAATCTCACTGAATCCTCACAACCCCACTTCATTTTACAGATGAGGAAACTGAAGAATAGAGATATTCACTAACCTTCCCAGGGCCACCCGACTTGAGCTCACATTTGAGCCCAGGCAGTCTCACTCCAGAACCCATGCTCATAACTGCTATACCATGCTGCCTCTGAATGAACTGGATAGATGAACACTATAAACTGCAGAAGTACTAACTATAAACTCTGAAGAAGTCATGCTGGACTGGGAATATCAAAGCAACTTAAGTCTCTCTAGATGTATGAGATCTGGCAGATTCTGAAGATCTCTGTACGCCAAAAGTCAGGTGCAGGATATCAGCTGCCAAAGGCAATGATGGGGACACTGTAAGTCTAGAAGACCAAGTTGACTGCAAAGTCCTATTTCCTCTCTGCTCATTTTTTGTCTCCTCTTAACCCACCCATCTGGAGCCCAGGTTTAAATGTTCTCATTAGGGAAATGCAAATCCAAACCACAATAAGACACTACTTCACACACCCACTAGGATGGCTATAGTTTAAAAAAAAAAAGTCATAAAGACATGGCAAATTGGAACCCTCATACATTCTGGTGGGAATGTAAAATGGTGCAGTTGCTATGGAAAATAGTTTACCAGTTCCTCAAAAAATTAAAAGCAGAATTACCACTTGACCCAGCAGTTTCACTTCTAAATATATACCCAAGAGAAATGAAAACTGGGGTTCAAACAAAAACTCGTAGGTAAATGTTTACAGCAGCATTATTCCTAATAGTCAGAAAGTGGAAATAACCCAAATGTCCCGATGAATAAATAAAATGTGGTATGTCCCCACAATGGAGTGTTTTACAGTCGTACAAAGGAATGAAGTATAATTACATGCTACAACATAAACGAACTTACATTATGCTAAGTGAAAGAAGCTAGATACAAAAGAGTATATACTCTATGATTCCATTTAGACAAAATATCCAGAATAGGCAAACCCATAGAGACAGAAAGTAGATTAGTGGTTGCCAGGAGCTGGGAGGATGGAGTTTGAGGAGTAACTGTTAACAGGTATGGGGTTTCTTTTAGGAGTGATAGATATGTTTTGAAATTAGACCACGGTGATGGCTGTACAACACTGTGAATGTACTAAATGCACAATGAATTGTATACTTTAAAATAGTTAATCTTGTGTTACGTAAATTTTATTTCAATACAAATCATTTTTTTAAAAAATGTTGATACTCCCTAGGGTTCTATTTTGTTTCTCACTGACAAGACAGTTTTTGTAGGTGATCTCACCTACTCTCATTCACATTCTTGGCAGACTCCCACAAACTAGCCTACCAAATTTTGTAAAGGGAAGTGTAAAAGACCTCCCTTTTGCACTCTAGGATGTTACTGACCTGGTCTTCTTCCTACTCTTGTCTAATTGCTAGGGGGGTATGTGAATTACATTAATAATTCAACATATACTTATTAAAGGCCTACTTCATGCTGGGATGGAGTTTTAGTTTCTAGAGATGGAGGACTGCCCTCAGGAAACTATCAATCAAGTAAGTACACATACACACACACACACACACACACACACACAGACACATACACATCAACAAATGAGATGAGCTAGGAAGAAAAATAAAGCATGGTATAGAAAAAGATTAACAGGGGCTCCTTTAGGAGGTGACATTTGAACACAGATTTGAATAAAGTGAGAATTCTAGGCATGGAAATGCCAGAAAGAAAAAGTGCTCTAAGCAAATAAGACAGCAAGTGCAAAGGCCCTGCAGAAATAACATGTTGGTTGGTCCATTTTTGAGAAAGGGCAAGTGTTCCTTGTACCTGACAAGCCCTGAGTCAAGGAATGATTAGTAGGAAACTAGGTCTGAGAAGTCACCAGGCAGCAAATCAGAACTTAATTCCACATGATGGAAGCCACTGGAAAGTTTTAAGCAGGAAAGTGGCACAATCTGACATGATTTAAAAGGATCTTGTTGCTATTTACCCGAGGAGAGGCAAGAAGAGAATAGGTGACAAGCCATTCCATAGTGCAGGAAAAGTCATCTCTAAAAATAGGAGACTGAACTGCTCAAGAAAATATAGGATTGCAGGCAGTGCTACAATTTCACTTAAGGATTGTGGTCATTATATCAAGGTGGACTAGTCAGCATAGATGTTTTTCTGTAGCTTCCTAGGAGCAACTGCAGCAGAGTCAGAGGAGCTGGAATTAACCAGTTACAGTTTTGCCAAGCATCGCTGCTCATTCCAACTGGGAGGCAGTAGAACACACAGGAATTAGGTAGCCATAGGACTAGTGAAAAATGGGTGATCAACTCTAGTGAAAAGCAGCCACGCTGAATCTGGCAGGTGAGGAAAGGGTGCACCCAGCCTGGAGGTTCTGCTCAAAGTCTTCAGGTGCTAAAGGACACCACCCTATTTCTTGCCCTCCTGGTGGTCAGACAGTGTGTGGCAGAAGCAGTAAGATGTGCCTCCCCTGTGGTGGCTGACAAGCAAAGCAGTGCTGGAAGTGTTCCTACTTTGCAACTGTGAAGAAGGGTCCCTGGCAAGGCGATCTGGGGGCCTCTTCTTCCAGTGTGCTGCCACTGTGTTCCCCTGGGTGCTGCAGCAGGCCTGTCTGAGAGGTAAATGGCTAGCACTGTGGAAACCAGCAGAATTGTGGAGTGATGCTGCAGGAATACGGCGGGGGGGGGGGGGGAGGGGGGGGCAGGAGGGCGGGTTCCCTGGAGTAGTATTTCTCAAGTGGGTCCCACATAGAAAACACTGGAGTCTTCCTAATGGGGTCTAGAAACACTTGCTAAAAAGCAGATTCAGGGCTGACCAAAGGGATTCAGGATGGAGTCCAGGAATGCGCACATTACCTAACAGCCTAGGTGGTTTGCACACATGCTACAGATTGAGAAGGGCCTCGTCACAGGGGCCTTCTTCCCTGTTTGTGAATACAAAGGCTTCTGATTCCTGAATATCAACTTTGTACTCATCTGCCTTACAGAGTGCTCTTCCTGTCTTTAATGGGATTTTAGTTAATTCTCTCACCATTTGTTTCATAAGAAAAAATTAGGATTTTCCTATTATTTCCAGAATTTGTTTTTCCTATTTATTTCCACAATTTATTTTGCTAATTTTGTTGATCCAAACTTCCAAAAGAATACTAAATAGCAGCTGATAAAGAATATTCTTATTTCTTACTTGAATGGGAACACGGCTAGTAAATACTCATTAAACCTTGTTAAAAAAAAAAAAAAAACACTGACAGTGTGGACAGAGGAAAATATTTTTAGGTTTAGAATAAGATCTACTGGATTTAAGTTCCAGCTACTAGATCTATAAAGACTTTGGGCAAGAAGCCTTATGTTCTCTAAGAGCCATCAGTAATAAGAACAATTTTGTCTGTATCAACTTTCAGCTTTATTCAAGTGACAAACCAGTTGAAAATTATTATACTTTTCATGAAATATAGCATATCTGTGTACTGAGGGACAATTTTCAAATAGATATATATGTTCACACATATACTCTGCAGTTCAAAAACATACAATTTTTTTTAAAATGTAAGTTTTTTTTTTTTGAAACAGGGTCTCGTTCTGTCACCCAGGCTGGAGTGCAGAGCATGATTATGGTTAACTGCGGCCTCAACCTGCTGGGCTCAAGCAATCCTCCCATCTCAGTCTCTCAAGTAGCTGGGACCACAAGCATGTGCCATCATGCCTGGCTAATTTTTTTTTTTTGTAGAGACAGGCACTCCCTATGTTGCCTAGGCTGGTCTTGAATTCCTGGGCTAAAGCAATCCTCCCAACTCGGGCGCCCAAAGTGCTGAGATTATAGGCATGAGTCACTGTGCCCAGCCACTTTTAACTTTTCAATATATATTCACTAAATACTGCATGCTAGTAATCTAATAGCAGAATCTTACGTACTAAAAACTTATGGAAAATATGGCTTATTGTTTCTTTGAGTTGTAAGAATATTCCTATTATTTAATTCCAGCAGCAGATATCATCTTTGGTTAAGGGTTCTCTGAGAATGCACTTTGAAAACAACTAGTGTAGAAAATCTCTCAAGTCCTTCCCACCAACAAAAGGATTCACGAAACGAGCTCTAGAAAATACTTATAAAACTTCTATCTCTCCATTAAGTCCACAAGCATATGTTTTTGAAAAGTTTGTTAGAAGTATAAAAAGCATGAAAGTATAAAAGATACAAACATACTGGATTTTTTAAAAGAGGGTTTACACTCTTTTTCGATAAATTAATTTTATAATGTCTATAATAAAAGATTCAAATGGATGATTACGTTTGCACTAAAATCTTCCAAGAAGTTTAAAAACTGTTTGCTTTATTACAACGTCCAGCCCAGGCATCTACTCCAGTGCTTTTGCTGATCAGAATTAACTATCAACTTTGGATGTTTGCCCACTTCACATACTCCCAAAAGTAACATGGAGACATTACATCAGCGGTATTGCAGAAAGATTAATGTGCTTTGTTTGGAGATGCAAACTAATTATACTTACTGCATACTTCTAGTATTCTGTCTCTTTCACTCAAATCTAAATGAATTTAGTCATACATTTGCATACAGTTTAATGATAACAATAATGTATAGTTAATAGATACTCACTGGAACAGAAAAAATTTACTTGGCATTTTCCCAGCTAATTGTTTTTACAGCTTGACTTCACTTTATACATTAGGTGCATTCATAAAAAGGTTTACATAAAGCAAATATTTTCATACTAAATCCCATTTTCCCACTGTTGCCCAATATTAAATCTTGAGTTATATTTCTACAGGAAAATGCTGGCTCCAACACATCATAAAAATTATAATTAAAAATCTAAACATACATGCCAAGGAATAGGTATGTTTAATACATTATTTTACAAAACACTTTATCCTCTCACCTGCGATAAGAATTAATCTAAAAGATAATCATTTTGTTTCATAGTCTCACAATCATTAGAAGGACACGTATGTTTTAAAAAAATTGCAGGGTTTTAAAGTAGCTTCGTAGAAACTAAAAGTAGAAATATAATTTATTAGCTGGAACTGCCACATGGAGATCTCCTGTCAGATTTTAGGCAATGCAAATAGTCTCAGATTATTGACAGTAATCATTTAAGGGTCTTAGAAATTTCTTCGGCTATGAGTAACACACTTTGGGGGGTTCATTACAATCCAAACCAGATGATTTACTGGAATTATACAGATGCTCTGGAGCCAATACCACTGTCTGACTCGAAGCCCACTTTTCTTTTTTGAGGCAGGGTCTCCCTCTGTCACCCAGGCTGAAGTGTAGTCGTGCGATTATGCCTCACTGCAGCCTCAACTTTCAAGGCTCAAGCAATCCTCCCAAGTAACAGGAACCACAGGCGTGCACTACCACACTTGGCTAATTTTTTTTTATTTTTATGTTTTATAGAGATGCTTTTCAAAGAAATAGGAAAATGAACTTTGCTCAACTACCTGGATCCTTTCATACTGTTTAATATTAAAAGTGTAAAAAAAGCAACATTTGCTAAAATAGTACAGTACTTGGAACTTTAAGAAAACTCTTCCACTTTTAAAGTACCTTGGATTAACGTTAAACAATTTATAATTTTCAGTCATTTTAAATTAATTTGTAAAATTTTTCCTGCACAAATCCTCTGGGGAATGCACTATGTGGATTTCAATTACCTATGCTCTCCTTTTCCTGCATTGCTGCAGATACGCAAGGTATGCTTTTACATCGGTTAGTCAGTGTGAACTGTCTCTTATTCCAGGATGCACACTAAGCTGAGAACTATCCAATCCTCTTTATCTTTGCCATGTACCCTGAGGTAAAACACAGCAACAAATAAGGGAGATGATATTGGTAGAGACAATATTGATATCCAGTCTGACTACCACACATAGGAAGAGGCTGAAGTAATACTTAGAGCTTTGAAAGGCTAACAGTTTTGGCCTCGGGTTATGATGGTTTACTCCTGTTCACAATACAGATACGTGTATTTTAGTCACACTAAATACAAAGTGTGGCCAAAGACATTCTTTTCTGTGGACAAAATAGTTTTTGAAGATATTCTGAAATAACTCAGTCATCATGACATCCTACTATTCCCAAAGAGTGGATGTTGACATGAGTTAGTGTAGCATAGCAGAAAAAGCACGAGCTTTGATGACATATTACTCCTGGGCTGGAGGGCCAGCTCAGCCCTTTACTAGCTGTGTCACCCTATGCAAGATACATGCTGTGTCAGAACATAGTAGCCCCAGGAAATCATAGTTGTTGGCCTCTTTCCCTCTTGACAACTAATCCATCAGCCTTCTTTGATATTCTACAATGTTTCTATGAAGCTGCAGCATCTCTAAAGCTTTTGGTTATTCCCTGTAAAGAATACCCTTAGCTGTGGTTATGCTGGCAGAATCTCTAGACTTTCATTTCACACGCTCAGTGGCACCCCTAGTTTCCCATTAGCGCTTGTACCATACCCGGGAGAACATCACTTCATGCCTGTCTAGGAGATCTGACATTTGGTTCATTGGTCACTCAAGAATGCCAATCTAGGCCAGGCACAGTGGCTCACACCTATAATCCCAGCACTTTAGGAGGCCAAGGCAGGAGGATCACTTGAGGCCAGGAGTTTGAGACCAGCCTTGCCAAAATAGCAAGACTGTCTCTACAAAAAACATAAAAAATTATCTGGGCATGGTGGTACACCCTTGTAGTTCCAGCTACTCAGAAGCGGAGGCAGGAGCATTGCTTGAGCCCAGGAATTCAAGGGTACAGTGAGCTCAGCATCAAATGTACCCTTGCGGTTTGAGTACCACTGCACTCCAGCCTAGGCAATAGAGTGAGACCTCATCTCTTAAAAAAAAAAAAAAGAGGAATAAAAAATGAACACCAATGCAGTTCAAAACACCAAGCAGTGTGCAGAAGATAAGCTGATAAATTCAGATACTATAAAAACCAGTAGAAATCAACTAAATAAGCCTCTGGAAGAATTTAATGTAAAATAATAAATAACATTACTACAATTTTTAAAAATTGTAAAGGCCATTTATTTACATGTTTGGGGTTCTGTTCTACACAGACTGTTCTGTATAGACTGTTCTGTGACCTGTCAGTCAATTACAGTACAGGAGTCTAGTAACTCATTTATCTTTAAAGAAGTGCATCTTGACCAGAGAACATGAGAATGTCAACAAATCATAAGGAAATAAATAAAGCAAGTTGGTCAAGGTCCTTGTAACTGAAGCCAAGAAAAAGCCTGGGAAATTAATGAATAATAAGCTCCCAGGAAACTCAAACTGAGAAAAGCAGTAAGCCATGATGAGAATAATACCTGAGATGATTAAATATATAGTCCAAATATTACTGCCTACGATCCTAAATCTTACCCACCCGCAAAAGAGAACAGCCAAAAAGCTGAAGTTGCTCATTTTTATCTCAATGAGAGAGAGGAGGGATAAGGACGAGGCAAGAAGGGGGGAGGAGAGGGAGGGAGGGAGGGAGGAAGACAGAGGGAGGAAAGGAGAGAGAGACAGCACACGAACACGAGCAAGAGAACAAGGGCAAAAAATACTTGCTGACAGTAGGTATGATATTAAGAATATTGTATTATATTGCATTAGAAATATAGACGATTGAAAGCTGACATAAAGAACTGATTTGGATTTAGAAAAGATCAGAATATAAGATAGTTTTATTTCCATTTTAAAATGAGTATGTAAACAACTATTAAGTTCAGTACATTAAAAAAAAAAAAAGTCTTGCTGCCTTTATTGATTTGGAGAAAGCCTGCCACATACTCTTACAAAGACAGGATGTCAAGCAAACCAATAAGTCATTCAAACCCAGTGTATATAAGGTTCCTTAAGTATTTGAGGAATCAACATGGAGAATTCTGAAAATCTGAGACCCACATGGGAGTAAAGAAAGAATGCATCTTAAGCAAATTTTACTTATTGTTCTCTTTGTTATCCTGAAAAAGTCACTCAAGAGAACAAAAAAGGGTTTGCAAATAAGACCATATAATCCTATTTGCAGAGGATGACACTTCTTATGAGACTTAGAAACCTGCAATACAATCTGAGCTTATAAGACTGAGAACTCCAAAGCAGGAGAGTGATCAAGACTGACAAGAGTATGACCATGGTGATCTCTCAGGAAGCTAAAATCACCCCAGTTATGCATAAGAAATTCTGGCCAGAAACTGAACACTTCAGAGCTGGTGAACTCATGATAAAATCAAACAGATGAAGAGCTAAACTTATAATCTTAGTTGTCACTTGACTCTTGTTTAATCAAAATGTAATTCTAATATAATCAAAATAAGTATATCCTGTTACTTCTCAAATTTAGAAAGGCCAGACTCCCCTGCAAATGCTTGAGAACCCTGTATTAGACCTCATAGTTCCTCAACAAAGGGAAAAGTTTAGAGTAAATGATACGCATGCTATTCCAGGAATAGTGTTCTAGGAAGGCTACAAAAGGGACAATTTCTGCTTATACACAGGGAAAAAGGGAGTTGTATTCACTGCAGCCCTAGTGTATGGTATCCAGCATGATACCTAGCACTTAAAAGGAGTCCACTACATATCTGTTAAATGAAGGAGAGGTTATAGCTAACAATTACTGAGTGGTTTACTATATGCCGGCACTGAGCATGCAGTAACTCATCTAATCCTCACAATAGCCTGATAAGGCAAATACATATTGTTATCATTTCCATTTTACAGTTGAGGAAACTGAAAAACAGAGAAGATAAGTTGCTTGGCCTAGGCGGAACCAGGTTTCAAATGAAGATAGAGTGGCTCCACAGCACCCCCTAACCTCAATACTACATTACTATATTCCTCTCAACTTAAAAGTGAATGATTGCAAGGGAGAGACAGGACCAGCAAGGGCCAGGTTCTCAGCTATGTGGGAGTAAAGCAATCAGGACTAGCAGAAGGACAAGTTCAAAGTGAAAGGATGCATGTGAGATCTGAATGGGGAAGTGCTGGGAGTGAATGTACTTTGTGACTATAGACTCCAAGTACCTCTTAACATTGGGCATGATCTGACCTTGAGGCGGCTACAAGATGAGGATGGGCTAGATCAGTGGTTTCATCTTTGCCTATATACCGGAAGTACATGAGGAGCTTTAAAAAATACTGAGGACAAGTCAGTAAGAAAAAGACCACTGAGGCCAGGCACGGTGGCTCATGCTTGTAATCCCAACACTTTGGGAGGCCGAGGCGGCTGGATCACCTGAGGCCAGGAGTTCAAGACCAGTCTGGACAACATGGTGAAACCCCATTTCTACTAAAAATACAAAAATTAGCCAGGCGTGGTGGTGGGTGCCTGTAATCCCAGCTACTCAGGAGGCTGAGGCAGAACTGCTTGATCCCAAGAGACAGAAGTTGCAGTGAGCCGAGATCATGCCACGGAACTCCAGCCTGAGTGACAAAGCGAGACTCCATCTCAAAAAAAAGAAAAAGACTACTGAATCAGCACAAAAACTAGCACAGGTTATACACTTACAGACCACAGAAAAGGAAATATAAATGATTTTATGCATATGAGAAGATGTTTGACCTCATTCATAATCAAAGAAATGCAAATTAAAATGCCAAAGAGGTATCATTCTTCACCTAATTATATTGGTAAAAAACTCCAAAACATTCAAAACAGCCTCGTCTCTAGTCTAGATTATTGTAATAACCTCCCAACTGCTCTCTTAATCAGCAAAACGGTTTTTATTTATTTATTTATTTATTTTTTGCTCAAAACCTGCGTTGGCCGGGGTGGGCGGATCACGAGGTCAAGAGATTGAGACCATCCTGGTCAACATGGTGAAACCCCATCTCCACTAAAAATACAAAAATTAGCTGGGTGTGGTGGCACACACCTGTAATCCCAGCTCCTTGGGAGGCTGAGGCAGGAGAATCATTTGAACCTGGGAGGCAGAAGACATAGTAAGCTGAGATTGCGCCACTGCACTCCAGCCTGGCAACAGAGTGAGACACCGTCTCAAAAAAACAAAAAATAAAAAAACCTACATTGGTTTTGCATTTCATTCATAGTAGCCAGAATCTTTACAATGGCCTACAAGGCCTTACATAAATCAGGCTCCCAGTCACATCTCTGGCTTCTTCTACCACTCACCTCTTCACTTACTCTTCTCTAGCCACACTAGTCTCCTTTCTGCTCCTCAAACTCACCATATAAGCCTCCACGTTAGGGCCTTTACAATGGCTGATCTCCTGCTTCTCCCTCAGACATCCTCAAGGCTCACTCTCTCACCTTCTTAAAGTCTTCGCTCAAATCTCACCTCTCAGCAAGACCTAATTCAAATTGTGATTCCCATCCTTTTACTCAAACAGGGCTCTATTCTTCCTATATAAGCACTTTTCACTTTCTAATCTACTATACAATGTACTTGTATTTATTTTTTATTTTCTATCTCCCCCAACTAGAATGTACACTTCATGAGGACAGAAATGTCTGTTGATGTACTCCAAGTACCCATAAGAATGTCTCACCACGTGTATGTATAAAGATACATTCTGCAACACTGATAACATCAGAAGATTCAAAACAACTAAATGTCCATGAATACAGGACTAAGAAGTTAAATAAATTACAGAGAAATCACACAGTGGGATACTAAACCGTTCTTAAATAAATAAAGCAGTAACCCTATTTCCAGTATGGCCAAGTAAACTCTCACTGAACTGATTCTCCTGCAGGAAACAATAAATTCTGAACAAACTGTAAAAAAACAATCATCTAAAGGTACCAAAAAGTCAATGAAACAGGTGGACACTGGAGGCAAGTTAACATCTGGAAAAAAAGAACAGCATAGGATGCATTTCTCTCCCTTTTTTTTCTTTTAATAGCTTGAATTTGAAGGCAAGCCCATCTATTCCATGTGAAATAGCTAAAATGCCACTGGAAAATAGTCATACTGGTTTGAAGACCCAGCGATAAGGGCTCATATTCCAAAGCCCCTGGAATATGGAGGAGGAAATATTAGAAATAAAAATCTGAGGCCGAGGGCGGTGGCTCATGCCTGTAATCCCAGCACTTTTGGAGGCCAAGGTGGGTGGATCATGAGGTCAGGAGTTTGAGACCAGCCTGGCCAATATGGTGAAACCCCATCTCTATTAAAAATTTAAAAATTAGCCAGGCATGGTGGCAGGCAACTGTAATCCCAGCTACTCGGGAGGCTGAGGCAGAAGAATTGCTTGAACCCAGGAGGCAGAGGTTGCAGTGAGCCGAGACCGCGCCACTGCACTCCAGCTTGGGCAACAGAGTAAGGCTCCGTCTAAATAAATAAATAAATAATCTGGAGAGAGAGGGAGCTTCATATTCTATGTATAAAACTGTTCGAATCTCTATCTGACCCCTGAACCACACACACACACACACACACACACACACACACACACACACACCCCTGGAACCAATTCAAAGAAATTTAGCTACGAGATTAGAATTTGAGGTGCCTGCCACCCAATGCAGAAAAGTTTTGTTGAGACCCCAGCCAACTAACTGCCTGCCTAAAAAATTTTTTTGGCCAGGCATAGTGGCTCACGCCTATAATCCTAACACCTTTGGGAGGCCAAGGCGGGAAGATTGCTTGAACCCAGGAGTTAGAGACCAGGCTGGGCAACATAGCAAAACCCCATATCTATAAAGATAAGACAACAAAACCCCATATCTACAAAAAATTAGCTGGGCATGGCAGCATGTGCCTATAGTCCTAGCTACTCAGGAGGCGGAGGTGGGGGGATCACCTGAGCCTGGGAGGTGGAGGTTGCAGTGAGCCAAGATTGCACCACTGCACTCCAGCCTGGGTGACAGAGTGAGGGCCTGTCTAAAACATACACACACACACATACACACACTTCACAGGAACATAATAGAATCTAGGTTCTACAACATATAATTTTACAATGTCCAGAATACAATCCAAAATTATTCAACATATGAAACAGGAAAAAATGATCCATTCTCAAGAGAAAAAAAACTGTAAGCAGAAAACTACCCTGAAATGACCGAGATGTTAGAATTAGCAGCAAAGGGCCGGGTGTGGTGGCTCATGCCTGTAATCCCAGCACTTTGGTAGGCTGGGGTGGGTGGGTCACTTGAGGCTATGAGTTCGAGACCAGCCTCACCAACATGGCAAAATCCTGTCTCTACTAAAAATATAAGAATTAGCCGAGTGTGGTGGCACACAGCTGTAATCCCAGCTACTCAGGAGG
Source organism: Homo sapiens (assembly GCF_000001405.40). Taxonomy (NCBI): domain Eukaryota; kingdom Metazoa; phylum Chordata; class Mammalia; order Primates; family Hominidae; genus Homo; species Homo sapiens. The sequence continues at coordinate 73,636,762 of NC_000008.11, forward strand.
CTGAGGCATGAGAATCGCTTGAACCTGGGAGGCAGAGGTTACAGTGAGCCAAGATCACACCACCGCACTCCAGCCTGGGTGACAGAGGAGACTCTGTATTCAAAAAAAAAAAAAAAGGAACTAACAGCAAAGTTATACTATGTTCAAAGAGATCAAAGAAAATATGCTTTTAATGAATAAATGTATGGAGAATTTCAGCAGAGAACAGTAATTATAAAAAGTAGCCAAACAAATTCTAGAATATGATATTCAAATTTAAAATTCACTGGATAGACATAATAGCCAAAAGGAGATGACCAAGGAATTAAGATTAATCAACAGAAATTATACTACCTAACTATTAGAAAAAAAGAAGTTAAAAAAATGAACTGAAGCTTAGGGACCTGTTAGACAAAATTAAAAATAATTAAAATTAAAAAAAAGGTCTAACAGAAGGAGAGGAGGAAAAGGGGGGAACAGAAAAATATTAAAAGACCTAAGACCCAAAAATTTCCTTTGGTAAAAGGCATATTTACATATTCAAGAAGCTCAGTGAACTAGATTAATATAAAGAAAACCACACAAGATATGTTATAGTTTAACTGCTAAAAGCTAAAAAGACATATTATTTATGGGGAGCAACAATTCAAATGATGGATGACTTCTCAAGAGAAAAAATCTGAGGCCAGGAGACAAGTGGAACAACATCTTTAAAGTCTTTATAAAGTGCTGAAAGTAAAAAAAAAAAAAAAAAAAAAAAAAAAAGAAAAGAAAAAAAAGAAAAACTGTCAACTCCGAATTCTATATTCAATGAAAATATCTTCAAAACTGAAGGCAAAATAAAGATGTTTTCAGTAAACAAAAATTCAGAGAAATCATTGCCAGAAGACCTGCACTACAGGAAATACTAAAGGGTGTTCAAACTGAAGAGAAGTAAAGCCAGACAGAAATCTGGATCTTCAGAGAAAACAAAAACAAAAACAAACACAAACACAAAAACAAAACAAAAAAAGGGAAATGATAGATATGTGGGCAAATAAATTCAAGACCTTTTTCTCTTAATTTCTTTAAGATATAGACTAAAGCAAAAAATCATAACATTGTGGAAGTTATGATCTATATAAATGTAATACAAATGACATCTATATATGGGGTGGGAGTTAAATAGACCTATATGGTTGCAGGGTTTCTAAAATTTTCATAATCAGTTTAGAAAAAATAATGCAGCTTCTTACATACTGACATGGAATGCTGTTTAAGGTATTTTTCAAAGGAAAAAAAAACAGATTCGGAATACTATTACAGAATGATACTTTCTTAAAGTAAATACATATACATATACATATCCAGAGAATATCCTGAAAGGATAATACATGAAACTGGCAGGGGCAGGGGCAAAATTGGGTAACTGGAATGCAGGGGTGGCATAGTATTTACATTAATATTTGAATTTTTTATATTTTATACTGTATAAAATAAATACAAAAAATTAAATACCCACAAAAATAAAAAAGTAAAGGCTCTGAGAACTTCTACAATAAGAAAACGTTTAAATTTTCCTTGATCCAGCATTTTACAAACCTATATGACTATAGGAAACTGACTCCTCTCCCTTTTTCAAATAATAGCTATTTCTATCCCAACAGTGACTGTGTATTGCTTACACCATATTAAAAAACACTTATTTTTTTAAATCAATTTTTTACTAGTTGTACCAACTAAATCTAGTAAGAATATAACCCAGGTCATTTGAAATATTCTTTTTTTTTTTTTTTTTTAAAAAGAGTCCATCAGAGTAACTTCAAATATAATTGCAATTTCACTGGCAGTCTAATAAAATTCCACCCACTAAAGTTCTAGACTTAATATTTTCCAAGACATTCTTAAATTCAGTCACTGTCCCATGCTTACCTGTTTTTAAAAACTCATTAGGTACCTCTGTTATTACTGTCCAAACTGAATGATATCAACTATTTCTGAAAACATAAAAAATTGCTTGTTGAACATACAAATGATTCCATAAGAAGATGCCACAATATATTTTAGTTGCTAAAGATTAATATGAAATGATCACATGACCTGAGTCATATTCTTACTAGATTTAGTTGGTACAAGTAGTAAAAAATTGATTTAAAAAAATGTGTTTTTTAATATGGTGTAAGCAATACCAGTCAGTGTTGCAACAGAAATAGTTGATTAATATGAAATGATATCAACTATTTCTGAAAACATAAAAAACTGCTTGTTGAACATACAAATGATTCCATAAGAAGATGCCACAATATATTTTAGTTGCTAAAGATTAATATGAAATATAACCATTATTTTGATACAAAAAAGAAAAACAAACCCACAAATTCTTGTTAAAGTTCAACAGATATTATTTAAATTGTAGTATCTTGTTTTTAACAATTTAACAGTTTAATAGTGAAAATTTTTTCTATGATACATTAATTTCACTGGTTCGAGTTTCTAAATCCACTTGAAAATTTTCTTTAATAGTATATTTTATTCAATTTATCTTTGTACCTACACTAACAAAGGAAAAAGAATACAATTTGTGAATACCCAGAAATTCCTTAATCATGGAGAATGTATACAATTGTTTCTATGCTCTTTGAAGGGAGGACATGATCCTAGTTTCATTTGTGCTAACAAGGAGAATTTATTACCAAAACATCTGGGAGATGAATGAGATGCTAAAACGAAAGACATGGAAGCCTAGCAACATATTCTAGTCTAGCTAACCCTTCCTAAGAAAAAAAGATAGTACTAATAGTAAGGTGCTAATGAGCCGTACTTGGTACCCTCATGCTCGACAACCTTCTCAGATCACTCAGGTTGAAAATAAACTTCTGTATTACAACTGAAACTAAAAATTACACTGAAAAGGACGTGTTTAGCACCGTAGAGGCTCCTACATATTTAAAGCTACTTCTTTAAAATTCCATGTTTTAGATGTTTGAACAAGACATCAATAATTCCATTATCCTTGTTCTGGTTTGATATTATTTTTATCTCTCCCAAACCATAAAATTTGCAAAAGAAAAAATTCAACTGCAAAATTATTCAATATTTGGAAACGAAAATTTAACAAACCCTCTTAAGAACCAATAAAAGCTATCAAATAGAATACAAATAGATACATAAAATTTTATACACTGGTAACAGCATTCAAATCAAAGAGGTGAAGTATTCTAAGAATATTTACTCCAGTTGTGTTAGGAACAAACTAAATTATGACTTCCTCGGGCCAACTAAATCCAGTAAGAATAACATTCTGTTGCTAATATGATCATATGAAATAATTATTTTTAAAAAGAACTTAGCCTATCAAAGTCAACTTCAAATATAAAAAGTGTTCCCCATCAATCAACTGTATAGAAACAATATAAAATTATTCAAGATTTATTTTACAAAGATACTTCTCAAACCCAAGTGCTTCCTATAATAATACACATCATATACTGTTTACTGATCAATAGGAAAAAAGAAAAAAATGAAACAAAATTAGAATAAAATATACAACTTCTACCAGAAAAAAAAAGAGACTAGAACCAGCAGGGACAAATAAGTGGAACTGATTAGAAGACACTGACTTAAAGAATTGGTTATATATAAAACATAGCTTCCTATATTGGATATACCTAAACTTATAATCCCATACACTCTATTATTCATTAATACAGACTAGAGGTCCACAAACGTTCTGAAAAGAGCCAAATAGTAAATATTTTAGGCTTTGCAGGCCATAAGGTTTCTAACACACCTTCTCAATACTGCTGTTGTATTGAGAAAGCAGTCATAGACAATACATCAACAAATGAGGGTGGTGGTGCTCCAATAAAATTTTGTTTTTATGGACACTGAAATCTGAATTTCATATAATTTCTACACATCACAAACCAATCTTCTACTAATTTTTTCAATGATTTTTAAATATACAACCTTAGATCATGGGACATACATAAAAAGAAAGCTGTGGGCTCTAGACTGCCAACCCCTGCCTCATCTAGAAATACATGAAAAGTAGTTACTAGAAATACTTTCCAAACATTCTTTCTAATAACTGAATATCAATAATGTTGCATTTTTACTATGCCATTATTTTTACCATATGTAAGTTCTAAAACAGTATAATCTGCCAAAATAATGACGGAATCAAAGCTAAGAAAGCTAAAATGAAGTATTCTTAATATTTCAAAGCCACAAAAAAGAAGCAATAAAAAAAACAGAAAAGTGTTGTTTCATTACACATTCCTAGGTCATAAATTTCACGTAGACTTAAACTAACTCTATATAATACTTGCCCACTGAGTGATACAAAGTTATTAGTTATATTATGCCAAATTTAGAATTTCATTAATTCCAAATGTAATATAGTATTAAAATGTGGCCAAAAGAATCCTGGAGCCTGGGTGACATGGTGAAACCTCGTCTCTACAAAAGACACAAAAATTAGCCAGGCATAGTGGCCCTTGGACCACCTGGTCTATATTAACGAGCTACTAGGGAGGCTGAGGTGGGAGGATGGCTTGACCCCAGAAAGTGGTGGTTGCAGTGAGCCAAGATGGTGCCACTGCACTCCAGCTTGGGCAACAGAATGAGACCCCTGTCCTCCTACCCTTGCAAAAAAAAAAAGAATCCTGGTAGTTTCATAGTTAACACTGTTTCATATGGTAATACTGAAATGTCTTAGAAAACTCAAAGGACAAAGTTGTGAAAACTGTATTTTAATTATAGCTTACCCTTTAACTAGTTGTTAAGATCTTCAGCAAATCATGTCAGCCAGCATTTCCTAAAGTTTGCCCTGTATCCACAGATCATTCATTAATGTAACAGGATCTATGGCCAATTGAGTCTGAGAAATGCTACACATTATATACATCTCTAGAAGATTTATAATGTACTTAAGCAGATCATAAATTCTGAGAAGTTCCGCAGTAAAGAAAACTGTTGGTTTAATCTGGTATTGTCCAAACTTAACCACTTTTTGTGTGTCATACTTATTAACATCCAAAAAAACCTAAAATTTCTTAAAACATACTTTAGAAAATTTTCTAATCTCTAGTCGAAATCAGATAAACATCCCTTTGGGTTCTAAATTTTAGAATTCTGTGAGACTAATTCTAAGTGGTAATTTTGTGAAAGCTGTTCAACTATTAAGTTCAGGTTTACAAACCTGGAACCTCTGGATCAAATGTACTCTTTTATACTCCCACAACACTATGAACTTCCTCTACTAGAGCACTTATCTTTAAGTAGACATCATTTCTCTAACTTTCTAGACTTACTCCTTAAGTGGGAGATGGAACCATCCTAGTTTCTTCAACACTTAGGAGAATGCTTGGATCACTCACTAAATGTGTTTCGGTTTTGGTTTTGTTTCTATTTTATTGCAATAATCTCCCACTTGATCTACCCATAACCACTCTTGCCTTTCTCCTACTGCTTCTCTATGCAAACATGGTCAGGTCTCCCCCACTCAAAAACTTTCATCTTTGCCAGGTGCGGTGGCTCACGCCTGTAATCCCAGCACTTTATGAGGCCAAGGTGGGTGGATCATGAGGTCAGGAGATCAAGACCATCCTGGCCAACATGGTGAAACCCCATCTCTACTAAAAATACAAAAATTAGCTGGGCGTGGTGGCATGTGCCTGTAATCCCAGCTACTCACGAGGCTGAGGTAGGAGAATCTCTTGAACCCGGGAGGCGGAGGTCACAGTGAGCCAAGATCGCGCCACTGCACTCCAGCGTGGCGACAGAGCAAGACTCCGTCCAAAAATAAAAAAAAAAAACTTTCATCTTCCACTCTTCTGAAAATGAAGACCAAATTTCGTAAAATAGCCCTGGAGGATCTAGTCTCTGCCTACCCTCTCCTGCTTTACCTCTTTTATCACTGCTTTTCTTTATTTTATCTGCTTTAGCCATACAAAGCTAATAAAGATGAAACTAGACGGCATAGAGAAAAAAGCAAGGCAGGGGCCTGGGGAATGTCAGGGTAGGACAGGGTGGAGTGGGTTGGGGTGAAATGAAAGGCAAGACTGAAAAGGTTACATTAGACCTTGGCAAATGAGAGAGAACAGAAAATAAATACCTCTAAAATGGGAGTATACCTGACTTGTTTGGAAACTGCAGCCAGTGTGGCTGGAGTGAAGTTGGAACAGCAGGGAGCAGCAGGTGGGTTAGAGAAGTAATAAAGGTCTGAAAAAGCAGGGCTTTGTAGGGTGATGTATATGCAATCAACTCCCATAGTTACCTCTCTCATCTAGATCTCTCCTGAGTCCAGTCTCCTACATGAAACACATATTTGACAACTCCTCTTGGATGTCTTACAGACATGTCTATCCCCGAAGTCTTAACTGCACTCCAAATCTGTTTCTTCTCCATTCTTTCCCATCTCAGTAAATGGCAGTAACCTCTATCCACTGGCAAAAGCAAGAATCCTAAAAGGTTCTCCCACTAAATTTAGAATAGACATGAAATTCCAATTAAACATCCTCCACACTAGGCAGCTATAGCCTTTAATTAATATAGCAAATATGGTAAAGACCCTAATCCCATACATACAGTACTCCGTTAAGTATTACCACCCAGTCACATATTACACACATACAAGAAGGAAATCACTTGCATCTGAGTCCCAATCAAGGAGTTCACATTCCTATGGGGGCAGAGACTAGGTGAAGTGGGACAGTGAATCTGCATATCCTCTGAAATGCCCAATGTCCATCTAAGACAAAATGGTACCTGTACCCAGAGGGTTAGCCCAAATAGTATAATAGCTTCGAGCTAAGAGGTAGCCATCATGGAGGAAGAGGTCCTTATGGCCTCTGACAATATCAATTTAAAAACAGGAGGTCCAGTGAGCCCATCAAGCAAGATCAACATACCATATACCTGTACTTTTATACTCTAAAAAGAGATGGGAACACAGACTAGGAACTACTGCCGTGTTTGAAAATGCCCCCATGTTTGTTTTCTGTGCTACTGTCTGTTACTTCATAGTGACTAGAAACAAACTCTACAACAAAAATGACAATACATTATGGTGTATTACTACAGCAGAATACTATGTAAATTTATTAAATAGTTGTACACTTAGTTACATGGAAACTCATAACACATTCTGAAGTGAAAGCATAGTATATAATTTGCATAAATAGATACACTCATATAAAATGCTACAGCTGCACCTCTGGTAAGCCAAAGGTTTGTATGGACTTGTCCTAGAAAGCAGGAAAGTGAGGAACTAAGAAGGCAAAATGAAAAATTAGAAATAGATTTTGAAAAGTAAGTTTTACAAACTTACCTGACAAATTTAAGAGAAGTGAAATTATACATAGTGTATTCACTGACCACAATGGAATCAGACTAAACATCAATAACAAAGATAACAGGAAAAATCTCCAAACACTTGGAAACTACACTTCTAAAATAATCCAGGGGTCAATGAATTAACAAGGGAAATTTTTAAACTGAACGAAAATAAAATACAATATATCAAAATTTGTGAGATGCAGAAGTGAGAAAAATTCATAACACTAAATACATAGATCAGAATTAGCCAGGTGTGCACCTGTAGTCCTAGCCACTCAGGAGGCTGAAGCAGAAGGATCACTTGAGCCCAGGAGTTTGGGGCTGCAGTGAACTATGATTATGCCACTGCACTCCAGCCTAGGCAACAGAGTAAGATCCTGTCTCTTAAAAAAAAAAAAATGTTATGAAGAATGGTCTGAGAAAAAAAAGAAAGAAAAGACGAAACGTTTCAAATAAATAATCTAAGCCCACACCTCAAGAACAAAGAACAAGAAGGGGAAAGTAAATCTAAAGAAAGCAGAAGGTAGTAAATCTAAGAAGAGAAATCAATAAAACTGGAAACAGAAAAAAACTATACATAAAAGCAATTAAACAAAATCTTGGTTCTTTGAAAAGGATAATAAAACTGACAAACTTCCAGCAACACTGACAAAGAAAAAAGAAGACACAAATCATCAATATCAGAAAAGAATCAGGGATTATCACTAGAGATCCTGTAGACATCAAAAGAATAAGGGAATACTAAGATCAATTCTACACACAGAAATTTGACAATTAGACAAAATGAGCCAAATCCTCAAAAAGCACAAGCTATCACAACTTACCCAATATGAAGATGACTTGAAAAGCCCTATAAGTATTCAATAAATTGAACTCATACATTTAAAACTCCTAAAAAAGAAAATCTCCAGTTGTGGGTGTTTTCAGGAAGAATTCTGCCAAACTTTTAAAGATGTAATGTCTACTCTATAAAATCTCTTCCAGAAAACAGAAGAGGAGAGAATGTCTCCCAACTCTTTTTATGAGTACAATAGTATCCTGATATAAAAATCAGAAAAAGAATGCCAAAGGGGTTATGGTGGGGGGAACTACAGACAAATATCGTCCATGACTATAGAGACAAAAAACCTTAATAGAATATTAGCAAGTAGAATTTAGCAACATACATAAAGAATCTTAGACCATGACCAAGTATCGTTTATTGCAAGCATACAAGGCTGGTTCAATGTTTAAAATTCAATCAATGTAATCTATCACATTAACAGGTCAAAAATGAGAAATCATATGATCAGTTAATTGATGCAGCAAAACATTTAACAAAATTCAACACCCATTCACGATAAAAAAAATTCTCAAAAAACTAGGAAGAAGAACATGTCCAGTTGGATTTAAAATATTTACTAAAAATCTACACCTAAAATCAGACTTAATGGTGAAAGACTGAATGTTTTGTACATGAAGAATGAGGCAAGGAGGTCCACTCCCACTACTCTTACACAACACAGTGCTTGAAGATCTAGCCAGTGCAATAAGGTAAGAAATGAAACACGTATTAGTCCGTTCTCACATTGCTATAAAGAAATACCTGAGACCAGGTAAATTATAAGAAGAGTTTTAATTGGCTTATGGTTCTGCAGGCTGTACAGGGAGCATTGAGGCTTCTGCTTCTGGGAGGCCTCAGGAAATGTACAATCATGGTGGAAGGCAAAGGGGAAGCAGGCACATCTTACATGGCCAAAGCAGGAGGAAGAGAGAAAGGAGGGAGGTGCTACAATTTTAAACAACCAGATCTCATGATAAGTCACTCATTATCACGAGAACAGCACCAAGGGGATGGTGCTAAACCATTCATGAGAAACCATCCCCATGATCCAATCACCTCCCACCCCACCCAACCTCCAACATTGGTACAATTGAATATGAGATTTGTGTGGGGACACAGATCCAAACCTTATCAAAATGAAAGGCAAGCAGATCAGAAACAAAGAAATAAAAATGTCCCTATTTAAAGATGAAATAATTGTCTGTGTAGAAAGAAACATATTTTTAATTACCTAGAACTAATAAGTGAATTAGCAAGTTTATAGGACACAAGATCAAAATACAAAAATTGAAATGTAGGTCTACATACCAGCAATAAATGCATGGAAGGTGAAAGTAAAAATACAAGAAAAGATTTACTCTAAAATTTACATGGAAAGGCAAAGAAAGCAGAGTATTCAATTTTGAAAAAGAATAAAGCATAAGAAACCACTCTATATTATTTTAACACTTATTATGTAACTTCAGTAATAACACTGTGAGGAGTTGGCAGAGACACAGAGTTCAACAGAACGTAATAGAGAACCCAGAAACAGACCCACACTAGTGTGGCCAACTGTCTTTACACAAAGGTGAAAAAGCAATTCAATGGAGGAAGGAGAGCTATCCAACAAATGGTGCTGAACAACTGGATAACCACAGGCAAAAAACCGAAACAAAAACCTTTGACCTAAACATGACACCTGATAAAAAGAAGCTAATTCAAAATGTACATTTAAATGTAAACCATAAAACCTTTAAAAGAAAACCTAGGAGAACACCTTTGGGGATCTAGATTTGGTGAGGAGATTTAGACTTGATACCCAAAGCACACTCACAAAAAAAACTGATAAACTGGACTTCATCAAAATAAAAAACTTCTGCTCTATGAAAAACTATGTTAAGAGGATGGAAAGACAAACTATGAACAGGGAGAAAAGATTTGCAAACCACATATCTAACAAAGGATTTATATCTAAAATATATACAAAACTCTCAAAACTCAACAGTAAAAAAAAAACAATTTTATAGAAAATGTGCATAAGACAGAGATATTTCACCAAAGACACACAGCCAGACACACACACACACACACACACACACACACACACACGAAAAGATGTTCAACATCCCTAACCATTATGGAAATGTCAAATTAAAGCCATAATGATATATAACTACACATCAGAATGACCAAAATAAAAATAGTGACAACCACAAATGCTGTGGAGGATGAGAAGAAACTGAATCTCTCATACATTCCTGATTGTGATGCCAGACAGTTCAGCAACTCTGGAAAATAGTGTAGCAGTTTCCTAGAACACTAAACATATATTTACTACACAACTGAGGTATCACACTCCTGTGTATTTATCCCAAAGAAATAAACATTTATGTCCATACAAAACCCATACATAGATATTCACAGCAGCTTTATATGTATAGCTAAAAACTGAAGAAAAACAAAACATCCCTCAATAGGTGAAGGGTTCAACAAACTGTGGTACACAGAACACTACTCAAAAACATAGAATACTATTCAAAAAGTCACATACTATGATTCCATTTATGTAATATTCTTGAAATGACAAAAGCATAGAGATGGAGAACACATTCATGGTTGCCAAGGGCTAGAGATAGTAGGGTAGCAGAGGTGAAGAGAAGAGTAGTTAAGGGACAACATAAGGAAGAGCTTTGTGGTGACAGAATAATTCTGCATCTTTTTTTTTTTTTTTTGGAGACAGTCTCACTCTGTTGCCCAGGCTGGAGTGCAGTGGTGTGATCATGGCTCGTAGTAGCCTCAAATTCCTGGTATCAAGCAACCCTCCCACCTCAGCCTCCCAAGTAGCCAGGACAACACACATGTACCACCATGTCTGGCTAATTTATTTTTATTTTTGTAGAGATAGGATCTCACTATGTTGCCCAGGCTGGTCTCACACTCCTGGTCTCAAGCTATCTGTCCCACCTGGGCCTTTCAAAAGAGCTAAGATTATAGGCATGAGTCACCATGCCTGGCCGAGTTCTGCATCTTGTTTGCTGCAGTGCTTGCATGAATCTACATGTGACAAAATGAAACAGAACTACAACACATACATTTACCAATGTCAGTATACTGGTTTGAAATATTGTCCTACAAGTCTGTAAAATGTAACCAATGGGGGAGACTGAGTGCAGAGTACATGGGCTTCTGTGTGCCATTTTTACAACTTTCAGTGAATCTCTAATTATTTCTAAATAAAAAGATTTTTCAAAAGGAAGACAGAATAACTAAATCAATAGTAATTAGCAGTATCTACATTCTCAAGTTTCCAAATACGTATCTTGAAAATTTACATCCCACATATACTATCATTCCTAGTATTTTCTTGAATGATTTTATTTCATGGTGATTTTTATTCTAGAAAAAATACGTTCTGAAGTGAGGCTTCGAGTGTTTTACTTCACAGTATCCAAAATACCCAATAACAAAATTATTTTGTAAAATGGGTTTGAGTCTTGCAGAAATAGATTTATAATCCAATTCTATAACTTACTTCATAAATGATACTGAGCAAATTAAACTTGAGTCTCTGTTTCTTCGTAACTAAAACAGGGATAAAATATATATACCTTGGAGAACCACCACGTCTGTGTATAAAGAAACTGGCAGTGTTCTACACACAGTAGACTACATAACTTTTACTGTTATCATCTTATCTCCCTGAAGGTAACACACATTCCTATGGGCAGGAACAATTTCATGTATTTCCCTTGAATCACCTTACTGCTGTCAGCATGGTGATAAGTATACAAAAAATACCCAACATGCAATTTTCTTTGAACTTTTAACTTCTGCCATTAAAATTACCCTTTTTCTTTACTGTAAATGGTTATCCTCTGATTTTCTGAAAAGGGTTAGGTTTGGAGTCTTTCAGTTGTGTCTTGTTTTTCAAATGCGAGTTTTCTTGTTTTTGTTTTTTAGAGACACAGTCTCTCTCTGTTACACAGGCTGGAGTACAGTGGTACCATCATAGCTCACTGCAGCCTCAAACTTGTTGGCTCAGGCGATCCTCCTGCCTCAGCCTCCCTAGTAGCTGGGACTACAGGCCTGCACCACATGCCCAACTTATTTTTTAATTTTTTGTAGAGACTAAGTCTTGCTATGTTGCCCAGGCTGGTCTCAAACTCCTGGCCTCAAGCAATCCTCCCACCTTGCCCTCCCAAAGTGCTGGGCCACCAGGCCAGCCTCCAATAAGAGCTTTTTGATGAAGCTAATATGTAGTTTCTAAAGGCATCAAGCCAAGAAAGAGTAGTTCAATGGTGTAATAGTTCAGAGATGCAAAACAAAGACCGAGATTTCCAAACATTCTGCACATCCCATATTCTTGTTTCTAACTCAGCCAGTTAAAAATATTTTTTTGATATCCAATAAGTGGCATTTTTCCAACGTCTCATCACTTCATACAGATCATTATTCTTGCTTACCATTTAAGTAAAGACTTCTATTTGTATTTAAATTGACTAACACTGCTCCCCATTACCCCTTTCTCAACACAGAGGTCCAGGTTGCCGACCCTGATCTTTGCAATTTTCTAGAAATTATCTCTAAACTCACCTATTCCTCATTATATTTGTTCCATCACAATAGAAATTATAAAAAAGATAATACCAGCCCCCACTCTGTAATTTGGTATCTTCTCTGAAGAATTTATTCTACTAATTCTTCTCCTAGTTCTAAACTCCTAAAAGGAACTGTCAAGTAACTATCAAATAGGATTAACAAACTCAACTTTAATACTGCTCACTAAGCTTCTTTCTCTTACTTATAAAAGTCATATTAAAATGTACTATGATGGACAGGGCAGTTTGTATGATATTATCATCAATATATCACAACAAAAGTTCCAAACACAACGCTTTAGATGTCTTTGAGAAGGTTTTAGATATCTTTGAGAGCACACTACTCAAAGATGCTCTTCTATATTTAATTTTTTATAAGTTAGTATATATGTCTTCTATATAATTTTATATATATATATATATATATATATATATATATATATATGGTGCAAAGATAGCACAGAGTTCCCACACACCCTTCATCTAGCTTTCCCTAACATTAGCAACTGACAAAAACACAGTAACACTGGTCAAAACTGGAAACTGAACATTGATACAACAGTATTAAGTAAATCGCAGATTTTATTCAAAGATTCTGTACTTTTTGAGTAACTGGTGACACTGGACTTCCAGATATGATGGGGATAACTGAATATCCAGATGTCTTGGGAGAATTTCTATTATCATTCCTAATTTAACATGGTCCCAGCTGCTCTATGATGAGCTTTGATTCTCTATGAGAGCATAGAGTCATGCTAACATAGAATCTTATGTTGGATGAAACCTTGGAAATCATTTAAATTTTTTTTAAGTATAAATTATGACCCATTAACAGGTCATGAAATAAATTTAATAAACCACAACTATAATTTTTTAATAAAACAAAATAGAAAATATTAGAGTATAATACAGATGTTATCGTATCATAAATTTTTTGTTTTAGTGATATATGTAAAAATGTATATGTGTGTGGATGTAGGTATGTATTTATATACTGGGTCACATTATTTTTAAAAATTCCTTAGCAAAGGTCAGAGTCAAAAATGTTTTAAAAGTCACTCATCTATATCAAACCAAAGAAAGTTCTCTTTAATATTCCTGACAAATGATAACCCCCATCTCTAACTAAACACTATTAAAGGTAGAATATTTGCTACTTATACATCAGACGGTAATACGTATTAGGACATTTTTAATGTGGAACCAACATTTCTCTGTTGACTTTTGATCTACAACTCACAAAAAGGGTGGGTTTTTTCCTTCTAAAGAAAAATACTGTGCAATCCTATTTCTTTTTTTCCATCAAATTAGTGAACAGAAGTTCTTACACCTAGAAATCAAAAGTTCCAAAAGAAAGTTTCCTTTTCAGTTCCCAAGAAGAGACTCTGAAAATAAAGGGCAATAATAGAAGAACAGAAAAATATATATGTAAGGACTCTAAATGGGAGAATAGAAGTAATGCCAAGCAAAAACGTCAAGTCGATAAAGGAACATCTTTGAGGAAATGATATAAATATTGGATCCTGCCCCTGGCCAGCCCTGCCCGGCCATGCGTCCCTCCTCCTCCCCACCTTGTGGCGGGCAGCAGCCCTCTAGCTTTGGCTCCGTGGACTGGCTCTCCCAAAGCAGCTGCTCAGGGCCGACCCACACCCCCAGGCCTGCCGAGGTCTCCCTGGGGAGCCTCCCTGGCCCGGACCAGGCATCGGGCCCCGAGGAGCCCCCTCAGGCCGTCAGCATCAAGGAGGCTAGGTCCTCAAATCTGCCTCCGCCAGAGAGGGCTATGGCTGGGTTGAGGAAAGGGCCAAACGCCTGGCGGGCCCCACTGTGTCCACACAGCCTTCACCACGGAGCAGGTCCGTGGCTTGGAGGGCATCTTCCAGCACCACCAGTACCTGGGCCCTCTGGAGTGGAAGAGGCTGGCCAGGGAAATGCAGCTGTCGGAGGTCCAGATAAAAACCTGGTTTCAAAATCGCCGCATGAAACACGAACGGCAAATGCAGGACTCCCAGCTGAACAGCCTCTTCTCGGAGTCACTGCACGCACCCCTGGCTTTCCACTCACCGTCTTCTGGCCTTGCCAATGGCCTGCACCTGCTGTGCCCTTGGGCACCCCTGCCTGGGCCCCAGACTCTGATGCTGTCCCCTGGCTCCTTCTGGGGTCTCTGCAAGTGGAACAAGAGGCCCTGGCCTCTGAGTGGGCCTGCTGCTGTGGGCAGCCTCTGGCGTACCACCCCCCAAAGCCCAGGAAGTGGCATGCATACGCTGGGACCAGCCCTGTCCACGGGGCCCTGGGGCCTGGTGTGCTCTGCCGGAGACGGGATGCATTTTGAGGAAATGCCTCTGACTCCAGGCCTCCCATACAGGTCTGTGCAGATTGCACCTGGCACCTACCCAGAGAACTCAGCTGTTCTGTTTACATTGTGGAGGCACCTCTCACCCTGACCCACGCAAAGGTTCTGGAGATTTCTGGAGAATATATTTATTAAAGCCACCTCTTCACCAAAAGTTACCAAAAGGGTTGGTTTAGGAAGTAAATGAAGGGTCAGTGTAGAGTCAAACGCAGAAGTGGGCTTGTTATAGGGAGGGCTTTCAGCATATGATAAAAGGGTAATTTGTTTTTTAAAAAGTGTTGGAAAAACTGGTTTTCCAGTTGGAAAAAGTAAAGGTTGTAGGCTTTGTGTGTAAAAAAGAAAACCATGAAGGATTGGAAGGGGGAAAAAAAAGAAATTATATAAATAAAATTATCAAACTCAGGCAGATAATTTCATAGAAGTATGCATTACTTACTAGCAAATCTTCTCATTTTGGAAAATGTTTCACTTTTTAATTTTTTTAGACACACAAATAAGAAGAAAAACTTCCACATTCAAAAGAAAGACTAAACCATGCACAAATGAACCCTTTCTGTTTCCTTTAACATACAAGAAAGTGATTTCATGAAATTTATTAAAACTGTTATTTCTGGCCAGGCGCGGTGGCTCACGCCTGTAATCCCAGCACTTTGGGAGGCCAAGGCACACAGATCACGAGATCAGGAGTTCCAAGACCAGCCTGGCCAACATAGTGAAACCCCATCTCTACTAAAAATACAAAAAAAAAAATTAGCCAGGCGTGCTGGCGGGCATGCTGGCAGGCGCCTGCAATCCCAGCTACTCGGGAGGCTGCGGCAGGAGAATCACTTGAACCTGGGAGGTGGAAGTTGCAGTGAGCAGAGATCGCGCCATTGCACTCCAGCCTAGGTGACAGAGCAAGACTCTGTCCCAAAAAAAAAAAAAAACTGTTATTTCTGTCCAATTCCAAGCAACCAAAGTACTTCATGTCATTAAATATGTATGTGTAACACACATACACATACATATATACATATAGATATTCACCAAACCATTATTCAACTATCTGGCCACTTCATTCTACTCAAAATGCAGATCCTTAGCAAAATTTATGACAGAAAAAAATAAATTCTGAAGTAAAAAAATTCACCAACTAGATAAAACTCGATGTTTTCCACAGTTAAGGGGACATCTTAGGGCGTAATTAAAGCCCTGCTACTCTTACTTTGCCCCAAATTCAAACAATAATATCGGTTTTCAAGATAATAGCAATTGAAAAGCATCAAAGAAAGGAGCAAGCAATATGCAAAGGTGCACTGACAAAAACAAGAAATAAGATGACAATCTGACTGACAACAATGATTTGGAAAGTAACTAAAAGCACACTTGGGTACTCTAGAAACAGATGTCTAGGATTATCTGGTATAAGGACAAACCATGTACATATCTCATGAGGCTTGTAATACTTATTGTTTATAAGGTTGATAATGAGTCAACAGCAAGGATTCTTCATGCTAAGAATTGTGGCATTTTCTATTTAAGGATATAAAAAATATATGCCATAACTTTTAGAAATATTTCTATCCAAAATTACTGAACTAAGTAAAGTTTTAGGTTCCAAAAAAAAGTGAACCCTCAGCAATGTGGGGAAGCTAGCTGTCCAGAACAATTATCCTTAAGGAGTGTGGTTAACTGTAATTCTTCCCTTCTTCTTTACTTCTTTCAAAAGTTCTATGACTATTCAAACCATCTCATAATCTTTGATGTTAATAGAGGGTAATGTGTTTTGGGTTGTGGGGACCAGTATTTAAATGACTGGACATAGAATTACTTGGGGAAGTTTTAAAAAACAGTGCGGTTCAAGCTCTGCAACCAGAAATTCTGATTTAATTAGTCCACATAAAGTCTGGGCATCAGAATTTTTAAAGCTGCCCAGGAAAGCCTGATGTTCAGTCAGTGTTAGGAACCACTTAGGTAAACAGTTTTCTTCATGACACCTTTAGGAGTCTTCAAGAGAGATACAGTATGCAGCATTTCCAAAATTTGTCTTCAAATCCCTTTTACCATGGAACATCTTATAACACTGACTTAGGTAACTCTTCATCTGAAAATCAAGGTAAATATTAAGTTTAGAATCAAGTTGTATAGCTTTTCAAACTTTGTAAAAGTTCTAATGTGGTTAGGAAGAGGGAAGGGGAGGGAAAAAATAAAAGGATGACTTACTTTTATCTTGCTACCACATTTTTTATATTACAAAAATTCCAAATGAAATATTTTAATTTTAACTTAAAATTTCATAGTTTATTTTAATCATGCTTATATTAAGCCTGTGACTCAAAAGCATTTACATGTTGTGAAAGCTAATTTCAAAGATAAAACCGTGCTGCCCTCTAATGGTTCAAGATAAATATTTTTACCTATACATAGTAGTAAGGTGATAAATACAATTTTATTATTTTATAAATGGGAGGATTACATTATATACCAGAAAAGAAAAATAAGATTTCAATTTTTGGTATAACTGAGCCCAAAAACTTAACTATGACTGCTATGTTCAAGCTCAAGACCCTTTTAACTGTCCAGGCACACTGGCTGACCCCTGTAATCCCAACACTTTGGGAGGCCAAGGCGGGAGGATTGTTTGAGCCCAGGAGTTTGAGACCAGCCTGAGCAACATAGTGAGACCCCATCTCTACAAAAAATAAAAAATTAGCCAGACATCATGGTGTCCCAACTACTAGAGAGACTGAGGTGGAAGGATCACTTGAGACCAGAAGGTCATGGCTGCACTGAGCCGTGATCATGCCACTGTACTCCAGCCTAGATGACAGAACAAGATTGTCTCAAAAAAAAAAAAAAAAAAAAAAAAGAACTCTTTTAATTATCAAACCTTTTTTTTTTTTTTTTTTTTTGAGACGGAGTTTCGCTCTGTCGCCCAGGCTGGAGTGCAGTGGCACGATCTCGACTCACTGCAAGCTCCGCCTCCCGGGTTCACGCCATTCTCCTGCCTCAGCCTCCTGTGTAGCTGGGACTACAGGCGCGCGCCACCATGCCCGGCTAATTTTTGTATTTTTAGTAGAGACGGGGTTTCACCGTGTTAGCCAGGATGGTCTCGATCTCCTGACCTCGTGATCTGCCCGTCTCGGCCTCCCAAAGTGATGGGATTACAGGCGTGAGCCACCGCGCCCGGCCCAAACCATTTCTTAAACCACCACATTTGCCTATGCATGTGTAAATCAGGATAAAAATGTACACCTCTTCTGCATTCTGCAATAGCCATCTCTAACTTAGCTTCTTTTTCAAATAAATCTATGGCAGTAGTGTTCAAACTTGAATGCTTGTACCCTACAAAAACATTTTAGAAAGTTACACATATTCTTGCATATTTCTTCTTACAGCTAAAGTTTTAATTCACATTTTTAAAATTTCATTAAGTACTTGCAAAGGATGTAGTTTCTAATTTACTGTAAATATTTACATTTTAAAATAAAATTATGTCACTCTTTTAAGTGTATCCAAAAACTGAACTATCATAGCAAGCTGACATCCACCTTTATCTACTCAAAAAATACATAAATTCTGTTAAATACAACAGAAATTTTACACCAGCTGTATCTTGTTTAACTTGCATTTTACTGCACTCTCTCCATTTCATCCTAATTTCATATTTTATAACTAAAAGTCTTTTATTCCTCATTCTACCATAATTCTATGCAACAAAAATAGATATATTAATTAAAATTATAGGAGTTTGTACTTCCATGTAAGTTAGAAAATATTTTGTGCAATGAGCCATTATTGAAATTATTAGCAGATAATGAAACAAATATTATAATTTTAATACATCTTTTTTTTTTTTTTTTTTTTTTTTTTGGAGACAGAGTCTTGCTCTGTCGCCCAGGCTGGAGTGCAGTGGCGCGATCTCGGCTCACTGCAAGCTCCACCTCCTGGGTTCACGCCATTCTCCTGCCTCAGCCTCCCGAGTAGCTGGGACTACAGGTGCCTGCCACCACACCCGGCTAATTTTTTGTATTTTTAGTAGAGACAGGGTTTCACCGTGTTAGCCAGGATAGTCTCAATCTCCTGACCTCGTGATTCGCCCGCCTCGGCCTCCCAAAGTGCTGGGATTACAGGCATGAGCCACTGCGCTGGGCTAATTTTTTTGTATTTTTAGTAGAGATGGGGTTTCACCGTGTTAGCCAGGATGGTCTCAATCTCCTGACCTTGTGATCCGCCCGCCTCAGTCTCCCGAAGTGCTGGGATTACAGGCATGAGTCACCGTGCCAGGCCACATAATTTTTAAACAAAAAGTAAAATATTAATGGACATGAAACTCACTGACATTTACAGAGCTTTTTTTCTTTATATTGATGTATCTAAGAAAGAATATTTCTTACTGCTAAAATGAGATAAGTTCTCAATTCTACTCTTATTTCACTTATTTCAGGTATAATCACTAAGAAATGTAATTCACATTAAAAACTAAATCACTCTGAGTTTTGTTATAACAAGGTCACTCAATTTTTTCTATGCCAAAACACACACTGTGATCTACCATCAGAAATTATTTTTAATGACGTGGCAATTGATGTTAAGTCCTCTCACAATTTGCTGAAAGCAAGTAACCAGAAACTACCTGACTTACAAAGGATGCATTACACATTTGCTACAATTATTCAGATTCTCCATTTCTGGGAAATATTCCAAAACAGTATTACTATGACTTATCAAATGATTATGAATTATACCTGCTATTGTTTCCCTTAGCAGTTTAATTTTATATAGTCCAAAAGGGTAGAAAACATCAAAATATTGTTAATTCCAATATCCTTTTGCTGAAATAACATTTGTTTTATAAAATGTTTTGATCTTATCATACACTTCAAATATATTTTACCCAAATGGTAGAGCTGCAAACAGCTCATTTAATTTATGGTAAACACCCGCTGTCAACCAAATGCCAAATCAAAATCTGCCTTTATTTCTCAACTCAAATACATTTCAGGCTTAAACAAAAAAGATTTTAAATTTGTCTCA
Source organism: Homo sapiens (assembly GCF_000001405.40). Classification (NCBI taxonomy): domain Eukaryota; kingdom Metazoa; phylum Chordata; class Mammalia; order Primates; family Hominidae; genus Homo; species Homo sapiens. The sequence continues at coordinate 73,656,830 of NC_000008.11, forward strand.
TAAAACAAGGCCCAAATATACACTACATACAAGAGACACCAAAAACAGAGAAAAGCTAAAAAGTTGTACTAGCTTAATGAAAACGGAAAGCAGTGATTGTTATGCTGATATCAGACAAAGCAGAGTTCAAGCAAAAAGGTATTAATGGCGAACACTAGGTATTAATGCTAAAACCTGCAATTCTTCAGTGATATATAACAGTTATGAATACCTATGCACCAAATAATGCAGCAGCCACCTGAAGCCAAAAACTACAGGAGATGCAAGGAGATATAAACAGAAGCACACAAATACTAAGAGATTTTAACACATCACTCTCAGTACAACACAGATCAAGTGGACAAAAAAACATATAAAAGACCAAAGCAACAAACTCTTACAGAAGATGTTATGCTGTATATGTGTGTACATATGATCCTCCATTTGATCTCAAAGAAAGCATAAGGAAGTGCCACAAGGTGGAGATATTACAGTCTCAAATCAAAATATAACAAACTAGAAATTAATAACAAAATTTTAAAAAGCAAAGGGCCCTTCTACTTGAAAAATAAACCTTTTATTAAGTAATTTGTACATGAAAGGGAAAATACAAACTAGAAAATCAATACTGAAAGAATAATAAAAATACTACATAGCAGAAACTATAGTACAAATGTAAAACAATGGTCGAAGGAGAATTCATAACCTTCAACAGTTATAGCAATAAACGTATTCAAATGAATGAATTAAATTCAACATAAATTTTTAGAAGGTATATATTATTACTAATTTCATATTAGATTTTATTTGCTCATTTTTTTCTTCTATATTTATATTGGTATTAGACTGCAACTTCCTTTTCTGTACTGTCTTTACCAGGTTTAGGTGTCAATGACAACTTTATTTGCTAAAAAGAATTCAGAGGCCGGGTACAGTGGTTCATGCCTGTAATCCCAGCACTTTGGGAGGCCGAGGTAGGCAGATCACCTGAGGTCAGGAGTTCAAAACCAGCCAGGCCAAAATAGTGAAACCTTGTCTCTACTAAAAATACAAAAATTAGCTGGGTGTGGTGGCGCACACCTGTAATCCCAGCTACTAGGGAAGCTGAGGCACAAGGATCGCTTGAACCCAGGAGGCGGAGGTTGCAGTGAACCAAGATTGCACCACTGCACTCCAGCTTGGCGACAGAGCAACACTCCATTAAAAAAAAAAAATATTTAAAAGGCACAATAGTCACACTCAGTAACACGGGGTTTTAAGAACTATCTTGGGGGACTGGGCACGGTGGCTCACGCCTGTAATCCCAGCACTCTGAGAGGCTGAGGTGGGCGAATCACCTGAGGTCAGGAGTTCAAGACCAGCCTGACCAACATGGTGAAACCCCATCTCTACTAAAAAAAAATTAAAAAATTAGCCGGGCGTGGTGGCCCACGCCTGTAGTCCCAGCTACTTGGGAGGGTGAGGCATGAGAATCTCTTGAACCCAGGTAGGGGAAGTTACAGTGAGCGAAGATCGTGCTATTGCATTCCAGCCTGGGCAACAGAGCAACACTCCATCTCAATTAAAAAAAAAAATTATCTTGGGAAGTTCACCACCATTTATCACAATGTTTCTATGAGAAAATACATTCCAAGTTTCCAGTAATCAACATAAAAACAAAGTTTGGAACAAGGCCTATTTGATGATCACCCAAAATCTTACCCAGAATTTATTAGACACAATATTACATTTCCAAGAAATTATGTTATTGCAGAAACTTCTATAAACATGTAACATAAACCCTCATTAATAGTCAAAGCAAATTTGTTTTAAAAACCATACTTATGCCGGGCATGGTGGCTCATGCCTGTAATCCCAGCACTTTGGGAGCCCGAGGCGGGTGAATCACGAGGTCAGGAGTTCAAGACCAGCCTGGCCAACATGGTGAAACCCCGTCTTCACTACAAATACAAAAATTAGCTGGGCATGGTGGCACGTGCCTGTAGTCCCAGCTACTCTGGAGGCTGAGGCAGAAGAATCGCTTGAACCTGGGAGGCGGAGGTTGCAGTGAGCCAAGATCAAGCCACTGTACTCCAGCCTGGGCGACAGAGAGAAACTCCGTCTCAAAAAACAACAACAACAACAACAAAAACAACAAAAAAAAAAAACCAACCATACTTAAATTGCTTTCTAAATCCAACGGACACTAAAACTTCACAAAACCTTCACTGAAAATCAGTATTTGAAGAAAATGCATAAAAAGTGATTGAGCATTAAGGAGAAACAGCTGGTGGATAACGTTTTTTGATTCATAAAGGAACCCTCCAAAACAAAGCAGAAAAAAAAGCTTCAAAAGTTTTTCGGAATTTTTAGAGCAATGACTGGCAACCTATATAAACCTTTCAGAATTCTGAATACTGAAAGCCCACGTATTTATATGTCACATGACATATTAAAAAGAGCTTCATGGCCTAGCTTGGTGGCTCATGCCTGTAATCCCAGCACTTTGGGAGGCTGAGGCGGGCAGATCACCTGAGGTCGGGAGTTCGAGACCAGCCTGACCAACATGGAGAAAACCTGTCTCTACTAAAAACACAAAATTAGCCTGGCATGGTGGCACATGCCTGTTGTCCCAGCTACTCAGGAGGCTGAGGCAGGAGAATTGCTTGAACCCGGGAGGCGGAGGTTGCAGTGAGCTGAGATCGCGCCATTGCACTCCAGCCTGGGCAACAAGAGCGAAACTCTGTCTCAAAAAAAGAAGAGCTTCATAATTTAAACTGTCATTGTACCCAGATTTTTTTTTAAACACAAGTAAATAAACATTGCTAAGCAAGATTTTGCTCAACTGAACAAAAAAATAAAGATATTGGTGAAAGAGCATTGCTTCAAACACAAAATAAACCAAGTATTTTTCAGAGCTTGAGCAACAGATTAATAAAACTAGCCTCAAATAAAAGAATAGAGAATGCTATTTATTTCTCCCTTTCTAGACAAAAGTTGTTAAAATTTTTAAATAACTTTAGGACTAGAAAGATAGACCCCTTGTTGTAAAAACATTACGAATTCAGTATTAATCAGATTTAAGTCATGGCTATATTTTCCTAAATAATCGCAACAAACTTGAGGGGAGAAAAACTTACGGTAATTATCTTTTTGTTGCCACTTTGTTTATATTCACTTTTGTAGAGAATAATGCTTAAACTTTTAGCATAAAGAACTCAAAAAGGATTTCAATAGCATTAAAAAAAAGTGACCAAATGAAAATCAGACTAAGGTCAACCCAAAATTATAGACATTTTTTAATTTAAGAATTGGCTCTGTTTACTTATGCTTTTGTTTTTGTCTAAAGGGGATATGAAAAATGTTAAACTTGTGTGACATATCCTGTAATCCCAGCACTTTGGGAGGCTGAGGTGGGCGGATCACAAGGTCAGGAGTTCAAGACCAGCCTGACCAACATGGTGAAACCCTGTCTCTACTAAAAACACAAAAATTAGCTGGGCATGGTGGTGCATGCCTGTAATCCCAGCTACTCAGGAGGCTGAGGCAGGAGAATCACTTGAACCCGAAGGCGAAGGCTGCAGTGAGCTGAGATCGCATCATTGCACTCCAGCCTGGGTGACAGAGCGAGACACCGGCTCAGGACCAAGATTAAGTGGTGATCCCTGGGCCTGCCTGGCTGCCTCTAAAAACAGAACAAAGGAGCATGGAGTCCTGAAGTTCTATCATGGTAAATGTATTACCAAGTTATTAGTACTTGAATACTAACTCTGTGGCAAGAAAACAGACCAGATATTCCTTGGGAATGAACGCTGAGAAAGCTGAAAGACCAGCTTGAATGGCTATCAAGCTAGACAAGGCAGAAGAGGTATGTGTATAAAATGCTGCATATAATTACACAAAGGCCACAGATTTTCCAAAGCTCATGTTTAAATCCTAACTTAATAACTCCTGATATGCGCAGTTTTCTAAGGGAGAAATGATTCTCTGGGTAACATTATTCCAGGGTCAAGTAAATTTTAACACGGGCCAAAAATATCCATATGCAATAGAGAATCAGCCATTCCTCCTATAAAGCATACACCCAGAAATAATAACAGAATCACAGCCTGATTTAATTTTTTTAATTAAGCAGATGTAAATTCTTTTAAATCTCCCACAGTAACAATGTCCAGTACAAATACACTGATATTTAGATTCTTTTAAAGGAACTCAAAACACTACAGTAAAGTAAGGTAAAGGGTCATGCATGGTCACTGAATTACTTTATTAAAACCTGAAAACAACACTGTAAGGAAGCGTTATTTATTCTCCTAACTTACAGGTGAATTAACCGAGAATTAGAAGTCGAATAACCTGCTCAAATCCACATAACTATGATTCCAACTCCAGAGTTTGTACTTGTAACTAAACAAGCTAAAATGCAATAAAGGCTAACAATTATAATAACAATCAGTGCACAAAGGCAGAAGCTAAGCAACTGAACCAGCCTATCATTCTGTCCTCAAACACCCTATAAGGTAAATATTATTTTAACCTCTAGAAAAACATTTACAATGTTTTTGGCCAAATGCTTGAGAAGCAAAAATCTGGCGCTTTCTTATAAATATTTTTAGCCTCAAAGAAAATGGAGGATTACAAAATGTTATTTTTTAAATCAATGTTATTGAGGTAAAATTTACATTTAATGAAATGTGCCTATTTTAGGCTCAGAGTTTGATGAATTTTGACATACACTCATATTAACAATCACCAAAATGAAAATACAGAACATTTCTATCACCCCCAAAACTTTCCTTGTATAGGAAATTCCCAGCCCCAAATCTAGACAATCAAAGAACCTCTTTCTGTCACTACGGATTAGTTTCGCCTATTCTAGAATTCCACAAAAATAGAATCTTACAGTACCTACACTATGTATCTGTCCTGTCTTCTTTTGCTCAGCATATTGTTTCTGAGATTCATGCATATCATTGGATGAATCACAAGTTTTGCTGTTGAATAGTATGCCAAGTCATGGTTACATTACAGTGTAACCATTTACCTAGTGGTAGATATTTGGGTTGTTTCCAATTTGGGGCTATTATAAAGAAAAATGCTACAAACTTTCATGTATAAGTCTTTGAATGGCCATATATTTTCATTTATCTTAGGTAAATACCACATGGAATTGCTGGGTGGTAAGATAAGTACTACATGCTTAACTTCATAAGAACATCATAAACTCTGACAAGGTGCCTGTACCATTTTATATCCCCAGCAGCAATATATGAGACTTCCAGTTGCCCCACCATGACACTAGGTGTTGTCAGTCTTTTTAAACTTTAGCTATGGTTTTAATTTGCATTTCCCTGATGACTAATCACTTTGAGCATCTTTTCATGTGTTTATTAGCCATTCTTATCTCTATTGTCTATTCAAAAATATTGTCCATTTTTGCCTTATTAATGAGTTGTAGGTATTCCTTTATATATTCTGAAGTCCTCTTTCAAATATATGTATTACGAATGTTTCCTTCTAATATATGTCTTGCTTTTTCATTTTGTAAAAAGTGTCTTTCTAGTACCAGAAGTTTAAATTTTGATGACTTATAATTTCTCAATTTTTTCATGATCCATGTTTAAATTTTGATGACATGTAATTTCTCAATTGTTGCATGATCCGTGCTTTTTGTGTTCTAAGAAATCTTTGTCTATTTCCAAAGTAGCAAAGTATTTTCTTCTGGAAATTTTACTTTAACTTTTACATATATGTCTATGACCCATTTCTGATTTATTTTTGTCTGTGGTGTGAAGTCAAGGTTCAGGGGTTTTTGTTGTTGTTGTTGTTGTTGTTGTTGTTGTTTTTGAGACAGAGTTTCACTCCTGTTGCCAGGCTGGAGTGCAATGGCACAATCTCAGCTCACCACAACCTCTGCCTCCCGGGTTCAAGCAATTCTCCTGCCTCAGCCTCCTGAGTAGCTGGGGTTACAGGCATGCGCCACCATGCCAGGCTAATTTTGTATTTTTAGTAGAGACAGGTTTTCTCCATGTTGGTCAGGCTGGTCTCGAACTCCTGACCTCAGGTAATCCACCTGCCTCAGCCTCCCAAAGTGCTGGGATTACAGGCATGAGCCACCGCGCCCAGCCCAGGTTCTTTTTTTTTTCTGTCAGAAAGGCCAATTATTTTACTATTATTTGTTGGAAAGAGTATCCTTTCCCCATTAGCACCTTCACTGGAATTAATTTTGAAAGAATTAAATTGTTCATATATGGATTGATCTATTTCTTGCCTCCATATTCCAGAGATCAGCAAACTTCTGTAAAGGGCCCAATATAAAATATTTTGGGCTTTGCAGGCCATATGATCTATTACATCTATTCGACTCTGCTGTTGTAACACAAAAGCAGACTATAAATAAGCAAGTATATACAACACATAAGCAAGTGACTGTGGCTGTGTTCCAATGACACTTTACTGACACACACTAGAATTTCAATTTCATCTAAATGTCATGTGTTGTAAAATATCATTTTATTTTTGATGTTTTTCCAACCACTTGCAAATGTAAAAAACATTACTTAGCTTGCAAGCCATACAAAAACAGGCAAGCCAGACGTGACCCATGGGCTATAGTTTGCCAACTGCTGTTTTATTCTGTTCCACTGATCCATATATCTGTCCCTATGTTAATTTTCTGCTGTCTTGATTATTGTAGCTTTATAGCAAATCTTGAAGTCAGGTAGTGTGGGCCAGCCAATTTTGTTCTTTTCAAAATTGCTTTGGCTACTGCAAAAACAATTTGCAGTAGCCAAATTGTTTTTTTGCATCTCCAAATGTCAGCACTACTTTATTAATTTTACCAAAAAAAAAAAAACTCTACTATGATTTTTGTTACAACTGCATTGCATCTTCACATCAACTTTGAGAGAACTGAAATCTTAAATAATAGAGTCTTCTTTAATTTGAGCAGTATTTTATAGCCTTCATTATACAGGTTGTGTACCTATTTTATTAAATTTATCTCTGAATATGTTTTCACGCTATTTAATTCCCCAACTGCTCATTACTATTTACTAGAAATACCACTGATTTTTGTATACTAACCTTGCAACTTGTGGCCTTACTAAATTCACTTATTCAGTAGCTTTTCAGTACTTTTGATTTATTATTTTCTACATACAGAATCATGGTGTCTATGAAGATAGTTTTATATCTCCTATTCCAATATTCCCCCATTTGTTTCTTCTTATTGTTGCACTTGATAGAACTCAAGTATAATGTGGGGTTCTTTGTTGTTTTTTTGAGGTGGGGTCTCACTGCGTTGCCTAGGCTGGAATGCAGTGGCGATCACAGCTCACTGAAGCCTTGACTTCCCAGGCCCAGGCAATCCTCCCACCTCAGTCTCCCAAGTAGCTGGGACTAGAGGCACACGCCAACAGAGATGGGGTTTGGTCATGTTTCCCAGGCTGGCCTCAAACTCCTAAGCTCAAGCAATCTGCCCACCTCGACCTCCCAAAGTGCTGGGATTACAGGCATGAGCCACCGTACCAGTCCTTAAGTATAATGTTGAACAGAAGTGATAACAGTGTGTATTACTGCCTTGTTCCTGATCTTACAAGTATTCAGTCTTTCACTATAAAGCATAATGTTATCTGGAGGTTGTTTGAAGAAGCCCTTTATCAGATTAAGAAAGTTCTCTTCCATTCCTAGTTTGCTGAGTCTATATCATTAGTGAGCGCTGACTTCTGTCAAATGTTTTTTCTGCACCTAATGAGATACTGATATGGTTGTTCTCCTTTATTCTATTAATTGGGTTAATTACTTTGATTACTGAATACTAAATTCATCTTGCTTTCCTAGAATAAACTTCATTTAATCATAATGTTATTTAAATTCGGCTGAATTTAATTTGCTGATATTTTGTTAAGAATTTTTATCTGGCTGGGCATGGTGGCTCATGCCTGTAATCCCAGCACTTTGGGAGGACGAGGTGGGCAGATCACTTGAGGTCTGCAGATCAAGACCAGCCTGGGCAACATGTTGAAACCCTGTCTCTACCAAAAATGCAAAAAATTAGCCAGGTGTGGTGGCATGCGCCTGTAGTCCCAGGTACTCGGGAAATTGAGGCATGAGAATCGCTCGAACCTGGGAAGCAAAAGTTGCAGTGAGCCAAGATCAGGCCACTATACTCCAGCCTGGGCAACAGAGCAAGACTGTCTCAAAAAATAATAATAATAATTTTTATATCTGTGACCATGGGGGATACTGATCTTAAGTTCACTCTTCCTCATCCTTGCTTTGGTAACTTGTTCAAATTTTCTTCTCTGGTTTATGAGAGTTTTAAAAAGACATTTCTAATGCGTCTTTGTTATGGGTTTAGGTTAATTTCTCCCAAATAAAAAAAAATCCTAATTTAACATTAATGTTAATAATTTAACATTATTTTTAACAAAATATTTAAAAAGTTACCTTGCTGCCTATCTTTCAGTTCTACATCTATTCTATAAAGTGATATCTACATGAAGTAGAATCAGTTTAAGAGTTCTGACACACATTCCATGTGTAAAGCATATGAGAAAAGAGAAAAGAATATATTCCCCAAACCAAGGGATGTAGTATACAAAAGGCAAAGTTCTATATCTATTGAAACAAATTGGGCTTTTCACCACTTTATGCTTACTTCATTTATCCAAGAGAATTTAATGTTGTATACTTGGATGACTTTTTCCTATTGGGTTGAACATATGAAACTGACATATTTGTAGGTCAAAGAAACGTCAAATATTGGCAGTTTCATACGGTTTAACCTCTAATTTAATGGCCTTGGAATAGTAACCAAAGTGAGCTCACCCAGTCTGTATGTTGTTTGATCAGTATACAAGCACCATCTGGTGGCAGAAACCAAAACTGTAGGTTTGTAACTGTTCATATCACTGCTGGTACAAATACAGTCATCCCTAGGTTATCTGTGGGGAATTGTTTCCAGGACCTTCACCCTTACCCCCTACAGATACCAAAATCCATGGCTGCTCAAGCCCCTGATATAAAATGCTCAAGTCCCTGATATAAAATATTAATATTTTAATATTTGCATATAACCTATGCACATCCTCCCATATACATTAAGTCATCTCTAGATTACTTATAATATCTAATACAATGTAAATGCTATGAAAATAGTAGTTACACTGCGTTGTTTAGGAAATAATGACAAGAAAAAAATGTCTGTACATGTTCAATACAGATGCAACCACCCTTTTTTTCCTGAATATTTTCAATCCACAATTGGCTGGATCCATGAATGCTGAGCCCATGGATACAGAACCCAGGGATACGAGGGGCCAACTGAATATTCAACATCAACTGTTGTACTTTCCAATATGCTTTTTAAGAGGGTGTTACAAATGAGTGAAAAATCTTATATGCAAAGTTTGAACAACCTCAGAATAAATAGCACACCAACATCACAATACTTAGCAACAAATCATCAGCCTATATAACATAAACTGAAATGTAATAAACAAGCTGTTTTCATAAATCAGAATCTTGGCTATTATTAATTTTACTGATAATTAACATAATGCAATCAAGTCAATTTGGATGTTTCAAAAAACTTCTTTCGCCCTATCAAATTTCCACTGATAGCCATCACTATCTGTAAAATGATTTCCGTGTCTCACAGATTTATTTCACAGGGGTACAATGAAAAACCAAGAAGCCTTAAGTAAGTGTCTAATTCTGGCCATAGAAACAAGTAACATTCAGGCAAAATAGTCCAAATTGTTTTCTTCTTGTTTAACTTGCTATGACTCAACATATATTAAAAGAAAATAACTTGACCAACCTAGCTATAAGAGATTGGGCCAAGAACTGGATACATTAGCTAAAGGTAACCTTGACATAAAATATACTAAACACATCTAATGAGAATGTAGGCCATAAACTTGTTCCAAACTGAGTGTTAACAAATAAACAAACCCTTTGGGGAAGAAAGGATACACCTTCAATGAACAAAGAGCTGATAGGTCACTCAAACTTGGGTTGAATCCTAAACTGCCATTTTCTTAAGATATATTACACAAACCTATTCTGAAAGCTCTAGATGTTATACTACCTCTTGCCACGTCTACTTCCAACAAGTCTTTAAAGTCAAAGATAATCTTTGCTACCCTTCATTGTGGCCATAAAGAGTGATAAAATGACTCCTAAATACTTCGTAGGCAATTTAAATGCAACATAGTGCAAATTAAACTCTTCATCTTTCCAAAAACCTGCTCCAACTACTCTTGTGGTGAACAGTATTACTAGCCATCCAAATATCTGAAGTTATCCTTAATACCCCAAATGCAATCAAGTCTACCTTCTAAATATCTATAGACACTGTCCCCTCCTCTCCATCTGCACTATTCCAGGCCTGCATCACATTATGCCTGAATTACAACAACATTGTCGTAATTCTTTATCCCTTCAAGTTTTAGGAATATTGCCAAAGCAATATTCCTAAAACATATATCCAATTATTTTATCCCTCAGCTTAAAATCCTTCAATGACTCCCAATCACCTTCAGAATAAAATCCAAACCTCGTGGCATGGACAATTCAGGACATTCAAATCGGGGCCCTGCCTAGACTTCACTCTTCTCATTCCAGACTTACCGAACTGTTTCTAAGTCCATGAATGAACTAAACTTCTCAGGATTCCTAGCCTTTGTTGCCAAAATCTGTATTACTTTTCCTTGCCCTCCTCACCTGGCTAAATCCTAGTTAACCTTGAAGATTCAGTTCATCCCTCCTGGAAGGCTTCTTTGGTGCCCCAATCTGGATGGGGTGCTTAGTTCCTTCCTAATGTTTCCATAGCACCATCGGGGCACATCTATCATTCTGTTCTTTCGTTTTCCTCTTCTACTAAACTTAAGTCTATTAGACTGCCTGTCTTTCCTCAAAGTCTCTACTCAAACACAACATGTGGCAATGAGTAGGCATGCAATAAATGTCTGCTGAATGAAGATGACCTCACGAAAGTCCTTCATTTGCTATTACTATCTCTGTTTTGCAAATGAGGAAATTAATGGAGGTCCAGAGCCTTGTGCAAGATCACTTAACTAAAAGCATCAGAACTAGGAACTGAACCAAATGTTCTGACTGTAATGGAAATAATTTTCTCTAAAAATCTTTGCTTTTGAGGAACCGCTCCATAAAATAATTGTACCCTGCGGAGTAGTTTGGATGGGGCTAACCTGTTTCTCCAGGTTGGACATATAACCCAGGCTTGGCTAAAGTAAAGTATGTCCCTACCCCCAACCAAGTTTGAATGATTAATTCCAGGATGGACAGTTTACTCCAAGTGTTTGTGGGGACTTTTCTAATGACTATCAAAAAAAAAACTTCACCTTCTTCACTACAAGTCTACAGACTATACAGTGTATGAAGTATAGCAAATGGGAATTGGCTTATTTGAAAACAAAGTAGAGAAAAAAAGAAACAAGAGCTAGAAAGAGAGAAATAGAAAATGAGGAAGAACAACACTAAAGCCCTACATCCAACTATGCCTGTACATCTCCCCAAGAGATATCCCAGTTACATAGCTCAAAAATTCCCATTTGCACATAACCTAGTTTGAGTTTTGGCCCCATGGAAATCTACACCAGCAGATCAAGGGGCCATTTGGTCTGCTGGTCTGCCATTTTGGCCATTTGCTAAGCAATAATATTTTTTTATCTGTGAATATACAAAATTGAAAAACTGTCTAAATTCAGCCATTCTATTTCTCTAATGTACATAATTTTTATAAGAAAGATGGGAGAACAAAAGCACGAAGTGTTCTCCAAGCTTTACCTTGTACTTTGTCAAATGAATTTTTATATGCTTTCTGCTTCATAATATATCTGTTAGTGAAAAGTGCCTCAAATGATAAAGAAAAATACATAACCGGATGTAATTATTGTCAAACATCTTGGGCATAATAAAAGGAGACAGGTACTTCAGAATCCAAGTTGTATCTACAGAGTTTGCTCATGGATAAATGTTTTTTTCTCCACTCATCATTAAAAAAGAAGAAAAATTCAGTTCTTCTTAGGCCTTTGAATAAGTTCAAGTGGAGAAACATCATCAGTAGAGGGTGGTAAAACAGCATAGGTAATACCTAATTTTGCTTAATATTACTTTAAGTAGAAAATAAAAGGACCTTTTCAAAAATCCCTCTAAATGATACCTGTTTCTTGGACTTCACCTTTCATTCCCTGCCTTAAGAAGCTAATGATTAATCTGGGTTCTGACAAGGAAAAGACATCTCCTTGGATCTTTGGCTCCAGAGTCCCTGTAATCCATTCAAGTGTTGCCATCTATAAATTAAAATAAATATGAGAAATCATGGTTGTAACAGCCTACTGAGTAATGGTTAGGTCTGCGCTTCTGTGAGCAGAAAGAGCTTTTCAGTTGAAACATGGCTTGGTAGCTTACTAGTACTTTCCGATATTCTTTTTACCTTTTTGTGATCTGCAGAATATCATAAAATAAAGACACTCCAAAAAAGGAAAAGTCCATATTATCTATTCATGGAATGGCCTAAGGCACATCCTTTATTTATGACTTTGGAGAAATCATAAATAAAATTATTGTACCCCTCACAACAACCATAAGAATTAGATCTTGGAACTAGAAACTGCCAACAAAGAAAAAATGCCGACATTCTTAACAGAAAATTTAGAAAAGAAAAAAAGAAAATCAAAATCACATGATCCCTGTCTAATTTCACATACTAACTCCTCTCTCCCTTGGTTCACTCTGATCAAGCCACATTGGCCTCTTGAGGCCAATGCCAGGCACACTTCTACTGCGGGGAGTACTTGCTATTTCTTGAGCCTGGAATTCTCTCTCTCTCTCTCTCTCTCTCTCTCTCTCTCAACATTCACACTGCTTTTTCTCTCTCTTCCTTTGAGGTCTTTATCAAAAGCAACCTTCTCAGTGACTAACCACTTCTTATTGACTGACTACCTCCCCTACAAGAACATGAGCTCCATAAGGACAGGGATTAGTGTCTGACTTTTCATTGCTTTAGCACCAGACTTTTTAAAAGTAATAAATTTAGAAGTAATAAAAGTAGTTTATTTCCATTTAAAAGTAATAAATTCACTAGTCAGAACTGTAGCAAAATTTCAATAAAGGACCACAGATACCAAAATAAAACAAATATAAAGATGTAATACTCTCATAAATCTATTTACTAGAGTACATTAGCAATAAAATTAGTATATAATAGGCTAGGTGTTCCTTACTCAGGTGACTAAAGATATCTACTGTGTTGAAGTGGGCAACTAGCTTTATTTATTTACATTGGGGAACGTCAGATTAAACATAAAGGCAATGCGTATATTATACAGAGAAAGAGAAAATAAAACAACTACAAGAGAAATGTGTTGTCCCTTGTGCCTCCTATGCGGTGTGGACACCAAGCTGAGGGCTGGGAAGCCTGCCATTGTATGCATCACAATTAGAAGCAGAGATGTTACAGGAGAGAATGAAATATACCAAGGAAGCCAAGAAAAGCTGAGGGTTTAGGCCCATTAGCAAGGGGAAGATAGTAGATACACTCTGGAAGCATTACCTAAGGGAGAAAAAGACGGACTAGATGCCACCAACTGCAAGTTTCCACACCTCGTGGACAAGGCACACGACCACAAAGAAAAGAGGAACTAAAGGACAACACAAGATGCCTCTACAGAGGTGAGGTATATAGATGCCTCTCCCTTCCTAGCATAGAGAAAGCTCCCCCAGGCATACCTGAGAGGAAAAGGGAAGGGCAGAAGTCTAATACAGTGTGCAAATTCTTCTTAGAGAACCTAAACAATAATATTTAAAGGAACTATTTACAATTGAATAGAACTAAGTTTTAAATGGATACAATTAAAGATAATTTTTCCCCTAGCAAGCAAGAAACCAAAAAGTATCAGATTATTTATGGACTAAATAAATATCTTCCCTACACATCTAAGTTATGGTATCAGTAAATACATAAAACCATAACAAAAGCACCAGCAAATATCTGATCAAATATAGGAAAGAATTTCTCAGGCATAAAAGAAGTGAGAGAAATAAAGAAAAATCAATAGATAAGACCACATAAAATTTTAAAACTACAGGATATTAAAAACAAATACACAATTAAAAGCCAAATTTTTTAAAGCAGGAAAATTACAACAAACAAAATAGACTGAAGGTTAACATCCTCAACACATAAACATTTGAAAACTGGTGAAGCAATGGAATAAAAATCAGCAAATTAAAATAGACAAATCAAAAAGGATAACAAATATCTAAAAAAAAAACTGTTCAGCCTCACTAGTAATCAATAAAATTGAATTTTAAAAACTACTACTTGATGGCCACGTGAGGTGGCTCATGTCTGCAATCCTAACACTTTGAGAGGCTGAGAGAGGCGGATAACTTGAGGTCAGGAGTTTGAGATCAGCCTTGCTAACATGGTAAAACCCTGTTTCTACTAAAAATACAAAAATTAGCCGGAAATCGCTTGAACCCAGGAGGCGGAGGGTGCAGTGAGCTGAGACCACACCATGGCACTCCAACCTGGGTGACAGAGTGAGACTTCATCTAAAAAACAAACAAACAAACAAAAAAAAACAAAAAAAACACTACTTTTTAACTACCAAAGAAGACAAAAACCTTTTTAACTCAGTGTTCTCAGAATAGAATAAGCATTCTCATATACTGTAAGAAATTAGTACAAACTTTAGTGCAATTGGGCAATGCTTTATTCTTTTTAAAGAATATTCCCCTTATAGTAATATAAGGAAGGAAATAATCAGTGATGTGAACAAAGATTTACATAGTGATTATTTACTGCAGCAATCTTAACAAAAAAGAGGGCATAAACAACCTAGATAAAAAAATAGACATACATTTATATACCTTATGAAGCCATATGAAGCATTATGTAGCCATCAAAATCATTTTGTGCCAGGCACAGGGGCTAACGCCTGTAATCCCAGCACTTTGGGAGGCCGAGGCGGACAGATCACTTAAGGTCAGAAGTTCAAGACCCCCAGCCTGGCCAACATAGTGAAACCCCATCTCTACTAAAATACAAAAATTAGCCAGGCATGGTGGCAGGTGCCTGTAATCCCAGCTACTCAGGAGGCTGACACACAAGAATCACTTGAACCCGGGAGGCTGTGGGTGCAGTGAGACAAGATCACACCACTGTACTCCAGCCTGGGTGACAGAGTGAGACTGCGTCTCAAAAAAAAAGAAAGAAAAGAAAAAAAAATTCTTAAATATATGACAAATGGCCACTATATTAAGTGAAAAGAGAGTGCTTGTTTTGCATATACAAGATACACAAATTATGATATATCCATACAAAGTACACTAACCAGCAATAAAAAAGGGCAAAACCCAGATATAAGCAACATGGATGAATCCCCAAACAAGAAAATCATTATACAAAGTAAAAGAAGCCAGATGCACATAAATACTGTATGAGTCTAGATATAAAAAGTTCAACAACAGGCAAAAACTAGTCTATGATAATAAAATAGTGATTATTTCTGGGAGAAGGATGTGTCAAAGACAAAGAGGTCTGAGGAAACTCTCAGAGGTGATTGGGAACATTCTGTATCTCGATCTGAGTGGTGATCACGTGAGGCTATACGTATGTAAAAAGTCATCAAATAAAGTATAAATACATATATACATACATAAAATAAAGTCATCAAGAGGTATACTTAAGATTTGTACATTTTACTGTATGTCTATCATACCTTCATAAAGTACTACAAAAACTGCATATAAAGGACAACTTCAACTTGGTTAAATATATTTAAATGCAAAGAAAAAAAGAATGTAAAGTACATGAAAATATAAAAGGTGGCAAATTCTGGGATTACATTATTTACATTTTTTCTTTTTTCCCTATAAATTACAAACATTCATGTTCACTAATGTATTTAGACAAATCAAGAAAAAAACTGAGCTCTGCTTGGTAAATGAATGAGAAAGTCAACACTATAAACTGTGAAATGACTTTAAGACTTGGTCTTCCCTGCAACAAATACAGGGCCCTCATGACACAATAAAAACTAGTTCCTTCAGATCTTTTACGTTTGTGGGGTAGGGGAAAAAAAAAAAAAACTAGTTCCTGAAAACTGGGTTTCTTTAAGTTATTAATTTAAATATTCCTTGTGAACCTGCTTTATCTAAATTCCATGCACAATGCCCAAGGTCAATTAGATTTACAATGAAAATACTCTTTTGAGTGTGAGAAACTTTTATAACATGGATAAAATAATAATTAAGAACAAAACCAAAAAAGACATACAAACCTCTGATTGTACATGCCCCGAAAGTTGTAATTAGCTCTATAATTTGGGAATGGCTTTGGATCTAATGGCCTGTAGATGGCAGGCTCTCCCCTTTTCATAGCAAGCCCATTCAGTTCCACAGTTGGAGTTATACTGCCTGTTTAAAAAAAAAACATTAAAGGCACACAAGTGAAATATCTTCACAATTAAACATGCAAGCTATATTTATACAACGCTTAAATACCATGGAAGAAGGTAAGAATGGATGGACCACCTGTATGATTTTCTAAGGAACTGCGAAAACAAAGTAAAAAACCAAGAAAATAGTTCCTAATAAAATCTTGGGATTTTGCAATGTTTTCTGTACATTAATGACAAAAAATCTGAGTGTGCAATCATTACTATCAAAACATAGTAAACAGATGATTCTTAGATTGCTAACCGTGAATATTATTTTTTAAAGTACTGCATTTCATCATTACTTACCCCAGAAAGCTTGCATGTATTTAATCATTAAAAACATCATCTGTGAATATTTTTATTTATACTTTGGTAATTAAATAACTAAGCATTGGCAAGAAAGTCATCAGTGGTTCTTGGACTTATCTAATGAAAAAAGTTTTTTGAATTTTTTCTATAACCAACAAAACAGAGTAAATATAAGCAATGTTTCCTGAAACTAAAATGTCATCGAATATATTCCTAGCAAATATTAAAGATACGTACAAGTAGCATTATCGATAAAAACAAAAGACTGAAAACAACCTAAACAACCATCAATGCAGCATCAGTTATATAAATGTCCATAGCATAAAACACTGAACAGCTATAAAAGGAGGAAGACTACTACACACCTTGCTTCTTTTATTTTACTTAATATACCTCGGAGGTTATACCTTAGCAGTGTAGGGTATAATGTTAAACGAAAAAAAGCAAGGTACCAAATAGTGTGTGCTTTATATTATCTTTTGTCTAAGAAAGGTGAAAATGAAAATATAAATATATATTTGCTTACTTTTTTTAAAGAATAAACCCAAAACTAAAAAAAAAAAAAAAAAACTTACTTAGGAATGGAAGCTGTATGTCTCTGAATGTACACTGTTTCATAGATTTTATTTTGAAAACATGAATTTTTTGCATAATTACAGAAATCAAAATTTCATCCAAAAGGGGTGGGGGAGCAATCTCTAAAATCGAAAGAAAACTGGAACTAAATCTATCTACAGTGACTTAACCACAAAGAGAATTATTTCAAAAGACTTAAAAAACTGTAAAATAGCCATGAGATCCTAAAGAGAAAAAAAAATCTTAAATTGTTTTCAGTAATCACATTGTTAGTAACAAGTAATATGCTTTTACTTAAGTCAAACAAAATTAAATAAAAATGGAGACAAAGTAATCTCTATAAAGAAAACAAAGCAATTAAAACCTAATTGATTGGTGGCCCTAATCATACGAAGAACAGTTATTTCAAATAACTTTAAAATATAGTCAAATAACCACATATTCTAAAGATTTTTTTAAACCCTGCAAATAAATCATAAACTATTTTTAGTAATCATGCTGTTAGTAATATTGGCGTCCCTGTCTCACTGCAATTGCTATTATAAAATTATTTTATATATATATAAAATATACATAAAATAGACTAAAGAATTAATGTCAGAAACAAAGGTTTTTAGCATAAAGAGACACAAATATAAAATCAAACACACTACCTAAAACCCTGTAGTTTTAAATCCTAACTGAAATCCTAACTGAAAATATAGTCTTAAATCCTAACTGAAAATATCACAATGAATTCATGATGTATTTTCTCTTAAGGAAAAAAAAAAGTACTAGGTATTTCCTAGCTTAAGTATCCACTTAAGAGGCCTAAAAGCCATAACCCAACAACTGCAAAATGCACATTGTATTCATCAACACATGGAACATATTCCAAGACAGACCACATAAGCCACAAAACAAGTCACAGTACATTTAAGAAAATCAAAATTATATCAACTACTCTCTCAGACCACAGTGGCATAAAATTGGACATCAACTGCAAAAGGAACACTCAAAAAGCATGCAAATACATGGAAATTAAATAACCTGCTCCTGAATGATTGTTGGGTCAACGATGAAATCAAAATGGAAATTTAAGAATTTGAACTGAATGATAATAGTGACACAACTTATCAAAACCTCTGGGATACAGAAAAAGTGGTGCTAAGAGCAAAGTTTACAGCACTGAATGCCTGCATGAAAAAGTCTGAAAGAGCACAAATAAGACATACATGTATACACACACACACACACACACACACACACACACAGGCTCAAAATGTCTCCTCAGAAAATACTTATTACTTACTATTCAACAACAAAACATACGGATTAATTAACTTTACAGCAAAGAAGCCTGGCATACTCCTCACCGCATGACAAAAGTCGTCACTGATGGGACAAGTCAATCTCAGGCGTCTCCTCATAGAAAGCACTAAGGTAAGTCCAAGTCATTTTTCTGGTATTCATGCTAAAATGCATAAATCATGAGGAAACACCAGACAAACTCAATTGAGGGGCATTCTAAAAACTCTGTGGTCCCATACTCTTCATAAATATTATGGTCATAAAAGGTAAGAAAGACTGAGGAACTGTTTGTTACAGATTGAAGTGGAATGAAGAGAAATGTTAAGTACATGTAACACATGGTCTTGATTAGCTCCTGGAGCTGTAAAGGTTTGGGATGATTAGTGAAATCTGAAATGGAGTCTGTGGATTAAATGGTAATATGGATCAAAGTTAACTTCCCGATAGAACGGTGTCCGTGTCCTTAAGAAATATACATTGAAATATTAAGGGGTAATGGGACATCATGTCTACAACTTATTCCCAGATGGTTCAGAAATGCTATCAATGGGGAATAAAGGTGAAGGATACATGGGAAGTCTATGTACTATTTCCACAAATTGTATATAAATCTGAAATTACTTCCATAGTTTAAAAAAAAATAAAAGGGAGAAAGCAAAACAGTTCTATAATATATTCCCAATTACTAACAGATCAACCATGCTGCAAATGAACTTAACTCCTCATTAGGATATAACTTCTTTTTAAGACCCATCTACACACTGTGGAGTCAAGACTGGATCTTTCCTCCACAGACCTATTACTTCTCAATACTGAGTTACAGTCACCAGGTTTATAACAAAGGTGCCACTACACTGCAGAGGGGAATGGACTATCTTTTCAATAAATGGTGCTGGATTAAATGAATGTCCATATATTTTTTAAATGAAGAAAAATATTGAACTCTACCTCACATCATACATTAAACTCGATTCCTGACAGACTGTAGATCTAAACTGTAAAGATCTAATAATACTGCTTCTAAAACTAACATGAGGTTATCTTCACAAACTTGTAAGAGACACAGGTGTATTAAATGGCACACCAAAAAAGCGCTAACTATAAAGGAAAAGACTAATAAATTAGCTTCCACTAAACAAGAATTTTGTTTTTGTTTTGTTTTGTTTTTTGTTTTTGAGACGGAGTCTCGCTCTCACCCAGGCTAGAGTGCAGTGGTGCAATCTCAGCTCATTGCAACCTCCGCCTCCCAGGTTCAAGCGATTCTCCTGCTTCAGCCTCCTGAGTAGCTGGGATTACAGGTGCACACCATCACGCCCAGCTAATTTTTGTATTTTTAGTAAAGTTGGGGTTTCACCATGTTGGCCAGGCTGGTCTCAAACTCCTGACCTCAAGTGATCCACCCACCTTGGCCTCCCAAAGTGCTGGGATTACAGGTGTGAGCTACCGTACCTGGTCTCATTGAAAAGAATTTCTATTCATCAAAATGTACCCTTAGGAGTATAGAAAGATATTTGCAATATACATATCTGATAAATTATATGAATCCAGAATATGTAAGAACCCTGTAAGCCAGTAAAAAGTAGAAAAAATTTTAAAACAGACAATGCAGATTTTTAAGTGGGAAAAACATTCCAACCAGCACTTTACAACAGAGCCTAGCCTAATGCCAACAGGCATATGGAAAGATGCTCACCTGCATTTGTTATTAGAGAAATGCAAATTAAAAACACAATGAATTACTATTATACCTCTCAGCATAATAGCTAAAATTTTGAAAGCTGGAGATATCAAATGTTGATGAGGATGTGGACAGCTCTCATACCGCTGGTGGGAAGGTAAACTGACATTCTTTGACATTATGTATTAATACCAAATACATTCATAACTATGACCCAACAGTTCCAATCCTAGATATATTCCCAAGAGAAATGTATGCATTTTAAGAATACTGTTCACAGCAGTATTATTTCTAATAGCTCAAAACTGGAAACAATTCAAATACGTATAATAGTACAATGAATAATATGTAAATTATGTATACTTATGCAATAGAATACTACATAGCAATGAAATACTATACCATTAAATGCAACATAGATGACTCTCACACACAATATTGAGAAAAATGAGCTATCACAAGAGTCTACTGTCTGATTCCAACAAGAAGGCACAACTAATCTGGTAGAAATCAGAATATTGGTTTCCTTTAGAGTTGTTTAACCAACTGAAGTGGGCATGAGGGAAGCTTCCATAGCACTAGTAAAACATGTGGTGAAGTGTTCACAGCATAAAAATTCATCAAGCTCTATAACTGTAATGTGCCCTTGTCTGTATACAGTATTAGACTTTATTTTAAAAGTTTACACCAAATAATCGATTCATTCTCTCAGCTTACTATAACACTCAACCATGGAAATTCTTATCTCCACTGGGGCCTTTCAGACACTCTCCTGTTTCCTTCCTCTGACTCTTGCTGGTTTACTTCCTGCTATAATCCTCTAAATATGGACTTGACCCAGAGCTCAGCACACAATTAACTGCTCTTGCTTTACATTATATGCCTTTGCTTTACATTATATGCCTTAGACAGCTTGTTCTGTTCCATTCCAAATGCCACTCTCAACACTCCTGCAGAGCGGGAGGCATACAGTACTCAATGCACGTGAGTCTCTTTCTTTCTTCACCCATAAACTATGACAATGGTTTTTTAGTGTCTCCCACCTTCCCTTTACATGTCAAACTGAGCTTCCTAAAATACTCCTTTAAATGCATCATGCACTGCTCATGAATATTAATTCCTCCCAGCTACGTATAAAACTTAATCTCGTAAAGCTGGCATTCAAGTCGTCCCAATTCACTCACTAACTACATCTCCAGTCTTACCTCCTACTAGTCATTTACCTGCTCTAATTAAAAACCATCTATAAAATTTTTTTTTTACCAAATCCATTGTCCAGATTCCTACTTCAAAGCCTTTCCTCATAGTATTCCCTCTGGCTAAAATATTCTTTCCTCTCATCTATAACTGCCTACTTTTCGGTCAAGGCCTGTATCTTACTTCAACTACTTCAGTCCATGTTTATCATTACCTGTAATACTGATGGCTGTTATTGTCTACTTGGCACTTAATCTTTACCATCAAATTACGTGTTCATATATAAGACTGTAAGACACTCACTGAAAGGGACAATGTTTTATTTCTCTTAGATATGTAAAAAGCAAGTGTTAAATATATCATGGTGGTGGTATGCTACTAATGATCAACCAGTATTCTGAAGAGGCTTTTAAAAATTAAAGAAATGGACAATCTTTTAGGAACTTCAAAATGAAGAGAATAAGTTTTTTTTCTATTGTAATAATATTTTGGCTTATTTAAGCTTAATAAATACTGCAATCAGTTGAACAGAAGCAGAGACTTGCAATCAGAAAGCCATGGATTCTGCAGAGTAGTCCTTGAAAGAGCAGAGAATGTCAACCTAGCACAGACCACATGAGAATGAAACAAGTGTCTATGTGATTTGATTATGAATATAACCAAGTAGAGAATGATTAAATACATTTTAGAGTTATTGTTGACAGGCACAAAATCTTTCTTAACCTCCATAACAAAAATATCTAAGGCGAAATTAATATTGACTAGAAGGTAACCACTTGAATTAATCAGTTAACAAATGAATGAGTAAATGGATATATGGCTGGTACTAAAGTTATAGTAATTCCATTAACCTAATGTTATCAATTAATACACTATGTCCAAAATACAGGTTTGCCTTTCCCAATAGATAACGGGACATATAGATTCACTGAGGTCACCCGGAGAAAATGATGGATATCAGGCAGGACTAACTTGAGGCTCCCACTCAGGACAAAACAGCATGTGGAGACTCACAGTGTAAACTCTGCTCCAAGAACCACCACAAGAACATACCAGGAAAACTGAAAGAATTCACAGACCCTTTGAAAGAAGCAGCTTGCCGCTGCAAACTCCATGAGACAGCCAAAACACCGTGAGTGCCCAAAGTGTGAGAGGGGGAAAGTCTGCCTCCAAACACACATCCTCACTGGGGAACCTGAAAATCCAGATCACAGAAGAATTTAACCTTACCTAGGACTGAAACAAATTTAGAGAGCTGAGCGAAATATAAAAGTAGAAGAAGCAGGCCAGGAATGGTGGGTCATGCCTGTAATCCCAACACTTTGGGAGGCCAAGGTGAGTGGATCGCTTGAGCCCAGTTTGAGACAAGCCTGGCTAATATGGTGAAACCCTGTTTCTACTAAAAATACAAAAAAAAAAAAAATTAGCTGGGCAAGGTGGTGCACACCTGTAATCCCAGCTACTTGGGAGGCTGAGGCAGGAGAATTGCTTGAGCCCAGGAGGCGGAGGCTGCAGTAAGCCAAGATCAACGCCACTGCACTCCAACCTGGGTGACAGACTGAGACTCCACCTAAAAAAAAAAACAAAACAAAAACAAAAACAAAAACTAGAAGCAGCAGCGATAAGAGACCCCTGTAGACACTCCCAGTCCCTAGGGAAGCCATTTTTTTTTTTTTTTTTTTTTTTTTTACTTTCATCTCACAGTGGTCCTTGGGGAAGGCAGTCAGTGGAACTAGGGAAGTACCACAGTGAGAAAGACTTCTAGCTGAACGCTGTCATAATTTTGACTGAATGCAAATTTTCCTGGGCAGAATCTGGGTGGGGGGTGGGGGAGGAGGTGGGAATAGGGGGCCGGCGGGAATAGGGGGCCAATGGAAAGTACAGATATGAGAACAGAAGCCACTGCAGGCATGGAAGGGCAAGGCCTGAAAGCCCTGCTTGCTTTCTTAGCAGGAAGACTTCTAGCCTAGGGCAAATGCTTTTTCTGCAGACACTCCCCAATACCAGCCTGGAGTCCAGTAGCTCCACTGGGTAGCTAGACCCAGAAGAAAAATAACCATCGCTGCAGTTCAGCTCTCAGGAAGCCCCATTCATAGGGAAACGGGGAGAGAACCACATCAAGGGATCATCCCGTGGGATAAAAGAATCTGAACAGCAGATTCAAGATCTTGCCTCTGACACAGTATATCCAAATGAGAAGAAACCAGAAAAACAATTCTGGTAATATGACAAAACAAGGTTCTATAACACCCTCAAAAGATCACACTAGTTCACCAGCGATGGATCCAAACCAGGAAGAAATATCTGAATTACCAGAAAAAGAATTCAGTAGGTCGGTTATTAAGCAGCTCAAGGAGGCACTAGAGAAAGGTGAAAGGCAACTTAAAGAAATTTTTAAAATAATACAAGACATGGATGAAAAAATTTCCAGAGAAATAGAATCATAAATAAAAAAGAGTCACAACTTCTGAAAATGAAAGACACACTTAGAGGCATGCAAAATATACTGCAAAGTTTCAACAATAGAATCAAACAAGCAGAAGAAAGAACTTCAGAGCTCAAAGACAAGGCCTAATCAAATTAACCCAATCTGACACAGACAAAGGAAAAAGAATTTTAAAAAATGAACAAAGCCTCCAAGAAGTTTGGGATTATGTTAAATGACCAAACCTAAGAATAAGTGGTGTTCCTGAGGAAGAAGAAAAATCTAAAAGTTTGGAAAACTTAGAGGGAATAATCAAGGAAAACTTCCTGGCCTTGCTGGAGATCTAGACATCCAAATACAAGAAGGTCAAGGAACACCCAGGGAATTCATTGCAAAAAGATCATCACCTAGGCACACAGTCAATCAGGTTATCTAAAGTCAAGTCAAAGGAAATAATCTTAAGATCTGTGAGGCAAAAGCACCAGGTAACCTATAAAGAAAAACCTATCCGATAAATAGCAGATTTCTCAGCATAAAATCTACAAGCCAGATGGAATTGAGGTCCTATCTTTAGCCTCCTTAAATAAAATAATTATCAGTCAAGAATTTTATGTCCAGTGAAACTAAGCTTCATTAATGACGGAAAGATAAAAGTCTTTTTCAGGCAAACAAATGCTGAGAGAATTTGCCACTATCAAGTCAGCACTAAAGAAGTAATAAAATGAATTATTAAATCTTGAAACAAAGCCTCAGAATACACCAAAACAGAACCTCCTTAAAGCATAAATCTCACAGGGCCTATAAAACAATAACACAATGAGAAAAAACAGACAAAAGGTATTGGGGCAACAACTAGCACAATGGATAGAATAGTACCTCACATCTTAATACTAATGTTGAATGTAAATGGCCTAAATGCTCCACTTAAAAGATACAGAATGGCAGAATGGATAAGAATTCACCAACCAAGTATCTGCTGTTTTCAAGGGACTCACCTAACACATAAGGACTCACATAAACTGAAGGTAAAGGGGTAGAAAGAGATATTTCATGCAAACAGACACCAAAAGCCAGCAGGAGTAGCTATTCTTACATCAGATAAAACAGACTTTAAAGCAACAACAGTTAAAAATGACAAAGAGGGACATTACATAATGATAAACGGACTAGTCCAACAGGAAAATATCACAATCCTAAATATAAATGCACCTAACACTGGAGTTCCCAATTTATAAAACAATTACTACTAGACCTTAATAAATGAGACAGAGGGCAAAATAATAATAGTGAGGGACTTCAATATTCCACTGACAGCACTAGACAGGTCGTTAAGACAGAAAGTCAACAAAAAAACAATGGACTTAAACTATACCCTACAACAAATGGATTTAACAGATATATACAGAACATTCTACCCAACAACTGCAAAATGCACATTGTATTCATCAACACATGGAACATATTCCAAGACAGACCACATAAGCCACAAAACAAGTCACAGTATATTTAAGAAAATCAAAATTATATCAACTACTCTCTCAGACCACAGTGGCATAAAATTGGACATCAACTGCAAAAGGAACACTCAAAAAGCATGCAAATACATGGAAATTAAATAACCTGCTCCTGAATGATTGTTGGGTCAACAATGAAATCAAAATGGAAATTTAAGAATTTGAACTGAATGATAATAGTGACACAACTTATCAAAACCTCTGGGATACAGAAAAAGTGGTGCTAAGAGCAAAGTTTACAGCACTGAATGCCTGCATGAAAAAGTCTGAAAGAGCACAAATAAGACAATCTAGGGTCACACCTCAAGAACTAGAGAAACAAGAACAAACCAAACCCAGCAGAAGAAAAGAAATAACAAAGATGAGAGCAGAACTAAATGAAATTGAAACAAAAGAAATACAAAAGATAAATAAAACAAAAAGTTGGTTCTTTGAAAAGATAAACAAAATTGATAGAACATTAGCAAGATTAACCAAAAAAAGAAGACAGAAGATCCAAATAAGCTCAATTAGAAACAAACAGGAGATATAACAACTGATACCAGAGAAATACAAAATATCATTCAAGGCTACTATGAACACCTTTACACACACAAACTAGAAAACCTAGAGGAGCTGGATAAATTCCTGGAAATATACAACCCTTCTAGGTTAAACCAGGAAGAAACAGAAACTCTGAACTGACCACAGCAAGACTGAAATGGTAATTTTAAAACTGACAACAACAATAAAAAAAGCCCAGGACCAGACGGATTCACAGCTGAATTCTAACAGACTTTCAAAAAAAGAACTGGTATTAATCCTATTGGCACTATTCCAAAAGACAGAGAAAGAGGGAATCCTCCCTAAATCATTCAATGAAGCCATTATCACCCTAATACCAAAAACAGGGAAGTACATAACAAAAAAAGAAAGCCACAGACCAATATCCCTGATGAACATAGATGCAAAAAATCCTCAACAAAATATAAGCTAACTGAATCCAACAGCGTATCGAAAAGGTAATTCACCATGAACAAGTGGGTTTCATACCAGGGATGCAGGGATAGTTTAACGTCCACAAGTCAATAAATGTGATACACCACAGAAACAGAATTAAAAACAAAAATCACATGACATCTCAACAAAGAAAAAGCATTTTACAAAATCCAGCATCCCTATATGATTAAAACCCTCAGCAAAATCGGCATAGAAGGGACATACCTTAAGGTAATAAAAGCATCTATAACAAACCCATAGCCAACGTTATACTGAACAGGGAACAAGTTGAAAGCATTCCCCCTGAGAACTGGAACAAGACAAAGATGCCCACTTTCACCACTTCTATTCAACACAGTACTGGAAGTCCTAGCCGGAGCAATCGACAAGAGAAAGAAATAAAGGGCATCCAAATCGATAAAGAGGAAGTCAAACTGTTGCTGTTTGCTGATGATATGATCGTATACCTAGAAAACCCTAAAGACTCAACCAAAAAGCTCCTAGATCTGATAAATGAATTCAGTAAAGTTTCAAGATACAAAATAAACGTACACAAGTCAGTAGCTCTGCTATACACCAACAGCGACCAAGCTGAGAATCAAATCAAGAACTCAAACCCTTTCACAATAGCTGCAAAAAAATGAAATACTTAGGAATGTACCTAATGAAGAAGGTGGAAAGAACTCTACGACAAAAACTACAAAACACTGCTGAAAGAAATCATAGAGGATACAAACAAATGGAAGCACATCCCAAACTCTTGGATGGGCAGAATCAATATTGTGGAAATAGCATACTGCCAAAAGCTATCTACAAATTCTATGCAATTCGCATCAAAATACCATCATCATTTTTCACACTACTAGAAAAAACAATGCTAAAATTCATATGGAACCAAAAAAGAGCCCACATAACTAAAGCAAGACTAAGCATAATGAGCAAATCTGGAGGCATCACATTACCTGACTTCATACTACATTATAAGGCTATAGTCTCCAAAACAGCACGATACTGCTATAAAAATAGGCACATAGACCAATGGCACAGAATAGAGAACCCAGAAATAAAGCCCAATACTTAGAGCAAACTGATTTTCATCACAGCACACAAAAAATATAAAGTGGGGAAAGGACATCCTATTCAACAAATGGTGCTGGGATAATTGGCAAGTCACATGGAGAAGAATGAAACTGGATCCTCATCTCTCACTTGATATAAAAATTAACTCAAGATGGATCAAAGACTTAAATCAAGGCCTGAAACCATAAAAATTCTAGAAGATAACATTGGAAAAACTCTTCTAGACATTGGCTTAGGCAAAGGCTTCATGACCAAGAACCCAAAAGCAAATGCAACAAAAACAAAGATAAACAGATGGGACTTAATTAAACTAAAAAGCTTCTGCACAGTTAAATAAATAATCAGCAAAGTAAACACACAACCCATAGAGTAGGAGAAAATCTTCACAAACTATGTATCTGACAAAGGACTAATATCCAGAATCTACAAGGAACTCAAATCAGCAAGAAAAAAATAATGCCATCAAAAAGTCAGCTAAGGACACGAATAGATAATTCTCAAAAGAAAATATACAAATGGCCAACAAACATGAAAAAATGTTCAACATCATGAATTATCAGAGTAATGCAAATCAAAACCACAATGCAATACCAACTGATATGGTTTGGCTGTGTCCCCACCCAAATCTCATCTTGAATTGTAATCCCCATAATCTCCATGTGTCAAGGGAGAGACAAAGTGGAGGTAATTTGAATCATGGGGGCGGTTTCCCCCTTGCTGTTCCCATGATAGTGACTGAGTTCTCACAAGATCTGATAGTTTTGTAAGGGTTTGGCAAGTTCCTCCTTCAGTCTTTTTCTCTCTTGCCACCTTATGAAGAAGATGCCTGCCTCCCATTCACCTTTAACCATGACTGTAAGTTTCCTGAGGCCTCTCAAGCCATATAGAACTGTGAGTCAATTAAACTTCCTCCTTTCCTTCATAAATTACCCAGAATCAGGAAGTTCTTTATAGCAGTGTGAGAACAGACTAACACACCACCTTACTCCTGCAAGAATGGCCATAATTTAAAAATAAAAAAATAAAGGATGTTGGCGTGGATGTGGTGAAAAGAAACACTTTTTTTTTCTTTTTTTTTTTTTTGAGATGGAGCCTCGCTCTGTCACCAGGCTGGAGTGCAGTGGTGCGATCTCAGCTCACTGCAACCTCCGCCTCCCGGGTTCACACCATTCTCCTGCCTCAGCCTCCCAAGTAGCTGGGACTACAGGGGCCCGCCACTGCCCGGCTAATTATTTTTGTATTTTTAGTAGAGACAGGGTTTCACCGTGTTAGCCAGGATGGTCTCGATCTCCTAACCTCGTGATCTGCCCACCTCAGTCTCCCAAAGTGCTGGGATTACAGGCATGAGCCACTGCGCCCAGCCAAAAAGAAACACTTTTACACCACTGGTGGGAATGTCAACTAGTAAAACCACTATGGAAAACAGTATGGAGATTCCTTAAAGAACTAAAAGTAGAACTACCATTTGATCCAGCAATCCCACTACTGGGTATCTACCCAGAGGAAAATAAGTCATTATATGAAAGAGACACTTGTATACACATGTTTATAGCAGCACAATTCACAATTGCGAAAACATAAAACCAGCCCAAATGCCCACCAATCAACGAACGGATAAAGAAAATGTGGTGTACATATATACCATAGAATACTACTCAGCCATAAAAAGGAATGAAATAATGGCATTTACAGCTAACTGGATGGAGTTGGAGACCATTATTCTAAGTAAAGTCACACAGGAATGGAAAACCAAATGTAGTATGTTCTCATAAATGGGAGGTAAGCTACAAGGACACAAAGGCATTGAGAATGATACAATGGGCCGGGCGCGGTGGCTCACGCCTGTAATCCCAACACTTTGGGAGGCCAAAGCAGATGGATCACGAAGTCAGGAGATGGAGACCATCCTGGCTAACATGGTGAAACCCTGTCTCTACTAAAAATACAAAAAAATTAGGCCAGGCACAGTGGCTCACACCTGTAATCCCAGCACTTTGGGAGGCCGGGGTGGGCAGATCATGAGGTCAGGAGATCGAGACCATCCTGGCTAACACAGTGAAACCCCGTCTCTACTAAAAATACAAAAAATTAGTCAGGCGTGGTGGCACATGCCTGTAGTCCCAGCTACTTGGGAGGCTGAGGGAGAAGAATTGCTTGAACCCGGGAGGCAGAGGTTACAGTGAGCCGAGATTGCACCACTGCACTCCAGCCTGGTGACAGAGCGAGACTCCCCCTCAAAAAAAAAAAAAAACAATGGATTTTGGGGATCTGGGAGAAGGTTGGGAGGGGAATGAGGGGTAAAGACTACACATTGGGTACAGCATACACTGCATGGGTGATGGGTGCAACAAAATCTCAGAAATCATCACGGAAGAATTTATCAATGTAACCGAATACCACCTGTTCCCCAAAAACTATTGAAATAAAAAAAAAAAGATAATGACATATAATGTTGTTCGTATTGTATGCAATTAGAACAACTCTTTAAAATTATTCTTAGGAGCTTAAAATTAGAACAGTAATTTACTTAGCAGTATTTTACATGCAGGTGGTTTGCGGAATTTGTGATGGGGTTTCTTTCTTTTTTTTTTTTCTTTTGAGACAGAGTCTTGCTCTGTCGCCCAGGCTGGAGTGTAGTGGCGTGATCTCGGCTCACTGAAACCTCCGCCTGCCAGGTTCAAGCAATTCTCCTGCCTCAACCTCCTAAGTAGTGGGGACTACAGGCACGCGCCACCATGCCCAGCCAATTTTTGTATTTTTAGTAGAGACGGGGTTTCACCATGCTGGCCAGGCTATATATAAATATATAGTTTTATATATTATATAAATTTATATAAATTATATTTATATAATTATGTATAATTATATAATATATACAATATATTATAAATTTTTTAATTTAAATATAAACTTAAATATAAATTAATTTAAATATAAATTAATTTATATTTCTATTAATTTACATTTATAAAAATTTATATTTATATTTATAAATATAATTTATATTTATATTTATAAATATAATTTATATTTATAATTTATATAATATAAATATAATTTATAATTTATATTTATAAAAATAATATATTTATATTTAAATTAATTTAAATATAAATATATATTTATAATATATAAATATATAATATATAAAATAAAATATATATAATTATATAATATATAAAATATAGTTTTTTATATATATAACTATATATTTAAACTATATATTTAAAAAGAGAAATTAATCATTTTTTGTAATTTTTTTTTTGCAGGGGTAGAAACAAGGTCTTGCTATATTGCCCAGGCTGCTCTCAAATTCTTGGGTTCAAGCAATCCTCTTACCCAGGCCTCCCAAAGTGCTAGGATTACAGGTGGGAGCCACTGCACCAAGCCACTATCATTTTTGTTTGTTTGTTTTTTGAGACAGAGTCTCGCTCTGTCGCCCAGGCTGGAGTGCAGTGGCACGATCTTGGCTCACTGCAACCTCTGCCTCCCGGGTTCACGCCATTCTCCTGCCTCGGCCTCCTGAGTAGCTGGGACTACAGGCACCCGCCACCATGTCCAGCTAATTTTTTTGTATTTTTTTAGTAGAGACAGGGTTTCACTGTGTTAGCCAGGATGGTCTCAATCTCCTGACCTCGTGATCCACCTGCCTCGGCCTCCCAAAGTGCTGGGATGACAGGCGTGAGCCACCGCGCCCGGCCTACTATCTTTACTTTAAAAAAAAAAAACTCAGTCAAATTTTCTGTGCTTTGTATTCAAATATGTTTTTGCCAACATTAAAAAAGTAAACAATGCACTTTTATAGTATCCACTAAAGCAAATTTTAAAAACAATTACAATTACTTTCTTCATCCTCTCACCTTCATTTTTTTTTTTTTTTTGAGATGGAGTTTCGCTCTTGTTGCCCAGGCTGGAGTGCAATGGCGCGATCTTGGCTCACTGCAACCTCCATCTCCCAGATTCAAGCAATTCTCCCGCCTCAGCCTCCTGGGTAGCTGGGATTATAGGCACCTGGCTAATTTTTTATATTTTTAGTAGAGACAGGGTTTCACCATGTTGGCCAGGATGGTCTCGAACTAATTACCTAACATGATCCACCCGCCTCGGCCTCCCAAAGTGCTGGGATTACAGGCGTGAGCCAACGCACCAAGCCTCCTTCAGTTATTTTTATGCTACCGTGTGTGTGTGTGTGTGTGTGTGTGTGTGTGTGTGTGTGTGTAGGTATGGGCATATGTGTACTATTAATACTTGCTCACTCTGTTACTAGCCTACTATAAATGAAACATACAACAAGCAGAACACACATAGCAGACAACATAACAGAAGGAGTCACTGCCATACCTGGGTTATTGTTAACATTACTTTTGGGTGGCTTCTGAACTGGTTTGGGAAGCGTAGATTCAGTCAAAGCTTTATTGGCAACAGCCTGCTGAGCCTTCTTTATACTGCTGCCTTCGGATTCCCATGTCTGCTCACCAAGACTCAGCTGCACTGAGAACATCTTAGAAAAACATAAATAGACAAAGAAAACATTAAGACTTTTCCAAGAAATAAAATTGGCTGTCTGAGAGAAAAATAAACATCATAGAATCAGAATTTTAGAGCTAGAGGTGACCTTACCTACAGATCATCTGCAACAAAATCTTACTCTACCTAGTGAAGAAATTTTAAGAGAGTACCAAATTCTGTTCTATCCTATCCAAAAGCTTAGTAGCAGATCTAGGTGTACATTCTGGGTAGAATAAATCAAGAAGCAATCTTTCCTCTAAATGGAATCACAATGTTAATGTCATTCAAATGGTCCTCACAAAAGCAGAATAAGTAGAAATAATAAGAGAAACTGTAAGAGAAGCCAAAAGACCATGTGTCTATAATACTTTCATAAAATCTAATTCCTTGAATGTTACATTTAGCACAATCTAGGCAATGAGTCAGGCAATTCTATTAAATATTATACTACCAAAAAACTCTGAATCTCCACAACAAACATTGAGCCAATCACTAAATTCTGTCCATTTTAACATCATAAATATTTCTCAAATCTTCTTCCTCTCTCTGCCAACTGGATCCAGCCTTTCATCATCTTTAGCTTGGACATAATATTCTTCCAGCTGATCACTGCTAAAACTATCTTTCTAAAACACAAATCCAACTTCATCACCCCAATCAACATCAGGTTAAAACCCTTCAACTGTTCCTGTTTTAGCATGGCACAAAGGCTCTACCTGTGCATCCTCATCTCACACACATCCTTCCACTAACATGCTCTGAATTCCATTCTCACTGTATTTCCATATGAGCCCCCAAACCTATTCTTCACCTTTAAAATTCAGAATCAAGTTACATGATATGCGCATAATTGGTTTCACTCCAGACTGCATATTACTTTCTAGGAATACTAAGTATTAACTTAAAATTACTTATTACAAAAAAATATATATTATTGTAGAAAGGAGATCAGATAGAAAATACCTTCACTAAGTTAGCATCACCAATAATCATACAAATTGACGTCATGTGCCCCCTGATACAATCCAGTGAGAAGTATATATCAACAACCATGTACAATTCTTGGCCAAAAATGTTTAATCTGAATCTAATCACAGGGAAACAACCAGAGAGATCTAGATTATGGGACATTCTATAAAACAAATGGCCTAGGCTCCAAAAATGTCAATGTCATAAAAGGAAAAAAAAAACAAAGAATGCAGGGAGGACACTAAAGAGACATGAAGGCCGTGCACAGTGGCTCACGCCTGTAATCCCAGCACTTTGGGAGGCTGAGATGGGCGGATCACAAGGTCAGGAGATTGAGACCATCCTGGCTAACACAGTGAATCCCCATCCCTACTAAAAATACAAAAAATTTAGCCAGACGTGGTGGCGGGTGCCTGTAGTCCCAGCTACTCGGGAGGCTGAGGCAGGAGAATGGCATGAACCCAGGAAGCGGAGCTTGCAGTGAGCCGAGATTGCGCCACTGCACTCCAGCCTGGGTGACAGAGCGAGACTCTGTCTCAAAAAAAAAAAAAAAAAAGGAAAAGAAAAGAGACATGAAAAGACATGATAAATACCATGCATGATCCTTCATTATATCTAAAATGGGAAGGGGAAAAAAGCTGTAAAGGACATTCAGAGGACAACTGGGGAAATGTGACTATGAACTATACATTAAGTAATAGGTTTAGCCAGGATTAAATTTCTTGTGTGATTAACAGTATTGTGATTATGAAGAACGTCTTTAGTCTTACAAGATAGATATGTAAGTATTTAAGAGTGAAGTGTCATGGTAGCTGAAATTTACTTTCAAATTGTTCAAGGAAAAATTATATGTCAATATAGAGGGAGCAAGAAATAAAGTAATGTGGCAAATAAATTAACGATCGGTGAATCTAAACCATACATGAGTGTCTATTACACCACTCTTTCCATTTTTTCTGTAGATTTTTAATTAATCAAAATAGAGAATTGGGATTTGTCATTTGAAATTCACAACATAAACATACCTGTTTAAAGTGATTAAATTTTCTTTTATTCTAATTCAGTTTAAAATATATACCTAAAATGTATCTTTAATACTCTCTCTGGTTTCAGAATGATTTTTCAATGACTAGCTCTTTTTCTTCAAATTTTGGTATTTAACAAAGAACTTTGCCACAAAGTAAGAAAGTTCAAAGGTTTCACATGATATATATAATATACATAATCTTGCATATAGCTCATATGCTTGAAAACAGAAATACCCACATAAATGACCTTGAGATTCCTGATTGCATCAGGAAAGCATATTAAATTTACTCTGCATGTCTCCAGACCTGACCTCTCCTAAACAACAATCACATAAATCTAACTGTCTACTTGGTATTTCCACAAACTCAAGAGGTAAAAGGTCAAACAAAACACTGCCTCCTCCACTCTACCCCCTCCAAATCAGTTCATACCCCAAAATGTTTAATCCATTATCTCCCAATAGTTCAGGTTCAAACCTCATTAGTTTCGTTTATCCTTGCCTTCCTAAGGCTTATTTAACATCTCATAACTCTTCGTTGTAATTTATATTGTCACCTCCTTGGTCTAAGGTTTCTATAAACTCAGACTCAGTATACTTCATTTAGCTCCTATCTCTAATCTTTCCTGCCTCCTAATCATCCAGATGTCACCATTTTCCCAATCTCATGAGCCAGACACCTTTGAGAGGTCTTCCCTTCTCTCCTGCTTGCAATTAACAACTACTGACTCAACTTAAATGTTTTTCAGACCTGGCCTCCTCTCTTTATACTAAGATATATACATGCACCAATGTCTTTATACTAAGATATATACATGCACCAATGATATGTGGACAATATCAGTATCTCTCCCCTAAACTACCACAACACCACCTGTGGTATATAAGAAATATGTATTTGGTCTCCGGCCCTGGTTCCTAACACAGAGCTCCCAAAACCTTGTAATTTCCGGAAGGACAGGAGAACTAGGAGCATTTTTGTTCTAATATTTGGTCTTTGATCCCAATTTCTAACACAGAGCTCTTAAATTCCTTGGAATTTCCTGGGTGATAGGAAATTTTTATTCTAATGAGCCAACTCTTGGCAGGCCCCTGGATAGAGAGCTAGTCTGAGGGCCAGTCACCAGAAAAACTAAGCCATGGTTAGAAACTTCATTTTTAGCCCCATCCCATTCCTATCCACCACGGAGGAAAGAGGGGCTGGAGACTGAGTTAATAATCGATCATGCCTATGTGACAGAGCCTCCATAAATATCCCTAAAAGATAGGGTACAAAAAGCTTGCAGGCTGGTGAACACACTGAGGTGCTGCAGGGTGGCACACCCAGACAGGGCTTGGAAGCTCCATTTCCCTTCTCACACACTTCATCCTACGTACTTCTTTTTTTTTTTTTTCCCCGGAGATGGAGTCTTGCTCTGTCGCCAAGGTTGGAGTGCATGGCACAATCTCGTCTCATTGCAACCTCCGCCTCCCAAGTTCAAGTGATTCTCCTACCTCAGCCCCCCAAGTAGCTGGCATCACAGGCACAAGCCACCATGCCGGGCTAATTTTTGTATTTTTAGTAGAGACGGGGTTTCACTATGTTGGCCAGGCTGGTCTCGAACTCTTGACCTCGTGATCCACCCACCTCAGCCTCCCAAAGTGCTGGGATTACAGGCGTGAGCCACCACGCCGGCCCTCCTATGTACTCTTTATCTGGCTGTTCACCTATATACTTTAGAATATCCTTTATAATAAACTAGTAAATATAAGTATGTGTTCCCCTGAGTCTTGTGAGCTGTTTTAACAAATTATGGAACCTGAGAAGAGGGTGCTGAGAGCCCCCGGTTTATAGCCAGTTGGTCACAAGTTTAGAAGACCCAGATTTGTGACTGTCATGTGAGGTGAGAGCAGTGTTGTGGGACTGAGCCCTTAACCTGCAGGGTCTGCACTAACCGTGGGCAGTTAGTGTCAGAATTTAGTTAAATAGTAGGACATCCAGTCAATGTATGGGGACAATTGCAGAATTCGCTGGCGTGGAAAAAAACCCCACATATTTAGTGTCAGAAATGAAGTGTTACAGCCAGGTGTGGTGGCTTATGCCTGGAATCCCAGCACTTTGGGAGGCCAAGGTGGGAGGATCACTTGAGCTCAGAAGTTCGAGACCAGCCTGGGCAACACAGGGAGACCTCAGCACTACCACAAATGTAAAAAATTATCCAGGCATGGTGGTGCGCACCTATAGTCCCAGCTACTGAGGAAGCTGAAGCAGGGGGATCCCTTGAGCCCAGGAGATGAACGCTGCAGTGAGCTATGACTGCACAACTGCACTCCAGCCTAGGCAACACAGCAAGACCCTATCTCGGAAACAAATTTTTTAATTTAAAAAAAAGTGGGCTGGGTGCGGTGGCTCACGCCTGTAATCCCAGCACTTTGGGAGGCCGAGGCGGGCGGATCACGAGGTCAGGAGATCGAGACCATCTTGGCTAACACGGTGAAACCCCATCTCTACTAAAAATACAAAAAAAATTAGCCGGGCGTGGTAGCAGGTGCCTGTAGTCCCAGCTACTCGGGAGGCTGAGGCAGGAGAATGGCGTGAACCCGGGAGGTGGAGCTTGCAGTGAGCCAAGACAGCGCCACTGCAGTCCAGCCTGGGCGAAAGAGTGAGACTCCGTCTCAAAAAAAAAAAAAAAAAAGTGTTGGAAGTATAGAAAAAAATTTCTTTTTACTATCTTAAAGCAGTTCCCTTAATATGACCTTCCCATTCAAACTACCATTCTTACCACCATCGACATGAACATTCTGTAAAACCATCAACATGAACATTCTGTAAAATATAAGTATTTCCAAGGCAATCCTATGCTTTTCTACAATCTCTCTTAAGATTCCTACTACAGTAAAAAGTGTAGTAGTTTTAAGACGGAATGCTGGAGACACACTGTTTATGAATTTAAGCCTTGGCTTCGCCATTTACTATGTACAACACTGGGAAGTTAATTATTCTTTCTAACTCTCAGCTTCTTACCTCTTTAGTGAAATGAGGCTAATAAGAACACATGGTTAGTTGTGAAAATTAGAACAAAATGGTGTAAACACCCCCACTTGAAAGTCAGAGATTGTCAAACTAGATAAAAATGCAAAATCAAACTACATGCTACCTACAAAAACTGTACTTCAAATATAAAAGCACATATAGTTTTAAAGTAATGAGAAAAACATATACTGACATAAATCAAGGAGAAATTAGAATGGCTATATTAATATCAGACTAAGTGGATTCCAGAGTAAAGACTATTACCAGTGGTAACGAAGGTCATTTCATATGAATAAAGAAAGCAATTAAGAAGACATTGATATCCTAAACATTTAGGCACCTAATAACACAGCTTAAATAAATGAAGCAAAAACTGACAAAACTTAAACTATAAAATTGACAATTAAAGTCAGATTCAATACTCCTTATCAAAAACTGATATAACAAGCAAAAAAAATCACCAAGAATATAGTACAGTTGAACAACACTATCAGCCAACACAATCTTATCAACACTGTTAGAATACTCCAACCAAGAAAAGCAGAATATACACTTGCTCTCAATTGTTCACAGGACATTTACCAAGACAGACCATATTCTGGGCCATAAAATAAGTCTCAATAAATACAAAGAATTCAGACCACACACAAAGTATGTTCATTGGGTAAAGTTACAGAAGAGGGTAGAGTAAAATTACAGAGGAGGGTAGAGCAAGATGGTGGAACAAAAGCCTATATATCATTCATCACCCCCAGTGGAACACCAAATTTTAACAACTATGGACACAAAAAAGCACCGTTACAAGAAACAAAAATCAGGTGAACAATCACAGTGTCTGGCTTTAACTTCATATTGCCAAAAGAGGCATTGAGGAGGGTAGGAGAGTCTTGAATCACCAACATCAACCCTCTCCCACACTCCCAGCAGCAGCCATGTGGCGTGGAGAGAAAATCTGTACACTTTGAGGGAGGAGAGCACGGCTATTGGAAAACAGTACATTAAACTCAGTGCTGCCCTGTCACAGCAGACAATGAAAATGTGCTGGACTCAGCCAGCACCTGCACAGGGAGGGAGGATTTGGACCAGCACTAGCTGGAGGGGAATTGCCCATCATAGCAGTTGGAACTTGAATTTCTTGGCAAGACTTGCCACCACAGGCTGAAGTGCTCCGGGGTCCTAGATAAATCTGAAAGGCAGTCTAGGACACGAGACTGTGCTTCCTAGGCAACTCCTAGTGTGAGGCTGGGCTTAGAGCCAGTGAACTAGGATGGCACGCAACCTAGGGAGACACCAGCTGGAATGGCTAAGGGAGTGCTTATGCCATCCCTCCCCTAACCCCAGGAAGTGCAACTTGTAGCAACGAAAGTATCTACTTCCTTCTGCTTAAGGAGAGGAGAGTGAAGAAAAAAGAGAACTTTGTCTTGCATTTTGGATATCAGCTAAGCCACCATAGGATAAGGCACCAGGCAGAGCCGTGAGGCCCCCATTCCAGGCCCTAGCTCCAAGATAACATTTGTAGACACACCCTGGGCCAGAAAGGAACCCACTGCCTTGAAGGTAAGGACTCAATCCTGGCAGGATTCATTACCTGCTGACCAAAGAACCAATGGGTCCTGAATAATCACCACTGATACCCAAGGAGTATGCAGTGGGCCCTGGGCTCTGACATGTACTGGCTTCAGGGGTGACCCAGCACATTCCCAGCTGTGGTGGCTATTGTGAAAGACTCCTGTTTAAGAAAAGCAGACAGAAAAGTAAAGGGAACATTGTCTTGTGCCCTAGGTACCAGCTCAGCCACAGCAGGAAGAGCAAAAAGCAGGCTCTTGGGGTCCCTGAGTCCACACCTACGCTGGACAGCATTTCCGGATCTACTTCAGGGAGCCCACTGCCCTGAAGAATGAGCCCATGGACCAGTGGTGGTGTTGGTGGCCACACAAGGAGAGGTTCCTCTGCCTGTGGAAAGGGGAGGGAAGAGTGGGAGGGATTTTGTATTATGGATTGAGTGCCAGCTTAGCCACAATAGAAGAAAACATCAGGTAAATTGCTAAGGTTTTTGACTCCAATCCCTGGCTCTCAGACAGCACCTCTGGACACACCTGGAACCCAGGGAAAAACCCGCCACCCTGAAGGGAAGGGCCTTGGGCAAGGCCAGTGCTGTGCTGGCTTCAGGTCTGACCCAGAGCAATCCCAGGGATGATGACCACAGAGGTGCCTGCATCACCACACCCCCAATTCCAAGTGGCTTAGCACTCCATTTGTTTGGGAGAAAGTAAAGAAAAAGAACAACAATCTCTGCCTGGTAATCCTGAGAATTCTTCCGGATCTTATCCAAGGCTGCCAAGGCTGTACCTCTAACAAGTCTCCAAAAGCCACAGCATTGTTGGGCTTGGGGCCCAAGTCCCTTCAAATTCCTGGGAAAGCCTTCCCAAGGACAGGCATAAACAAACTCAGACTCTGAAGACTACAATAAATACCTAACTGTTTAAAGCCCAGACACCAACAAGTATCTACAACCATCGACACCATTCAGGAAAACATGACCTAACCAAATGAACTAATATAAAGCACAAGGGATCAATCCTGGAAAAACAGAGATACATGACCTTTCAGGCAGAGAATTCAAAATAGCTGTTTTGAGGAAACTCAAAGAAATTCAAGACAACACAGAAAGGGAATTTGGAATTCTTATCAGATAAATTTAACCAAGAGATCAAAATTAAAAAGAATCAAGCTGATATTCCAGAGTTTAAAAATGCAACTGACATGATGAGGACTACATCAAAGTCTCTTAACAACAGAAATGATTAAGAAGAATTAGTGAGCTTGAAGACAGGCTATTTGAAATTACACAGTTAGAAAAGACAAAAGAAAAAAATTAAAAAGCAATGAGGCACACCAAAAACATCTAGAAAATAGCCTCAAAGGGGCAAATGTAAGACTTACTGGCCTTAAAGAAAAGGTAGAAAAAGAGATAACAGTAGAAAGTTTATTCAAAGGGATAATAACAGAGAATTTCCCAAACGAGAAAGATAACATTCAAATACAAGAAGGTTATAGAACACCAAGCAGATTTAACCCAATGATGACTACCTCAAAGCATTTAAGAATCTAATTCCCTAAGGTCAAATATAAAGAAAGGATCCTAAAAACAGCCAGAAAAAAAGAAATAAATAACATACAATAGAGCTCCAATACAACTGGCAGCAGACTTTTGTTGTTTTGTTTTGTTTTGTTTTGTTTTGAAACAGAGTCTCACTCTGTCACCCAGGCTGGAATGCAGTGATGCGATCTTGCCTCACTGCAACCTCCACCTCCCAGGTTCAGGCAATTATCCTGCCTCAGCCTCCTGAGTAGCTGAGATTACAGGCGTGCACCACCATACCCAGCTAATTGGCAGCAGACTTTTCAGTGGAAACTTTAAAGGTGAGGAGAGTGTGGCAAGACATATTTTAAGTGCTGAAGGAAAAAAACTTTCACCTAGAATAGTATATCTGGTGAAAATATCCTTTAATTATGAAGGAGAGATAAAGTCTTTCCCAGACAAACAAAAGCCGAAGGATTTCATCAACACCAGACTTGTTCTACAAGAAATCCTGAAGGGAGTTCTTCAATCTGAAAGAAAAGGATATTAATGAAAGAAGAAATCATCTGAAGGTACAAAATGCACTGGTAACGGTAAGCATACAGAAAAATACAGAAGAGTATAACACTGTACCTGTGGTGTATAAACTACTCTTAACTGAAGTAGAAAGACTAAATAATGAACCAATCAAAAATAATAGCTACAACAACTTTTCAAGAAATAGTGTAATAAGACATAAAGAGAAACAACAAAAAGTTAAAAAGCTGGCAGCGGGGACAAAGTTAAAGTGTAGAGTTTTAATTAACTTTCTTTTTGCAAGTTTGTTTCTGCAATTGTGTTAAGCTGTCATCAGTTTAAAATAATGCGTTATAAGTATTAGTATTTGCACCGGCGCAGTGGCTCACACTTGTAATCCCAGTACTTTGGGAGGCCAAGGCAGGTAGACTGCTTGAGGTCAGAAGTTTGAGACCAGCCTTGCCATCACGGTGAAACCCCATCTCTACTAAAAATACAAAAATTAGCCAGGTGTGGTGGTGCACACATGTAATCCCAGCTACTTGGGAGGCTGAGGCATGAGAATCGCTTGAACCTGGGAGGCAGAGATTGCAGTGAGCCAAGATCACGCCACTGTACTCCAGCCTGAGAGACAGAGCAATACTCTGTCTCAAAAAAAAGAAAATTAATTTAAAAAAGATAGTATTTGCAAGCCTCATAGTAACCTCAAATCAAAAAACATACAACAGATACACAAAAAAATAAAATGCAAGAAATTAAAGCATACCACCACAGAAAATCACTTTCACTAAAAGGAAGACAGGAAGAAAGGAAAGAAGGAAGAAAAGACTGAAAACCACCAGAAAACAAATAACAAAATGGCAGGAGAAAGTTCCTATTTAGCAATAATAACACTGAATGTAAATGAACTAAATTCCCCAGTCAAAAGACATAGAGTGGCTGAATGGAGAAACAAACAAGATCCAATGATCTAAACACACCCCACCTATGAAGACACACACAGACAGAAAAGAGAGGGATGGAGAAACATATTCCATGGCAACGGAAACCAAAAAAGAGCAGACACAGCTATACTCATATCAGAAAAAGTAGTATAGATTTCAAGACAAAAACTGTAAGGAGAGACAAAAAAGGTCATTATATAATGATAAAGGGGTCAATTCAGCAAGAGGATATAATAATTGTAAATATATATGCAACCAACACTGGAGCACTCAGATACATAAAGCAAATATTATTAGACCTAAAGAGAAAGACAGACCCCAATACAATAACAGCTGGAGACTTCAACACCCCGCTTTCAGCATTGCACAGATCTCCCAGAAAGAAAATCAACAAAGAAACATCAGAGTTATTCTGCACTATAGACAAAATGGATCTAGTAGATATTTACACATTTCATCCAATGGCTGCAGAATACACATTTTTCTCCTCGACACATGGATCATTCTCAAGGATAAACCATGTTAGGTCACAAAACGAGTCTTAAAACATTAAAAAAAAAAAAAGAGAGAGAGAGAGAAAAAGAAAAAAGAAAGAAAACCTAAAATAATATCAAGCATCTTCACTGACCACAATGGAATAAAACTACAAATCAATAACAAGAGGAATTTTGGAAACTACACAAACACATGAGAATTAAACAATATGCTCCTGAATGACCATTTCAATGAAGAAATTAAGAAGGGAATTGAAAAATTCCTTGAAACGAATGGTAAACCAAAGCCTATGGGATACAGCAAAAGCAGTACTCAGAGGGAGGCTTATAGCTACACACACCTACATCAAAAAAGTGGAAAAATTTCAAACAAACAATCTAACAATGCACCTTAAAGAACTAGAAAAATAAGAGCAAACTAAACTCAAAATTAGTAGAAGAAAAGAAATAATAAAGATCAGAGCAGAAATAAATGAATTTGAAATGAAAAAATTATACGAGATCACTAGAACAAAAAGTTGGTGTTTGAGAAGATAAACAAAATTGACAAACGATTTAGCCAGACTAAGAAAAAAAGAAAGAAGGCCCAAGTAAATAAAACCAGAGATGAAAAAGGAGACATTACAATGGATACAACAGAAATTCAAAGGATCGTTAGTGACTACCGTGAGCAACTATATGCCAAAAAATTGAAAAATCTTGAAGAAACAGACAAATTCCTAGACACATACACCCTACAAAGATTGAACCCGGAAGAAATCCAAAACCTGAGCAGACCAATAACAAGTGAGGAGATCAAAGCAGTAATGAAAAGCTTCCCAGTAAAGAAAAGGCCAGGACCCAACAGCTTTACTGCTGAATTCTACCAAATATTTAAAGTGGAACTAATACCAATCCTACTCAAACTATTCTGAAAAATAGAGGAGGACGGAATGCTTCCAAACTCATTCTGTGAGGCCAGTATTACCCTGATACCAAAAACCAAACACACATC
Source organism: Homo sapiens (assembly GCF_000001405.40). NCBI lineage: Eukaryota > Metazoa > Chordata > Mammalia > Primates > Hominidae > Homo > Homo sapiens. The sequence continues at coordinate 73,699,861 of NC_000008.11, forward strand.
AAAAAAAAAAAAAAAAAAACCTACAGACCAATACCTCTGATGAATATTGATGCAAAAACCCTCAACAAAATACTAGCAAACCTAATCCAACAATACATTTAAAAGATCATTCATCATGACCAAGTGGGATTTATCACAGTGATGCAAGGATGGCTCAACACACACAAACCAATCAATGTGATACATCACATCAACAAAATGAAGGACAAAAACCATACATTTCAATTGGTGCCAAAAAAGCATCTGATAAAGTTCAACATCACTTTGTGATAAAAACCCTCAAATAACTGGGCATAAAAGGAACATGCCTGAACATAATAAAAGCCATATATGACAGATCCACAACTAGTATCATAATGAATGGGGAAAAACTGAAAGCCTTTCCTCTTAGGTCTGTAACACAACAAAGATGCCCACTTTCACCACTGTTATTCAACATAATACTGAAAGTACTAGCTAGAGCAATCAGGCAAGAGAAAGAAAGAAAGGGCATCCAAATTGGAAAAGAAGAAGTCAAATTATCATTGTTTGCAGATGATATGATCTTATATTTAAAAAAACCTAAAGACTCCAACAAAAAACTATTAGAACAGATAAACAAATTTAGTAAAGTTGCAGGATACAAAATAAATATACTAAATCAGTAGCATTTCTATATGCCAACAGTAAACAATCTGAAAAAGAAATCAAAAAAGTAATCCCATTTATAATAGCCTTAAATAAAATTTAATACCTAGGAATTAACTCAACCAAGGAAGTGAACGATCTCTACAATGAAAACTATAAAACACTGATGAAAGAAACTGAAGAGGACATGAAAAAATAAATTGGAAGAATCAAAGCAACCTACAGACTCAACGCATTCCCTATCAAAATATCAATGACATTCTTCAGAGAAATAGGAAAAACAATTCTAAAATTTATATGGAATCACAAAAGAACCAGAATAGCCAAAGCTATCCTGAGCAAAAAGAACATAACTGGAGGGACCACATTATCTGACTTCAAATTATACTACAGAGCTATAGAAACCAAAACAACAGGGTACTACATAAAAATAAACACACAGACCAATGGAACAGAAGAGAGAATCCAGAAACAAATCCACACACCTACGATGAACTCATTTTTGACAATAGTGTCAAGAACATACACTGGGGAAAAGACAGTCTCTTCAATAAATGGTACTGGGAAAGCTAGATATCCATATGCAGAAAAATGAAACTAGACCCCTATCTCTTGCCATACACAAAAAAAATCAAATCAAAATGGATTAAAGGCTTAAATCTAAGACCTCAAACTATGAAACTATTACAAGACGACATTAAGGAAAATTTTCAGGATGCTGGAGTGGGCAAACATTTCTTGAGTAATACCCCACAGGCAGAGGCAACCAAAGCAACAATGGACAAATGGGATCACATCAAGTTAAAAACCTTCTGCACAGCAAAGGAAACAGTCAACAAAGTGAAGAAACAACCCACAGAATGGGAGAGAAATATGTGCAAACTATCCATCTGACAAGGTATTAATAATCAAAATATATAAGAAGCTCAAATAACTCTATAGGAAAAAAATCTAATAATCCAATTTAAACAACAAACAGGTATATGAAAAGGTGCTCAACATCACTGATCATCAGAGAAATGCAAATCAAAACTACACTGAGATATCATCTTGCTCAAGTTAAAATGGCTTTTATCCAAAAGTCAGGCAATAATAAATGCTGGCAAGGTTGTGGAGAAAAGGGTACCCTCATACGTTGTTAGCAAGAATGTAAATTAGTACAACCACTATGGAGAACAGTTTGGAGGTTCCTCAAAAAACTAAAAATAGAACTACCATGCAATCCAGCAATCCCGCTGCTGGGTATATTCCCAAAAGAAAAGAAATCAGTATGTTGAAAAGATATCTACACTCCCATGTTTTTTAGGAGTGCTTACAATAGCTAAGATTTCGAATCAACCTAAGTGTCCATCAATAGATGAATGGATAAAGAGTGGTATTTATACACAATGGAGTACTATTCAGCCATAAAAAAGAATGAGATCCTGTCATTTGCAATAACATGGATAGAACTGGACGTCACTATGTTAAGTGAAATAAGCCAGGTACAGAGAGACAAACATCACATGTTGTCACTTATTTGTGAGGTCTAAAAATCAAAACAATTGAATTCACAGAGATAGAGAATAGAAGGATGGTTACTAGAGATTGGGAAAGGTAGCAGGAAGGTTGAGGGGATGGGAAGATGGTTAATGGGTACCAAAAAAAAATTAGTTAGAAAGAATGGATAAGACCTAGTATTTGACAGCACATAGGGGGACTACAGTCAATAATAATTTAATTTTACACTTTAAAATAACTAAAAGAGTATAAGTAGATTGTTCGTAACACAAAGGATAAATGCTTGAGGCTTTGGATACCCAATTTCCATTATGTGATTATTATGCATTGCGTGTCTAATCTATGTGAAAAAAAGATTAGTAGCTGCCTGGGGTCTCAGGTACAAAGAGAGATGATTACAACAAGGAATGAGAAAATTTTGTGGGACAATGGAAATGTTTGTTCTTTTTCTTCACATAGATATTTTGGTACATGCAACATACCAAATACGTTGTATGCATTGGGTATACCAAAATATCTCATGTACTTCATAAATATATATACCTCATAAATATATATACCTACTATGTACCCACAAAAATTAAAAATAATTTTTTAATTAAAAAAGAGACAAAGAATATTATTATTGATAAAAGGGTTAATTCATCAAGAAGATAAAACAATTATAAACATATGCACCAAACAACAGAATAAAGAACTTCTCAAAACTGAACAATAAAACAAACCCAATAAAAAATAATGGGCAAAGATCTGAACAGACACTTCACTAAAGGTATACACTGATGACAAACACACAAAAAGATAGCCAGCATTATCAGTCACTACGGAAGTGCAAACTGAAACCACAATGAGATTCCACCACATACCTATTAGAATGGCTAAAATTAGAAAGGCTGACTATATAACCTGTAGGCAAGGGGGCAGAAAAACTAGAACTCTCATACACCGCTGAGGGGAATGTAAAATGGTACAACTATATTTTGCAAAAAAATTTGGCAATGTCTTAAAAAGTTAAACATGCACCTGCTATACATTCCTGACACTCTTATTACCAAAGAAATAGAGAAAATAAAATAGAGAAAGAGAAAAGGTAATATATGTCTGATATGGTTTGGATCCGTGTCCCCACCCAAATTTCATGTTGGATTGTAATCCCCAATGTTGGAGGTGGGGTCTGGGGACTGGATCATGGGGGTGGATTTCTCATGAATGGTTTAGCGCCATCCCTTGGTACTGTCCTCACAATAGTGAGTTATCATGAGATCTGGTCATATAAAAGTGTGTGGGACCCCCCCAATCCCCACATTGCTCCTGCTTTTACCATATGACATGCCTTTTACTTCCACCATGATTGGAAGCATCCTGAGGCCCCCCCAAAAGCAGATGCTGCTATGCTTCCTGTAGAGCCTGCAGAACCATGAGCTAACTAAACCTCTTTTCTTATAAATTAGCCAGTCTCAACTATTTATAGCAATACAAGAATGGACTAATACAATGTCTATATGAAGACTTGTATATAGATGTTCAAATTAGCTTTATTATAATAGCAAAAAGCTAAAAACAACCAAAATATCCATCAACAGATGAATGTCCAAAAAACAAAGTGTGCTATATACACATAATGGACTACTCCTCAATAATAAAAAGGAAGAAATACTGACACACACAAAACATGAGCAAACTCAAAATAACTATGCTAAGTGAAAATAGTCTGGTAGGAGTACATACCACTATATGATTACATTTATATAGTTTTAGAAACTGCAAACTCATCTATAGTCACAGAAAGCAGATTAGTAGCTGTGTGGGGTCCCAGGTACAAAGAGAGATGATTACGACAAGGAACGAAAAAATGTTGTAGGACACTGGAAATGTTTGTTCTTTTTTTCCCACACAGATATAAAGCAGAAACAATACTTTTGGCATGGGTTAAATTATGAAAGAAGTCAGTTTGCATTGCTTCAAAAAATGTTCTCCCATCTTTTTAGTATTTTCTCTCTCATGACTCTTTACTACATTTCCCTTCCACTATCCTCACTCTCTTATCCTATACTTCCACTGCAAATGTACATAGAAAGAAAATGATGATTTCATCATGCCTGAAAATTATGTATTCAAGAGGCACATCCTACAGCTCAAAATCTCTGCTCTAGCCCAATACTCATCAACTGATGAAATCCCCTCATATAACAATCACTACATACAATCAGCCAAATTCAAGATGTAGAACATTTTATAGGACAAATTACTCTATTTCTCCAACAAATCAATGTCATAGGAAAAGAGGGGATGGGGATAAAAGGAGTGTTAGTATTAATAAATAAAAGAGACCAAAGAGACATAGCCACCAAATGTAATACATGATCCTTGTTTGGACCCTATTTGAACAAACCAAATGTAAAAAGACATCTCTAAGTCTAATTAAAAAAAAGATGGATACAGACCATGTATTACATAATATTTGGGCTTCTTAATCTAGTCATAATGACGGTGTAGTGCGCTATTTTTTTAAAGGTCCTTATCAGTTACAGATGCATACCAAAGCACTTATGAATGAACAGACATAGTTCTTTTAAAAACTTTAGTTCAAAAAAGTGGGTAGGGGATGGTAAATAAATTTATCTTGGCAAAATATTCAACGTTGGTATCTATTTCAAATTTTTCATAATAAATTAAAAGTAAGATTTTTGTTTGTTTTTTGAGATGGAGTCTCCCTCTGTCGCCAGGCTGGAGTGCAGTGGCGCGATCTCAGCTCACGGCAACCTCCGCCTCCCAGGTTCAAGCAATTCTCCTGCCTCAGCCTCCCGAGCAGCTGGGACTAAAGGCTCGTGCCACCACGCCTGGCTAATTTTTGTAGTTTTAGTAGAGACAGGGTTTCGCCATTTTGACCAGGATGATCTCAATCTCCTGATCTCATAATCTGCCCACCTTGGCCTCCCAAAGTGCTGGGATTACAGGCAAAAGTAAGATCTTAAGATGTTGTGGGTTTCATAATGAATGTTATGAGACAAAACTCCTAACAGCATGATATGCACCTTATTTATTTTCAGTGCAGGAACAGTGCCTGCCACATAGTAAATACTCAACAGACCTTTTACTAAGGGGTTGTTTTAGTCCTATATATGACTAATAAGCAATGATATAATTATTTGGGTACCTCCATCATCAACACAATGCTTAAGAACTTATAAATCGTCACTCCATTATACCACTTTATGAGGTATTATATTACTCCATTTACAGATAAGAAAACTGAGACTTTAAATTAGTTGTTCAAGGTCACATAAGCTCGGCAATGAAGGGCAAAGATCAAGCTGGGCAACTCTAGCGAAGATTTTTTTTTAAAGACTACTTGGCTTAAGGGCCAGTGGATGACATTGCCTCCCTCAGTGATACCCATTCCAAAGTAAACCATCTCAAAGTATCAGCACTAGTACAATTTACTTGAAACTTAGCCAGGCTTACCAACAAATTATCAGAATAGGAAAATAATGGAAAAGAAGAAAATACCATTTTATGTTATTCATGGCTCTCTTCCTCATATTCTAATTAAAACAGCCTTCTTTCGAGATTTGAGCAAACCAAAACAATAATCTGTAGAAAAAATAACTGTATACAGGTACCTAGGAAATAAACTAATATTACAATAACTCCCATTATTATAAGGTATACTAACTTGTTTCAGAGTTCAATTAAAAACTGAGCAGAAAAATAAAAGAAGACAAGGCAAAGACTAAAATAATTATTATTTTAATAGTCACATATTACAAGTTGTTCAGAATTTGTGATACTCATGGGGGAAGGAGGAAATCATGTAAACGTAAGATAGGTCACTACCTGTCAGCATGATATAAGAGAAGACAATTCCATACCATACTGAAGACATTAACCTCTGTCCTGTGTTTCCAAACTCTGGCTGTACTTTTGAGTCATTTCAGAGCTTTAAAAAATTCCTGATGTGTGTGCTTCACCCAAGACCGATTAAATTAACGGGATGAGACTCAGGCATAAGTATTTTTTAAAGCTCCTGAAATGATTCCAATTAACAGCCAAAGTTGAGAACCACTTCTCACCTATGTCAGCATATGTGTAGTATGTGTGTGAATTGCCATATAATTAATGTACCAAGAAAAAAAATTTTTTTTTTGAGACCGAGTCTCACTCTGTAGCCCAAACTGGAGTGCAGTGGTGCAATCTTGGCTCACTGCAACCTCTACCTCCCAGGTTCAAGCAATTCTCCTGCCTCAGCCTCCCGAGTAGGTGGGATTATAGTCACGCACCACCACACCCCGGCTAATTTTTGTATTTTTAGTAGAGAAGGGTTTCACCATGTTGGCCAGGCTGTTCTCAAACTCCTGACCTCAAGTGATCCTCCCGCCTCGGCCTCCTGAAGTTCTGGGATTACAGGCATGAGTCACCATGCCCAGCCCCAAGAAAATTAATGAGTTGAAACTAGGTTTAAATTTTTCTTACCAGAGATTATCATTAATTTCATTAAAATACATTTTATGTCTCACCTAAAGGCCACTGATAGACATACATGAATGAAAATGATTTTGCTTTTCACAAAAAGGATCCAGACTTAGCCAATTAGGATTAATATTAACTATATTATTATGTGAACTTATCAATATCATGTTTCACTCAACAACATGCCAATTATTCTAGTACTCTTTTTAAAAATAAGCAAGCTACAGGCTAAGGGGGGTGGTGTATCACCAAAGCACCTACAGCAACTGGCACAGGTTGGCAAAAGGGATCTCCAAATCTCCTTAAAACCAAGGGAATCCTGGGACTATTGAGAAATAAGAAGAGACCCACTGTCATCTACTTTCATCACAACCAACCTGTTTAGCCTTTAAAACCCCAGCAGTGAGACAAGGAGATAGATAAAAGGTCAGTTCATAAACCCTTCCAAAAATTACAATGGATTCCTAAAGAATCTTAATGAAAACCAAATCCTCCTAAGAGTCCTCCAGAAACTTCCCAGGTAGGCTGACCTTCCTTTACCATATATAGAGGATAGGGATGATGTCACTAACTGTTAAAGGCAGTCTAGCTCTTCACTCTTGGGAGAAGAAGGCAGAAGAAGCAAAACTGGAGAAATGGCCTTGAAGAGGTGAAACAGGTTGGGATCCAGGACACAATGGAGGAGCTGGGCAAGTCAGCTGAGGGTACCTACATAAAAGGCACACAACATTTAAGCAGGTTAAAGAGCTATGTGAGGATTGGGGAAAGAAAGGAATAGTAAAATGGTGGCAGAATCAATGGATCTGCAGTATGAAAGGACTGTGGAAGTCAAATTACTAGACGGAATGAACTAGAAAGTTAAGAGGCAAGTGTCACAGAAAGATGAAAGACTGAAATTAACATTATGCAGTTATTGGTAATGATAAGGTCAAGAATGTGATTATAGGCATGAGTGGCTGAAGGACAGTAGAGAACAAGATCACCGGAGATGTTAAAGAAACTAAAAGGTCAACATGCTGGAACAATCATCTATTTAAGTGTTGAAATCACCAAAAATTAAAATGGGGAATGCTAAAGAGAGTGAAAGTGAGCCATAAGAAATGTGATGGAATCACCCAGATGTAAATGACAATCATGAGGGAATGTGGGAAGTGTGTCTGCTAATATGAAACTCAAAACTGGGGGACTGTCTCAAGGAAGAATACCTGGAATTGGCAATGAGGAGCAAAGAGTATATACTACAGGGACCAAGAAATGTAAACGAGTAAAATACACACCCAAAAACAAGCTCAGTCTAGCACAAAACTAATGACCAACATATATTACTGTACTATAACACAGTAACGGCTACCACAGAGAACTATAGGTCCCACTGGAGGCCCAGTAGAGGAATCAGAGGTTTCACAAACGTGTGGAAGATGTAACATGGAGCTGAGTGCTCAACAATGAGTAAGGGCAAAAGCACCTTCAAGGCAGAAAGACACTACAACTTAGGCAAAGGCAGAGAGATGTGAAAAGAACATAAAGCGTTCTGAGAAATGCAAACAGTTCAACATGATTAAGGGCAGAATGAGTCAGAAAGAGAGTCAGGACATATAGCTGGAAAGGTAGACCAAGGCTACAACTATTTTTTCTGTTAAAGCAAGAACAAAAGATATGAACAAATTAAATTGTTGCCCCTAAATCCTTCATAAAAACCATTAATAGAAAACAAAATTGACAAATTGTAGTTTCCTCTTATTTTCCTTAGTTTGTAGGAGATGCCAGGATGCAAATAACCTAATAGCCAGTTGCTTTAAGAAGATTAATCAACCCTTAGAGAACAAATGCTGCCACATTATATACAAATTTTATGATCATTATGATAATCTCCAATAGCCAAGATATAAATGTGCCATAGAAAATTATGCACAACTAAGATATTGTAAGCAACTGAATAGAGCTCAAACATAAATGCATTAGTTGTAGATTTGTAACATGTATATATGCAAACATAAATGTATACAGCTATATATAAATAAAAATTGCTTTCCATTTAAAAAAACAATATAAGTGAATGCAGAGATAATAAGAACAGTGGTATATACAACTTTTATAAATGATTAATGTTAGAATTAAATATCACATTGGAAAAGATGTCTCACTAGGTAACTGTTGGTATATTTACTCTGTCTCCATTTCTACTTTAGCAGCTGTGATTTAATGGAAAGCACACCATATTTGGGAGCCAAAGAAAATATATTCAAGTACTGGCACTGGCACTTATGAACTATTAAGCAAGTCACTTAACTTTCCTGTGCCTGAGTTTAAATTACAAAATGGAAATCAAAAATCCATATATCATGTGGTTTTATTAAGATTTATATGAAGTACTATATCTAAAAGAGCTTTGTAAACCACAGTGAGCTACAAAATAGTTTAGTTACATACTTTGAAATATTATTAATGTAGAACTAAAAGCCTTCAAGCCATCTGCTGAACCCCCACTCCCCAAAATAAAGCACGATTAAAATCTGAGATGATAAATCTGTTAGTCTGATAAGTATGTCTCACCACCTCTCTTCATAACCTTACCTTTGAATGAGCAGGCCCTCTTTCATTCAGAAGTTTATACTGGGGTTGGACTCTATTGAAACGGGCTAACTCATTTACCAGACACATTGCAGTTTTCTCTTTTGGGTTTGCCATTTTATCTTGGAGAGAAGCTGTAAATAAAAAGGCTATAAAGTTTTTGTGAAGAATGACTTTACAAAATGGAAGAAAAACTAGTTTTGACTTTGAAGGTAGATTGTATATTTAAATTATTTTCATGAATTTTGTATTTTAAAAATTCAAATTACCTAATGTCTTCCATTACATGCAACAGAAATATGTATCACATTTTAAACAATAAATTAAGGTAAAATTTTTCCTAAGTACCTAAGTTGTTCTATGTATATAACAGCATGCTTAAAGATTTTAAAGTAAAATTATAATAATTTTTTATCTTAAAAACTTTCCTTTCCCCTCAAAAAATTTACTAGAAACACATACGTTTCCTGGTTCTTATTACTATGAAACTAAATTTTGTCTACCTTCTTGATCGTTTCATCTCAATTTTTTTCCTTCTCATTATGAGGCAGTGTGTTAGAAAAAGCTCTAGTCTTGGGAATCAGGTCCTAAGTTTAAGTACTAGCTCTTCCAACTACAATTTTTCGGTAACTCTAAACAAATTAACTCCCCTTTCTGTTTTTTTAAATAAATTTTCAAAGTTGTAAAAAGAATAATTTAACAAGTGCCCATGTACCTAACACCCAGTGCTTATTAACCATGTTCCATGTTTAACTCTTATTAAAAAAAAAATAAGTGGTATTCCATTCCTGTTAAGTTCCTTATTATCTTTTACAGAGTATTGATGTATGTGGTTCTAGACTCACATAAATGGTATTATAGCATTATAATAAACATTCTCACAGTTTACTTTCTTCACTCTTCATTGTGTTCTCAAGACTTTTACTTATATAAATCTAGCACATTAATTTTAACTACCATAGAATTTCTTTTACAATATTGCACCAGTTTTTTTATCCACTCCTCTACTGAGACACTGGGTTGTTTCCAATTCTTCACTCTTAAAGAGAGCATGCTGTCAAATAGCTCTCAAAATGACTGTACCAAATTACCTTCCCCTACCGTTTCTCCTCAAGCTCAAAAACATGGAATATAATCAAATATTTTAATTTCTGATAATTTGATATTTGACAAACAGTATCCCATTATTGTTCTTTGCATATTTTTCTCCACTACTATTTTATGTTTGTTTGGGTTTTTTCTTGTTCAGAGACAGTCTCACTATGTTGCCCAGGCTGGACTCTAACCCTGGGTTCAAGCTATTTTCCCTACTCAGCCTCCCAAGTAGCTGAATTACAGGCTTCTATCCTTTTTTTTTTTTTTTTGTATTATAGTTACCAACTTTTCCTTTTATGGTCTGTGCTTTTTACGTCTTGTTTAGGAAGTCCTCTCTAACTGTCAAGATCTCAATGATTTTACTTAAACTCACTAAGCCTTCTATTCTTTCTATAAAATGAGAGAAATAAATCTATCCCGCTTAAGTCCCAAAGTTGTTGTGAGATTAAGAGTTGTAAATGTATGATATGGTTTTCTAAACTATATCGCAAATACAAGGTACTATTATAGCTTCAGAATATTTTTCTAATACCACATTATTTTAACCTATATTTTTCCTTTCTCTCATTTATAGACACATTTAATTACTTTTTTCTTTCACTTCCCATAAAAAATGCCAAAATATATTTTAAAATCTAAGCATAAAACATGCAAGTGGATTACTTCCTGCTCATTTAAACTATAGTCACAATAAATACAGTTCAATTGTAGCCACAAGAATACTTAAAATGAATGAAAATGGCTGGCTTTAGGAACTTCATCTACAAACTTCCTAGGCCAAAGTTTAATATTAAAAATAATATTCTTTTACATTTCTAATACTCTTAACAGGCCCAATAATTTGTACAATGGCTTGATTGTGATAATTATGATTAAGAAACTATTTTATAAGAAAACTACGTAAGCACCTGGTAAGACCTAAGTAAAAAGAAGGAATCTAAGCAACCAATTGTAGGGCCAAGACAGCTGACAGTAGATTCTACAATTAAGCCATTGTAAGTGGCTTGCAAAAAAAAAAAAAAAAAAAAAAAAAACTAGTAATTATTACTTTTGGGAAAAGTACAAAAAAGACAAAAGTCAAGACAGTTTTGAGAAAACCTGCATTTTACCTATTCCATTGCATGTCACACAAATTTTATAAAACATCCTGTTCAATTTGGAAAGTCAGTCGTTATAAGAAAATACAAGGTAACCTGAGACGATAATCAGTTTTGGCCTTTGCATACCATTGCATGAATTCAAGTGCAACAGACAGCACAGCCAATTTAATATCAAAAAGCAAAAGCAGAATAATTGGTTAAAATGAGAAAATATTAAAGTCTGATAAAAATCAGCCAATTTTGCATAACACAAATAGCATTTATACCACCACTGTGTAATTTTCATAATTCAGTAATGCTGCATATTCATCTGTTACAATGCAAAACATATTAGAAGCATACAAACATAGTGTGAAAATTTTATACTATGAAAATTGCTAATAGCATAGGTTCTACACATATTAAACAGCGATTTAAATGGTTCATTTATAATGAACCCGTTTGGTATGAAAACCTAATCTAAATCCTCTAAAGGAAAATGTTAACAAATAACATGGTATAAAACTTATATTCCATTAATTCTGACTTCCTGCTTCATAAAAGTTAACATGAATCCAATAACACATTTTAATGGGTGACTGAAGTTTTAGTGTGAGAAGGGTCCAAGATCCCACTTTGATAAAGCTTCAAAATTAAAATCAAAATGTTTAAAGTTGATAACTTAGGAAATAATTAGTCATAGTTGTTTTATTTTAAAAAGGGATTAAAACAAATAGTTGTTCCTTTATTTAATGAGAAATCTTAATAGGATTCTTACTTGACAGAGAGCTCAGTAATACAGCAATAACTTTTAAATTACACCAAAATTTAGATAGAGCATCTATAAAAACAAACTGGTCTATAAAATCTGAGACACATAAAAAAGTTATATAAATCTTTTTTAGAGAAGTCAATAGTGCAAAAAAGTGAGAAATGCACATAATGTTACACAGGTATGCATTTTCAAAGACCTATAGATGTTATCACTGAAGATAGTTTGAAATAGTCTTCAAGTCCATTTGGTGGCTGGAATAGTAGAGACCTACTTAGAAGTAAATAAAATTAATAAAAATGGATTCACAATCTCAGACTCTGCCACTTTGAAAGAACAACTGCCACATGATGGTTAAGAGCCTGTTTTGGATATCTCTGTCACTTACTAATATCTGTGTGACCTTGAGAAAGTACTTAAATCTCACTTTCCCACAAAGTAAAATAGAGATAATAGTTGTTCTTATCTCACTAGATAATTGCATGGATTGAATGAGATAATACCAAACACTGTTAACAATGATTAAAAATTCATTATTATTCTGATTTAAACATTTGTTAAAACAATTACACTATCATCAAATATTAAAACAGTGACATAAAAAGTCATGAAAAAAGTTTATAAAACTAAGTAAAAATATTCTTAGCCAAAATATTCTGTTACGATAAATTGATTTTACTCATACAAATATACTTCTTGGCTGGGCATAGTGGCTCACATCTGTAATCCCAGTACATTGGGAGGCAGAGGCGGGAGGATCGCTTAAGGCCAGGGGTTTGAGAACAGCCTGGACAACATAGCGAGACCTCATCTCTACAAAAAAATAAAAATATTAGCCATATGTCATGGCACATGCCTGTACTCCTTGACACTCAGAAGGCTGAGATAGAAGGATTGCTTGAGCCCAGGAGTTCCAGACTGCAATCCAGCCTGGGTGACAGAGTGAGATCCTCTCTCAAAACAAAACAAAACAAAAAACAAGTATATTTCTGTAGTAGTCTGTGAAAAGCATGTATTTGTTATTATTTTTTCCACTGACTTATAAACCCATAAGTTCGTTTCCACTGAAAAATTCTCAAATATGATATAAATTATATTAAAGGTTTACATGTGCTAGGAAATATTCTACCTTCACTGATACGAAACTTGGTTAGATATAACTTACAACTTTGATAAGAAACACTGGTAAAATACATATTTATAATAACAGTATTTGCATATCCAACAAAAACATAAATATACTCTATTTTTAGATTCACTCTATTTTTATGTCTTCACAAAATGTCCTGGACTCTGGAATTTGAATCTTCATTTTGCCTGTTCATTTGTATGTGTAGGAACCAGTGAAGAAACACAGCAACTGTGTTCAAGTCACTGAACAAGCTACAAAATAATGTAGCTCACAGGCAAAATGATCTGTCCCCAAAGGAGTTCACAGTCTGATAGAAGAAACAGACACAGACAATAGACAAACACAATAAATCACAATATAAGTACTATAATAAGGCTGTTACAAAAACTCCTTAGACAAAGGGTGTATGGAAAGGCAAGTTTTAAGAGGTGGTGATTAGATAAGGAAAGCAAAAATTCACTTAGGTAACAAGGGAACGTGAGAGACAGTCCAAGCTTTTCAAGGAGTATAGACACAGGAGAAAGCACATAAAACAACATAACTTTCTGGCAAATGCAAGCAGAAAACTGGCAGAATACAGAACGCATGAGAAAAAACAGCAGAATAAAACTATGTGACCAGAATTCACTAGAACACCAAAAGTTTCCTAAACCAGAACTTAAAGTAGCATTTTTTAAAGTAGCTATATTCCAGCCAGAACTGTTGCTACTAAGGTCACAGACTACCTCGCTTCGCAAGGCAAATCATTCCAAAGAATCCTTTCCATCCTTGGTCCCAGAAATGACTTAAACACGGTTTCTTTCCTTTTTTTTTTGAGACAGAGTTTCACTCTTGTTGCCCAGGCTGTAGTGCAAGGGCGCGATCTCGGCTCACTGCAACCTCCACCTCCTGGATTCAGGTGATTCTCCTGCCTCAGCCTCCCGAGTAGCTGGAATTACAGGCATGCACCACCACGCCCAGCTAATTTTGTTTTTTTAGTAGAGACGGGGTTTCTCCATATTGGTCACGCTGGTCTCGAACTCCCGACCTCAGGTGATCCGCCCACCTCAGCCTCCCGAAGTGGTGGGATTACAGGCGTGAGCCACCACGCCCGGCCTTAAACACAGTTTCTATGTCTCTTTACTGGTTCCCCTTTCTCTATTCTCTGCTATTGGAGGGAACTCATCCTAATTCCCAAGTAAAATAAGAAAGAAAAAAGTCAAAAGAGCAAAGGACCCTTTCATGGGCTCTTGCCTTCTAGGAGCAATCTGACAGATATGTCCCCAGCTATTAACTAAAACAAACCCTCTATTTTCAAATTAGACCCTAACATAAGGCTGTCCAAGCAAAATTATCGACAAACTACCCAGGCATCAAACTGCTCCATTTTTAACAGTCTGTCCATTAGGAAAAAATTTAAGTTCCTCTCTCACATAAACACAAAGATAAATTTCAGAAATATTAAAATGCAAAATACAAAAATTTCACAAAAACTAACGGAAATTAGCTAAATATCTGTCATACTCCTGTAACACAGAAGGCCTTCCTAGATATGAAAAGGAACCTAGAAGCCATAAAGGCAAAAACTGATAGTTAACAACATAAAAATAATAAAACTTCTCTAAAGCAAAACATACCACATATGACACTAAAGTCTAAGCCATTTTGAGTTACTTTTTGTATACAGAAGAAATACTTGCAATATGTGAAGAAAGGCCAGGCGTGGTGGCTCACGTCTGGAATCCCAGCACTTTGGGAGGTCAAGGCGGGCAGATCACCTGAGGTCAGGAGTTCCAGACCAGCCTGGCCAACATGGTGAAACCCCGTCTCTACAAAAATATACAAATTAGCCAGGCATGATGGCGGGTGCCTGTAATCCCAGCTACTCAGGAGGCTGAGGCGAGAGAATCACTTGAACCCGGGAGGTGGTGGTTGCAAGTGGAACCAAGATCGCACCACTGCACTCCACCCTAAGCAACAGAGCGAGACTCCGTCTCAAAAAAAAAAAAAAAAGTGAAGACAAACTGTTAACATTCATAAAATAAAAAGATACTATAAATCAATTTTTTTAAAGCCAATAGGAAAAAAGGGCAAAGTTACACACAATTCACATAATTTCTTGAGTAAATATACCTGTTCAAAAGAATGTTAAAGAGCCTGGCCAACATGGTGAAAGCCTGGCCAACATGGTGAAACCCTGTCTCTATTAAAAATACAAAAATCAGCCAGGCATGGTGGCACATGCCTGTAGTCCGAGCTATTCGGGAGGCTGAGGCACCAGAATCGCTTGAACCTGGGAGGTGGAAGTTGCAGTGAACCGAGATGGCACCACTACACTCTAGCCTGGGCAACAGAGTGAGACTGTCAAAAAAAAAAAAAAAGAAAGAAAGAAAGAAAAATTCAAATTCCAGTGATATATAATTTTCCCCTATTAGACTGATAAAGATTTTTTTTAATAATCATTTAAGTATTAACAAGTATGTGGGGAAAATGGGTGAGAATTCTGTTGGTGCAAATACAAATTAGTACAAAATTTCTGATGGGCAACATTGATTAAAGTTTCAATTGTACCTATCTTTAAAACAGCAATTATTAATCTGAGGATTCATACTACAGGAAGACATTTGCAATGATAATCTGGAAAACAAGACTATAATAGCAAAAACTATAAATGAGATAAATATTATTATTTACCAAAAATTGGTTAAACTACATGAATCATGCAGCTTTGAAAAGAGAAAGAGGTACAGAGCTTATGAATCAACATGGGAAAACTTTGCAAACTGGTGAATGACAAAAGTTACAGCAGCTTACTGTGTGATCGTATATTTATCTTCTTTTTTTTTTGAGACGGAGTCTCACTCTGTCACCCAGGCTACAGTGCAGTGGCGCAATCTCGGCTCACTGCAAGCTCCGCCTCCCAAGCTCAAGCGATTCTTCTGCCTCAGCCTCCTGAGTAGCTGGGATTACAGGCATGCGCCACCATGCCCAGCTAATTTTTTTTTCTTTTTTTTTTTTTTGAGACAAGAGTCTCGCTCTGTCACCCAGGCTGGAGTGCAGTGGTGTGATCTTGGCTCACTGCAAGCTCCGCCTCCCGGGTTCACGCCATTCTCCTGCCTCAGCCTCCCAAGTAGCTGGGACTACAGGCGCCCGCCACCACGCCCAGCTAATTTTTTGTATTTTTAGTAGAGACGGGGTTTCTCCATGTTGGACAGGCCAGTCTCGAACTCCTGACCCCAGGTGATCCACCCGCCTCGGCCTCCCAAAGTGCTGGGATTACAGGCGTGAGCCACTGCGCCCGGCCAGAGTAAGTTCTTTCTAGTCTTGACAGTGCCACCATGGTCCTGAAAAACAGAAAAATAATGCTCAAGGATCTGATTTAAAGCAGGCCATGTTGTGCCTCCATCTCCAACTTTTCCAGTGAAGCTATCTAGAGATTTAAACAGGACAAAAACACAGTGTGTCCTTACCAGTATTTAGTTTGGTCAGTCTTCTTAACTTCAGTCATTCTAAATATGTGTATAATGATACCTCGTGATTTTAATTTGCATCTCCCTAATGAATACTGTTAATTAACTTTTTTCATTTGCTTATATGTCATCTGTATCTCCTGTGGTGAAGTGTCTGAATATTTTACTTTTGATTTTTTTTTCTTATTGCTGAATTTGAAGAGTTCTTTACACATCCTACATACAAGTTACTGATTAGACATATGCTTGGTAAAGATTTTCTTCTAGGCCAGGCGCGGTGGCTCACGCCTGTAATCCCAGTACTTTGGGAGGCCAAGGCAGGTGGATCGTTTTAGGTCAGGAGTTCAAAACCAGTCTGGGCAACATGGTACCCCGCCTCTATTAAAAATACAAAAAGTAGCTGGGCACGGTAGTGTGCGCCTGTGATCCCACCTACTCAGGAGGCTGAGGCACAAGAATCACTTGAGCCCAAGAGGTGAGGGGCTGCAGTGAGCCAAGAAGGTACCACTGCACTCCAGCCTGGGGAACAGAGCAAGACTCTGTCTCCAAAAAAAATAAATAAAGTAGTAGGAAAAAGATGAATTGCTAACAAAGTTGGAGCAAATGGACAGTCATCTTAGAAAATAATAAAGAGGAATCACTACGAAAAAAATAAAAATTTTTTTCCCAAACTGTGGCTTTTCTCTTTATTCTCTTACCAGTGTCTTTTAAAGAGCAGATTTTAATAGTCTAATTTATCAATTTTTATAGTTTGTACTTTTAATGTATATCTAAAAAATTATTACCTAACTGAGGTCTAAAAATTTTTTTCTCCTGTTTTCTTCCACGAACATTATAGTTTTAGGTTTTACATTTAAGTCCAGAAGCCATTTTGAGTTAGTTTTCCTATACAGCGCAAGGTATGAATCCATTTTTTGTATATCAATATCCAATTGTTTCCAACTGTGGAAAAGGCTACATTTCTCCCACTACATTGCCTTTATGTCTTTGTCAAAATTATTAGTTATCTACATATAAGGAGTTTATTTCTGGACTACCAATTCTGTTTCCACTGATCTATTTGTCTTTTGTTGTTGTTGTTGTTGTTGTTGTTGTTGTTGTTGTTGTTTTGAGACGGAGTCTCGCTCTGTCGCCCAGGCTGGAGTGCAGTGGCGCGATCTCAGCTCACTGCAACCTCCACCTCCTGGGTTCAAGCGATTCTGCCGCCTATTTACCTATTTTTACGCCAAACTATTTTACAGCTTTTAATTCTTGAAATCAGGTAGTGTTGGCTCCCACACTGTTCTTTTTCACAGTTGTTTAAAGTTCTTTAAATTTCCACATGAATTTTAGAATCACCCTGTGCAGTTCTATAAAAAAGCCTGCAAAGATTGAAATATAAGTCTCTTAAATCTATAATTTGGTGAAAATCAACATTTTAACAAAGTTGAGTATTCCAACCCATGAAAAGGATACACAGTCACTTCTCATTATTGAGATAATAATATGTCAATGACTGTTATGTGAATCAGCAATTATAGAGCCATTGCTCCCAGGGGAACTAACGTATTAGGTTCTTGCAAGCTTCTGCTGACATTTTTGTGAACTGATCATATGTCATGTTTTATGTGTTTCTGTTTAGAGACTTCTTGTTTAGTATGTATTACTAATATATGTTACTGATTCATTAACATTGAACTCATGTCCAATAGTACTGTTTAACTCCTGCCTGAATAAAGCTTATCTAATGCACATATATTCTCCGTAAGGCATATCAGAGCCTCCTGGTACTTAGAAACACTATATGGCACTTAAACATTACACTTTAAACATTTTAAACATCAAAATAACCATCTTTGTAAACATCAAAATAACCAACAAAAAGCACAAACATGCAAAAAATGCAGCACTAAATAAACCAAGAAAGGGCTACTTGCTTACAGTATGAAACCCAAAATAAGAAAGCAGAGCATTGTCTTGTTTGATCCCAGCTGGGTATATACATGTGCACTGGGTGATTCAAAATGTTTTGCCCCTGCAAGTGTCTGAGAATGACCACAAAAGCACTGCAAGTATTGGTTTTGGGGTTACAAATAAAAATTAGTGAGTAAGCCAATTCCTAGGTAAAGAATCCATGAATAATGAGAATCAACTGTATCTTATTCAGGTATCCTTTAATTTCTTGCAGCAGTATTTTGTAGTTCTCATTTTCTTTAACATATTTTGTTAGACTTATCTCTAAGTAGTTCATATTTTTGATGCTTTTGAAAATGCTACTCTTTTATTTTCATTTATGATTGTTCTCTGCTAATGTATAGAAACACAATTGGTTTTTGCATACTGCTCTTCTATCCTGCAACTCTGCTATAGTAATTTATTAGTTCTAGTAGGATTCCATCAGATTTTCTACATAGACAATCAGGTCATCTGTGAATAAGGACAGTTTTATTCATTTCTTTCCAATCTGAACACCATGCATTTCCTTCTCTTGCATGATGGCATGGGCTAGAACCTCCACGGCAACGTCAAACGGAACTGGTTAAAGTGGACATCCCGTCTTCTTTTTTTAAAATAAGTGTCCAGTTTTGGCCAGGTGTGGTGGCTCACGCCTGTAATCCCAGCACTTTGGGAGGCCGAGGCAGGTGGATCACAAGGTCAGGAGATCGAGACCATCTTGGCCAACCTGGTGAAACCCCGTCTCTACTAAAAAATACAAAAAAATTAGCCAGACATAGTGGCGGGTGTCTGTAGTCCCAGCTACTACAGAGGCTGAGGCAGGAGAATGGCACGAACTCACAAGGGGGAGCTTTCAGTGAGCCGAGATCGTGCCACTTCAGCCTGGGCAACAGAGCGAGACTGTCTCAAAAAAAAAGGTGTCCAGTTTTTCACCAATAAGTACAAGGTCAGCTAATAAGGTTTTTCATAGAAGCACATTAGCAGGCTGGGAAAGTTCACTTCCACTTCTAGTTTGCTGAGAGTCTTTATGATACTGAATATTAGATTTTATCAAATGATTTTTCTGCATCTATTGAGATGATCATGTGATTTTTGCTTTTTAGTTCATTAATATGTTAAATTACACTACTGATTTTTTGGAACACTAAACCAACCCCACATTCCTGGGATAAACCCCACATGGTTATGACATATTATCCTTTTAATAAACTGTTGAATTAGATTTGCTGAAACTTTGTTTAGATTTTTGCAATTATATTTATGAGACATACTGGTCTGTAATTTCCTTAAAATGTATTTGTCTGATTCTGGTATCCCAGTAATGCTGGCATCATGAGCCTTGTAAAAAATTCCTTCCACTTCAATATTTTTAAAAGCATATAAAATTGATATTATTTTTTCCTTAACTTGTATAATTCACCAGTGAAACTATCCGGACCTAGAGTTTTCTTTTTAAGTAGACTTTTACTACAATTTTTATTTCTTTAGCATATAAAAAGCTACTCAGGGCTAGGCATGATAGCTCATGTCTGTAACCCTACCACTTCAGGCCAAAGCAAGAGGATCACTTGAGCCCAGGAGTTGGAGACCAGTCAGTACAACATGGTGAAACCTTATCTCTACAAACATTAAAAATAAAAAAATTAGCCAGGCATGGTAGCATGTGCCTGAAGTCCCAGCTAGGAGGCTGAAGTGGGAAGATCACTTGAGGTCAAGGCCACAGTGAGCTATCATCGGACCACTGCTCTCCAGCCTGGGCGACAGAGTGAGACCCTGTCTCAAAAAAAAAGCTATTCAGGTTATCCATTTTCTTCTTCTTCCTTTGGGATTAATTTGTTCTTCTTTTTCTAGTCTTTTAAGATGGAAGCTGAAGTCAAATATTTGAGCTATTTGAGTTCATTCTTCTTTCAAAATATATACATTTGGAGCTATAAATTTCTCCCTAAATACTGTTTTAGCAATATCTCCTAATGTTGTATTGCTGTTGTCATTTAGTTTAAAATACTTTCTTTTTTTTTTTTTTTTTTTTTTTTGAGACGGAGTCTCGCTCTGTCGCCCAGGCCGGACTGCGGACTGCAGTGGCGCAATCTCGGCTCACTGCAAGCTCCGCTTCCCGGGTTCACGCCATTCTCCTGCCTCAGCCTCCCGAGTAGCTGGGACTACAGGCGCCCGCCACCGCGCCCGGCTAATTTTTTGTATTTTTAGTAGAGACAGGGTTTCACCTTGTTAACCAGGATGGTCTCGATCTCCTGACCTCATGATCCACCCGCCTCGGCCTCCCAAAGTGCTGGGATTACAGGCGTGAGCCACCGCGCCCGGCCTAGTTTAAAATACTTTCTAATTTACCTTTCCTTCTTTTTAAACCATAGATTACTTATATTTTTTAATTTCCAAATATTTAGAGATTTCCCAAGAATCTTTCTGTTAATGATTCCTAATTCCACTGTAATCAGATACAATTTTTTAATGACTTGAATCCTTTTGAATTCATTTAAGACTTGTTTCATGGCCAGGCACCATGGCTCACGCATGCAATCCTAGGAGTTTGGGAGGCAGAGGCAGGAGGATCACCTGAACCCAGGAGTTCTAGACCAACCTGGGCAACACAGTAAGATCCCAACACTACAAAAAAAAAAAAAAAAAAAGAATATTAGCTGGGTGTGGCGGCACACATTTATAGTCCTAGATACTCGGGGAGCAGAAATGGGAGGATTGTTTGAGCCCAGGAGGTCAAGGCTGCAGTCAGCCATGGTGGTACCACTTCACTACAGCGTGAACAAAGCAAAACCCCACCTCCAAAAAAAAAAAAAAAAAAAAAAAAAAAAGTCCTTTATGGCCCAAAATACAGTTTATCGTTGCAAATGTTTTGGATAAACTTGTGAACAAATACGTATTCTACTCTTTTTAGGTAGAGTGTTCTATAAATGCAATTAGGTCAAGTTGCTTAACAGTTACTCAAGTCTACTATATCTTTGATGATTTTCTGTCCACTTCTATCAATTATTGACAGGGGTTACTAAAATCTCCAATTATGACTGGATTTCTCAATTTCTCCTTGCATTTCTATCAGGTTTTGTTTCATGTGTTTTGAAGCTCTGTTATTAGGTGCATAAACATGTAACATCATTATGTCCTCTTAACTGACCTCTTTACCATTATAAATGAAATGACCTTCTTTATCCCTGGAAATATTCCTTGCTCTCAAATATACTTTAATATTAATATAGCCACTCCAAGTTGCTTTTGACTAGGTTACCATATTATATCTTTTCCCATTCTTTCACTTTTAACCTGTTTGTTTACAAACTATTTCTTGTAGGCAAGCATATAGTTGGATCTTGCTTTTATATCCAATCTGACAAATTCAGCCTTTAAACTGGAGTGTTTAGACAATTTACATTTAGTGTGACTATTCATATGGTTAGGTTTGATTCTATCATCTTGCTATTTATTTTATATTTTTCCCATTTGGTGTTTGTTCCTTTTTTCTTCTTTTTGGACTTCTGTTGAATTATTTTGTGTGACTCCATTTTATCTCCTTTTTATTGGCTTATTAGTTGTAACTCTCTATTTTGCTATTTTAGGGGCTAGAGTTTACAGTATACATTTTTAACTTACCACAGTCTATCTTCCAGTGATATTATCACCTCACACAGAGCAAAAGAATCTTATAACAGTATACCTCCATTTCTCCCTCCCTGCCTTTTAGCTATTGTTATCATGCATTTTACTTTTAGATAAGTTATAAACCCCACAACAGCTTGTTAATATTTTTGCTTTAAGCAGTCACTTATCTTTTAAGGAGATTTAACTGATAAGAAAAAAAATCTCATGTATTTACCCAAGTAGTTACCATTTCTAGTGTTCTTTCTTTCATGTAACTCCATATTTGCATCTGGTATCATTTTCCTGCTGTCTGAAGAATTGCTTTTAAATTTTCTTCCAGAGGGGAAATGTTAGCAATAAATTCTTTCTGCTTCTGTGTTGTAAACATCTTTATCTCATCTTTATTTTAGAAACATATTTTTGTCAGATACAGAATTATAGATTGACATTTTTCATCTTTCAGTACTTTAAAGATGCTTCCCCAGTTTGCTTGCTTATATCGTTTCTGATAAATCTATTAAGATAATCATCTTTATCTTTCTTCCTCTACACACAAAATGACCATATCTCTTTCTCTGACTGCTTTTCAGATTTTCTCTTTATCATTTGCTTTCAACAATTTGATTATAATGTACAGTAAGTCCTCACTTAACATCATCAATAGGTCCTTGGAAGCTGCAACTTCAAGTGAAACAAAGTAGAACAGAACCCAATTTACCATGGTCCAATCGACATAAACAAGTGTTAAGTTCCTACAGTGTATTTCTAGTTACAAAAACATCACCGAACTTCTAATACCAAAACACTTCTAATATTAAACAATGAAATGAATGTGAGCTACACATACACTTAAGAAAGATTAATAAAAACAAGTAAGATAATTATTCACCCAATTTTTCTAGTTCAGGGTCACAGGTGGTCAGAGCGTATCCTAGCCGCTCAGGGCACAAGGCAGAAACCAGCCTTAGACAGAATGCTATTCCACACTAGAGTGCGTGCGTGCCCACACACCCACACACACACACACACATACACACACACACACAACAGACTAACTCATACTGGAACAATCTAGAGAAGCCAATTAACCTAATGCTCACATCTCCCTAATGTGGGAGGAAACTGAAGTCCCAAAGAAAACCCATGCAGACATGGGAAGAACATGAAAACATCACACCAATACTGGCCCCAGCCAGGAATCAATTCTTTTTCTCTCATCAACATTATGACAAAATGATGTTGAAAGAAACATTATTTGAGGACCTGCTATACCTTGGTGTAGTTTTATGTTTCTTATACTTAAAACTCATTCAACTTCTTTATCTGTAGATTTATGGCTTAAGTCTAAAACATTTTTGGCCATTATTTCTTAAAATATATTCTTCTGTATATTATGTCCCTTGAGAACTACAATTATTCATCTATTTGGCTGCTTGAGTGTGTCCCACAGCTCACTGACTTTTTTTTCTTCTTTCTCTATGCTTCATTCTGGATGGTTTCTATTGCTCTGCCTTCAAGTTCATTCATAATTTTTTCTGCAATGTCTAATTTACCATTAATCTCATACCGTATATTTTTCATCTCAGTTGTAGTTTTCATCACTGTAAGTCTGATATGGGTCTTTTTGTCTCTTCTGTATCTCTAACTTTTTGAATACATGGAATACAGTTATAATGTTTTAATGCCCTCTGCTAATTCTATCATCTGTGTCAGTTCTGTGTCAATTTTGACGGAAGATTCTCATAATTATGGGTCATATTTCATGCTTCTTTGCATACATGGTAATCTTTAACTGAATGACATACCTTGTTAATTTTACCTTGCTATATGACTCCTATAAATCTTTTTGGACTTTGTCCAGGCATACAGTTGAGTAATTTGGAAATAGTTTGTTCCTTTCAAGTCTTGTTTTTATAATTTACTAGTTCGCTCCAGAGCAGCAACATCTTCTCAACTCAGAGTCTGCCAGACTCCACATCTCAGTTTCTACTCTCTATGTCACATCCTGGAAAATCTCTCAGTGCAGTAGGCCTGGGGCAATTGTAGGACTCACCTTGTTTGTTTCTTCTCTCTCAAGAATCACTTGATTCTTGAGATTAAGACCTGAATGTCTTAATCATTGTTGTTTCTACATATTTTGTTTTTTTGGAGAAGAGGGGTAGGATTGTTTCAAGAGGACAGTAAACACGATCCTTGTTACACCACATGGACCAGAGGCAAAAGTCCCCATCCGTCCTTCTTATTT
The DNA here is from genome assembly GCF_000001405.40 of Homo sapiens. Lineage (NCBI taxonomy): Eukaryota > Metazoa > Chordata > Mammalia > Primates > Hominidae > Homo > Homo sapiens. Next base: position 73,724,342 of record NC_000008.11, read on the forward strand.
AATCTATCTGTATCTATTTGAGTTTCTTGTAAACATCATAAATATACCGTCCCTGACTTACGATGGTTCACCTTATGATTCAACTTTACCATAGTGACAAAGTGATATGCACTCAGTAGAAACCATACTGAAGTACCTATATAAGCATTCTATTTTTCACTTTCAGTATCACATTCAATAAATTATAATGAGATATTTAACACTTTATTATAAAATAGGGTGTATTTAGATGATTTTGCCCAACTGTAGTCTAACTTAAGTGTTCTGAGCACATTTAAGGTAGGCTAGGCTAAGCTATGATGTTCAGTAGGTTGTGTGTGTGTGTGTGTGTGTGTATATATATATATATATTTTTTTTTTTTTTCTGAGTCAAGGTCCCACTCTGTCACCCAGACTAGAATGCAATGAAGACTATAACTCACTGCAGCCTTGACCTCCTGGGCTCAAGCAACCCTCACACTTCAGCCTCCCAAGTAGCTAGGACTACAGGTGCACACCACCACATCCAGCTAATTTTTGTATTTTTTGTAGAGATGGGTTTTCACCATGTTGTCCAGGCTGGTCTTGAACTCCTAGGTTCAAATTATCTGCCAGCCTTGGCCTCCCAAAGTGCTGGGATACAGGCATGAGCCACCATGCCCAGTTAATTATGTGTATGAAATACATTTTTGACTTTCAATATTTTCATCTTACAATGGGTTTATCAGGACCTAACACCATCATAAGTCAAGGAGCATCTGTACTTGAGTCTTGCTCTTCTATACAATCTGACAATCTTTGCCATTTAAATTGAGCATTTAAGTCATTTACATTTAGTATAGTTGTCAATATTACTAGATTTATATCTACTGTTTTGTTATGTTTTTGTCCTTTTATTTGTTCCTTTCTTCAACTTTATCTTCTTTTAGACTGATTATTTTTAGTACCCATTTTATATCCTACATAGGCTTACTATTTTTATTTTGTCGTATAGGAATTGTTCTAAAACATACACAGCCTACCTTCAAATATCATTCCACTTCATGTTTGATATCAGCACCTAAAAATTCTATACTTCCCTTTCCCTTATCCCTTTCTTTATGCTACTGACATCAATTAATTTCTATGTATAAGCCCTCAAGGCACTGTTAGTATTTTTGTTTTAGTCAATTATCTTTTTAAAAGTTAAAAATGGGCCAGGCATGGTGGCTCACACCTGTAATCCCAACACTTTGGGAGGCCAAGGTGGGCGGATCACTGGAGGTCAGGAGTTCAAGACCAGCCTGGCCAACATGGCAAAACCCCATCTCTACTAAAAATAAAAAAATTAACTGAGCATAGTGGCTCATGCCTGTAATCCCAGCCCTTTGGGAGGCCGAGGCAGGTGAATCACTTGAGTCCAGGAGTTGGGAGACCAACCTGAGCAACATGGCAAAACACCTTCTCAACAAAATATATAAAAATTAGCCGGATATAGTGGTGCATGCCTGTAATCCCAGCTACTTGAGAGGCTGAGGTGGGAGGACTGCTTCAGCCTGGGAGGTCGAGGCTGCAGTGAGCCATCATCGTGCCACTGCACTCCAGCCTGGGAAACCTGTCTCAAGACCTGTCTCAACAACAACAACAACAAAATTTTTATTTCAATACCACCAATTTTCAGCTATTTGATTATGATGTGCGTGGTTAGGTTTTTTTTTTTTTTAATATTTCTTCTACTTTAGGTTGACTTCTTACCATCATCTACAGGTTTATAGTTTCTACTAAACAGAGAACAGAGGTTTAAAGTCATTATTTCTTAATGTCATTCGCAGCAACCTGGATGGAACTGGAGACTTATTCTAACTGAAATAACTCTGGAATGGAAAACCAAACGTCATATATTCTCACTCATAAGTGGGAGCTAAATTTGTGAGGATGTAAAGGTGTAAGAATGATACAATGGACTTTGGGGACTTGGGGAAAGGGTGAAAGTGGTATGAGGTATAAAAGACTACACATTGAGTACAGTGTACACTGCTTGGGTGATGGGTGCACCAAAGTCTCAGAAATCACCACTAAAGAACTTATTCATGTAACCAAACACCACCTGTTTCCCAAAAACTGTTGAAATAAAAAATAAATAAAAGTCATTATTTCTTATAATATTTTCTGTTGCCCCTCCCTTCTCCTAGGATTCTAATTACACGTCTTAGGCCACTCGATATTTCCCACAGCTCACTGATGCTGTTTTTTTCTTTAGTCCTTCCACCCTGTGCTTCATTTTGGATAGTCACTATTGTTATCTATTCAAGCCCACTGATGTGTGTCTTATCTGCTATTAATCCCATCCAATATATATTTTATTTCAGATACTGCATTCTTCATCTCTATTTTTATATTTTCTATGTATTTCCACATCATCTTTCTGTTTTCCCCTCGTGTCTTGAACATTTAGAGCATATTAGTAAGAACTGTTTCTATATCTTTGTCTGCTAAACCATCTTTATCATTTCTGGGTCTCTTTCTTTTCAGAAAATGTTTAAATCCTGGCTATGGGTCATATTTTCATTCTTCTTTGTAAGCATTTTAATATTTTATTGAGGTAGAATTGACATAATATCTAATTAATCCATTCAAAGTGAACGTTCGGCTGGGCACGGTGGCTCACTCCTGTAATCCCAGCACTTTGGGAGGCCGAGGCAGGTGGATCACTTGAGGTCAGGAGTTCAAGACCAGCCTGGCCAACATGGTGAAACCCCGTCTCTACTAAAAATACAAAATTTAGCTGGGCGTGGCGGCAGGTGCCTGTAATCCCAGCTACTGAGGAGGCTGAGGCAGGAGAATCCCTTGAACCCGGGAGGCAGAGGTTGCAGTGAGCTGAGATCACACCACTGCACTCCAGACTGAGCGACAGAGGGAGACTACATCTCAAAAAAATAAATAAATAAAAAATAAACTGAATATTCCAGTGGTATTTAGTCCACTCACAGTGTTGTACAACTACCACCTATACCTAGTTCCAAAACACTGTTATGACCCCAAAAGGGAATTCAACACCCATTAGGCAGTTGCTTCTCATTCACCCTTAATCCCAGGCCCTGGCAAGCAACAATCTACATTCTGTCTCATAGATTACCTATTGTGGATATTTCACATAAATGGAATCATACAATATGTGACCATTTGTGTGTGTCTTCTTTCACTTAATATGTTTTCTAGGTTCATCTGCATCGTAGCATGTATCTGTACTTCATTTCTTTACTGCTAGACAATTTATGGAATACAGACTACTGCAATTTGTTTACTCATTCATCCACTGATGGACATTTGGGTTGTTTCCACCATTTAGCTATTGCAAATAGTAATGCTATGAACATGTGTGGTCATATATTTGTTTGAGTACCTGCTTTCAATTCTTCAGGGTATATACCTAGGAGTGGAATTGCTGGGTCATATGACAAGTCTATGTGTTCCTTTGAGGAATTGTCAAACTCTTTTTTCCACAGAGGCTGAACCATTTAACATTCCCACCAGCAACATACGAGGGTTCCAGTTTCTCCACATCGTCCTCAAAACCAGTTACTGCCCGTCTTTTGATTCTGGCCATCCTAGTAGGTGAGAAGTGGTATCTTACTGTGGTTTTCATTTGCATCTCCCTGATCACTAATGATGTTGAGTATTAATGATGTGTTTATCTTCTCAGAGTAACTGTCTATTCCAAGTCCTTTGCCCATTTTTTAGTTGAGCTTTTTTTTGCTGTTGAGTTGTAAGTTTTCGTTCTTGTATTTTGGCCATTGGTCCATTATGAGTTAATTTTTATACATGGCATGAAGTAGGGGTCCAACTTTATTGTTTTGCATGTGCATCTCCAGGGGTCCCCAAACCATTTGAAGAGATTATTCTTTCCCCACTGAATCATCCTGGCATGTTTGTTAAAAATCAATTGCCTACATATATATTAATTCTGGACTCTCAATTCTATTAGTCTATACATCTATCCTTATGCCAGTACCACACTATTTTGATCATTGTAGCTTTGCAGTAAGTTTCTTAATTGGGAAATATGAGTCCTCTGGCTTTATTCTTCCTTTTTCAAGATGGTTTTGGCTATTTGGATCTGTTGCAATTCCATATGAATATGAGGATCAGCTTTCCAACTTTTGCAAAAAAAAAAAAAAAAGGCCAATGGAATTTTGATAGAGATTGCATTGAATCTGGAGATTGCTTTGGACAGTATTGCCATCCTAACGGCAATGTAAAGTCTTCCAATTCATGAACACAAAATGTCTTTCCACTTATTTAGGTCTTCTTTATTTCAACATGTTTTATAGTTTACAGTGCACAAGTCTTTCATAAGCAAGTCAACTCCTTTAGGCTTTTGGATGCTATTATAAATGCAATCTTTTAAAATTTCTTTTTGTATTGTTCATTCCGAGTACACAGAAACACAAATGCTTTTTGTGTGTTACCTTGTACCTACAACTTTGCTCAAGTTATTTATTAGCTTTAGTGGAGGTTTTTCTGGATTCTTTGGGATTTTCTATATATAGGACCATGTCATCTGCAAACAGAGACAGTTTTATTTCTTCCTTCCAAATCTGTATGTCTTTGTTTCTTTTTCTTGTCACACTGCTCTGGCTATAACTTCCACTACAACTTGAATAACTGGTGAGAATGGGTATCCGTGCCTTGTTCCTGATCATAAGGGCAAGGATTTCAGTCTTTTACTATTGAGTTGGATGTTAGCTGTGGGTTTTTTCATAAACGCTGAATGTTGAGGAAATGTTTAAAAAAAAAGTTCCCTACTATTCCTGATTTTGAGCCTTTCTATCAAGAACAGCTGTTGAATTTTGTCAACTGCCTACTGTATCAATTGAAACAATCACGTGGGGGTTTTCCCCGCTTCATTCTATTAATGTGTTGTACTACACCACCCTTGCAATCCTGGGAATAAGTCCCACTTGGCCATGGTGCATATTCCTTTAAATATGCTGCTAGATTCAGTTTGCTAGTATTTTGTTGAAGATTTTTGCATCTTTATTAATAAGGAATATTGGTCTGTAATTTTCGCATTACGTCTTTGTTTGGCTTTGGTATCAGGGTAATAATACTGGCCTCAAAGAGTGAGTTAGGAAGTATTCTTACTCTCTCCTCTCCAATTTTTTGGAAGAGTTTGAGAGCGATTCTCATACTCTTTAAATATTTAAATATTTGGTATTCTTCTTTAAATATTTGGTAGAATCCACCAGAGAAGCAATATGGTACTGGACTTCTGATTGGGAGTTTTTGTTTTGTTTTGAGATAGGGTCTCACTCTATCACCCAGGTTGGAGTGCAATGGCATAATCATGGATCACTGCAGTCTCAACCTCCCAGGCTCAAGTAATCTTAGTTTGGGAGGTTTTTTAACTAATTCAATCTGTTCACTTGTAAGTCTGTTATATTTTCTGTTTCTTCTGAGTCAGTTTTAGTAATGCGTATTTCTAAAACTGTGTCCATTTCATGTAGGTTATCTAATCTGTGCATAAAATTGCTCACAGTATTCTCTTTAATCCTTTTTGTTTAAGGTCAGTAGTAATGTCCCCACACTCACGTCTAGTTTTAGTTATACCTATCTGTGTTTTTTCTTTGTCAGTCTAGCAAAAGGTTTGTCAATTTCATTGATCTTTTCAAAGAATCAAACTTTTGGTTTCACTAATTCTCTATATTATTTTCCTATTCTCTATTTCATTTATCTCCACTCTAATCTTTATTTACTTCCTTTTTTCTGGTAGCTTTGCATTTTCTAGTTTCTTTAAAATGTAAAGTAAGATTATTTATTTGAGGCCTTTCTTATTCTTTAATGTAGATGTTTATTGCTAATAATTTCCCTCTCAGGACTGTTTTCACTGCATCATTTAAGTCACATATATTGTTTCCATTTTAATTTATTTCTAAGTATTCTCTAATTCCCACATATTTGTAAATTTCCATATATTTGTAAATTTTCCAGTATTCCTTCTGTTAATGATTACTAACTTCATTCCACTGTGACTGGAGAAGATACATAGCATGATTTCAATCTTTTTAAATTTACTGAAACTTGTTTTGTGGCCTAATACAGCCTGGAGAATGTTTCATGTATACTTTAAAAGAATATATATTTTGGCAGGGTGCAGTGGCTCACGCCTATAATCCCTGCACTTTGGGAGGCCGAGGAGGGTGGATCACCTGAGGTCAGGAGTCTGAGACCAGTCTGGCCAACATGGCAAAACCCCGTCTCTACTAAAAATACAAAAATTAGCTGGGTGTGGTGGTGGACACCTGTAATCCTAGCTACTCAGGAGGCTGAGGCAGGAGAATCACTTGAACCCCGGAGGCAGAGGTTGCGGTGAGCCAAGATGGAGACATTGCACTCTGGGCTGGGTAACAGAGCAAGACTACGTCTTTCAAAAAAAAAAAAAAAAAAAAGACAAAAAAAAAAGAATACATATTTTGCTGTTGCTGAATGTTCTGTATATGTCTGTTAGGTCTAGTTGATTAATACTGTTGTTGAGGTCCTCTAGTCCCTTACTGATATTCTGTCTAGATGTTCTATCCATTGCTAACGTCAAAGCAAGCATTTTTTGACTGAATGACAAAAACTAAATTTTACATTGTTGGGTTCTGAATTTTGTTGTATTCCTCTAAATAGTGTTCTGGTGCAGTTAAGTTACTTGGAATCATTTGGAGCCTTCTGAGGACTCTTCCCAGTGCCCCATGTATTCTACAACATACTTTACTCTGCATAGTAGGAACACGACTATTTGAAGCCTTATTGTGAACTCTGGAAATTGTTTTTCTTAGTGCTTTCCAAGTGTTTTCTTCTCTGGCCTCAGGTAGGGCCTGTCAAGCATCTACGAAATCAGAACTCAGCAAAAGACTCCAGGAGAACCCTCTGGAGATCTCCAAAATGCATGCTCACTTGTTCATGCTCTCTTGCTTTTTAGTTTATGCCTCCCCAACGCCAATCCCAACCCCCTTAGCTCTTTTTTCTCTGGTACTCTGCCCTGTAATTCTAATCGCCTTGATCTTCCCAAATTTTTATCTTTGTCTTTTTATCTCAGTAGGACTGCTGGGCTCTGTTTTGGTTCCTCCACACCTTGCACTGCAGCCAATAAACTGCCTCTAGGCTCTGCAGTAAGCTGTTACAATTGAAGGGCTTTACCTTCACTTGTTCCTATTCTCTCAGGGATCACAGTCTGGTGCTGCCTGTCATCAATGTCTAAAAGCTATTGTTTATATATTTTATAAATTCTCAAGTTATTTAAAGAGGAAGAGTAGATTTTTGCTACATAACAAATTACCTCCAATTTTGTGGCTTTAAAAATCAAGCATTGGCCAGGCACGGTGACTCACGCCTGTAATTCCAGCACTTTGGGAGGCCAAGGCAGGAGGATCACCTGAGGTCAGGAATTTGAGACCAGCCTGCCCAACATGATGAAACCCCATCTCTACTAAAAATACAAAAAATTAGCCAGGTGCGGTGGTGCACGTCTGTAGTCCCAGCTACTCAGGAGGCTGAGGCAGGAGAATCACCTGAACCTGGGAGACAGAGGTTGCAGTGAGCTGAGATCGTACCACTGCACTCTAGCCTGGGTGACAGACCAAGACTTCAACTCAAAAAAAGCTAAAAAAAATTTAAAAACAAACAAAACAAGCATTTCTTTTTTTCACACAGTTTCTGAGGGTTGGCAATCAGGGAACAGCTTAGATGGGTAGTTCTGGCTCAGGATCTCTCATGAGGTTGCAGTCAAGATGTCAGCAGGACAGATGTTTAGGACTGGAAGCTTGACTAAAGCTGAGACATCTGCTTCCAAGAAGGCTCGTTCACATGCTGTTGGCTAGAGAGGCCTCAGTTCCTTGTTGGCTGTTGGCAGGAGGCCTCAGTTTCCCACAGCATGGGCCTCCCCATCGGGCCATTCACAACATGGCAGCTAACTATTCTCAGAGTGAGTAATCCAAGGTTGGGGGTAGTGAGGGGAAGGAGGTGGAGCCACATTTGTATTATAAATAACCTATCCTAAGAAATGATCCATCACTTCTGTTACATTCTATTGGTTCCACAGATAAACCTCAATACAGTGTGTATGGGGATTACACCATGGTGTAAATATCGGGATGCCGGGATCATTGGGGGCCATCTTGGAAGCTGGCTACATATAAAATAAATCCAGTTCCCATTATACCAGCATAGGGGAAAGTAGAAGTCTTTCTTACACATTTTTAACCTCCTTATGTTTACTATTTTTCTTATCCCCTAACTGTAGGCTATATTCTATGGCTACAAGAGACATGAGCAGATTACAGAGCTCCACACCCAGTCTTGGAAAGAAAAGTAACTACTACTAAGTAGCAGCAACTTTTAAGAGAAAAGAATAGAGTTCCTGGTGCTTGTGGCAAGAAGCAGGAGGACCTTGAAGCCAATCTGGGCTTGAGAAAGTGGTTCATTCCCCCAAATACTTCACTCAATGATCTACCTAAATGTCTGCCGTCTGCCCTCCTTTCCCACCAATTTCCAGTCAGGCAGCAATAGCCAACAGCAATATTAATAGTAAAATTAATAGCAGTAGTACCAGCACCAATGCTAAGCATTTTGCCTTTGTTATCTCAATTACTCCTCACAACAAACCTCTGAGATAGCTGTCATTATTCCTTACACTCTAGACTTTGTTTCTTGGTAGTCATACTCTGGTCTTACACTATCCAGTGTAATAAAAACTTTTTTTTTTTTTTTAATAACACCTGGCTCCCTCTTGCCCTACACGGTTCTGCTACTCCTTCGACACGGAAAAATTCTGTCTTGTCCTGCCTGTCATCTCTTCCACTTCAGTTAGGCCTTAAAGCTTCCTCTTAGCTACCATGTTCCCAATATCTACTATCAAACCTCACTAAAAAGAATCACCAGATTATTTTGATCCCTGTAAATTCCCAGTTGCTAGGCTCTCCCAATACTACAACCGCCTAATATAGACTTTTCCAATTCCTTAGGACACACTGACCTGTCAAGCCTACCTCACCAGCTAATCTCCAAAACTTGGCCCTACTTCAGCTACTCATTTAAAAATATTATTCACAGCATGTATCTTCGTAATTTATATTTGCTGTAGCTTACTGCTAAAATGAGTTCCTTTTCCCGGGGGACCTATAATTAATGATCAGGGAGAAAGGGCCAAAATATACCATACTGGTAAATATTATGGTACCCCAGAAACCAGTATACTCCCGTTGGTTATCTGTTGAATAATGACTGAAAAGTATAAAGTAATGATTATAAATACTAACTCAGAAAATTATCAGAGGGCATAATCCAAAGAATGTTATTTACAAATAAAAAGAAATAGATGACAGTAGACACATATAAGCAATCCACAAAAGGCAAAACACGAAAGAACAAAAAATATTTAAATATTATAGAAACACAAAATAAAATACCACCTTTTGTCAGACAGATAAGCAAAGACTGAAATTTTGTCAAGGAAGTAAGGAAACAGGTAGATACACTTCTGGCAGATATAATTTTGTCTTTTTGGGAGCTATACACCAAATATCTTTAAAATCCACATACATCTTTGACTAGTATTTCCATTTCTAATAATTAATTCTAAGAAAATAATTGGACAAAGAGATATACATTTAAAAAATTTACTATGGCACTAACTACAATATAAAAATCTGTCCAACAATAAGGGCTTGGTTAAATTTTAGTACATCCAAACTAAGAATTATTATTAAATCACTTCAAAACATTACATATTGTATAATCCCAGTTTTTAAAAAGTAACATATATTCACATAAAAACATACCTGCATAGAAAAAAAATCTAGAAGTATACACCCCAAAATGTTACCAGTGATTATCTCTGTAATAGAAGTGGAATTTTTTGTGATTTTTTTTGTTTGTTTTTCAGGGTTTGTTTTTTTTTTTTTTTGCTTATCACACCTAATTTTCTACAGTAAGCATAAGTTGCACATGGATAATAACACACATTCTTAAAAGGCAAAAACAACAACTATGATCACAATTTAAAGGCAGAAAAGTGCTATTATCTTAACAGAACATGGAACATCCATGTTCTATGATAATAATAAAGTTAGGCAAAGTTAATATCAAATAACCTGATATTCAATAGCCTAGTTTTTAATTAGTTTTAGTAACACATATGGAAGAATCTGTTATGAATAAAAAACCATGTAGGCCGGGCACGGTGGCTCACGCCTGTAATCCCAGCACTTTGAAAGGCCAAGGCAGGCAGACCACGAGGTCAGAAGTTCGAGACCAGCCTGACCAACATGGTGAAACTCCATCTCTACTAAGAATACAAAAATTAGCCGGGCGTGGTGGCATGCGCTTGTGATCCCAGCTACTCAGGAGGCTGAAACAGAAGAATTGCTTGAATTCGGAAGGCGGAGGATGCAGTGAGCCAAGATCATGCCACTGCACTCCAGCATGGGCAACAGAGTGAGACTCCATCTCAAAAAATAAAAAATAAAAAAGCATCTAATTCAGGTATTTTAAGAAAACAAAAGCCTTCCCAAATAAAAATGTAGTACTAATCCTAGAGACAACGTTGAAAATCACGTAGTAAAAATCTCAACTCTTTCAAGCTGAGAATCAACTTAAATCCCCTTTGCATGCCTAGGGTCTCATTCTGTTACCCAGGCTGGAGTGCAGTGGTATGATCACAGTTCACTGCAGCCTCAACCTCCCAGGCTCAAGAGATCCTCCACCCCAGCCTCCCAAGTAGCTGAGACTACAGGCATGTGTCACCATATCTAACTTTTTTTATTTTTTGTAGAGACAGGGTCCTACTATGTTGCCCAAGCTGGTCTCAAAATCCTGGGCTCAAGCAATCCTCCTGCTTCAGCCTCCCAAAGTGCTGGGATTACAGGCATGGGCCACCACACTGGGCCCCTTTACACATTTACCTTGAGAACCCTCACTGTTATGAGAAAGTGGTTGCCCAGAAAGTAAGATTCAAAAATCACTCATGAATTTAAGAATTCAACTCTATGTTTAGCTGAAGAGAGTCTTCATCTCAGACTTGAACAGTTTGGGGGATGACAGTTATAGTCAGTAACAAGAAGGGGGGGTCTCTTAAATTGTTCTAGGAATACACTTCTGTTAAGATTGAGCATCCTAAATCCAAAAATCTGAAATCCAAAATCTCCAAGATTTCAAACTTCTTTTGTACCAACATAATGCTCAAAGGAAATGCTCATTGGAGCATTTTGGATTTTCGATTTTTGGATTAGGGATGCTCAACCTGTAGGCAAAATTCCAAAATCTAAAAAAATCTGAAATCCAAAACACTTCCAGTGCCAAGCATTTTGGATAAGGAATACTCAACCTGTACAATTTAAGTATGTATATCTCCAGGCACTGTGTACGATTTCTAGCCAACATCCAGGGAATTGCTTGTGGCCATGTAGAGAATTGCCTAGGAACTGTTTGCAATGCCTGATTCAACATGACCTGCAACATAGCCAGTCAGTAAATCCTCATTAGGACTAATCCATAAACTATAATTTTCAATGAAGTTGGCTAGCATAAAATGGTCATTTCCAAATGTCTGTGGCAGAAGATGAAAAATTATTTTAATTGTAACCAAATAATTAATGGCAGGTATCCATAGAAAGTTATTTAGTGGCAACTTCACAGCTATAACAGTTTGCAAATAAGGTCTCATAATGCTTCCACTGGGATTTGAGAGCAGCTGTGAGGAAACAGGAAGCACTAAGCACAGGACAGCACTACGATTTCTTTAAATTATTAGTAATGTTTTTGATTAAAGTAATTTTTGTTGCACTAGGGAAGTTTCTAGTACAGGAGAAAACTAAATAATAACTTTACATGAGGGAGAGTTAGTTGCATTTGTGTAACACAAGCAGCATATAACACCAAAACTGACAACATAATTACGTGGTTATTGTTGAAAAATAAATATCTCCTTGCTTTAGTGACAACTCTAGCACCATTCATATATTCATACACCCAACAAATAAATGTATGAAAACTATTTACATTGTTTATTCTAGGACCTGGAAATATAAGAGTAAACAAGAAAAGTCACTGTCTTCATGAAACAAACTGTCTAACAAGGGAGACAGATGTTACAACAAATAATTACATATTTGACTATAACTACAAATGTCATGTTATTAAACTAAAGAGCAAGGTGCTATAACAGCATATAGCAGGACTGCAGTCAAGCAAGCCAAACCCAGGGGTGGGGAAGAGAGGTCCAGCAGAGGAAATCTGTGCAAATCCCTGTAGCCAGAACAACCTTACCCAATCTAGGAACTGAAACGGTCCAGTAAAACTGAAGCACTGAGATTATTTCTAGGGCACACATTAAGTCTAAGATGTATAAAGACATCCAAGAGATCAAGGTGGTAAATGCTACATGAGTTTGGAGCTCAGAAAAAAAAGGTCTAGACCAGGTATAAACTTAGAAGTCATTAGCTTAGAGATGGCATGGGATGCACAGGAACTGGAAATTTCTTTGGCAAGGTGAGCAGGACTATATGTCGGAAGGCAGGGGGTCAAGATTACTTTCTTTTTTTGGAACGCATCTCGCTCTGTAGCCCAGGCTGGAGTGCAGTGGTGTGATCTCAGCTCACTGCAACCTCCGTCTGCTGGGTTCAAGCAACTCTTCTGCCTCAGCCTCCCAAGTAGCTGGGACTACAGGTGTGCACCACCATGACTGGCTGATTTTTTTGTATTTTTAGTAAAGATGGGGTTTCACCATGTTGGCCATGCTGGTCTTGATCTCCTGATCTCAGGTGATCTACCTGCCTTCGTCTCCCAAAGTGCTGGGATTACAGGCGTGAGCGACCACGCCTGGCCAAGATTACTTTTGTTTTTTTTTTGAGACAGTCTCACTCTTTTTGCCCAGGGTGGAGTGCAATGGCACGATCTTGGCTCACCGCAACCTCCGCCTCCCGGGTTCAAGTGATTCTCCTGCCTCAGCCTCCCGAGTAGCTGGGATTACAGGCACGCACCACCATGCCTGGCTAATTTTGTATTTTTTAGTAGAGACGGGGTTTCCCCATGTTGGCCAGGCTGGTCTCGGACTCCCGACCTCAGGTGATCTGCCCGCCTTGGCCTCCCAAAGTGCTGGGATTACAGGTGTGAGCCACCGTGCCCAGTCGATTACTTTCTTAATCACAGGGGAAAAGAAAAAAAGTTTAATTACTTCTCTGTTGATTTGCAATCAAAAGAAATAAAAGTATTTTGTTTCTTTCCTTTTTTTTTTTTTTGTTTTTAAGAGACAGGGTCTTACTACGTTACCCAGTCTGGCTCAAACTCCTGGGCTCAAGAGATCCTCCCACCTCACCTCAGAAAGTGCTGGGACTACAGGTTTGAGCCACCCAGCCTGGCCAAAAGTATTTTCTAACACTATAGTTATGATACAATGTTCTATTTGATCGGGAAAGGTAAAATTAAATGTATAAAGTTCTTGGAGAAACGTCAAGAACTAAGAAAAGCACTTCTTTCAGTGAGTCTAAAGTATTAAATGCTGTAGTTTATCAGGGCACTTCCTTCTAGTGTTTTTCAGTGCCCTGGAAAGTGAACTTTAAAAAAAAAAAAAAAACAGATACAACTACTTCACAAGATTTGTCACTAAAAATGCTTTGAGTCTGCAGAACTGCCACCTACTGAAGCTGTATCATGATCATAAGCATTCTGAACACATTAACAAGTCCTAAAGGGATGTGACATCAAGAAGAACAGACAAACCTTCTGCCTTGCACAACCAGAAGTTATCAACTTTCAGAAGATCATTCTAATCCTTAAACAACCTGCCCTACACAGCCTCCAATGATGACTATACAGTAGGTAACTGCTTTAAAAAGTGATGAGTCAGGTTACAGTTATAGAAAAGAAAAGCTGAGTTAAAATGTTCCACAATTTACAGCCAAAGCACCATGTAAGCATGAAAAATGCCTTAACACAAACTCACCTGATTTATTTGAAGCATGTTAAGACAATATTGACCAAACTGCTGTATCCCTCACGGCTCCAAAAACTGGAAAACGAAAATGAAGAAATAAAGTTCAACTTAGCTGATAACCTCAATGACTGGTATTTTAAACACATGCCCTTGATCAAAATCAAATATAAAATGTAATTTATCCAGATCTCCATAGAACTTTCTATGATGATAAAAATGTTCTGTACTTGCACTGTCCAATCTGGAAGTCATTAGCCACATGTGGCTACTGAGCACTTGAAATGTGGCTAGAGCAATCAAGAAAATAATATTTAATTTTCTTTCATGTTCACTTGAATAACTACGTCACTAGTAGCCACCATACTGGACAGTACAGATCTGAACAAAGCTCCTTCTGCTTCTAGACTTCTAAGACAATCCCAACAAAAGTGAAGCTGTTAAAAATAAATCTGAGAGTTTCAGGTTAATATTTAATGTATACTTCCCTTTTTGCAGTCCTGTTTTAAACAGCTTTGTTCCCATCTTCTATACGATAAATTAATCCTAAAGAAGATGCAACACCACAAGTATTCTCTTAGATGGTATGGAAAAGAGCATATAGTACAATTATCTTGCTGAATAGTTTCTTTTTCTCTGTCATTTTGTCTGTTATCATCAGTATAAAAATAGTATGTATATTAAAATTTCAGGCTGGGCGTGGTAATCCCAGCATTTTGGGAGGCCAAGGTGGGTGGATCATTTGAGTTCAGGAGTTCGGGACCAGCCTGGCCAACATGGTGAAAACCCTGCCTCTACCAAAAATACAAAAATTAGCCAGGCATGGTGGCGCGTGCCTGTAATCTCAGCTACTCAGGAGGCTGAGGCAGGAGAATTGCTTGAACCCAGGAGGCAGAGGTTGCAGTGAGCCGAGATTGCGCCATTGCACTCCAGCCTAGGCGACAGAGCGAGACTCCATCTCAAAAAAAAAAAAAAAAAAAATTTTAATTTGAAAACAGATGCCAATGAAGGGCAGGAAAGTCCAAATTACAAATAAATAAATCATGGGATCTTGTAATGAAAAAAAGTTTATATAAAATATAAATTATATACAGACCTCTCCCCTAAAAATTATCTAAAGCAACAACACAATTGTGATACACAGCAAAAGGCCTATATCTAATCACCTGTATAGAAACTGTTATGCTGCTAAATTTTAATATTGAACTTTCCCCTGGAAGCAAACGTTTTGTAAGTACACACATACATACACAAACACACACCCATATTTGGCTACCATTTTTTCAAGATGACAAACTAGAGTCCATTCAAAATGACTTTGAAAACTTTAATATTTTTCTTACAATAGTGTCCTCAGCATCTGCATCAATTTTTATTTATTTTCTAATTACTGTCACATTTCCTATGAGAACGGGATGCTGTATAAAGAGCACACGGCCTGGATATTGGTGAATTTGAGTTTTAGTCAAAGTTCTTCAGATTACCTTCTGAGCCTTGGTTCAAATTACTTTGTGTATCTTTGAGTTCTTCTTTTTCTGTCTTCTTTTTTTTCTTCAATCTTTAAAAAGTAAGCTAAAGTCCTTGTGGTAGGCAGCCTCTAACAAATAGAATATAGCAGAAATAATGAGATACCACTTCCAAGATTAGGTTATAAAAATTCTTAGGTGTCACCTTCTCTCACTCATTTGCTCAGAGGGAGGCAGATGCCAAACTGTGGTGCCCTTTGGAGAGGCCCATATGGCAAAGAACTGAGAAAAGCCTCTGGCCAACAGCCAGCAACAATTGATTTCTTCAGTCCAAGAGCCCCAGGAAACTGAACCCTGCAAGAGCCACATGAATGAGTTCAGAAACAGATCTTCCACCAGTAGAGCTTCCAGATGTGACTGCAACCCCAACTGACAGCTTGACTACCACCTCTTTTATGAGCCACAGGCACCCAGCTAAGCTGCACCCAGATTTCTAACCCACAGAAACTGTAAGATAATGTTTGTTGTCTTAAGTCCTTAAATTCTGGTGCAATGTGCTATGCAACAATAAATAAGACTATCCTGTCCAACTCTATAATTCAATATTCCCATGGTGCTTTAGGTATTAATTAATATTTGGATAGGCAAAAAAATAAAATAAAATCCCTGTTCAACATGAGCAAATGAGTAACATTAGAACTTCAAAGTGGCAAATTATAAAACTTAAACATTTATATTTTCAATTCAAAAAATGAGATTATTCACAAGTGTAGCATTAGTCACATGGTGTTAAAATACACCCGCTTTCAATAGGAATGGAGTATCTCATTAAAAAAATACACTAGCTATAACTTAAAATACAAACACAACCAATCATCTTTTTTTTTAACTGAAAACAGTTCATTTAAAAAGTAAAGTGTGAATAACCACTAAAGCATCTCAGTGACTTAGTGTCCCTTGCTTTCTAGAATTTATCATTACTGGTCGGGTGTAGTGGCTCACGCTTGTAACTCAGCACTCCGGGAGGCCGAGGTGGGGGGATCACCTGAGGTCAGGAGTTCAAGACCAGCCTGGCCAACATGGTGAAACCCTGTCTCTACTAAAAATACAAAAATTAGCTGGGCATAGTAACACATGCCTGTAATCCCAGCTACTCGGGAGGCTGAGGCAGAAGAAATAAATGCTTGAACCCAGGAGGCCAAGGTTGCAGTGAGCCAAGATCATGCCACTGCACTCCAGTCCAGGTGACAGAGCAAGACTTCATCTCAGAAAAAAAAAAAAAAAAAGGCCAGGCGCAGTGGCTCACGCCTGTAATCCCAGCACTTTGGGAGGCAGAGGCGGGCGGATCATGAGGTCAGGAGATCGAGACCATCCTGGCTAACACAGTGAAACCCCGCCTCTACTAAAAATACAAAATATTAGCCGGGCGTGGTGGCGGGCGCCTGTAGTCCCAGCTACTCGGGAGGCTGAGGCAGGAGAATGGCGTGAACCCGGGAGGCGGAGCTTGCAGTGAGCCAAGATCGCGCCACTGCACTCCAGCCTGGGCGACAGAGCAAGACTCCGTCTCAAAAAAAAAAAAATTAACATTATTAAGCATTCACCAACTTTGAAAAACTCCACTTTGTCTTTATTAGTATACGTTGCTAAAGTTACAAATGCTTATCTACAGATCTCTATGTATTTCTTCAATATTAGAGGCTGATAACACTGGTGGCTGATTCCAAGAAGCAAGCAGAGTAAGATATTGGGGTACCTTTTTGAAAGTTCTAACCTTTTTTTTTTTCTTTTTTTTTGAGACGGAGTCTTGCCCTGTCACCCAGAGTGGAGTGCAACAGCTCAATCTCAGCTCACTGCAACCTCCACCTACCAGGCTCAAGTGATTCTCCTGCCTCAGACTCCCCAGTAGCTGGGGATACAGGTACACACCACCATGCCTGGCTAATTTTTGTATTTTTTGTAGAGACGGGGTTTCACCATGTTGGCCAGGCTGGTCTCGAACTCCTGGCCTCGGGTGATCCATCTGCCTCGGCCTCCCAAAGTGCCAAGATTACAGGCGTGAGCCACCACGCCCGGCCCGAAACTTCTAGTCTTCTGACACGGAAAAGATATTCCATGAAGTAACAAAAAATAAAACTTTATGAACATAAAATTAACCATACGATTTAAATATTCTGTAAGCCTTTTCTTTACAATATAAAGAGCTGTAGAAATTAAAACACATGAAACTAATGTCTATAACAGCACTCTGTAATTGGCTAACATTCTGAAAATTATACTTTTTTAAGCAAACCAGTTATTTTAGATTTACATCAATTTAAAAATTGTAGTTTGTAATTATACCATGGACAATTCAGAATGTTCACAGTGGCACGTCTTTAAGACTCTGTTTCTACTTTAAAGACACGCCCAGTCTACTGTCACATATTTTAAACAATTTGCTAAAATATCAAGACATATCAATAAAATGCAGAGCAGTTTTATACTACCTTTGGTTTCATAAAATCCACCTCCTCAGCTGGGTGTGGTGGCTCACGCCTGTAATCCCAGCACTTTTGGAGTCTGAGGCGGACGGATCACCTGAGGTCAGGAGTTCGAGACTAGCCTGGCGAACACGGCAAAATCGTCTCTACTAAAAATACAAAAATTAGCCAGGCATGGAGGCACGCACCTGTAGTCCAGGTACTCAGGAGGCTGAGGCAGGTGAATCGCTTGAACCCAGGAGGCGGAGGCTGCAGTGAGTGGAGATTGCGCCACTGCACTCTAGCCTGGGTGACAGAGTAAGACTCCATCTCAAAAAATAAAAATAATTAAAAAAAAAATCCACCTCCTCTATCACAAAAGTTTCCAGCTACAGTTGATTCCAATTACAACTAAGCGCTTTTAGAGAAATGTATCCATGCGTCCCAAAAATGCCCTATCTGGTCAGGCATATGAAGACAGGCAATTCTAGATTCCAAACTACTAAATGAAAACAAGCAGGATTATAGGGAGACGGCTGGGGAAGACGTGATGCTCATGAAGAATGGCCCAACCTGTAACTGCAATGTACTGCTGATATAAGTCGTACTTTAATTATGAATTACATTTTGCCCATCTGAGAAATTAAAAGCTGCACAGAAATCTATATAATCCCCAATAATTAAACTGCTTTATAAAACGGCACTGTTACTAAATATGTATAAATTTTTTATATCAGCACCCATCCTACAGTTGATAGGCAATTCTCACTTAAATGTCTTATTTGACAACATGAAAAGCAAAAAAAATTTACTATCTCTACTCTTAGACTACAAACTGCTACAAAACTATCAATTCAATGCTTATTACTCTAAAAAAGATATACGGTCCTTTAAAGAGCTTTTTAAAATGTTTTTCATTTTGATTTTTCAAAGTGGGTACCCAAAAACACTGCTTTTATGTAAGGAAAACAGAAGTCTTACGCCACAAACTATTCTAGTGGAAAACTCTAAATAACACAGGCCAGAAAAAAAAAAAAGGAAACTAACATTTTTCAGACACCAATTGTATACGCTAGGTGCCACATTTTGCCATTTTTACATCAACTCATTTAATCCTCATCATCTTGGGATGTAGGCATTATCTCCATTTTTCTAGAGGTTGGGTTATTTGCCTACAGTCACATTGCTAGGTTTAGAACGGTTCATTCTGGCCCAAAGTCGTCTTTTCTTCACTATACACCAAATTAAAAAAGACTTGCCTTCTTTTTAATTTTTTTTTTTTTTTTTTTTTTTGAGACGGAGTTCCACTCTTGCTGCCCAGGCTGGAGTGCAATGGGCACCATGTCGGCTCACCGCAAGATCCGCCTCCTGGTTTCAAATGATTCTCCTGCCTCAGCCTCCTGAGTAGCTGCGATTACAGGCATGCGCCACCACGGCCGGCTAATTTTACATTTTTAGTAGAGACGGGGTTTCTCCATGTTCGTCAGGCTGGTCTCGAACCCCCAACCCTCAGGTGATTCACCCACCTCGGCCTCCCAAAGTGCTGGGATTACAAGCATGAGCCACCATGCCCGGACATTTTTTTTTTTTTTTGAGACTGAGTCTCACTCTGTCACCCAGGCTGGAGTGCAATGGCGCCATCTCAGCTCACTGCAACCTCTGCCTCCCGGGTTCAAGCGATTCTCCTGCCTCAGCCTCCCGAGTAGCTGGGATTACAGGCGCGCACCACCACACCCAGCTAATTTTTGTATTTTTAGTAGAGACGGGGTTTCACCATGTTGGCCAGGCTGGTCTCGAACTCCTGACCTCCTGATCCACCTGCCTCGGCCTCCCAAAGTGCTGGGATTACAGGCATGAGCCACCCCACCTGGCCAATTTTTTTTATTTTCTATGATCAGCTTGGTGAAAAATAAAAGATTTGCCTTCTTATAATTTTTCCTGGAACAAAGTCAAGGGCTTGACCTCTAGGACAACATAATGGCAAAGCTCCTATATAGAACTTGGGGAGGATTATTTAAAATCAAACGATGCACACATAAATAAAAATGATAATTATTACTGATTCTAGACATCTAGTATTTTGTGTACCTATAAGAGGCACAAATATATCTATATGTGAATAATCATACTGTGCGTGTCTCAAACTATGCAGTCTAAGAGAATTCAATTTTGCAGTATCTAGAGTTTTCCCTCTTTATTATGATCTGTACCTATAAATGATCAGATTCCCAGCACTGAACGTGCACAAAACAAGATAATAATAGGAATAAAGAGAAGGGTAGGCACAAAGGAAAAAAAAAAAAAAACCTACCATATCTTCTAGAACCTAAACAGGAAAACCGCTCTGCCTCGATTTCTGGATTGTTTGTATATTTAAAAGCTTGATGACTATCTTAGATTTTTTTTATATTCATACTATTTGTTGAAAAGCAAACCAAGCCACTCTTCCTAGCACTTCATTCCAGACAAGCCAAGTAAGCTAAAATGTAAAATTTGCATGGTTTTCCAAGCTCAAGTATTTAGGAGTTAAGGATCACAATGTATGTAACTTACCCTTAAATGGTCCAGGGGAAAAATATTTTGTGTGTGATAGAGAGCAAATAATAAATACATAAAATGTTAACAGGTGAATCTGAATAAAGGTTACAAAGATTTTCTTTGTATTATTCTTATTCTTGCCATTTGTCTGTAAGCTTGAAATTATTTCCAAATAAAGTTAAAATTTAAAAATTACACAGCATTTTATTTGAAATTAACAATACATACTTGGATTACACAGCAACATTCTTACAAATACAAAACACTGGTTTTTATGGGGAAAAATGCAGTAATTTGTGAGCAAGTATGTACCATATCCTACCAACTTATCATCACTTAGGAATAAATTTCAGACTAGCCTACCATATAATAAAATATGGCAATAGTGACTTGACTTGAAACCATAGCAGGAAAACACAAACACACCAGATAGTTTGGCATAACTGCTTCGCAAATTTAATACAGGCCTGCTGCAAAATGCAGCAATCTACAATTAAAGTGTTATGTGATATCTCTTGTTTGCAGTAAGATACAAACTGAACAATGAAAATCTGGCCATACTACAAAACAGAGATGGAGAGTAAGTCTTGGTTTTGGTAGTTTTATTAAATAAGATTTTTCCACCGCAGCTGAGTTCACAACAGTGTACTTGAATCATCTAAAGAAAGCAAGGACGGGGAAGAAATATCCTGGAGAAATGTTGAAATCTTTTCTCCTCCAAGGTTACTATCACCCTGCCTGTCCATCACAATTTTGATTTCAAGTATTCACGATGCTGGTCTGAAACACAGGATGCATCAGAAGCCAAGTAATGCTCAGCAAAAGTTCACCAAAATTGTGAAAGCAAACATTAAATAAAAAACGTTTTCAATTAACAGTAAAATATCTTTAAAGGATCATCTCTAGCCTTTCTTTCTGCAGGATCCACCCACTTTAAAATCCTTTGGTAAATTCCCAGGTCTACCCTAATTGAATGGTCCCTCTCTATCTGCTCAAGCAGTTCTTAACCCTTTGGAGTGGGGATGGGGGTAAGGGGACATCACAGCAAATATGGACCCTTACCAAAGAAAATTATTCACAAATGCAAAATTCTACACACATTTCCAAAGACTTCCAGAATCCCACGGCCATTACCCCCACCGCCTCCCTAAGAATCCCAGAGTGGCGTGCTTCTCAATGGCCTCTGCGGAGCACCCCCAGCCCCCAAGCCACAGCCCCCGGCTCGACCCCGAAGAGACTAGAGTTCCTGCTCTCACACAGCGGATTCCGTAACTGAGCTTTGTCTCCTCGCCCAACTCCCTTCACCCCGGCAAGGTCACTACCGCCAACTACCCCTTTAAGCCGAGCCATCACGGTAGGAGTTCGTAACAGCCACAGCAGAACTTGCCTGTCATAGGATATATTTTGTCCCCTCGGCCCCACCTACCCTCCCCATTTCGGCAAGTTACGTCTTTACCACTAGCCCATTCTACAGAAATAGCTGCCGCCGCCACCCTCCGGCGCGCCCCGGCCCCGCCGCTCCGCCTCCAGCGCCCCCAGGCCCATTTCCCGCAGACCCTCCCCGGGCCGCCCTCCCCTGCCCTACTCTAGGCGCTCCCTCTCCCTCGCAGCCACACCGTGGCTGCACTCGCCGTCCTCTCTTCCGGCCGCTACCACCCCGGCCCCCTAGAACCCCAGCCTCCCGCGCCCGCAGCCGCGTTCCTGTCTCCCCGACCTCCGCACCCCCACTTGGCCCGGCCTCCTCGCCTTCCTCCCGGCTCCTCCCCTCAGGACACCTGTGTCGTCCCACCCCCTCCACCACACACGCACCCCCCACCCCAATTCCTTCGCCTCCCTGTCCTCCCTCCCCCGCCGGTCTCCCCTCCCCGCTGCTGCCCCGAGAGCCCGATGTGGGAGGGAAGGCGCGGGGGAGGGGAGGCCGCGAAGGGGGCTGCTTTTCTCCGGGTTCCCCGTGCTGCGGAACTGCAGGGCTCCCCAGCGCCCTCTGCCTTCTTCGCCGGCGGCGCGGAAGTCGGGGTCTCCCGGACGCCCCCGATGAGGGTATTTACCTTCTTGCCGGGGACACTTTGCAGACGGCTCCAACATTGGCAAACACTACAGAGAACTGACCCCGCTCGGCCGCCGCCGGCTTCCACCCCTCGGGCTCCCCGCCCCCCGCCTCCGCCCGCCTCCGCCCGCCTCCCCGGCGCTCCCGCCGCGCCCTCCCGCGCTCGCGCCGCGCGCCCCCGCCTGCGCAGCCGCTCCCGCGCCCCAGCACGCCCGGCCGGCGCGCGCGCCCGGCACCGGCTCTACCTCCACTCCGCCTCCCGCCGGCCCGCGACCAAGCGCGGCCATTGTTCGCGACGCAGCTCCCGCCCCCTGGCGGCTGCCGGGCCCCAGCAGCTGCAGGCTCTGCGGGGCTAGCGGCGGCGAGCTGGGCCCCTGGGCGAGGGCCATTCCCGGGGGGCTTGGGCACGCGGGCGAGCGACTGCGCAAGGAGCGCGCCCGGTCCGCAGTCTCCTCGTCCCCGGCGCGACTCCCCGCCCCCTCGTCTGCCAAGGGTGGGCCTGGGGCAGCCCCTTCCACACCTGCAACTCGGCAACTTCCTTCCCCGCCCGACTGACCGTCTGCTCTTTCTGGTCCGCACCCTGTGCTCTGATTCCCCGCTCGTACCTTTCCCAGGCTCTCCGGCTGCCCCTCTGTGCTGTGCAGGGGACGCGCGACCATCCCGCGTCTGCTCCGGCCGCCGCTGTGCAACGCACGGTTTAGCGGATCTTGCACCTTTCTAGACGGGGGAGGGGGCGGGGAGGAGGTTGCTTCACCGTCTCGCCCAGCAAACACCAGGGATCCGTGATCACCTGCTCGCCAAGACCCGCGGCGTGGCCAGACCTCCTCTTCTACCGAAAATATTAGTCACATGAAAAAGAATCCTTGGAGCCAAAAATGAGAACCATTGAAAACAATGCCCTGAATCCTAGATTTATGAGGCAAGAGTGCCAGAAAACAGAAATTACGTCTTAATTCGTCCTGGTTTTGATGTGGATTACTTTTGTCTAGATAACTTCAACCCAGTTAAGCTCAATGAAACTGAACACTTCGTTTAGTAACCGGCACCAAAAATAATCTGACAAAGAAATTTCGAAATAGAACTATTAGTGTGTTTTCACAAACTTACTCGTTTGCAACGTTATTTCTAGGGTTTCTTCCCAGTGTCACTTCTCTGACTGAGAAATGTCTCCCAGGCCGGTGATTTCAGTCATCATCTAAAACCAATCTCATGTCTGCACCTGGGAAGGTAGTGTGTGTCCTGGTTAACCGCAAGGGCGCCAGAGTCAGATAACCAAGGCTGGATATCCGCTTGCTAACTGGTGAGGAGACCACGGGCATGTTACTTATCCTGTGCATCAAGAGGAGACTACATGTGATAGATAGTTCGTATTTAAATGTGACAATACATATGAAGCCCTTTAAATAGGACCGGGTATGTAGTACCTCTCCTGGTACAATGTTAGCTACAGCTATATTTTTCCTCCCAGAACTCTTTCCTATGCTCCTTTCCCCCCTTTTCACCTCTGCCAGTTCCCTCGGATTTAACATGTTGCATCCTCCCTAAATTTGCTGTGCTCCTTCTAGCGGCTTACGCACCCAGTCAGCATTCTAATACAGTCATGCCTTACCTAGCCACAAGGATATGTTCTGAGGAACGTGTCATTAAGCGATTTTTGTTGTTTTGCGCACATCATAGCGTGTTCTTACGCAAACCTAGGTAGTCTAGCCAACTACTTGCTTTGGCTATATGGTATATAGCTATTGCGCCTAGGCTGCAAACCTGTACAGTGTGTTACTGTACTAATACTGTAGGCAATTTTGCAACACAAGGGTATTTGTACCTAAACAGAAAACCTACAGTAAAAGAACTATATAATCTTTTTTTTTTTTGAGACGAAGTCTCGCTCTGTCACCCAGGCTGAAATGCAGTAGCACAATCTCAGCTCACTGCAACCTCCACCTCCCGAGTTCAAGCAATTTTCCTGCCTCAGCCTCCCTGGTAGCTGGGATTACAGGCACATGCCACCACGTCCAGCTAATTTTTGTATTTTTAGTAGAGACGGGGTTTGACCATGTTGGCCACGCTGGTCTCGAACTCTTGACCTCAAGTGATTCCCCGCCGGCCCCCCCCCCCCCCGCCCCTCCCCACCACCTCGGCCTCCCAAAGTGCTGGGATTGCAGGCGCCCGGCTTAAAGAACTGTATAATCTTATGGGACCACCGTTGTATATGCAGTCCACCTGTCCATCATTGACTGAAAGAAGTTGACCAGAAATTGTTGAATATTTTGAATGAATACCTTACTTTCCCACCAGCCATACCAAGGGTCAAGCTGCCTACCTCTGTGTCTTTCCATAGGCTATTCTCTCTCCCTTCAGGCTACCCTTCTCTCGCCTGGTGAACAAATAATCTTTCACGGCATTCAAAAATCACCTTCTTGGCCGGGTGTGGTGGCTCACACCTGTAACCTCAGCACTTCGGGAGGCCGAAGCGGGCAGACCACGAGGTCACGAGTTTGAGACCAGCCTGGCCAACATGGTGAAACTCCATCTCTACTAAAAATACAAAAATTAGCTGGGCGTGGTGGCACACACCTGTAATCCCAGCTACTTGGGAGGCTGAGGCAGGAGAATTGCTTGAACTCGGGAGGCAGAGGTTGCAGTGAGCTGAGTTCGAGCCACTGCACTCTAGCCTGGGCAGCAGAGCAAGACTCCATCTCAAGAAAAAAAAGAAAAAAAATCACCTCCTTGAGAGGCATTCTCTAACACTCCTCTGAGCAGGCGAGTGCTCTTCTCTTGTACCTCTCTTCTCTGATATTGTAGGTATGTTAGAATTTTTTTTTTTAGCCTGTCTGTATCTACCAAACATTGCATTGTTGAAGGGCAGGCTCTGTGTCTCATGCATATCTGTAGTCCCAGCATCCAACAGCAAGTAGGTGGACGGTAAATCCTTTGGTATAAATGGATGAGTTTATACTTTTGGAAAGAACTCTGGGGTGGTCAGATTTCATTCTCTTTGATTCAGATCCTTAAAGTTAATTGAAAACTTTATCCCTCCCGTAACTGTTCCTCATAACTGATTTTCAGTCATTGGTAAACCCCAAATAGAATGAATTTTTCTAAGTCACAATTATCAGAAAGGAAATTGTTTTTTAATTGAATCAGCACTTTCAGTTGCTCAAGGTATATAGTATCAGTACATGAAATCACCTGAGTGACATGGAAATCCACACATCACTCTACAATCATTTTAGGATTTACTTTAAAATAAAATATTTGTATAGGAGTTGAAAATAATGAATATTTAAAGAGCGGTGGGCCAGCCGGCTGTGGTGGCTCACGTCTATAATCCCAGCACTTTGGGAGGCTAGCGTATCACCTGAAGTCAGGAGTTCGAGACCAGCCTGGGCAAAATGGCAAAAACCCCATCTCTACTAAAATTAGAAAAACTACCTGGGCGTGGTGGTGCGTGCTTGTAGTCCCAGCTACTCAGGAGGCTGAGGTGGGAGGATCACTTGAGCCTGGGAGGCAGAGGTTGGAGTGAGCTGAGATCACACTACTGCACTCCAGCCAGGGCCACAAAGAAAGACCCTGTATCAAAAAATATAAATAAATAAAGAACAGTGGGCCTATTAATAGGCAGCTGATTAAAGCAAATGAGGCCAGGCGCAGTGGCTCATGCCTGTAATCCCAGCACTTTGAAAAGCCAAAGAGGGAGGATCTCTTGAAACCAGGGGTTTGAAACCAGCGTGGGCAGTAAAGTGAGACCCCACCTCCATTTAATTAAAAATAAATTTAAAATTAAATTTTTTTTTAAAAAGCGTCTGTTTTATCAACACATTTTTACCAGTCACCATTGCAGTGAAATGTTCAAGCATCAGGAAAAAGATAATGCTTTCAAATTCACCATTATCGGATTTGAGCAGTTTGAATGGGACAGATTCCAGAATCACAAACTCCAGTTTCCTTCTATGTCCTCTTCTTTCTTATATTATATCTTATATTATGATGCCCTTTTCTTGACATTTATTTTCCTGTAAAATTCATCTAGCCCCCAGCACCCACCATAGAAGTTACCCTCCTTTATTGATGATATCTGAATTTTTTTAAATTCTTTTTTTGAGACAGAGTTCTTGCTCTCGCCCAGGTTAGAGTACAGTGGTACAATCTTGGTTCACTGCAACCTCTGCCTGCAGGGTGCAAGCGATTCTCATGCCTCAGCCTTCTGAGTAGCTGGGATTACAGGCATGTGCCATCAGGCTTGGCTAATTTTTGTATTTTTGGTAGAGACAGTTTGTTTTGCCATGTTGCCCAGACTGGTCTTGAACTCCGGGCCTCAAGTTATCTGCCCTCCTCGGCCTCCCAAAGTGCTGGCATTACAGGAATGAGCCACTGCATGGCCCTGAATTTATTTTTATCACTACACACTATTTATGTGTTTCTTCTACTATATCTTAAGCTCCTTGAAGGCAACAACAATGACTTTCTCTTCTTTGTTTCTCTGGGACTTAGCACAGTGCTCACTAAATGCTTGTCAAATGAAGGGATTAGCAAATTTGACCAACATTTACTGAATACCCACTATGGGCCAAGTACTATTCTTGGCCTAGGGATGTGTAGCAACGAAAAAAATCTGCAAAATCTTTGTCCTCATGGAACTTACAGGGGAATGAATGAATAACAAATGCATGAAATAAGCACTTCCAAACACTGTACTTTATTAGAATAGCATTCTGAGGCCGGGCGCGGTGGCTCACGCCTGTAATCCCAGCACTTTAGGAGGCCGAGGCAGGCAGATCATGAGGTCAAGAGATCGAGACTGTCCTGGCCAACATGGTGAAACCCTGTCTCTACCAAAAATACAAAAAAATTAGCCAGGCGTGGTGGCACACGCCTGTAGTCCCAGCTACTTGGGAGGTTGAGGCAAGAGAATCGCTTGAACCCGTGAGGCGGAGTTTGCAGTGAGCTGAGATAGCTCCACTGCACTCCAGCCTGGGCAACAGAGTGAGACTTCGTCTCAAATAAAAAAAAAACATTTTGAAAATTCCCAATATATTTATGTGTTCAGTAATAAAAGTATTGCTTGAAACTCAACTTGTTTTCATAATAATGTCAAAATAATTATTAAGGTATTAGCCACCTAAAACGCTGCTAAAAAACAGTAGAAATATATTTTACAAAGTGGGCTAGGTGCTGTGGCTTGTGCCTGTGACCCCAGCATTTTGAGAGACAGAGGCAGGAGGATCGCTTGAGGCCAGGAGTTCAAGACCAGCCTGGACAACATGGCCAAATCCTGTCTCTACAAAAAATAAAAAATTAGCCGAGTGTGGTGGTGCATTTCTGTAGTCCCTGCTACTTGGGAGGCTGAGGTGGGAGGACCACTTGAGCCCTGGAGCTCAAGGCTGCAGTGAGCCATGATCACACCACTGCACTCTAGCCTGGGCAACAGAGAGAGAACCTGTCTCAAAAGAAAAAAAAAGGTAATCAATTATATATAAGAAACAAGCAGGTATATGAAAAAATGCTCAAAATTACTAATCATCTGGAAAATGCAAATCAAAACCACAATGAGCTATCATCTTACCCCAGTTAGAATGACTGTTATCAAAAAGACAAAAGATAAATGCTGGCCAAGATGCAGAGAAAAGGAAACTCTTGTACACTGACAGTGGGAATGTAAATTAGTACAGCCGTTATGAAAAACTGTATGGAAGTTTCTCAAACAACTAAAAATAGAACTGCCATACAACCCAGCAACCACTACTGCATATTTATCCAAAGAAAAGAAAATCAGTATAGCGAAGAGATATCTGTACCCCCATGTTCATTGCAGCACTATTCATAATAGCCAAGATATGGAATCAACCTAAGTGTTCATCAGTGGATGAACCGACAAATAAATGGGTATAATGGAATATTATTCAGCCTTATAAAAAGAGATCCTACCCATTAAGACAAAATATATGAATCAAGGATATTATGCTAAGTGAAATAAGCCAGACACAGAAAGACAAATATCACATGTTCTCACTCATATGTGAGAGCTAAAAAAGCTGATCTCATGGAGATAAAGAGTAGAATGATGGTTACCAGAGGCTGGGAAGGGTGAGTGGGGGAAATGAAGAGGGATTGGTTAATGGGTACAAACATACAGTTAGATAGAATGAATAAGTTCTAGTGTTCAATAGCACAGTGGGGTGGCTATAGTTAAAAATAATTTATTATACATTTTAAAATAGCTAGCAGAGAAGATCTGAAATGTTCTCAATACAAAGAAATGATAAATGTCTGAGGTAATGGATATCCCAATTACCATGATTGATCACTATACATTGTATGTATGTATCGAAATATTACATGTACTCCATATACATGTACAGATACCATGTATCAATTAAAAAAGAAAACTCTCAACTAATAAGAAAAAAAATAAGGAAACAAAAATATACTTAATGAAGTATGGAAAGATTCTTTTTTAAGTCTTTTTTTTTATCCCCCTGAGACAGGGTCTTGCTCTGTTGCCCAGACTGGAGTCCAGTGGCACAATCATGGCTCACTGCAGTATTGACCTCCTAGGCTCAGGTGATCCTCCCTCCCCAACCTCCCAAGTAGCTGGGACTACAGGCACGTGCCACCATGCCTGGCTAATTTTTTTAATTTTTAGTAGAGACGAGGTCTCACTAAGTTGCCCAGGCTAGTCTTGAAATCCCAAGCTCAAGTGGTCCTCCTGTCTTGACCTCCCAAAGTGTGAGCCACAGTGCCTGTCCTCTTTTAAGTCTTATGGCACATGGTGTTAAATAATTTTTTTTGAATACAAATAATAGGAACTGGGTGTGGTGGCTCATATCCGTAATCCCAGCACTTTGGGAGGCCAAGGTAGGGGGATCACTTGAGGCCAGGAGTTCAAAACCAGCCTGGTCAACATAATGAGACCCTGTCTCTACAAAAAACAAAAAGTTTTTAATTATCTGGGCATGGTGGCATGCACCTGCAGTCCCAGCTACTCAGGAGGCTGAGGTGGGAGGATCACTTGAGCCTGGGATGTCAAGGCTGCAGTGAACTGTGATGGTACCACTGCACTCCAGCCTGGGTGATAGAGCGAGACTCTGTCTCTAAAGAATAAAATTAAATTAAAAATATATACAAAGAATAAAAAGAAAAATTTGCCGAGCATGATGGTGCACACCTGTAGTTCCAGCTACTCGGGCTGAGGTGGGAGGGTCTCTTGAGCCCAGGAGTTGAAGGCTGCAGTGAGTCATGATCATGCCACTGCGCTCCAGCCTCAGAGTAAGGCCCTATCTCAAAAAAATAAATAAGTAAATAATAGGGACCCAATTATGCTTGTAATGACTTTTCTTTTTTCTCTATAACTATCATCTTGTCTCTGAATTTTTTTTTCTTGGGGATATTCGCATTTTCCACCATGCCAGAAATTTGGTTGTCAGCCAGTCTATCTAGTATTTTGATTCTAATTTTTTCCTTAAATTTGTAATGGCATCATTTAAGTCTTGATTTCATTCTTAATTAAAATACAAGACAAGATAGCTTTACAGTCTGCCCTTTCAACTCAATCTGTGTTTTATCATCTGTAAGTTGAAGGTTTTTTAACAGAATATACAGATTCTACAAACCTTGGCATGTCCTTGTCAGGTAGCCCGTTTGAAGAGACGTCAGCTGCCACGTCAATGAGTCAGGGCTTTCATGACTAAGTCATCCTGGGACCCCATGGAGAGCTCTAGTGGGGAGGAGAGTGAGGACTGGGACAAGCCCATAGAGGTTCCCATCCTCTCTGTGCATCCAGTGGTCACCAACAAGATAAAAGTGAACCAATTGCAGCCACAGTGGGGAGCCCCCAAGAATTGCCCCCACCTGAAAGACTGCAGCACACCACGATGTGGGATTACACTACTGTAGAATTGGTGGAGCTGGGAAATAGGTTCAGACACAAGGGGAGCATCAATAGCGGGGTGGCTGCTCCATCTAGGAGTTGTGGAGATGGAGGAAGCTATTATACTCCCAAGACTCAGGATGAGTAAAATGGCATCCATTAGAAAACCCATCAGAAAAATATGTTACATTTTTCTGTAGTGCAAAGCCTTCATAGAAATAGTCTTCTGTTCCATGAGGTATTTTTCTTCTAACTTGAGTTCTTCCTTTATCTTTTGAATACAGTGTTCCATTTATTTGTTTATTTAGCTATAATAGTGGCATAATTTTTTTATTTTTATTTTTATTTTGAGATGGAGTCTTGCTGTGTCACCCAGGCTGGAGTGCAGTGGCGCCATCTCGGCTCACTGCAAGCTCCGCCTCCCAGGTTCACGCCATTCTCCTGCCTCAGCCTCCCTAGTAGCTGGGACTACAGGCACCTGCCACCACGCCCGGCTAATTTTTTTGTATTTTTAGTTTCACAGTGTTAGCCAGGAAGGTCTCGATCTCCTGACCTTGTAATCCGCCCGAATAATGGCATAATTTTAACATAATTTATTCTTATTTTGTTCATATTTAATCTGGGAAACTGTACCCAGATCCTCTATTAGCTTAGCTTTGCCCAGTCTAATGGGCTTCTGGAGAAAATAAGATTTTATTTCATTAGTTTTTAGGAGTGGGAAAGGTTCTAGAACCTGGTTTTATTCCACCCTGTTTACCTTAAATATCGAATACTTTTCTTTGAACTATACAAATATATTATATATGTAACAAAACCTAGAAGTGTAACTTGTTAGTTATTATTTGAATGTCCTTGCAGTGGAAATAAATTTGTGACATCTCTGCACACAAGAGAAGGAGGAGGGGGCTAGGGGAGAAGGGAAAGATGGCAAGTATTGCTTTTTAAACAAGTACAATGACTTCTTTAAACACTTCTTAATTGTGACTGTTTTGACAGACATCATCTTAGCAATCACTTCATCTTTCCTTTCCAATAACTTTTCCAAAAGACTTCATTATAAACTTCATAAAACATTGTTTTTCTCTTGCCAATTATAAAGGAGGAAAAAAACTAAAAATTTCAGCTATGTATACCTGTATTGAAGAGGAACAATTCCAGAATTCCAGGAACTGAGGATAAAGGGGCAGACAAGTAGATTGGCCACACACAATGCAGTGATACAGAGAAACTACAGACAATATCTGAACAATTTTCTGTAGTCTCTCTGTATCACTGCCATTGTGTGTGGCCAATCTATTAATATTTATCTGTCCCTTCATCCCAAGTTCCTGGAATTGTTGCTTCTCATTCTTTCTTTTCTTGGCTAATTGTCAATAGCATTCTGAATTTGAGACATATTGCAGTGTAATATGGCACCCCAAAATGTAGCAGCTTCAAGCAACAATTTATTTAGTTCAGGCAGGGCTCAGTATCCTGTCTCTGCCCCATGCAGTATCAGCTAAGGGCACCTCAAAGGCTGGGAGCCCAAATCATGTAAGGACTCACTCATCTATAGTTGATGATGGTTTTCCACTGGGACCGCAGCTGGGGCTGTCAACCAGAACACCCACATGTGGCTTTTCTATGTACCTGCAGATGTTGCTGGGGTAGGGCTGAGAGAGGAAGGAACAAACCCTGAGTTTGGCCCCCTCACAGCATGGTGGCTGGGTTCCAAGAAACCAGAAGTAAAAGTCACTACTTTCTTAAAGCGTGGCCCAGAATTCAAATATGCTTTGAATTCTGCCCATATTCTACTGGTCAAATCACACAGTCCAGATTCAAGGGGAGGGCACCTGATCCTTTCTTTCCGTGGAAGGCACGTCAGAGGATCTTAGAATCACATTTAAAACTCCACACATTTTCCTGTAATCCCAGCACCTTGGGAGGCCAAGGCAGGCGGATCATTTGAGGTCAGGAGTTCGTGACCAGCCTGGCCCACATGGTGAAACCCCATCTCTACTAATAACACAAAAATTAGCTGGCCGTGGTAGCAGACGCCTGTAATCCCAGCTACTCAGGAGGCTGAGGCAGAAGAATCGCTTGAATCCGGGAGGCAGAGGTTGCAGTGCACGGAGATCATGCCACAGCATGCCAGCCTGGGTGACAGAGTGAAACTGTGTCTGAAAAACAAAAACAAAAAACAAAAACAAAAAAAACAAAAAATACCTCCACACATTCTCTGAAACATATCACCTTGTCTTTTCACCATATTGCTCCTATGTTAATATAAAGGTGACATAGAAAATTTCCTTCCATTGGTACCTACGCTTTTCTGCATGAATCATCTCAGCTGGCTTAATTCATTTAACACCTTTCTTGTGCTGAAGACAGATAGGCACACCTGCACTGCAGAGATTACAAACACCAGATTGAAGTGGAACAGGCCTTACTAGTCTTTTCTAGTCTATTCTCCTTCCCAGGTCAAGGGGGATGCTTTAGGCAAGTTAAAACAGTCAGTAGTTGCGGTAGCAGCCGAGATGAAGGAGTAAGTTGGAAGCTGGAGGAAACTCCCAGGCAGTAACATGCAATATGTAACATTTAGTCATGGCCTGTTTCTGGGACATGCTGTAGCTGGAAGTGGGCCATGATCTCAGTGGGGAAATGGCCTAGGGAGGGACCAACGGAAGGCTGTCTGACAAGGTCGGGCCAGGCTACTAGTGTCAGAGTGCTCAGTACCCAGAGCAGGGTTTGTTCCTTCCTCTCCCAGCCCTACCCCAGCATCATCTGCAGGCCTGAGCCCTTCATTCATTTTCTCATTGAACAAACATGCCTGCCAGTGGCAGTGCAGCCTGCTGGTGTGTTCAGATATTGTCTCTAGTCTCTCTGTATCACTGCCACTGTGTGTAGCCAATCTACTTGTCTGCCCCGTCATCAAAGTTCCTGGAATTGTTGCTTTCTGCATCCTGTTGACTGCTCTCCAACACACACACACACACACAAACACACACACACACACACACACACCACATACCATTTCTTTTTTCCTTTTTTTTTTTTTTTTTTTTTTTTTTGAGACAGAGTCTTGCTCTGTCACCCAGGCTGGAGTGCAGTGGTGCAATCTCGGCTCACTGCAACCTACACCTCCCAGGTTCAAGCAGTTCTCCTCTCTCTGCCTCCCAAGTAGCTGGGATTACAGGTGCCCGCCACCACACCCAGCTAATTTTTGTATTTTTAGTAGAGACTGGGTTTCACCATGTTGGCCAGGCTGGTCTCGAACTCCTGACCTCGTGATCCACCCACCTCAGCCTCCCAAAGTGCTGAGATTACAGGAGTGAGCCACTGTGCCCGGCCTCTCTTTTTTCCTTTTCAACTTTTATTTTAGAATCGGGGGTATACATACAGGTCTGTTACAAAGGTATATCACACACACACACCATTTTTAAATATCTAATATACAACTTTCTCCTATCTAGGACCTGCTGGCCTCTATGCCTAGGGCTGAACCCAGCCTACTCTCTTCCTCTCCTCTAAGGATATCATCACTTCAGTGTTGTCCCAGACATCCGTGAACAATAAAACCACGGCTACCTCAAGTCTTGTATGTTGACCCACTCTTTTCCTTTCCTCCTCTACTCCAGCTTTAACCACCAACCTTTGCTTAGTTTGAATTGAGTTTATGATACCTTCTCAGAGTTGTTCTAACCTTTTGGGGACCTCTGCTCCTAGCTCCCTAATTTGCTTGGAACTGCACTAAGAAGTATACCCTTGACTTTTCCAAAGTCACTCTGGCCAGATCACCACTATGTTATACAGTGTGTTTGTGAAAATTTTTTTAAAAGTACCTCTCTAGGTAGTCACAGATCTTTAGGTACAAGTGTTGCTGAGTAAGCCTCACCTTTGTGCCTAGAGAAAAGGAGTGAGCAGAACATGCACAGTCTACGGTATTTTGTTTTGTTTTGAGACAGGGTCTTGCTCTGTTGCCCAGACTGGAATGCAGTTGCACGAACACAGCTCAATGCAGCCTCAACCTCCTGGGCTCAAGCAGTCCTCCCACCTCAGCCTCCCGCATAGCTGGGACCACAGGTGCATGCCACCACACCCAGCTAATTTTTTTTTTTTTTTTTTTTTTTTAGTTGAGGCAGGGTCTTGTCATCTTGCCCGGGCTGGTCTTAAACTCTTGAGCTCAAGTGATCTACCCACCTCAGCCACTCAAAGTGCTGGAATCACAGGCATGAGCCACTGTGCCCAGCCAGTCTAAGGTATTTTGTTATAGCAGCCCAAATTTACTAAGACAGAGCCCCTTTGCTGGGGCTTTTGTGAACAGACAACCCAGAACACTACGCATATTGTCTTTGGGCCGTCAAGCTCAGTCAATTCCCTTAAGCTAGTTGGTAGTTTCTCAATACCCTTACCTTAGAAATGGTCTAGAGGCTGGACACAGTGGCTCATGCTTATAATCCCAGCACTTTGGGAGGCCAAGGAGGGAGGACCACATGAGCCCAGGAGTTTGAGACCAGCCTGGGCGACATAGCGAGACCTCATCTCTACTAAATTAAAAAAAAAATTAGCCCAGTGTGGTGGTGCATGCCTGTAGTCCTAGCTACTTGGGGGACTGAGGCAGGAAGATTGCTGGAGCCCGGGAAGTTGAGGCTACAGTGAGCCCTGATCGTGCCACTGCACTCCAACCTGAACAATAGAGCAACCCTGTCTCCAAAAAAGGAAAACAGAAATGGTCTAGTCTTTGCTGTTTCACTCCCATGTTGGTGCCACTTTTCCACTTCTTCTAGTGAGTGTCTGTCTCCCACTTCTTATAAGGAATTAAAATACTCGTCACTAGATCCTATCAGGTCACAATTTTCCCAGCACTTCCTTTAGAGACAGGGTCAATGAATACTGTCAGAATTATCCTTGGATCCTCTAAAATGAGAACACAAAGCCAGAACCAGTCTAAAGACAGGGCTAGCAATATTAAGCATGGAAAATTTTAACCTATGGATTCCCAAATCCTAGATAATAAGCAAGACTGATCCAGAACATCATGTAGCATAATTCCATGGAATCATTACACTGAACATTAATAGATGTTATGTCAGTAAAGAATTCTTTAATTAAATACATCCAAGAAGCTGTGAATTCAACAAAGTTAAAGAAGCTTGGCCTGGTGCAGTGGCTCATGCCTGTAATCCCAACATGTTGGGAAGCTGAGGAGAGAGGATCCTTTGGGCCCAGGAGTTAGAGATCAGCCCGAGCAACAGAATAACACCCCATCTCTACAAAAAGTTTAAAAATTAGCTGGGCATGGTAGCGCATGCCTGCAATCCCGGCTACTCGGAAGGCTGAGGTGGGAGGATTGCTTGGGCCCAGGAGTTGGAGGTTGCAGTGCACCACTGCACTTCAGCCTGTGTGACAGTAACACCCTGTCTTTATGAAAATAAAATAAGAAGTTTTTTTTTTTTGATTGCAGAACTTCTCAAAATCTTCTGCCAATATAAGTGAAGTTTGCAAGAAAGGGATTGGATCTGTTCTATACCCCAGGCCCATTTGACCGTAGGAACTTTTTGGCAGGAAGCACATCAGTGGAGCACATTTTGGGAAACACAAAGGCACAGTTGGAGATCAAGCAGAAGGGTTCTACCTAGGGTAGAACAGAAGTCTCTGATGTTCAGCTAAGAATGGGAAGATTTCTGGTAAAATGAAAAAGATCATTACGTTGCTGATTTTGCCCTCCATCTTTAACCATCAATTGACTTTTATAGGCTTTCTCTCTGTTCTCTAGTAGCTCTACTTTCTTAATTTTGAGCTTTAAAATGTCATCTTGGACTATTGATGGTCCACTCAAGATGTACAACACCAACTCTGGAGGCAGGTGATCAACCTTTCATTAGAAATTAAACAGTCAAGACAAGTAGAAGACATGACAATGTCTGCAAACATAGATTTCAATGCTTTAAAGCAGAGGTCAGCCGGGCATGGTGGCTCAGGCCTGTAATCCCAGCACTTTGGGAGGCCGAGGCAGGTGGATCACAAGGTCAGGAGTTCTAGACCAGCCTGGCCAACATAGTGAAACCCCATCTCTACTAAAAATACAAAAATTACCCGGGCATGGTAGTGCGCACCTGTAGTCCCAGCTACTCAGGAGGCTGAGGCAGGAACTCACTTGAACCCGGGAGGTGGAGGTTGCAGCGAGCCAAGATCTCACCACTGCACACCAGCCTGGGTGACAGTGCGAGACTCTATCAAAAAAAAAAAAAAAAAAAAAGCAGAGGTCACAAAAATAAATAAATAAAAAATAAAGCAGAGGTCAGCGAATCAAATCTGGTCTGCTGCCTGTTTTCGTAAATAAAGGGCTTTTGAAATTTAGCTATGCTCTTTCGTTTACACATTGTCCATGCTGGTTTTATAAATCTGCAGAATTGAGTACTAATAGAGAATCTAGGGCCCCACCAAAACAAAAATACTTACTATAGAGCTCTTTATAGAAAAGTTTGCCAGCCCCTACTTACAAGAGAAAATAGGCCAGGTGTGGTGGCTCACACCTGTAATCCCAGCACTTTGGGAGGCTGAGGCAGGCGGATCATTTGAGGTCAGGAGTTTGAGACCAGCCTGGCCAACATGGTGAAACCCCGTCTCTATCAAAAATGCAAAAATTAGCCAGGCATGGTGGCATGCACCTTTAATCCCAGCTACTCGGGAGGCTGAGGTTGGAGAATCACTTGAACCCAGAAGGCAGAGGTTGCAGTGAGCGGAGATGGCGCCACTGTTCTCCAGGCTGGGCAACACAGCAAGACTCCATCTCAAAAAAAAAAAAAGAAAATGAAAGGTGATGTTAGTTCAAAACTCAATATGTGTCCTTTTCAAAGTCATATTTCAAGGAGTTTTGGTAAGTTTAAAATAATGCAATTAATGATATTATGTGTACTGTAGCCATTTCTGTGTAATCTGAAGCATTTCCTTTCTCTTTTCTTGGATAGCTCCTCTTCCATATATAAACCTCTCTCCTAAATTTGAAAGGCATATGGAAATCACTTTTTCAAATTGGTACTTCTGGCTTAAAATGGCAGACTGAACACATCCATTTATCTCTCCTCCCTCCAAAGTCTTATTATAATGAAGTGAAGAATTTAAAAGGCATATGCCCACAAAGACAAATAGAAGAAACAAAGTGCATGGAGAAATAATAACTAACTTAATGAGTCTAGGAAGCGGAAGCCTCACTAACCAATATAAAATGAGCTGATTTTACAAGAAGAATCTCGGCAAAGCTCAGGAACGAAGGCACCAGATAGTGTTTAGAGGAGATAAGGCATTAGGCTTATAGCATAACTGAGGGAAAAATCTGTATAAGGAACCATTAAATTAGTTTCCACCCCCACAGCAAACAACGACTCTCTTGTCTCAGCCTCCCAAGCAGATAGGAGGTTTATTTTCTGGTGAAACTGACCCTGGAAAGAGGCCTAGGGCTCACAAACACCAGGCAGAGAGCCGGCGGCAAAGGTAAAAGGCCGACGACAACGGACTTGGTCCAGGTGAACCCACCTGACAGGCGCACGAAAACTTCCCTTGCCCTCCCCGGCTACTCGTTGTCCACCGAAATTCATTCTCCTGACTTCCACGACAATTGAGTTGTAGCTAGGCAGGTAGGATGTCAGGTTGGGAGCACACAGCCAGCTCACTGCAGGTAAGTGTGACCACACAAGGAAGCTCTACCGGAGGAATGGACACAAACACATTCTTGCTCCTCAACTGCTCCTTACTACTCTTTTCTCCTGCTTAAGCATACGCTAGCCTGAGGCCCTGTTTCTACCACAAAAAGGACAATGCCCTAGGGCAGCGTTTCTTTTCTTTTTTCTTTTCTTCCTTTTTTTTTTTTTTTTTTTTTTTGAGACAGGGTCTCACTCATTCTCCCTGGCTGTAGAGGTGTGATATCAGCTCTCTGCCTTGATCTCCTGGGCTCATGTGATTCTCCCACCTCAGTCTCCTGAGTAGCTGGGATCACAGGCATGTGCCACCATGCCCAGCTAAGTTTTTGTATTTTTAGTAGAGACAGGGTTTCATCATGTTGCCCAGGCTGGCCTCAAACTCCTGACCTCAGGTGATCCACCCACCTCGGCCTCCCAAAGTTCTGGGATTACAGGCGTGAGCCACAGCGTCCGCCTAATTTTTGGATTTTTAGTAGAGACAGAGTTTCACCATGTTGCCCAGGCTGGCCTCAAACTCCTGACCTCAAGCAATCCACCTGTCTCAGCCTCCCAAAGTTCTGGAATTACAGACGTGAGCCACCACGCCTGGCCTTTTTCTTTTTTTAAAAAAACTACTTTTGTAACAAATGAAGGAGCTTCTTTCTGAGGTGATGAAATGATCTGGAATTAGGTTGTGGTGATGGTTGCACAGCATACTATAATGCACTGCACTGTACACTTCAAAAGGGTGAATTGTATGGTATATGAATTACTGTATCCCAATTTTTAAAATACATGGAGATAAGTATCAGTAGCCATAACTAAAATAGGTGAGAAGGACCAGTACAGTGGCTCACGCCTGTAATCCTAGCACTTTGGGAGGCCAAGGTGGGCAGATCACTTGAGATCAGGAGTTTGAGACCACCCTGGCCAACATGGTGAAACCCTCTCTCTACTAAAAATACAAAAATTAGCCAGGCGTGGTGGCATGCGCCTGTGGCTCCAGCTACTTGGGAGGCTGAGGTGGGAAAATTGCTTGAACCCGCCCTGCATTCCAGCCTGGGCAACAGAGTGAGTCTCTGTCTCAAAAAAAAAAAACAAAAAACGAAAAAAAGAGAGAAAGTGGTAGCCTCTGGAAAGCTCAACTGGCACGTAGGAAGAGATAGAGCTGATATCTCCTGCTTTTTCTTATGTCTTGTGTTTGACATTTTAAGCTATTTGCATACATTGCTTTGATAAAAATAAAACTTACTTTTAAAAATCACTGTGTCAAAAGTCTCCCTAAGCCTCAATGGAGTCCAGAATTGAAATTAAAACAATGTTAGTTAATTATGTAACTCCTTTCCAAAAAATGACTTTTTACTTTTGGATAGTAATGGAATCTATTTTCCTGCCTGAACAATATTTTCTTGAATTTAAGATCTAGGAAAGCATTGGGAAAAGGAAGCACAGAAATAGAGGTGGCACTGGTTAAATTGAAGCCAAGAAGAATCTAAATTCAGGGAACAACTTAGGTTGAGCCAAGAGCTTTTTACTTATAAAACTGGTTAAACACTTATGCTTGAAAATGAAGTTGAGAAAAGGAAGGTATTAAATTGTAAAATATACTCACTTCCCAAATGAAGATACAAATATTCTGATTGAATATGAAATCAGAAATAAAGTACTTAGCAAGCACCCGAGAAGTTTGTCTTAAACTAACTGTACTGAAGTACTTTTTTTTTCAATCATGGACTGATACTTGTATAAAACACAATAAAAATGAATTACCAGGTCAGGTGCAGTGGCTCACACATGTAATAGCACTTTGGGAGGCCAAGGCGGGCAAATCACCTAAGGTCAGGAGTTTGAGACCAGCCTGGCCAACATGGTGAAACCTTGTCTCTACGTAAAATACAAAAATTAGCCGGGCATGGTGGCGGGCACCTGTAATCCCAGCTACTCAGGAGGCTGAGACTAGAGAATCACTTAAACACAGGAGGTGGAGGTTGCAGTGAGCTGAGATCGCGCCACTGCACTCCAGCCTCGGTGACAAGAGTGAAACTCAGTCTCAAAAAAAAAAAAAAAAAAAAGAATTACCAGAAAAATGAAAAAAACAAACAAACAAACAAACAAACACATACAAACAATAAGGCTGAATTTTCATTCTTAGCTTAAACAGGTATAATATCACTCTGACAAATTGCTAAATATGTTTCTAAATATGCATTCTCAATTTTTATACTCATCTCTTCATAAACTGTTTGTTGTTTTTTAGGGACAGGGTCTTGTTAGGTTGTCCAGGCTGGTCTTGAACTCTTGCACTCAAAGGATCCTTCTACCTCAGCCCCCTAGGCATCTGGGACTACAGCACATACCACCATGCCCAGTCTTTATAAATTGCTAAAAAATAGTTCATATAGGCTGGGCGCGGTGGCTCACGCCTGTAATCCCAGCACTTTGGCAGGCTGGGGTTGGGAGTTCGAGACCAGCCTGGCCAACATGATGAAACCCTGTCTCTACTAAAAAAAATATAAAAAATTAGTCGGGTGTGGTGCCGGGCACCTGTAATCCCAACTATTCAGGAGGCTGAGGCAGGAGAATTGGTTGAACCCGGGAGGCGGAGGTTGCAGTGAGCTGAGATCATGCCACTGCACTCCAGCCTGGGCAACGAGAGTGAAACTCCGTCTCAAAAAAAAAAAAAAGGTCATATAATGGCACAGAGCCATGGACCAACTTTGAAAAGCACAGCTCTAGAAACTATGGAATTAGATCCTTGCAATTATTGAGTAAATCTTCAAATAGTTTCAGAAGCAAGAGGCTACTAGAAGCAAAAATTTAAAAATAGCAAGGGAAATAAAATTGTCTGATAGTTCTATATTACAGCATTGAATAAATACCATTCACTTGCTAAATAAATACCATTCACTTATAGAAAGGGCTGCAATTATTTTACAATGGCAAAAACTGGGTGCAAGCTAAATGGACATCAATGAGAGATGGTTAAAAGTTGTAATACATCTATACTATGGAATTCAGCATAGTTTTTGTTTGTTTGTTTGTTTTTGTTTTGTTTTTTGAGTTGGAGTCTCACTCTGTCACCTAGGCTGGAGTGCAGTGGCTCCATCTCAGCTCACTGCAAAGTCTGCCTCCCAGGTTTAAGTGATTCTCCTGCCTCAGCCTCCTGAGTAGATGGGATTACAGGCACATGCCACCATGCCCAGCTAATTTTTGTGGGTTTTTTGTAGAGATGGGGTTTCAGCATGTTGGCCAGCCTGGTCTCGAACTCCTGACCTCAAGTGATTCACCTGCCTTGGCCTCCCAAAGTGCTGGGATTACAGGTGTGAGCCATCGCGTCTGATGCACATAGCCTTTTAAAAGAAGATGTATTCACATGTATTAGCCTGGAAAAATGTCCTTGTTACATTATTGAATGAAAACACACAAACAAAAACAAGTTCCACAGCACTGTATATAGAATGCAATCCCATGCATTAGAGGGGGAGCCCAGGATATGTGTACATATTTACATTGTAAAAGTGTAGAAAAATATCTGAAAAGAGATGCACTAGACTGTATACCTTCATTACCCTTAGGGGCTGGAAGAAAAGGGACAGAAAGTGAGAAACTTTCACCAATAGTTCATTCATTGGACAAACATGTACTGAGTACCAACTGCCCTAGGTGGCAGGAAAATAATGACGACAGCCGATAAGCAAGTAAACAAAGAACTTGAAGGAATATACAAAAATAGGAATGAGAGAGGAAAAGGGGAGGGAGGGAGGGAAGGGAAATAAAAGCAAGTTCCAGAACATTAGAGAGTATTTTGTCCCACATATTAGAGAGTGGGCCCGGCTATATGTCAATATGTATATAGTGAATGCATAGGAGGAAGGCGGGAAGGGAGAGGAGGGAGGGAGGAGAGGAGAAGAAAGAGAAAAGGAGGAGAGGAGAAGTAAGAGAAAAGGAGGAGAGGGAAGTGAAAAGGAAAGAAAGCAAGGAGGCAGGGAAGAATGGAGGAGGGTACATTTCAGATGGTTTGAAACAAAGGCAGTGAAAGGAATAAAGAGTGACTGGGAAAAAGGCAGGGACCAGGTAGTGGTGCTAGTTTAGATACCACCATCAGAGACATGCCATAGGAGCTAAGAAAGTGGATAATAAAGGCTGGGCTTGGTGGCTTCCTCCTATAATCCCAGCAGTTTGGGAGGCTGAGGCAGGTGGATCACCTGAGGTCAGGAGTTGGAGACCAGCATGGCCAACATGGTGGAACCTTGTCTCTACTAAAAGTACAAAAATTAGCCAGGCATAGTGGCACGTGCCTGTAATCCCAGCTACTCAGGAGGCTGAGGCAGGAGAATCGTTTGAACCTGGGAGGTGGAGGTTGCAGTGAGCTGAGATGGCACCATTGCACTCCAGCGTGGGTGACAGAGCGAGAATCCACCTCAAAAAAAGAAAGAAAGAAAGACAATGAGAAGAGATGTGCAAAGAGCCTCGAGAAGTGTAATCTGTGTGCCAAGTATATACATCTGTTTCAGCAGGCATCCACTACTATTAGATTTTTTTAAACCAATAAAACGTTTCAATTTTTATTTTCATTTTTTTTGGAGACAGAGTCTTGCTCTGTCACCCAGACTGGAGTGTGGTGGCGCGATCTCAGCTCACTGCAACCTCCACCTCCCGGATTCAAGTGATTCTCGTGCCTCAGCCTCCTGAGTAGCTGGGATTACAGGCACACACCACCATGCCCGGCTAATTTCTGTATTTTTAGTAGAGAAGGGTTTCACCATGTTGCCCAGGCTGGTCTTGAACTCCTGACCCCAGGTGATCCGCCTGCCTCGGCCTCCCAAAATGCTGGGATTACAGGTGTGAGCCACCGCGCCCGGCCTCAAATATTTTTTAATTAAGAAAATGATCCATTGTAGAAGTTCTATAGCATTTTGAACTCTGATCTCATTTTCTTATGGATACAAATATTCTAAGTGGGTATTGGGCTCCTAGACAAGACTGCAGAAGTCTATTTAATCCTCAAAGGCTATGTGTAGTGAACAGATGGTGGCTGCTAAAAAGATAGCTCCGCGTTCTAATCCCTGGAACCTGTGATTATCACCGTATATGGCAAAAAATGTGACTCACATCCTGAAAGGAGAAGCTTATCCCAGATTATCTGGTTAGACTCTACAAGCAATCACACTCATTAGAGAAAGGAGGGGAAATTTTGGGATAGACACAGAGAAGACATACAGAAGAGGAAAAGGCAATGTGGCTACAAAGGCAGAGATTGGAGCGACGCGACTGTGAGCCAAGAAACGCTGTCTCTACTAAAAATACACCGTCTCCACTAAAAATACAAAAATTGGCTGGGTGTGGTGGCACGCGCCTGTAATCCCAGCTACTCAGGAGGCCGAGGCAGGAGAATAGCTTGAACCCGGGAGGTGGAGGTTGCAGTGAGCTGAGACTGCACCACTGCACTCCAGCCTGGGCAACAGAGCGAGACTCCATCTCAAAAATAAATAAATAAGTCAGTCAGGTGTGGTGGTGTGTTCCTGTAGTTCAGCTACTCAGGAGGCTGAGGCATGAGAATTGCTTGAGCCCAGGAAGAGGAGGCTACAGTGAGCCGAGATCACACCACTGCACTCCAGCCTGGGCAACAGAGCAAGATTCTGTCTCAATAACAAAAAAAAAAAAAATAACAAAACAGAAAACTAAAACAAAACATAAAATGAATAAAATTGAGGAAAATTTTAATTAATTTTTATTAGAGTTGAAGTGGTGGAGAGGAGGTTTAATTAATAATGGCTGGCTGGGCGCAGTGGCTCCGCCTGTAATGCCAGCACTTTGGGAGGCTGAGGTGGGCGGATCACGAGGTCAGGAGTTCAAGACCAGCCTGGCCAACACAGTGAAACCCTGTCTCTACTAAAAATACAAAAATTACCCGGGCATGGTGGTGTGCACCTGTAGTCCCAGCTACTCGGGAGGCTGAGGCAGGAGAATCACTTGAACCTGGGAGGCAGAGGTTGTGGTGAGCCGAGATTGTGCCACTGTACTCCAGCCTCAGCAACAGATCAAGACTCTGTCTCAAAATAATAATAATAATAATAATAGCTAACATTTATAGACAATTTACTATAAGTGCTTTAATGTGTTTGCTCATGTACATGCTATAACAGCCCTAGGAAGTAAGTATCTGCTGTTTTCAATATTTGAAAACAAAATCCAAGGGGCAGAGGTTAAGTAACTTGGCTAAAGTCACACAGGCATAAAGGGAAAGGGCCAGTATCGGAACCCTGGCAGCTTGACCCCAGGGCCCCTCACTCTCCACTACTGCCTGCCTGCAGATAATTTTTTACCTTTTTTTTGTAAAAAAAAAAAAAAAAAAAAAAAAAAAACTCTGGACACTCTCAAGGGTTTTAGAGATAATAGCACTGATTTTTTTTTTTTTGAGACGGAGTCTTGCTCTGTCACCCAGACTGGAGTGCAGCGGCGTGATCTTGGCTCCCTGCAAGCTCCATCTCCCGGGTTCACACCATTCTCCTGCCTCAGCCTCCCGAGTAGCTGGGACTACAGGCGCCTACCACCACGCCTGGCTAATTTTTTGTATTTTT
This sequence comes from Homo sapiens, assembly GCF_000001405.40. Lineage (NCBI taxonomy): Eukaryota > Metazoa > Chordata > Mammalia > Primates > Hominidae > Homo > Homo sapiens. The sequence goes on from NC_000008.11 coordinate 73,768,888, forward strand.
AGTAGAGACAGGGTTTCACCATGTTAGCCAGGATGGTCTCGATCTCCTGACCTTGTGATCCACCCGCCTCAGCCTCCCAAAGTGCTGGGATTACAGGTGTGAGCCACCGCGCCCGGCTAAGCACTGCTTTTTAAAACAAAAATCAATAGACTTCATTTTTTAAAGTAGGTGTAGGTTTACAGAAAAATTGAACAAAAATTAGACTTCCCATATGCCTCCTCCTCCCTTCTCCCAGCTGAACATCCTCCATCAGTGTGGTACACTTGTTACAAATGACGAACAAACATCCATACACATTCTCTCTCTCTCTCTCTCTCTCTCTCTCTCTCTCTCTATATATATATATATATATATATATATTTTTTTTTTTTTTTTTTTTTTTTTTTTTTTTTTTCTGAGATGGAGTCTCACTCAAGTGATCCTCCCACCTCAGCCCCCCAAGTAGCTGGGACTACAGGTATGCACCACCACGCCCAGCTAATTTTTGTATTTTTTGGTAAAGATGGGGTTTCCCCATGTTGGCCAGGCTGGTCTCAAACTCCTGATCTCAAGTGATCTGCCTGCCTCAGCCTCCCAAAGTGCTGGGATTACAGGAGGGAGCCACTGCGCCCGGCCCACATTGTCAATATTTAATGCCCATAGTTTATATTAGGGTTCACTCTTGGTGGTGTACATCCTATGGGTTTGGAGAAATGTATAATGACATGTGACCACAATTACAGTATCTTGCAGAGTCTTTTCATTGTCCGAAAAAGCCTCTGTGCTCTGCCTATTCATTCCTCCCTACCCCAACCCCTGACAACCACTGATCTTTTTACTGTCTCCATAGTTTTGCCTTTTCCAGAATATTACATACTTGGAATCATACACAATGTAGCCTTTTCAGATTGGATTATTTCACTTAGTAATATGCATTTAAGTTTCCTCCATGTCTTTTTATGACTGGATAGCTCATTTCTTCTTAACACTGAATAATATTCCCTTGTCTGGATGTACCACGATTTATCCATTCACTTACTGAAGGACATCTTGGTTGCTTCCAAGTTCTAAGTAAAGCTGCACATTTGTGTGCAGGTTTTTTTGGTGAACGTAAAGTTTTCAACTCATTTGAGTAAATACCAAAAAACAAGATTGCTGGATCATATGGTAAGAGTATGATTTAGTTTTGTAAGAAACTGCCAAACTGTCTTCCAATGTGGCTGTACCATTTTCCATTCCCACCAGCAATGGGGTTCCTGGGTTCCTGTTGCTCTACATCCTCACGAGCATTTGGTGTCAGTGTTCTGGATTTTAGTTAATTCTAATGGTGTGTAGTGGTATCTCGTGGTTGTTTTTAATTTGGAATTCCCTGATGATACATGATATTGAATCACACTGCTTTTTAGTGCTTGATTTTAATCCAATACTAAATTTATGTATATAGTTGTACATAAACATGCCTCTCTATATGAAGTTTATGATATTATAGCTGAGAAATGGAATTATTGGTGGCTTTTATTGTCTTTATACTTATTGCATTTTGCTCCTGTGCATGTAACAGATTACAAGCTTTATTAAGATTTTCAGAGGGGCCAGGTGCGGTGGCTCCTGCTTGTAATCCCAGCACTTTGAGAAGCTGAGACAGGCAGATCGCTTGAGCTCAAGAGTTGGAGACCAGCCTGGACAACATAGTGGGACCCTGTCTCTACAAAAAAAAAAAAAAAAAAAAGAAAAAGAAAAAGGCCTGGCATGGTGGCACATGCCTGCGGTCCAAGCTATTAGGGGCTGAGGCAGGAGGATCGCTTGAGCCCAGGAGATCAAGGCTGCAGTGGGCCATGTTCATATCACTGCACTCCAGCCTAGCTGACAAAACAAGACACTGTCTCAAAAAAAAAAAAAATTATCTGGGCATAGTGGCGTGCACCTGTGGTCCTAGCTATTTGGGAGGCTGAGGTGGAAGAATCACTTGAGCCTGGGAGGTTGAGGCTGCAGTGAGCTGTGATTGTGCCATTGCACTCCAGCCTGGGCAACAGAGGAAGACCCTGTCTCAAACAAAAAAAAAGAAAAAGAAAAAAAATTTTTCAGAGGAAGAATTATTTTTAAGACTTGTGATTTATGATTTATCTATGCTGGGTAACTGGTTGTTATTTTTTCTTTTGTAAAATTAATACAAATCTAGTTAGTATGCTGAATCATGTATTTAATGCTTTTAATTAATTGAAAATTATTTGGTTTATTAACAAAGGTTCCTTAATATTGGCGATAAAAGGTTTATAATTTCCAGTTGTCGTTTTTAAAAGTTGAGCACAACATCTCAAAATCAAATTTTAGGAGTGTCTTCTGATTATTGTAGTGTTCACTGCAGTGAGCCAACACTTTTGTGACTTTCCCAATATGTACAGAATCACTTCATATATATATACACACACACACACACACACACACACACACACACACATATTTTTGAGACAGAGTCTCACTCTATTGCCCAGGCTGGAGTGCAGTGGCACAATCTTGACTCACTGCATCCTCCACTTCCCAGGTTCAAGCGATTCTCCTGCCTCAGCCTCCCAAGTAGCTGGGATTACAGGCATCCACTGCCACGCCCGGCTAATTTTTGCATTTTTAGTAGAGATGAGGTTTCACCATGTTGCCCAGGCTGGTCTCAAACTTCTGACCCCAAGTGATCCGCCTGCCTTGGCCTCCTAAAGTGCTGGGATTACAGGCGTGAGCGACTGCGCCTGGCCTCCTTCTAGTATTTTAAACAAAACATGTTGAATGAAGAAATAATGTGTAATTTAAATAATCTCAATTATCATAGTAGCATTTGAAAGTTATTTCTAGTTTGCTAATTTTAGCACAAATCCTGTCATTTCCTCAACTGCTTATACAACATGGGCTGATACAAAGGACAAAATAGTCCTCAAGTAACGTATAACCTATTTTCTACACTATATTTTATCGAAGCTCTAGTATTTAGCATATATTTAATAACTTATAAGATTCAGTTAGCATACTGTATTTAATCTGTCTTGTCTCAGGTTTATGATAGAACAGCAAAAATTTGAAAATACACTTGAATTAGTGCATTTTCAAATTTAAATTAGCCTTTAGTAGCATCTTTGTAGGTTTTATTGAAGTGTTGAATTAACACTTTGCTTTCACCTCTTTGTCTTTGAATTCTTAGGTTATAAAAATTAATCCATTGTAAGTGACATGTTATTCCTTTCATGTGCTGTAAGCTCATAATTAATTTTATATTTTAACACATTACAGAAACCTCTCATGTCACATCATGTTTAATTTTAAATCACCATTTAAATGAAACTTAAATCATTATGTAACTTAATATATCATATATATCCCATAACAGGGCTGTGTGCATTGGATATCCATCGATTCTTTTAAATAGTGAAATTCAAGGGAATTATATTATGCGTGTATTATACTAATACATATAATTCACCTCTAAATTACATATTACGCGAACACGTGATCTCCCCCTAAAATATACAATATGTTTCATTATGAAACATATCAACACCTCTTACAATGTCCATTATCAACATCTTTCCAACATTCCTCAGTAGAAAGTACAATTAATGGGCTGGGCACGGTGGCTCATGCCTGTAATCCCAGCACTTTGGGAAGCCGAGGCGGGCAAATCACGAGGTCAAGAGATCGAGACCATCCTGGCCAACATAGTGAAACCTCGTCTCTACTAAAAATACAAAAATTAGCCAGGTGAGGTGGTGGGCACCTGTAATCCCAGCTACTTGGGAGGCTGAGGCAGAAGAATTGCTTGAACCCGGGAGGTGGAATTCGCAGTGAACCGAGATCACGCCATTGCACTCCAGCCTGGGCGAGAGAGCGAGACTCCGTCTCAAAAAAAAAAAAAAAAGTACAATTGATGGTCAGGCGCGGTGGCTCATGTCTGTAATCCCAGCACTGTGGGAGGCCGAGGTGGGTGGATCGTTTGAGCCCAATAGTTCGAGACCAGCCTGAGCAACATGAAGAAACCCCATCTCTACCAAAAATACAAAAAATTAGCTGGGCGTCTAGCAGGTGCCTGTAGTCCTAGCTACTTGGGAGGCTGAGGTGGGAGGATCACTTGAGCCCAGGAGGTGGAGATTGCAGTGAGAGATCACGCCACTGCACTCCAGCCTGGGTAAGAGTGAGATTCTGTCAAAAGAAAACAAAAAAAAAGGAAGGAAGGGAGGGAGGGAGGGAGGAGGAGGGAGGGAGAGAGAGATAGAGAAAAGAAAGAAGAGAAAAAGAAAGAAACAATTGATAAAATAAAGTGTCTAGTGACTTTGTTAAGGAAATGCTAGAGAGCAGGCTTCACTATAGGCTTTACTGTACATTCTATATGTATGTTTACCAACAAACATAAAAGGAAAAGTACTAACTTTACTTCATCATTTAAGTATAACTTAGCAAATATTTATTTATTGCTCCATAGTGGAAAAAAAGTATATATATGGTAGAGAAAGCACAGGCATAAGCCACTGCAGTCTAGGTGGTGGGGCTGCCTTATCTGCGTCCCTGCTGCCTCCATCCCCACTCCCCAGATATTTTACTTTCATAAAAACCTCATCAATTTAAATATTTTATTTTATTTCTTTTCTTTTTTTTCTTTCTTTCTTTTTTTTTTTTTTTTGAGACAGTGTCTCACTTGTTGCCCAGGCTGGAGTGCAGTGGTATGACCATGGCTCACTGCAGCCTCAACCTCCTGGGCTCAAGCAATCCTTCCACCTCAGCCTCCCGAGTAGCTGGGCCTACAGACTACTGTAGTAGCTTTTGCCACCACACTCAGCCTCCTGCCTCGGCCTCCCAAAGTGCTAGGATTATAGGCATGAGCCACTGTACCTGGCCTGGTTAGAATTCCTTAGATAAATACACACACAAATTTAGATCTATTAGCTTCCACTTGGTCAATAATCCTGTAGTAGTAGAGAAAGATAAATGTTCTCTTCTCATCAAAGTTCCCCAACTCCTTTGTCATTGTGTTGGGAAACTCCTCCTCCAATTCCACATGGTCCTGATGGGGCTGTCACCCCCACCACTATAGAGACAGCCCTAAGACCCAGGCCTGGCCAAAGCCATCTCCCCAGCCTCAGTGATGGCTGAGGGAGGCTGCAGTCATAGGCTCCAAAGAAGACCAACCAGTATCTTCTCTGAGGTTGATACACAAACACTGGGAAAGAGACGTTTGTTTTCTGAGTTGCTAGGCTGAGAAGATAGAGCTATCAGGGACACTCTTGGCCACCATTTCTGGAGGCTCTGTCTGTAGAATAAAGCGAAGCAGAGCTGGGAACGGGAGCCAGAACCTCGTGACCTTCTTTGAGCTCCTGCCTCCAGCTGTTCTGAAGCCAGTCCCCACCCCTAGACTCTCCTGTTTTATAAACCAGCAACTCTCTTTTAGTTTACACTAGTTTTATTTGCAACCCATAATAGGCCTAATACAAAGTGGGTCCAACTTGAAATGTGGAGAAACAGGTGGATGTTTGGGAACATTAAAAATATGTGTATTCCTAGAGCTCAGGAAGCGGAGGCTGCAGTGAGCTGTGATTGCGCTACTGCACTCAGGTGGCAGAGCGAGACTCTGATTTTTTTTTAAGTGTACTCTAACCTGAAATTTCTTTTTGAAGACTAGGAAGATTTTGCCACTGATCTCAAAACAGTTCTGTCAAGTAAAATACCATCTTTATTCTAAATAGAAATCATATTTCCCCTTAATTTTTTGTTAGCTGCTTAAATTACTTCCCCTCTTTCAGCAAGAGAATAAACTAAAATGTATAAACTGTGCTGTTGTTCCCTTGCTGTATTCTCCCCCAAGACTGTTGACATTCCTTATGCTGAATTATAGCTGAAAATCACTTTCGTCTTCTGACCTCCTGGATTGATGTCGGAAAGAGAAATATTACTTGTATCCTAAGAAACCTGGAAGTGAGTTAAACAGTCATTCTCAAACCTGGCTCTGGATCAGAATCAGCTGGGGGAGTTTCATTCCCCTAAAATATGAAGTCTGCCCTCATTCCAAATCTCACTGGAAAGAGATTGAGTTGAATTTATCCAACATTCAGCAATGCTCTATTTAACAAAGTCATATTTTTTTTCCTGAAGAGACAGAGATGTAAAACAATATCTCCTTGCTTTGAGCTCCTGAAAGTCTCTCTTCAACTTTGTGAATAAAGCAAACACTTTGGCCATCTAAAAATTTGAACTAGAGGTATAATTTTAGGAACATCAAAATGGGAATAAATTGGAATTTGATATTTGAACTTAAGGTTCAGAACTTTTGTTGGTTTAATCATTAGACAAACATTTATAACAGGAAATATGCAAGCAACTGCGGATAAAAGCAGAAAGACATATTGTTTACCTCAAGTCCAAAATCAAGTAAATTTCCATGACTTAAGTCAAATTTCCAGAAGTATTGTTATTTTTGCTCCTGTTTAGTTATATGTATTGACACTCAATTCTTCTTATGTACTACAGAAGGCAACGTTTTCCAAGAAATTCTTATCTGTTCTAGAAACTACGTTCATAGCTAGGAATTATCTCTAAAGGTCTTTAACATTACTTCTTAGGAAAAAAATATGTTCAAGGAAAATTAGAATGTATTGTAGTCTAAATCCATAAGAAATTGCCTTGAGTGGTCTATTCTGGATGGTTGAGCTGGAAATTAGGGTCAGTTGCGCCTACCAAGATGACCTTCTTTACAGCCTGCTTCTGGACACAGGAATCCAAGTACTAAGACAGTAGCAATAATTTAGAGTTAAATGGGACTCTTTTTTTTTTTTTTTTTCTGAGACAGAGTCTCGCTCTGTTGCCCAGGCTGGAGTGCAGTGGCGCAATCTCAGCTCACTGCAACCTCCGCCTCCCAGTTTCAAACAATTCTGCCTCAGCTTCTCGAGTAGCTGGGATTACAGGTGTGTACCACCACGCCCAGCCTCAATGGGACTCTTGCGGTGTTTCCTGGCAAGAATGGAACCCCTTGGGTGGGGGCCATTGTTCCAGGACCCATATATTCTCCCTATTAGAAACAATGCCCCATAAATAGGCCTGTGAGTCAAGTGCAAATACAGCATCTTGGAAGATGGCACCCATCTTTGGAGAGTGTTGCCTCCAAACCGATAAGTCAGCTGTTCCTCCAGTAAGCAGTGCTAATGTTCTTTCAGGTTGATTACTTTGGGTGGTGCTGTGTGATAGGGACAGGTGACCTCTGGAGCTTTGCTGTGAAGTAAGTGTCCTGGTCAGATGCTCTGTTGTGTGGGATCCATGCCTGTGAATCAGGCACTCCATAAGACCCCAGACAGTGATGCTGGCTGATAGACTGCACAGGCAGAAAAGGTAAACAAATACCCAGACAGTGTTATTCCAGTGAGAATGAATTGCATGCCCTTTGTACTAGTTTGCTAGGGTTGTTGTAATAAAGTACCACAAACTGGATGGCTTAAACAATAGACATTTATTTTCTCACAGCTCTGGAAGCTAGAAGTCCAAGATCAAGGTGCGGGCAGGGTTGTTGTCCTGTGAAGACTGAGAGGGTAGGGTCTGTCCCAAGCCTCTCTTTGGTTTATAGATGACCATCTTCACATTCTTCCTGTATCTTCACATCTTCTTCCCTTTGTGTATGTCTCTGTGTTCAAATTTCCCTGTTTATAAGAACACCAGGCTGAGTACAGTAGCTCATGCCTGTAGTCCCAGCACTTTAAGAGCCTGAGGTGGGTGGATCACTTGAGTCCAGGAGTTCAAGACCAGCCTGGGTGACATGGCAAAACCCCATCTCTACAAAAAAATTAACCAGGCATGGTGGTGCCCACCTGTAGTCTCAGCTACTCAGGAGGTTGAGGTGGGAGGATTGCTTGAGCCAGGGAGTCGAAGGCTGCAGTGAGCTGAGATTGTGCCACTGTACTCCAGCCTGGGCAACAGAGCAAGACCCTGTTCCCCCACCCAAAAAAGAAAGAATACCAGTCCCACTGCATTAGAGCCTGTTCTAATGACTTCATAATAACTTGATTAACTCTGTAAAGACTTTGTCTCCAGATAAGATCACATTCTGAGGTACTAGGTGTTAGACTTCAACACAAAATTGAAGGGCATAGCCAGGGACCACACGAACTAATGGAGAAGGCATCTCACTTCAAATTTGAAGGGCACACAGTTCAACCCACAACATCCTTCTAGGACAAAAGGATCCCAATGTAGATAATGTGATATCAGCTGGAATGTTGGGTCCTGAGTGTATATATATATATATGAATTTATATATAATTATAATTATTTATATATTATATACATAAAATACTTGCTAGAAATATTCTAGAGCTTTGTTCTGCAATGTAGTCTGGTTATGTGGGAAGAGTGTAATCCTCTTGAGACTTGCTTTTTATGTTTTTTTAGAGAATTCATTAAGGATTAATTTTTCCTCAATAATAGGCAATGCTTTCTGAATATTCCACCCTATGCCCCCTGAATTGCACGGTTTTGCATTCTGGCTGGAGGAACACAAGCTCTTCCCAGCTTTGTGTGATCTCTGCCTATCGCTCATTTTGGTTGGTTCCTTCCCCAGCTTCACAGCCCCCACACATGCTGAAGCCGCACTGGCTGCCCTCTGAGATCCCTGGGGCCCTCTTTCTAGAAAGCCCTCTCCTCTTTAGTACTCCCACCTGAGGACTCCAGTCACCCTGGGCCTCCCTGGACTTCCGGCTTTGTCTCCCCAGGTCAGGAGGATGGCTGGGCTACGCCTGCTTCCCTGCGATCCAGCAGTGAAGCAGGTGTAGGGCTCACTCCATCTGTTTTCCTTCGTTCAGTGACTGATGCCCTTTTTTGCTTGCTAGCCAGTGTTTTGAAAATTATTGTTTCATATATTTCATCTGAGTTTTTAGTTCTTTCAGGCTTTTTAGTTCTTTAAATCCAGTCCCCGTTGCTTCATCTCGGCTCGATATAGAAGTTTGTAATTAAAAACATGCCCTCTGAAATGGAGTCCTCATTGTCAGACAGACAGTGAGTGATTAGGTCTCAATGCCCCATTTAGCACCTTCCTCGTGCACCACACCCAGTGCCAACTGTGTTGATTTGGGTCCTCCAGGAAGCAGACACTGGAGTTAGGAGGGCAAGAGGTTTGTTAGGGGAGTAAGTTTGTGAAAGACAGAGGAAGAGGATTGGGCTAAGAAAACCAAACAATGATGCAGATCTGAAACCTGGAAAGGTAAAGAAGAGGCAAATTTGGGCAGACAGAGCTTTGGACTGGAAGGCAGATCTGACAAATTCTCGCCAGCCAATGTGAAGGTTTAGAGCAAGGATTACGTGTTAGAGAAGTGCCACGCTGAGCAGAAATGGCCAGGCCCCCACCATGCTCAGTCATTGGCTGGGGGCTGTGTGGAAGAAGTGTGGCCATGGCTCTGAAACTGAGGCAGATCCCACAGCAGCTGCCGCACTGCCTGCAGCTTTCCAGCAAGTTCTTTCATGGAGGCAGGGCAAGGCAGGTCCCCACAGCTGCTGCACTCGCCTCACACTCACTCAAGACACTTTTTTCTTATACTAGAATGTGTATATTTCAACAGACCAGAAAATGGAAAACAATATGTGTGGAGTTCACTAATTCAAATAGAAAGCAAAGGAATGACTATTTGGAACCTGCTTGAACTCACCAAAAACAAGCCACACCAGAACAACCAGTATCTCCTTTCTAAATTTACATGGCAGTTCCCTCTTATCCACGGGGGATACGTTCCAAGACGCTCAGTGAATTGCTGAAACTGCCAATAGTACCAAATCCCTTATATACTATGCTTTTTCCTACATAGACATACCTATGATAAAGTTTAACTTCTAAATTAGGCACAGTAAGAGATGAACAATCATCACTAATAATAAAATAGGCCAATTACAACAATATACTGTAATAAAAGTTATTTGTGAATGTGGTCTCTCTCTCTCTCAAAATATTTTATTGTATTGTACTCACCTATTTTTAGACCTATTTTTGACTGTGGGCAACTGCAAATATGGGAATCAAAACCATTAATAAGGGGGGCTACTGTATAGAAAGATGACCCGAGTGATAGTAGCATGATGTTTGATAGTAGTTACAATGCTTAAATAATATGCTGAGCTGAAGACACTAAATGAGATAATAAATGGTATGCTGTAGGCTTATGTCTTTGCTTTTAAACACTGAAAAGGCGAGGCAGGTGGATCACCTAAGGTCAGGAGTTCAAGGCCTGCCTGGCCAACATGGCAAAACATTGTCTCTATTAAAAATACACAAATTAACCAGGTGTGGTACGTGCCTGTAATCCCAGCTACTTGGGAGGCTGAGGCAGGAGAATCACTTGAACCCAGGAGGCGGAGGTTGCAGTGAGCCGAGATCACACCACTGCACTCTAGCCTGGGTGACAGAGCAAGACCCTGTCTCGGCTGGGCACAGTGGCTCATGCCTATAATCCCAGCACTTTGGGAGGGCAGGGAAGGTGAGGCGGGCAGATCACCTGAGATTGGGAGTTCAAGACCAGCCTGACCAACATGGAGAAACCCCATCTCTACTAAAAATACAAAATTATTCGGGCGTGGTGGCACATGCCTGTAATCCCAGCTACTCGGGAGGCTGAGGCAGGAGAATTGCTTGAACCTGGGAGGAGGAGGTTGCAGTGAGCCGAGATCGCGCCACTGCACTCTAGCCTGGGCGACAAGAGTAAAACTCTATCTCAAAAAAAAAAAAGAAAAAAGAAAAAGAAATGTTTTTTGAGCTTGTTTTCAACAGCAAACACTTTCTCCTAATGCAAACGTCTATAGAATATCAATATGAAATATACTCACGTGTGCCCCTGAGGTAACTGCATGAAACTCCTAAAGCTCTGAGAAACAGCTTGAAAATCCTTGCTCTAAACCACAGAGCAAGTTCTATTCTCTTTTGTATCTTAGACTATTTGAAGTGGTAAGATCAGTTCTGGTTACTACACTTTAAAGCATCTTTGAAAATCTTGACCCTACAAAAGAATGATGCAAGGATTTGAAAATGTATCATATTAAAAACCAGTAAAGGAAATGTTTTCCTCACTGTGTCATGAAATATGTTCTTGAAATATGTTCTCAAAACACCTGAAAATATATGGAAAAGAAACCAGGACTTATTCCGTGTTTCCAGAAGACAGAACTAGAAAAAAGAGATAGTGTGTGTGTGTTTGTTAGGGCTGCTATAACAAAGTAGTTCAAACTGGATGACTTAAAAGAAACCAGACATTTATTGTCTCACAGTTCTGGAGGCTGGAAGTCCATGATCAAGGTGTCAGCAGAATCATGTTCTCTCCCACAGCTCTAGGGAAGAACATTTCCCTGCCTCTTCCAGCCTCTGATGTTCCCAGCAATCCCTGGCATTTGCTGGCTTGTTGATACATCACCCCATGACTGCATGGTCTTCTCCCCATGTGTCTGAGTCTCTTCTCCAATTCTTAGGACACCAGTTATATTGGATTAAGGCCACATTCTACTTCGGTATAACCTCACCTCAACTAATGACATCTGCAATGACTCTATTTCCAAATAGGGTCACAATTTGAGGTACTGGGAGTTAAGACTTCAACACATCTTATTGGAGGACATGATTCAATCCGTAATAGATAGTATGAAGGCAGATTTCAGTTCTGAAAAAAAAATTTATTTATTTATTTATTTTTTGAGACAGTATGTCACTCTATCTCCAGGCTGGAGTGCAGTGGCACAATGCAACCTCCATCTCCCAGGTTGAAGCAATCTTCACACCTTAGTTTCCAGCTACTTGGGACTACAGGTGACACCACCACATTCAGCTAATTTGTTTGTATTTTTTTTGTAGAGATGAGGTTTTGCCATGTTGCCCAGGCTGGTCTCGAACTCCTGGACTCAAGAGATCCACCTGCCTCAACCTCCCAAAGTGCTGGGATTACAGGTGTGAGCCACGACGCCTGACCTGGAAGAAATAACTTTCTAATAATCAGATTTATTCAAAAGTGCAATGATTTTCTGAGTTAGGTTAATCCCTGTAAATGAAGGTGATCAGGGTGATCGCTTCAAAGACATTCAGAAATAATTTATTCATTGATTAGGCTTTTGGACTAGAAAGTATTAAATTCCTGGCTGAGCGCGGTGGCTCACGCCTGTAATCCCAGCCCTTTGGGAGGCCGAGGCAGTTGGATCTCTTGAGGTCAGGAGTTCAAGACCAGCCTGGCCAACATGGTGAAACCCTGTCTCTACTAAAAATACAAAAATTAGCCAGGCATGGTGGCATGCGCCTGTAATCCCAGCTACTTAGGAGGCTGAGGCAGGAGAATTGCTTGAACCTGGGAGGCGGAGGTTGCAGTGAGCCGAGATCGCGCCATTGCACTCCAGCCTGTGCGACACAATGAGACTCAGTCTCAAAAAAAAAAAAAAAAAAAAGTATTAAATTCCTTTCCAGCTATTAGTTAATGGGCAATTAACCCATAAACTGAGTAAAATCATCACACTAAATATTTCACTATCATTGCTACCTAAAAACTTCAGCTCCCGTCTCCACTTACTAATTGACTATATAAGCTACCATACTCGGTGCAACGGGGGAATGCAAACACATCTCCTTTTCTCCCAAACCTGCTTCTTCTCTTTGTACTTTGGTGAAAACTATCACCCTCAACTCATTTGTCCAAGCCCAAAACATAGTGGTTATCTCAAGTATAAGTGTACTGACTTTCAGCATGGATTTTGGAATTTGTCCGACTCAGGTTTGGGTTTTTTTTTTTTTTTTTTATTTTTAAACAGTGTCTCGTTCTGTCATCCAGGCAGGAGTGCAGCGATCTTCTTACCCCAGCCTCCCAAGTAGTTGGGACCACATGTGCAGACCACCATGTCTAGCTAATTTTTATATTTTTGCAGAGATGGAGTTTCACCATGTTGCCCAGGCTAGACTCAGGTTTTAAATTCTAGCTCCATCACATTTAAAGTGTGTGATTTTGGACAATTTGATTATGGCTGAATTTGTCCACTTTCTCATACCTTATTTCAGGCAGCCATCATCCTGTCTTTATTACTAAAAGCCTCCTTTTTTTTTTTTTTTTTTTTTTTTTTTTTTGAGACAGAGTCTCGCTCTGTCACCAGGCTGGAGTGCAGTGGCATGATCTTGGCTCACTGCAACTTCCACCTCCCGGGTTCAAGCGATTCTTCTGCCTCAGCCTCCTGAGTAGCTGGAACTACAGGCATGTGCCACTAGGCCCGGCTAATTTTTTTTTTTTTGTATTTTTAGAAGAGACGGTGTTCCACCATGTTGGCCAGAATGGTCTCGATCTCTTGACCTCGTGATCTGCCTGCCTTGGCCTCCCAAAGTACTGGGATTACAGGCATGAGCCACTGTGCCTGGCCAATTGTGTTTTTTTTTTAATTGAGGTATAATGTACAATAATCTACAAATAAAGTGTATAATTTGATGAGATTGACATATACCTCTGTGAAACCAAGACAATCAAGATAATGAACATATGTATCATTCCCAAAAGTTTGTTTCTTCCCCTTTGTAATCTCCCCTTCCCGCCATCCCATTTCCCTATGCAAACATTTATCTGATTCTGTCACTGTAACTAAGGATGCATTTTCTAAAATTTTATGTAAATAAAGCCATACAGGATGTATGCTTTTTGGCCTGGCTATATTCACTCAGCATAACCGAGATTTATCAGGATTCATCAACTTCATTACATGTATCAATAGTTTGTTCCTATTTTATGACTGAATATTATTCCATTGTATGGAGAGTTGCTTATCTGTTCACCTATTGATGGACATTTGGGATGTTTCTAGTTTGGGCAGATTACATAAAACATAAAATGTTTTATGTTTCATATAAACATTAGTGTACAAGGCCTTTTGTGGACATATGCTTTCTTTTCTCTTGGGCAAATAGCTAGGTGTGAAATGGCTGATTTGTATAGTAGGTATGTGCATAACTTTTAAAGAAACTGCCAAATTATTTTCCAAAGTGGTTATACAATTCTAAATTCCCACCTGCAGTGTAGGAGAGTTTCCATTGCTCCACATCCTTGCCACAACTTGGTATGGTCAATGCAGTGGGTGTGTAGTGGTATCTCATCATTGTTTTTATCATTGTTTTTATTTGTATTTTGCTAAGGACTAAAGGTGTTAAGCAGCATTCCACGTGTTTGTTTGCCATTCCTATATTCTCTTTGGTTACATATCAGTTCGAGTAAAAAACAAAATCACCCATTACTTCATTGGGTTTTGTTACTGAATTTTAAGTTCTTTAAAAATTATAAATATATCCTTTATCAGATATATTTGCAAAGATATTGTCTTGTTTTCATAGTTTGTCTTTTGAAGAACCTGTTTCAAATTTTGATGCGTCCAACTCATTCTTTTAGAATTTGTGTCATAGTTAAGAAATCTTTGTCAAATCCAAGACCTCAGATTTTCTCCTTTTTGAAGTTTTATTGTTTTTGCTCTCAATTTAGGTCTATGATTCATTTTGGGCTAATTCTGTATACAGTGTTAGGTAAGATTTTTGTTTTTTGCATACGGCTTTCCAAATGTTCTAATGCCTTTCGTTCGATGGAGTATTGCTTCACCCACAAGTGCCTTGGCATCTTTTTTTGAAAATCAATTGACCGTATTTCTGGACTCTCTATTCTGTTCCACTATGTCTATCTTTATTCCAGTAGTTCATATTATAATCAATTCAAGCCATCATCCTTTGTCTGGATTACTGAAAAAGCCTCTTGGGTTCTGCTCCCATCCCCACATCCCCAGCTCTGTGACTCTTCCAATCCATTCTCCAGACTACAGCCAAGGCCAAGGTAATTTGTCCAAAGTGCAAATCTCATTCCACCAGTCCCTTTGCCCACACAATATTAAGTCAAAACTTTATAACATGGTTTTTGTTTTTGAGATGGAGGCTTGCTCGGTTGCCCAGGCTGGAGTGCAGTGGTGCGATCTGGGCTCACTGCAACCTCCGTCTCCTGGTTCAAGCAATTCTCCCACTTCAGCCTCCCAAGTAGCTGGGATTACAGGCACATGCCACCAGCCTGGCTAATTTTTTGTATTTTTAGTAGAGACAAGTTGGCTAGGCTGATCTCAAACTCCACACCTCAGGTGATCTGCCCGTCTCAGCCTCCCAGAGTGTTGGGATTACAGGTGTGAGCCACCACACCTGGCCATAACATGGTTTTTTACCACTCTAATTCAATGCTCCCACCACACTGTTCTTTATCATACCCGGGTCTTTGCAGTGTGTGCTTATACATGCCCTCATCTTCACTCTCCCACCTTTACCTGGCAAATACTCATCCTGCAGTTTGTCATGTTCCCTGAATTCTTTCTTGGACTCCATGTGTTGATTTTTCCTGCCTTGATGCTCACCCAGCACTCTGTGATTACCCCAGGATACCAAGTGTCAAACTGTATTTCAATTACCTGTCTGCCTTCCCTGCCTGATCATAGTTCCTTGAGACTCAGTAGGCATTCAATATTTAAATGAGTATAAAGACAAACAAGATAGGTTCTCATTCTTCAGAAGATCCCAAGTTAAGCCAGGCAGATCAGCAAACCATATCAGATCATGTCAAACTCCTCTAATGCTTTCTAGGTCTGTTTATATTTCTGCTGGCTGTTAATCATGGTGTCTTATTTCCTAGAATGTGATAACTTTATGTCCTAGGAAGAAAGTATCTTCCTCCAGAGAGGATATTCATTTGCTTCTGCATGTCATCTCCTGAGGACACTGCCAGTCAGGGACCACACCTTAATCCAAGTCCAAGGCTTGACATTCCCTGAACCACCCTAGAGTGGGTGCAAGTCTGAATGATGGCTGGTTTACTTAGCTGATCTTTACTATGAAGTAGACCTACTGGGTCTAGCTTTAAATTATTTCTTGGTGGGTGGGATGCTGGGGTAGTACTTCAGACTCCTTGTTTTAGGCATATCCTGGGCAACTATCCTTGTGATACCGCCCACACAGTAGCTCAGTTTCATAACTATTTCTTCCCAATTGATAAATTTCCTGAGGACAAAAGCAACTCTTAGTTGCTGGGCTCATCTCTCAGCTAATGGAAACTGAAGGACCAAATAACTTCAATCTTACCCTGACTCACAAGGACCTACATCATTCCAAATACTCTGCTCATCCTGAACCAGTCCCACAGTCCTTTGTACTGATCTTCATGCAAACTCCTCTCCTGTCCTAGCATTTTGTACTTGGGAACTCTGTTCTTGCCTGAAACCCATCTACAAAGTTTACATTTTTCAGGTCATGACAATATTTTTATTTTTTTTAGATGGAGTCTTGCTCTGTCACCCAGGCTGGAGTGCAGTGTGTGGTCTCAGCTCACTGCAACCTCTGCCTCCCGGGTTCAAGCAATTCTTGTGCCTCAGCCTCCCAAACAGTTGGGATTACAGGCATGTGCCACCATGCCCAGCTTTTTTGTATTTTTAGTAAAGATGGGGTTTCTCCATGTTGGCCAGGCTTGTATCGACCTCCTGGCCTCACTGATCCGCCTGCCTTGGCCTCCCAAAGTGCTGGGATTACAGGTATAAGCCATCATGCCTAGCCCATGACAGTATTAAAGAAAATAAATTCAGGGGGTACACGTGCAGGTTGGTTACACAGATCCATTGCCTAATGCTGGGGGTTTGGGCTCTATTGAACCCATCGCCCAGATAGCGAACACAGTACCTAATATGTAGTTTTTCCAACCCTGGCACCCATCCACTCTCTTTTAGAGACGGAATCTCGCTCTGTCCCAGGCTGGAGTGCAATGGCATGATCTTAGTTCACTGCAACCTCTGCCTCCCGGATTCAAGCTATTCTCCTGCCTCAGCCTCCCAAGTAGCCGGGATTACAGGCGCCCACCACCACGCCGTTATTTTATTTTTAGTAGATACGGGGTTTCACCATGTTGGCCAGGCTGGTCTCAAGCTCCTGACGTGATCCACCTGCCCAAAGTACTGGGATTACAGGCGTAAGCCACTGTGCCTGGCCCATCTTTATGCATGACAGTACTTTTCACAGACATGTTTCTTTGATAATCAGAAACTATCTGCACCTCTTAAGGCTTGTCACATTTTATATGATATGCTTTTCTATTTATTATCTCCCTTATTACATATGCCCTTTGAAGATATATACCTCATCTGCCATCCTTCTTGGCATATGAAAGGCACACAATAATTATCTGCTTAATGCTGGTTTTTAAACTCTATGTCAGGTTTACCTTTATGATTTTATGGTTCCTGAGATGTATTTAGTTTAAAACAATTAATTTGTGACAAGCAATTTGCCTCAGAGATAAAGATATGAGAAACACCTATAAAAAAAGCCAAAACCAATGAAGAATGATTAATGATTTATTTAAAAGTAGTTTTCTCAAACTCTCTGGGATAGAAAGAGCAGGGTCCTGTTATACATTTTACTCAGGTGGTGGTTCTGGATATATGTTTCAAAATAGCTAGCACCTAAGTTTCTTTGAGAAAGCTAGGATAAAAATACAAGCATAACCAAGTTAATTCAATACACACTTATTAAATGCCTATGTGCTACAGGTACTGTATACTAGGTACTGTGTGCTACGTGCTGGGGACACAAACACAATTGCAACACTGTCCCTACTGTTAAAAAGTTCAGGATAGATGACTGGTAGGGAGAGAAGAAAGGACAAGGATGATAACCTTTCAGCTACCTTTGAACTAGACCTTTCAGGTAGAAACGCAGATCATGAACATTCTAGGAGGGAAGAACATTAGCAGACGGCAGTGGAAGCTTGCATTGCTACTGCTTATGAAACAAGGTTTGTGGACAGCTGAAGAGCAGCCTAGGGACACCAAGGCCAGGTAGTGAAAGGCCCTAATGGTAAGGAGACTGGAGAGAAGGTAGAAATCTCAGAGACATTTTAAAGTTACACTCAACAGGACTTGAAAAATGCAAGGAGAGGACTACTGAGTATCATTGCTTGATTAAGTTGGATGGGAATGTCATTAAATTATAACAGGATAAAAGAAATATGTTTTCATTGAGGTATGGAAACATAAAATTTTAATGTTGAATTGGCTATCTGCAGGATACAGCCATCTATATTAGGATCTTGTCTAATGACATATATTCACCCACATTAAGTCCCTGAAGGCCAGATACAGACATGAGAAGATATTTCCTACCTTAGTTGATAAACTTTCCTTATTATTTCCATAATCCACTTAACTGTAAAGGGCGTAGGGATTCCCACTTATGTATTTTGCATTATGCAGGCAAACATTAAAAATAAATCTTACAGGCAACTAAAAAAATGGTTGAAAGGGGCTCCCAACAGGACAGATAACCACAGTGGCTTTGAGCTTTGTTGTCCAAGTACACAAAACTCTTAGCTGTCTCACTTGCTTCTTCAATTTAGCTTATGTTTAATTTTGTTACGTGTTATGTTAGTGTGAAAATGAGTAAGAAATATAGGGAGGACATAAACAGAGTCACTTATCCAGGGTAGCTTAAACTAATGGAGAAAAGTCAAATCCTACTATGGAAAGTAGAAATTAAGGATTATAATAAAGGAAAAGGGCATCATCAAAGTACAAAAGATGGTTCATATATTTATCTAACCATCTACTAACATAGTTGTGTAGGACGGCAGGAACAGCTTGAGACATGATCGTTTTTATGGCAGAATGGCTGCCTCAATGAGGACTAAGGTGCTCCTGGGGCAAGCAGATCCCCTGCAGAAAAGCTTAGAATTACCAGCAGAGCATATTTAATTCCTCCTGTCAGGAATAACAGATGCTGAGATAGCCCCTTCTTGTGGTTATTTCTTTCCTCTTCTTGCAGCTTCAAGAGTCACTCATTTAAGTCATTAGTTGATCTGTTTGTATACTCCAGAAAGCATCCAGAAGTTCTTAGAGTATGCCCTTAATTGTACAACTTGAAGTTCAGGAACATCGGACTCACGATAACTCTAAGCAAGTGCCTGGGTCTCCATTTCCATCTTCACTGAAAACACTCAGTCTTTAGTTGGGACTTATTAAAACACTAAAACTAGCTACATATTACATAAAGGTGATGTGTTAAATAGATGGTTTAAGTGACTATCTTCATTCTGTTGCACTCATTTTGGAAATGGACATGTTCCTGTTTCTATAATCCTTTAAAATTCAGTCTTTTGTGAAGAGAAACTACTGTACAAATACTTTTACGTCATAAACCAAAAAGAGGTCTGGTATCTATCCCATTTAGTATTCAAGTCTACAGAAAAAATCCAATAACAACTGCTTTATTATTAAAAGTTATGAAATTCCATAAAGCAAAGTAATCTGCATTCAACTAACAAGTCTGATACATGTATTAAAAAATATATAACATAGATTTGTCTGTTTTAACATTTATATTCTATTTAAAAAGTAGTGACTTTACATATTTTGCAACTTGAGTTTATAAAATATATACATCCACCCTATTCAAATCCTCAAGCATGAGCTTTCATTCCTATTAATAAAATGCACACTCTGTAGTTCTGAATAATAAAAGGAAAATGGCACCAACTAAAACAAACAAATTCATTTTGACCTGAACATGCATTTAGTTTTTGGCTACTAATCAACCCAATAATCCATTTTACCTTGAACCTGACCACCAATTTGCCTTTACATAAACAATCTGTGGTTAACTATGAAAAGATGCATTTTCATGGTATCTGACACAATTTACCAAGTTCCTTATGGTAGATTTCAGGCTTTAAATTGTAAGTTTCAGGCTTCAAAAGAGGCAGGATTATTAAATCTTTCCATACACCAGAAAATCTGACAAGTGATGTCATTTTGAAATCATGCTTTTGCCTTTGAGAAAACAACTTAGAATTGTTGTAGGACCAATGAGAAAACAACTTAGAATCGTTGTAGGACCATCCTTTTCTCAAAACCCAGAGAGTGTATGTGCCAAGGACTAGAACAAGAATTGGATCTCTCCTTTTCCCAGTCAACTCCTCACTCACCATATTAAAACTGGAGTTCTTGAGGTATGTTAAGATAGATCAGCTTCTATTCAGGCATTCCTTCCACATACTCAAAATACCCTCAGATATTTTATTAACAAAAAATTTTTCATAAAAAAATAGTCATTTAATCATTCTAGAGACTCATCACAAAATACAAGTCACAATATTAACATATGAAAATTAAAATTACAATTAACATCTCACCAGGATCAAAGAACCCTAACTTCAACTTTCAGGATAGAGAGCTAAGTTTCAAGTACATGTCTAGATTCTATGTGCCTCTAATGATAATGATGTACATAAACCTGTCTTAAATCGGCAAACAGACGAGGCATGGTGGCTTGCACCTGTAATCCCAGCATTTTGGGAGGCTGAGGCAGGAGGAATGCTTGAGCCCAGGAATTCAAGATCAGCCTGGGCAACATGGTGAGACCTCGTGTCTTTAAAAAAAAAAAAAAAAAAAAAAAAAAAAAAAAAAATTCTATCCATCCAGGCATGGTGGCACACACCTGTAGACTCAGCTACCCGGGAGGCAGGAGGATTGCTTGAGCCAAGGTGGTCAAGGCTGCAATGACTGTTCCACTGCACACTCCAGCCTGGGCAACAGAGGAAGACCGTCTCAAAAAACAAAAAACAACCCACACACAATTTATGTTGAGAAAGCAAGTCTCCCACAAATTATTTTTAAAAAATGATTCCAGGCTGGGTGTGGTGGGTCATGCCTGTAATCGCAGCACTTTGGGAGGCTGAGGTGGGCAGATCACTTGAAGTCAGGAGTTCAACACCAGCCTGGCCAACACGGTGAAACCTTGTCTCTACTAAAAATTAGTCAGGTGTGGCAGCACATGCCTGTAATCCCAGCTACTCAAGAGGCTGAGGCAGGAGAATCGCTTAGACCCAGGAGGTGGAGATTGAAATGAGCCAAGATCGTGCACTGCACTAAAGCCCGGGTGACAGAGCAAGACTCCGTCTCAAAAATAAATAAATAAATAAATAATAAAAATAATCATTCCACATCTCAAAATGACTTAGAAATTTAAATGGAAAAAATAAATAATTTGCTTGGACAATAATTTGGCTTTGGGAGAGTCCTCATCCGAAAATAACAAAATTTCCTTAATATTAGTACTAAAGAACTAATTACAGCTAACAGCTCATTTACCAAGTAGTCAATTATTCAACAAATTTAGCCATCTACTGACAAACTGAAATTAGTATCAGAAACTCCATGTATTTTATTTGTAGGAGAGCATTTTAAATTTTTCAAAAATTCATGGCATAATTTTAATAATCGTCCTTCTGTAGAATCCCTAACCTCAGAAAAAAAAAAGAGAGAATAAATTAGAAGTGAGAAAAGGAAACTGCGGAAGACTGACACATTGGACATCAGTGGGAAGAGGCAGAAAAATAGGAAGAAAAATAAAGGACAGATTTAAAACAATTTAAAAAGGACTACAAAGAGGATTGGGGCCAGTTGGTGCAGATTAAAAGACACCTTCTTCACAGACCTCAATCATGCACAGGCAGTAACGGCATTACTATAACACAGAACAGTATAGTAGCTGATTCTGATAATGAATCCTCAGAAAAGAAGAATATGGTTAAGCTTCAGTTCTTTTTGAAAAGCAATTTACATACACAATTACAAATAATTGTAAATTTTAAGCATTCAGCTAAGATATGTACAAAAAAATTAATGAAAGTGAGATCAAGAAATATAAGCAGCAGTAACCATAAAGGCTTAGAACTAGTGACACTGAATTCTTTATTTAAAAAAATTTTTGTAACACACAGTACCTCCTCTTCTCTTCTATTTTTAGGAAGAAGTTATAACAAGTTTTAAATATCTCAATTCTGAAAAACAATAGGCTTTTAAAAAATAAGACTTGATTACCAGAAACAAGTAATATGTAGTTACATAACCATTTTCATATCACTACTCATTTCCATTATTTACCAATTCATCTTTGATGCAACTTGGAAACAATTAAGCAGTCACTAGACACCTGTTTTAGAATCTGAAGAAATTATTATCCACCACAGGAATCTAATGATATATATATTTGCATATATTTAAAATTTCATGAGGGAAAAGGTAATAAACTATTCTAGTTATTTTATACCAAATATTGATATTCCTAGTCAAAACAACAAGGAATTAAGATCTTTCTCCAGGTGAACTGCTGACTATATAGAAGCTATTTCCAGCACTTTCTTCTGGGGATTAAAAATGATTTATTTCCCTGCTGGCTAAAATGATAAATTATATATTACAAGTAAGTCCTTCAGAAGTGAATATTAATTCCTTAAGAGAACCATAAAATGTATTTTTAAAAAATTCTCTTAAAAACTGAAAACAATCCTTCTCTCTAAACCTATGGCATTAATCCCTACTTGACCAAAGAAAAAAAAAAAAAAGAAGGGCATCATGTTCATGATCTAAGCATGCATAAATAAGGAAGCAAATGTATCACTGTCTTAATAGAATTTGGCAAACCAGAAGAATGGCCTAAAAATAAATAAATAAATAAATAAAAGAAGAAGAGTGTACCTTATCTTCTAAGTATGAAAGTCTAATTCTGTAGGCCTATGTCGCAAATAGTGCCCCACGAGGAAATGCAGGGAGGAGGCAAGTAGCATATTCCTATATACATTTTCTTGATATTCTGGTTGTCTTTCAACAATGCATTACAGAGAAATATTCTTTTTATTATTACAAGCCATTAATTGCTCTCTGTAGAGCAATGACTCAGATAAATGCCTTATGACTTTTAATAATGTAACTAACATATAAATTAAATCTAAGTGCAAGGAGTTTTCAATGATTCCTAAATTCAAGAGAGTGTTGTTAGCCTGATTATGAATTTTAAATGTCTGTGCTCCTATATTTTAGGATATTTCATCTTATTTTCTACTCTTTAAACCATAAGATGTACCGAAATTATTTCATTTTCCTCTACTTTCCTCTGTGTCATTTTAGTTTACTTTATGGTATTTATATGTAGAGAGAGAGGTATGTTAAAATATTGTCATAAAAAACTCAATTGAGGCTATATATGACCTATTACTCTATAGTATAGCATTGTTAATCTTTGACTCAGTATATTAATTCCTTTGGTGAATAAATGTCACCGGTCATTTCTTTATAAAAGCATTTTGGTAAGAGAACCAGCAATATGGAGACAGATTTCTCCCTAACCCCCAGAAGAAGATCAAGTCAAACAGTAGTGTAGAGCAGTTACGCAAAATATGAAAATACATAATTTACAGCTGCAATTTTCATATTAAAAGCAGTTTAAAACTATGAGTAATTCAAAGACTTTCTGTCTTGGTTAAACAGGCCAACTAATAAAACTGACAGAGATCATTGTGAGAATTTATCTAGTCAAGATAGAACAAAAACGGTTATAATTTTTTAAAAGTGGTAATTGTTAACTAGCAGTATATAAACAGTGTCCACAATTTGGTGGCTGGCCACGGTTTTAATTTTTTTTTTCAAGTTATTTCTATAGCAGACATATTTTTGAAGTCTACCCACCCCTGAGTTCAGCAATTATACTTTGAGTGTAAAATTATATGCCCTTAATTAACAACATGTACAAAGCTACAAAATGTCATCTATACAGATTAAAAACAATTTTAAAATATTATTTACCAATTATTGATTGAATGGTTTTACTGGGGTACGTATTTCAAACCTTTCAGCCAACTGGCTTTCAGTTTTAAGCCCAAATTGATTCATATATTCACTGCAGGATATTTCAAAAAGAGTGCAACAATAAGGCATTAGTAAAAATAACATTGTAGTAGAAACAGATTTTGCATATGTGAAAAGGTAATTTATAAAATACATTAATCACTTTTTAAAAAGAACTTAGTTGTAGTATCATTAACTCACATGGTACTGAGAACTGGACCTTTCAACAATTTTTTTTTTCTATAGAAAGTTTCATCTAGCTGTAAGCAAAGTCTTTTCAACAACAACAAAACAAAACCCTCCAGGAAAAACTATATGGCTGTGTGAGACAAATAAGCAACCATTTGATAGTGACTTTTGCCTAAATTTTAAAATAAAAATGTCCACACTCTTTTGTTAAAACATTAAGCCTCTGTCAAAAATGTATTTCTTATTTTAGGGTACAGGATTAAAGGACAAGATGATACTCACAAGTAAAGAAAATTTACAAGAAAAAACTTAACAAAAGTTTCAATAAAAGTATTGTAACATTCAAACTTGACTTATAACAAAAGAAACAAGATTGCAAACAAAAATGTTTACGGGGTTTCCAAACATAAATAAATGAAATAGTGTTTAGGCAGTAGGGCTCATGCTGATGGCTAGCAGGAAGTTAACAGAGTGTAACTTACTTGGAAAAAATCTTTAATGTACAAATAACAAGCCCAAATTATGGACTGCAGCAATTTAATCATCACTGCCATTTTTCTTACTTCCAAAATAAAGCCTTGATTAAACCATTCATACCCTATATTACTCATACCTTTACTTCAGAGATTGAGGAACTATATACAACAAATTAATTTATTTTCACCATAGGGATAACATACTGTACCTCTCTGCCAATGTTACTTGAAAATCTTCCATGTCAAAACAACTTGACAGTAGATATAAACAATTCAATAAATATGCAATGATCTTTCATTACAGTCCTTTAAAGACGCATGTTAATTCATGCTGTTAACCTTAGGATCACAGTGCATAGAATCCAAATATAAACAGTTGGGGTGACTTTTAAAGTAATGTTGGATCCCTCACTTTATTTATATTCCCACTATAACCAGTAAGTTCATTTCATAGGCCCTATCATGCATTAATCATTGAATGGCAGGAGTTAATGAAAACTTTTCCTGTTACAACGCCCATTGCCGGCAATGAACGTACCAAAACCGCCAAGGAAGTCATTGTTATTGCACAATACATGAGGACCTGGAGCTTTTCCAAAAGCTTAAAAAAATAAAAATAAAAAATGGAATTATATTTGACATTTCCTGACACCTGCATTAATACTGTATGACTAATAAAAGCATGTCAGTTGCCTGGACTGAACCAGCGATCAACATGCGCCCAGAATGCACACGAGTAAAAATGCAGTAAAAGGAAGTAGTCTTCATTGCCTATAGGTCACTTCCAGTCAAAGGTTAAAGTTCAAAGACTGAATGATCAAAGTGCTCATTTTCTCAGTAGGACTATCTTCTGCTAGGAGGATGATAACAGTGGCATCAACAAGTATCATCTTTAAGAAAAGGAGAAAAAAGATAATTAAAAAGTCAAGCATGTATAAGTAAATTCTACAAGTCTGTTTAATGTAGAAATAATTTCAATTAGCAAGAAGTACATAGTTTACATGTCTGATCTGCCTCCCCCAAACCTGTGAATACAAAGTGCAATATATGTTCAATTATACAGTGACAAATTTTTATTCTTTCAGAGAAATAGTTCACATAAACCTTAAAATGATATGTTATTAGCACATTCTATTTAAAATAATAAACTGACATGACATGTTAGTACATAGTCAGGATGTATCAATCTTAAGAGAATTATTTTATGGGCAACAAGTTCACATTGTAATGAGACAGAAGTAAACTCCTGATCAACAGTGCCATGCTATTTAACACAGAATAATACACAATTTGTCTTTAGACTGTGAAGGAAGTAACTGTTCTTTACCAATGAGATACAATCTCCAAATCAATAAACAGTTAAGATTAATTTCCCTTTAGAAAATAAGTTTTCAGGCCGGACACGGTGGCTCACACCTGTAATCCCAGCACTTTGGGAGGCCGAGGCGGGCGGATCACTTGAGGTCAGGTGTTTTGAGACCAGCCTGGCCAACATGGTGAAACCCTCCCTCTACTAAAAATACAAAAATTAGCTGGGCGTCGTGGCACACATCGGTAGTCTCAGCTACTCAGGAGGCTGAGGCAAGGGAATCGCTTCAACCTGAGAGGCAGAGGGAGGCTCTGTCTCATAAAAAAAAAAAAAAAGAAAAAAAAAAAAAGAAAATAAGCTTTCAGCAAGTATAGATACATATGCAAATGGGGTCATTAAAAAACTCATGAAATTATTTAATAATAACTTCTGGTAGCCTCAACACATATATATGTAACACAGACAACTTTAGGATTATTTATTTTACAAAATTTATTTCACAAAACATATCTGAAAGATTTATTCTGAGGATGAGTTATTCTTCAGAAGGAAGCTACATAAAGAAACTAAGACTGGTGGCCAAGAGTTGTGAAAGCACTCAAGGAAAAAATTCTGAAATCCTAGTCAAAATATTTTACAGACTGATATGGTTTGGATATCTGCCCCTTCAAATCTCATGTTGAAATGAGTGATCCCCCATGTTGGAGAGGGGCCTAATGGGGAGGTGTTCGGGTCATGGGGGCAGATCCCTCAGGAATGGTTTGGTGCCCTCCTTGCAGTCATTAGTTCACATGAGATCTGGCTGTTAAAGGGGCTGGGACCTCCTTCCTGTCTCTTGCTCCCTTCTATTGCCATGTGACTTGCCTGCTCTCCCTTCACCCTTCCACCATGAGTAAAAGCTTCCTGAGGCCTCACCAGAAGCAAATGCCAGCACTATGCTTCTCTACAGTCTTCCAAACTGTGAGCCAAATAAACTTCTCTTCTCATAAATTAGTCTCAGGTACTTCTTCAGAGCAACACAAAACAGATTAATACACTATCTCATGTTAGAATTGATATACTGCTAATTAAAAACCAGTAAAATCTGACTTCTAAGCTGGGCAAACTCATAGAGTATTCCATGATCCAGTAATTTCAAGGGGGAAACAGACTGGAGTTTAAAAATAAATCATCCCTAATTCATTAGACGCCTTAAAATAAATAAGAATAGTATCTTTAAGAAAACAAGTAGTTTATATCCTCTAAAGTTCACTCACAATTTTCTTGGCAATGCAAAGTGGCTCACGCCTGTAATTCCAGCATTTGGGGAGGCTGAGGTGGATGGACTGCTTGGGCCCAGGAGTTCAAGACCAGCCTAGGCAATACGGCAAAATGTTGCCTCTACAAAAAATACAAAAATTAGCCTGGCATGGTAGTGCATGCCTGTAGTCCCAGCTACTTGGGAGGCTGAGGCTGAGGTGGGAGGATCGCTTGAGTCTCAGAGGTTGAGGCTGCAGTGAGCCGTGATCCCTAGCCAACACCATCTCCAAAAAAAAAAAAAAAAAAAAAAAGGGGGATGTTCTTTAAATTATTGTGGTACTTGAAACAGACAGAGAAGATATACTTGTTATGGATATAAAACAAACTTAGGAATATTAATAAGTTCCTTAAAACATCGCTTCTGCAATAGAGTAACAATAGGGTTGGTCGCTGAAACTAACACTAAAACTAATCATACTCAAATCTCTAAGCTAAAAGATGGCACTAAAATTCTACCTAATATGTCAAACTACTGGGGATAAATTTTAAGGTGATACAAGATAACAATATATACAATAAGAAAAGTGACAGATAAAATTCAATTTGAACATAATGTTATCCAGTTAACTACCAATAAACTTGTATCTCCAAAGACATACCATCTTTGACAGGTGGTAGCACAAATGCATCTTTATTTACTAACTTGTTCATTGCAGAAGGTTTTTAGTATAGTAGGTTTTCTGTAGAACGTGCTACCAAAATGATTAGGAAATCTTTGTGAAGCTACTTTCCAGATCCCAATCCCTGTTTCTGACTGATATGATACTACCCACCTTTGAATACCCTCGTTTTGAAGAAACAAATGATCTGTAACAGCTAGATCAACAGGGACTTGCGGGACTACGAATCCATGATGGCTATATGTAATCAAGAGTTTATAAGCAAACTTTAAGTATAGATACAACTATGAGCCAAAGCCATCGCCATCCTTTTTCTAAATAGGATGGCCATAACTAAGAAGCAAAAAACTTATCCGTTACTAGAAAGAACATAGTTTGCTAGCCAGATGAAAGTATTATTGGATACCAGGACAAACTCACCCCCCAACCAAAAATAAATAAATAAAAAATAAAAAAAATCAGAGTAACCCATTTTGGGTCAAGACAAATACAGGCTGACAAAAGGTGGTAAAAGAATGGTATATTTAATCTCTTGGTTAAAGCATTTGTAACAAGATAATGGCCTGAAGAAAAATCTAATTATTAACCATTTATATTTTTCCTGGAAATTCAGAAGCCTCTACTAAAATTACACTTTCAAATATAACATACAAGCTGCCAGTTTCAAAGAGGTGACACCTACCATGGCTAACTTCACTGGGCTTCTGAGAAATGTAAATGAGAAAGAACTATATTAGAAGAAGGTCATTTAGTTTTCTCCTGAGAATAAAAACTATCATATAGTTTTCCAACTATCATGGAAACCCATCTCCTTGGATATCCCCAGGGACAGAAGACTAGAAAAAAAAGGAACACAGTAATACAGGTCAGTGGATATGAAGTGGATGCTACCTCCAAGAAAGAGAAAATATTTAGTTTTGTCTCTCAACAATTTAGGGAATTAAAATTTTCCTTTAACGAACCAATTCAAGAGATATTTCAAAGTAGGCAGACAAAGACTTGTTAATCAGCAGGAAACAGAAGGCACAAACAAACTGAGTAAAAGTTTGGACTCAGGAATTTAGTAAATGGTTTTATAACTCCAAAAGCTGGTACAAATAAAAAAGTTCACAACACAGGTAAATCTATGGACAGCAACTATACAGCAGGAAGAAAAGGAGTTTGATACTACTAGTCTGAGACAATTTTATGCTTCTGCCCTCTTGTAGTCTTTATACTTCTATAGAAATGTTCCAGCTGAACAGAATCAGAATGCAGTCCATGGTTTTTAAAAACCGATATTCCTCTACACCTTCCCCAAATTACAGACTCATTTTGTTGGATATGCCATCTAAACATTGTGCCAATTCATTTCCTATGAGCTTAGGTCTCTGAAACCAATCTTCAACAAACAGGAGCCTTAAGTTACACGGGGTGAGCATCCCTAAATCCAAAATCTGAAACTTTTTAAGTATCAACATGACACCACAAGTGGAAAATTCCAGACTTGACCTCATGATGTTAAACAGTTAAAACTCTGTTTCATGCAAAAAATTATTTAAAATGCTGTATAGGTCCAGTGTGGTGGCTCATGCCTGCAATCCCAGCACTTTGGGAGGCTGAGGCGGGCAGATTGCTTGAGTCCAGGAATTTGAGACCAATCTGGGCAACATAGTGAAATCCCATCTATACCCCCCAACAAAATATACAAAAATTAGCTAGGCATGGTGGTACGTTGTCTGTAGTCCCAGTTACTCGGGACACTGAGGTGGGAGGATCACCTGAGCCCGGGAAGTTGAGGCTGCAATGAGCCATGATCATACCACTGCACTCCAGCCTAAGTGACAGAGTGAGATTCTGTCTCA
The DNA here is from genome assembly GCF_000001405.40 of Homo sapiens. Classification (NCBI taxonomy): domain Eukaryota; kingdom Metazoa; phylum Chordata; class Mammalia; order Primates; family Hominidae; genus Homo; species Homo sapiens. Next base: position 73,798,298 of record NC_000008.11, read on the forward strand.
AAAAATAAATGAAGTTTTGTATAAAATTACCCTCAGAATATGTGTTTAAGGTATATGTGAAACATACATAAATTTCATGTTTAGACTTGGCTCCCATCCCCAAGATAGCTCATTATGTATATGCAAATATTCGAGAAAAACAAATTGAAACCCAAAACACTTCTGGTCCCAACCATTTCGAATAAGGGATATTCAACCTACAGTTTATAACCAACCATTCAATTTTCTAACACTTTAAGGAGAATGGTTCCAGCCAGCCACAGATCTGTCCTCCCCGCTGTGGAAAGCAAATCATTTATGAAACTAAGTTGTATATGCCTGATACTGACCTCAGAAAACAAATGGACCATACAACTAATGGACTTTAGTTGGCTACTTCACTGAAATTATTTTTATGGTCTCACAAAGAGACACATTCAAAAGATACTTTCTATCTTTCCCAAGAACAATTATCATGTCTGTTTTATGATATAGAACTCTGAGGCCTCAATCATTCATTTATTGGTGCATAGAACTGTATGCAGATCTGTTTTCTAAGGAAGATTCTAGCACTGAATCATAAGAAAATTCCTTAGCCCATCTATATGCTGAGGTGAGTTGTCTATTTTGCATACCTATTTTGGTTAGGCTTGTTTTTTTTTTAACCCTATTCTCCCTGCTCAATGGATTATTCAAAGCATAAGAATCCCCTCCCACTCCCGCACTGCCTTAACTGGCAATGAATAAATTTGCATTTCAAAGCAGGTATGACTTCAATTTCTTAGTGAATAGAAACTATAAAGGAATTCTGGAAAACACATTGATAGTCAACTACAAGTAAGTAATAAAGAAATGTGCAGTCACTATCAATACAACTTTTTATTTAATATATCCAAAGACCTCTAAACACTAATGAGGTGACTTTTTACATGGTAATAAATCACTGTGTGGTAAATAAGAACCTCAAAAGAAATAAATACAAGCTATGATGCAAGCAAAGACAATAACAGTGGGGTAAACAGTGACTGGCCTAATTCTTAAGGGATTCTAACTAATAATGTAGAAAACCACAAATTTAAGCTGAGAGAGGTCTCTTCCAAGAACTTTACAAGACCAGTGCTCTAACCCCTGAGCTATGGAGCCCTTGTGTCTTCTTCCAAGAACTTTAACACTGGTATTTGGCAGCTCAGCTTTAGCATGTCAGCAGAGTCCTCCTCTTATAAAACCAGGAAATGAAGCAAATTTCAGATTTGTTGTTTTTCATTAACTGTGCCTCCATCCTGCATCCAGCATCCAGGAAGTATATATACAATCACTAATCTAAACCAAACCTCTCTTGCCTCTTTGCTTAGATCTGACAAACACTGACTCACCTTGACCCAAGTATGTCAGGAAGCACCACACAGGAGGACTGTGGAGCTTGAGACCTGAGGCACACAATTCCACTTAGTTTCTAGAAACTGAAATGCTAAGTGTTTCAGTGAGTTTATCCAATTCTTAGTAAGCTTTTGTTCAGTTTCTGATCTTTCTGCCTAGCCTTGAAAGTCACATAAGGAAACTGGCCTGTTCTGTAAGCCTTTGAAAATTAGATGATGCTAAGAAACATCAAGAGTCCATATGTCTTGGTAACTAGGTGTTATACTGGAACAAAGCAGTATAACACCTAGAGCTAAGCAGGAAAAGATACTGACTTGTGGAAAGTTCTAATAAGAAAATTAATGTGTTATACTTTTTACAAGCGTATGATTATCTTTGTAAGATTACCCAAATTTACCTATAATGCCAGGACAAGCTATTATTCACATTGCCTGTGACTGCTATTCTGATATATATAAAGGAGAAGACAGTATGTGCTACACAGCTGAAATGCATTAGCTTTTTAAAAGTGAAGGAAAAAAAAGTGAAGAAAAAGTTCAAAGAAGATTCTCTGCAGCCATCCTAGTTGGATGACAGAACAGCTGCTTTACCATCTCAATGTGTAACAAATATTTCCATTCCTTGATTGCTATGAAACTCACTTTCAAAACAAAGTTGTCCCTTAAAAGGAGAATGGTGGAGGGGAATGATTCAAACATTCAGCATTCAAGCAAGAGGAGAAAATATATTAAGAGATAAGAATGGTCATCGCAAGTCAATGAACCAAGGATATTTTAAACAAAATTATCTGTAAATGAAAAAAAAAAATTTATGTACCCAGGACTGGGGACTGGAGTAGAACAGTCATAATTCAGGTGAGTAAGAATCCAGTGCCTTTTAAAAATAGCTCATTTGCATTGGGGGAGCGGGGAGAGGTGAAAGAGGAAAGGATAACTTTAATCTGTTTATTGGAAAAACTAATTACTGTATGAACTTCAGACTATTTTATATTATGTGAAAGGTTAATTTGGTTTGAAAGCCTATTTTTTTGGTACTTCTCGGCTTACTTGGAGATTACGTGTCTCCAAACTACTAAAAAGAACTTTCTACTTCAGTCAGCAAAGTATGGATTTCTCAGTAACATAAAAACTGTTAACTCTAAGAAAAATAACTTCTATTGGCTGGGCGCAGTGGCTCACACCTGTAATCCCAGCACTTTGGGAGGCCGAGGGGGCAGATCACCTGAGGTTGGGAGTTCAAGACCAGCCTGACCAACATGGAGAAACCTCATCTCTATTAAAAATACAAAATTAGCCGGGCGTGGTGGCACATGCCTGTAACCCCAGCTACTCGGGAGCTGAGGCAGGAGAATCTCTTGAACCCAGAAGGCAGAGGTGCGGTGAGCCAAGATGGCGCCACTGCACTCCAGCCTGGGCAACAAGAACAAAACTCCGTCAAAAAAAAGAAAAAGAAAAAGAATAAGAACTTATATTTCTATTATAAATTCTAATTTAAAGAATTAATCCTTATATTTCTGGTTTTATCTTTCCCCATTTCTTATTCAAAAGCAGGTAAGAAGAAACTCTGAAGTATTCTTAGATGAAAGACTTCTCATAAATCCTTTCAACCATATAACCCAGCATTAGAGGGGCTAGAAAACCGATTATCTTTTTGAACTTTCTCCACTAGGGAGTAGTAAATAAGGAAAAAATAGGAATACCCTCTAATAATGGCATGAGAAAGTAGGAGAGAGGGTTGTACTTTAAAAAATGTGTACTTTTAAAAAAACTCATCTTCTAAAACACAATGTCCCCTGAAGTTGCATGAAAAACCTCAAGGTGGTTTAAAAACACTTGTAAAAAAGAAGAATCTTTCAATTACTAGTGAGATTGAATCTATCTGAACCAGAATTACTAGAGTCTTAAAAACACTGACACTTAAAAATAACTATGTTTGTCAATATTCCTAATTGGCTAATCTTAATTTTTGATGCATGTGGGAACTCACTATAGTAAGATAAAGGAGTTTCTGACACTCAAGGATTTTTTTTGTTTGTTTTTTAAGGCTTTTTTGTAAAGGCATGAAGAAGCGGCTTAGTGTTTGGTCCTAAAAGGCAAAAGAATGTAAGAAAGAATTAGGCCTGTTAATTAATGAGTCTATTTGGAAACCTTGTCAAATAATCTCAGAAACAATAGTTCTCAGAAGACTAGCTACATCAGAATTATCTGAGGGTATCTTAATGTAAACAAAACCAGCATTCAAGTTTATTAGGTTCCTCAAAGGAGGGAGTACTTAACAAGGCTTTGGTGAAAGAGCTCCTAAGAAGAGAGGAGTTGTGTGTGTAGTAGAATTAATTTGAGGCAAATAGCACATGTAGAGGTAACAGATGGCAGACTAAGAAACTGAGTATATAATAATAAAGTACTACACTGAATATTTCATAAATAAAACTTTTCTTGTGTTAAGGATGTTTTTTAGGACAGATTCTCTGAAGTTTAATAACTAAGACAAATGTTTGCTCTTGAATTTTAAGCTTGCTAAATACTGCTAAACTGCTTCCTTAAAGGATTACACTAACTTGCTACATACCGCCAGCAAGTATGAAAACAATTTTATTCTACCCTTTACTCTCCCCTTCAGTATTGCATTTGTTTTATAAAACTCTGCAGATTCAGAAACTGTTTCAAAATCTTAAACTGGTAATTATTTTACTGAGCTGCACTTTTTTGCCTATTTTGTTTTTTATCCTTAAGTAACTTTCATAAACGGTTTATTTTTAATAAGCTATAAACATTTCAAAATTTTTTCAAACTTTATAACGATAGTGCTTTAAAGTTAAAGAAGCTGTACATTTTCATATAATTGAATGTTTAATTTCTTTGTGATTCCTTTTAAATTCAGAAATTCTTCCTTTCTCCAGAGAGCTGATACCCAACATTGAAAAAAAACATTTTTTTGGTTATATTTTAAAAATAGGCCAGGCGCAGTGGCTCACGCCTGTAATCCCAGCACTTTGGGAGGCTGAGGCAGGCGATCACCCTGAGGTCAGGAGTTCGAGACCAGCCTGGCCAACATGGCAAAACCCGTCTCTACTAAAAATACAAAAATTGGCCGGGTGTGGAGGCTCATGCCTGTAATCCCAGCACTTTGGGAGGCCGAGGTGGGTGGATCACGAGGTCAGGAGATCAAGACCATCCTGGCTAACACAGTGAAACCCCGTCTCTACTAAAAATACAAAAAATTAGCCGAGCGAGGTGGCGGGCGCCTGTAGTCCCAGCTACGCGGGAGGCTGAGGCAGGAGAATGGTGTGAACCCTGGGAGGTGGAGCTTGCAGTGAGCCGAAGTTGCGAAACTGCACTCCAGCCTGGGCGACAGCAAGACTCCGTCTCAAAATAAATAAATAAATAAACAAAAATAAAAATAAAAATACAAAAATCAGCTGGGCATGGTGGCGCGCCTGTAATCCCAGCTACTAGGGAGGCTGAGGGCAGGAGAATTGCTTGAACCCAGGAGGCAGAGGATGCAGTGAGCCTAGATCACGCCACTGCACTCCAGCCTGGGCAACAGAGCGAGACTTCATCTCAAAAAATAAATAAAAAATAAATAAATACAAATACTGAACCCACAAGAAATATTTTATGCAGTGAAAATATTCCTTCTCCAAAGGATTACAGATTTTCCAAGATGATTACTTACTAAATAATCCTTCCCCTTATCACTGATTTGTAATGCCTTATCATATATTCAAATGTTATATTCAACTGGGCCTAAATAAGAGGAACTGTATTTCAATGATCTGTTCTTCTATTAGTATTTTTAGTGTCCTGTCTGGTAGATTAATTCTCCATTACCTTTATGGCTCAAAATTCAAACTTTGTTCTTCTCATCTACTATTTTTTTCCCAAACTTTTCAAACACCTATCTCCCTTCCCACCCCCACAATCATTCACTGGATTTGTAATGAACTCCATCGAACCTACAGTTTGTAAAATACACGTATTTTTATTTCACAGCTCTTAAAGTTTTGCCATTTTCTTCTTCTTCTAAGTCATATGTATTTCTTATTGATATTACCCCAAATTTTCACATTTCTGTCTCTCAGGAACAGCATATTTCTTTGTTTTCTTTTTTCTTTTCTTTTTTTTTTTTTTTGAGACGGAGGCTTGCTCTGTCGCCCAGGCTGGAGTGCAGTGGCGCGATCTCCGCTCACTATGAGCTCCGCCTCCTGGGTTCATGCCATTCTCCTGACTCGGCCTCCCGAGTAACTGGGACTACAGGCGCCTGCCACCACGCCCGGCTAATTTTTTGTATTTTTAGTAGAGACAGGGTTTCACCGTGTTAGCCAGGATGGTCTCAATCTCCTGGTCTCGTGATCCACCCACCTCAGCCTCCCAAAGTGCTGGGATTACAGGCATGAGCCACCACGCCCGGCCACTTCTTTGTGTTTTCTAATTTTTAACTACTGGCATAGTTCTATTGCACTGACTCGGGTCATCTTTTCGTTCAACACCTGGGGAACTTTTAAGTTTTTAATTCACTCAATTTAGGTGAGGATACAGAAGGCTTCACACTGGATAGAAGATACGGGGAGAAGGTCATAGTTCAATTAGTTTTTGCTAGTTCTAATTTATTATCAGGTTAACATTAAAAAAAAAAAAAAACCCACACACATAAAAAACCCCAAAGGCAATACTCTTATGTATACAAAAATCACAGGGGATGGTTTTTGTTTACTTGCTTCAAAAACTACATTGAAGAATACAGACTTTTTGTTTTTAATTTCAAATAACTCTTCAGGGAAGCATTAAGGTTAGTTTAGAAATACTAGCAGCTCTGAATTATCATTACCATCCCAACAAATACAATAGAAATTTAAAATTAGAGAGTACTTTATTAATACAACTACAATCAGCAGAATCTCACTTTTTTTTTTTTAAGGGATAATGATTAGAATAGAGAGCTTTCTAATTTAATGAGGTACCCCTTACTGTGACTCCCGCCTCCTCCCGGCCATGAATACTACCAGAACTAAATGAACAAACAAGGCATCAAAACTTCTATTTCAAACAACAGACTTCCCAGTAACTAGTTCTTTTTTTTTTTTCCTTTGGAGATAGAGTCTCATTCCATCACTGTCACCCAGGCTGGAGTAGAGTAGCGTGATCTCAGCTCACTTCAACCTTCGCCACCAGGGTTCAAGTGATTCTCATGCATCAGCCTCCAGTGGAATTAGCTGCAAGCCACCACGCCCATCTAATTTTTGTACTTTTAGTAGAGACGAAGTTTCACCATGTTGACCAAGCTAGTCTTGAACTCCTGACCTCAAGTGATCTGCCCACCTCTGCCTCCCAAAGTGCTGGGATTACAGGCGTAGGCCACCATGCCTGGGCTCCCAGTAAATAGTTCTAATTTGATCTAAAGATTATTAACAACTTCTTTTCTGTAATACAATGGTAGAGTCTCCGAATGTCAAAGTAATTTTACATTTTACTTTTATGATGGCTATGATTTTGTTTGCCCCATTAAAAATCTGGTGTAGTGCTGGGCGTGGTGGCTCACGCCTGTAATCCCAGAACTTTGGGATGCCCAGGTGGGCAGATCACCTGAGGTCAGGAGTTCAAGACCAGACTCATCAACACACAGAAACCCCATCTCTACTAAAAATACAAAATTAGCTGGGTGTGGTTGCACATGCCTGTAATCTCAGCTACTTGGGAAGCTGAGGAAGGACAATCGCTTGAACCCAAGAGGCAGAGGTTGTGGTGAGCCAAGAATAACACCATTGCACTCCAGCCTGGGCAACAAGAGCAAAACTCCATCTCAAAAAAAAAAAAAAAAACAAAAAAAACTAGGGTAATTCATCCATTAAATATATTAGAATATTTTAAAGAATTTTCTTCATATAACATAAATATAACACCAATTATAGCTTCTCTTCTTTTTCCCAAGTCTTATAGCAAATATATATAATCTTCATATCAAAATGCTAAAAAGTTATTACAAATTCAAACTGCTTACCATGATACCACCATTTTGTTTTCTTTGGATTCTTGTTACATGTTCGCACATAAAAAGAATTATCCGGTGGTCGTCTCTGAAACAAAAAATAATTTAAATAGGTTGAAAAACAGAAAAACTGAGAGGGTGACAGTTTTAATAAAAGCTTAAGAAAAATTAACAGAATGCATAAAAAACAATATAAACATGAATAGTATATCTAAAAGAATAAAAACTATAAATGTATTCCAGGAAATGTGTATGCTTAACACCTAAATTTAAAAAAGGAATAATAAGCGTGTTTGAGTGTGGTCTGTGTTAGGTTCTAGCCTGGCCAACATGGTGAAACCCAGTCTCTACTAAAAATACAAAAAAATTAGCTGGGCATGGTGGTGCGTGCCTGTAATCCCAGCTACTTGGGAGGCTGAGGCAGGAGAATTGATTGAACCCGGGAGGCAGAGGTTGCAGTGAGCCAAGATTGTGACATTGCACTCCAGCCTGACAACAGAGCGAGACTCTCGTCTCAAAACAAACAAACAAAAAATTAAATAAATTATAAAGGGAATGAAAAAGGACTGATGAGAAAAGTCAAATTCACATAATAATTTAAACATAGCCGGGCGCAGTGGTGGGCATCTGTAATCTCAGGTACTTGGAAGGCTGAAGCAGGAGAATTGCTTGAACCCAGAAGGTGGAGGTTGCAGTGAGCCGAGATGGTGCCACTGCACTCCAGCTTGGGTGACAGAGTGAGACTCCATCTCAAAAAATAAATAAATAATAAAACAAAGGGCCAGGCGCGGTGGCTCACGCCTGTAATCCCAGCACTTTGGGAGGCCGAGGCGGGTGGATCACGAGGCCAGGAGATCGAGACCATCCTGGCTAACACGGTGAAACCCTGTCTGCTAAAAATACAAAAAAAAAAAAAAAAAAAATTAGCCGGGCGTGTTGGCGGGCGCCTGTAGTCCCAGCTAACTCAGGAGGCTGAGGCAGGAGAATGGCGTGAGACTGGGAGGCGGAGCTTGCAATGAGCCGAGATTGCGCCACTGCACTCCAGCCTGCGTGACAGAACCAGACTTCGTCTCAAAACAAAACAGAAAAGTCTACTAAACTAGATTTGTTGGGAGAAGTATAGCAATGTACAAACCTCCACAAAGAACTGTTTTTACTGTAATAGAATACCATCAAAGATAGACCAGAAGATTCAGTTTCTAAACAATATTTAAGAGAAAAAATGGGAAAAATATATATTGGCATTTCTACTATAATTGGCCTTTCTGCTGAACATATGCCCTGACTAGAACAATATATGAGAAATATATGGCAGCTCCGCAAGGGAGCTACCGCAGATAAAGTGATGCCAACAACACTGAAGATATATTATGGAAGAGACTTTTCCTGAAATTTGTTGCATACTGCCTAGACAAAAGAAAATGTTACCCTCTACAAAGACTTGGAAACATCAAATTTATATTAAAGCTATATTAAAGTTTATAGATACTATGATAGATATCCTTATCCTTTAGTCTCCTTTATGCCTTTCGGAATCATTCCAATAACTTGATTATTTTCCTATCATTAAATATTGTATAGTGTATATGCAGGATTTATTTTCAGACTTAAATCTGCTTAGCTAAGCTAATGAAAATGAGAGATTAAGGGAATCCTCTCCTCTACCTGAGGCTAATGAAAATAAGTGAATTTGGTATGACATCATTTAAGGAAAGTCTAACCAGAAAGCAATCGTGAGTAGGACTCTGTGATAGCAGGAAGGAAAACAGTTAGTCCATTTGGCACTTCTAAAACTCATATATGTAACTATCAGTCTAGTTGAGCCTCACAATGCTCTTATGTGTTAATATTAGTAATTTCATTTAACAAAAAGAAACATTAGAGCATAAGACAGTCAAGACATTTAGGTATTCCAAGTCAATCTGTGGACACAATTTGAGAAAATTCCTAAAAAATGAATATTATGAAATTAGATGCCTGACTACTTCAAGGAAGGGATGATTCTACAAAGTTAAATCTATGTTCATATGGAATTGGTACTACTAGAGCAGATACTTTCACAAACTCATTTTATGTATATGTTGATTAGAACCCAAGAATCATCAGAAAAGTCTTCAAAAAATACATATTTAGAAAAAAGAAATACTCAATTCTATTTGCTTAAATCATTTATCTCCCTGACAAATGATCAGGGAGATACAGTTCTTGGAAAAGAAACTATACAAAAGAAGTCTTACGAAATTGTTTTAGGAATGGGATACAAACTGAAAAGTTTGAACAATGTAAATATATTACAAAGGCATGCAAATAAAGTGGAATTTACTGAAAGTCCTGTGATCTCAATATCAGAAATTATCTTTAATCCACTACAATCTAATGACATACTGGATTTAAATACCTTCAGTTTATGGAACCACTCCTGACTGTGTAAAAGGAAATTGGAATAGAAGAATTATGACTAAAGTCCCAAACACCTAAAGTAAAATATTTAATAGTAGTAGAATTAACAAAGTAAAGCCCATAGAACCATGTCCACTACGGAATAAAATTTACCCGTTTTAATAATAATAAAACGTGTAGATGGGTATTTAAAATACTTTTCTTTTTTCTTTTTTGAGACAGAGTCTTGCTCTATTACCCAGGTTGGAGTGCAGTGGCGTGATATCAGCTTACTGCAACTTCAGCCTCTGGGTTTAAGCAAGTCTTGTGCATCAACCTCCCAAGTAGCTGGGACTACAGGCATGCGCCACCACGCCCAGCTAATTTTTCTATTTTTAGTAAACAGGGTTTAGCCATTTTGCCTAGGCTGCTCTTGAACTCCTGGCCTCAAGTGCTCCACCCTTCTCGGCCTCCCAAAGTAGTAGGATTACAGGCGTGAGCCACTGCACCTGGCCTAAAACACTTTTTAAGGTTTCTTTGGAGCTTAGATCTCTCTAATGCCAGATCGTCTCAATGCCAAGGCAAATTTCCTCTTCATCTTTGTAACTTATCACTTAGCACAGTAAAAGTAGCACATACTAGGTACCTAGTAAATGTTTTTTGAATTTTATCGTATTTCATGGAAATCTTGATTTCTGTATTATCATCTTGGTTAAATATTATACAACTATTACAGTAAAAACATAGTTTATTAGTGCTTTAAATGGAATGATTAGTCTTATACTAAGTGTACAAGAAACACTAGTAGCAGACAACTAGAATGTAAGGGGAATGGTGAGGGTTAGAGGAAGATGAAGGAAGTACACAGAATATAGTCATTCTCTAGTTTTTAATAATAAATCATTATATTTAAATGTAAATAAAATCTAATAATCATGAGGCACATGCAAGACTATGTACAGATATCGCTGACATTAATCTCTTAATAACTTTCTTATTAAATACTGTTGTTACCGTCTCACCTTTCTATAGTCTTTAAGCGTAACAGGAACATAGAAGGCCTTGTACCCACAAACTGCTTTGCCCTACACATAAAAGTTTAAAACGTGTGTGTGTGTTGGGGGTGGGTGAGAGGAGAAAATATAACAGCAATAAGCAACAAATGAGTAAAAAAACAAAACAAAACCAATTTAACCTATTATTTCACATGCTGTGGCTTAGAGTGCTTCAGATTCTAAATAACCTATCATTAAAAAATGAACTATTATCTTAAAAGTTCTCCAAATACTAATTTAATAAAAATGACAATCAGTTCAATTTGGAGAAAAGGAAAGAAAACTGTAAAACACAAATAACTCCCTAACCTCTAGGGCAAAGCTGTTTCTCCTTTAAACAGAATGCAAAAGGAAAACCCTCATAGGGATTTAAGAGGGGTTTTAAAATGTAGAAATACATAAATGTTATGCTATACTAACCCTTAAGCAGGAATGACAAGAGTGTCAGAAGTGTACAGAGGATTCAGATACATTTAAAGGGTATCCTAAATTTATATGTATATTTTAAATTTATTTCATTATTATTTTCTTGAGATGGAGTCTCGCTCTGTCACCCAGGCTGTAGTGTAGTGGCATGATCTTGGCTCACTGCAACCTCCTGGGTTCAAGCAATTCTCCTACCTCAGTCTCCTGAGTAGCTGGGATTACAGGCATATACCATCACACCCAGTTAATTTTTGTATTTTTAGTAGAGACAGGGTTTCACCATGTTGGCCAGCTGGTCTCGAACTCCTGACCGCAGGTGATTCACCTGCCTAGGCCTTCTAAAGTGCTGGGATTACAGGTGTAAGCCACCGTGCCCAGCCTACATTTTAAGTTTAATTAAGTGATTTTTTTTCTTTTTGTTTTTTTTCCCCCCACTTCCATCAGACATAGAATCTGTGGATTAATAAAGGAGAACAGGAAGAAACGCCCTGAAAATTCGACTGGTAAACTGGTCTTCCTCCTTCAACCTAATCATTAGGACAGGGAAGCTCTGGTTCCTGAAAAATTCCCTGAAACAGGTTGATCGGGTGGGAGCTGGCAGAGGGGAGAAGGAAGCTATGATGCACTTTTCTGAGGCTTTCCACTGTGAAATCTACAAAAAGAATTTCTTGTATACTTTTACCTGTGCATGCTTTTGGGAATAAAATCAGCTTTAAGAAAATACCGTACATTTCCTGTTTAAAAGAATATAAAACAGTAAGTCTGGCTTCTACCCCATTCAACATGTAAAACTTCTATTTGGAATGAAAGGTATCAAAATAACTTTCCAATTTATTACTAAACATGAAATTCCCTATAATTTTCAAATAAAAAGCATAAATCCTTCCTCCAAATAAAAATAATTACATATTAAAATTATTTATCTACCTAACTGAAAGAAGAGATATTATCTGGAATAATTCTGAAAAGTCTTACCTTTTCCTTGCAGCTGGAAAGCATGCTAATAATGCTAAGACAAACTGATTGGACTGAGAGCGCTGGGGACCAGTCTTCTGTTAGAATGGATAAACAGATATGACCATTGCTATAAACATGAGGATGAACAGGAATATTTTCACCAGTAAACATGACCTAAGAGAGAATAAAATTCCATTAAAACTCAAATATTCTCTACTACCAAAAACTAAAATATTCTCCACATATAACAAATATTGATTATAAAAAAACAAAAAACCACCAAAATCAGTGCCAGGAACATGATAAACAACTGCTTATTTGTTTACTCTCATTAACTCAGTAAGTATTGGTTTCACTGAACGAATAACCACATAGTAGGGAAAAGATGCCAAATTATTTTTTATTTCGGTTATTTTTGATAAATTCTCCTTAAAAATTCTAAACTACGTATTTTTTACTAGTGAAAGACAACTACATTTATAAGAATGATTTTTCAGATTTTGCTCATTGCTCTCTGCATATAAAAATCAAGTATGATAAAATTCCAAACAAAAATATTCAATTTTGGGAAAATATGAATGACAGGTGGTAGGAACATTCCTCCTACTACTACCTGTTAACAATGTTAGCTCTAAGGCACATGTGCAAAGGGAAATGACTGTTATATATTCCACCTCCTCTAAACTTACACATCCATTATGATGGGTACAAGTTACTAGCTGTTAATCAGTAAATAACTATGTGCCTAGACGAAAAATACAAAAGTTGACCAAGTCTCCCAATTTGCAGTTTTACTCTCCTTTCCCTTTTACTCAATTCTTCTGTAACACTGTTTTTCCTTTCTCTATCATGTCTCAGCAATGTTTTGAATGGTAATAAATCTATTATTTCCTTCCTTTGCTCTAATAATTCAACAAATATCTTAAAGTAGTTTTTCTTAAACTTATTTACCTAAGCAAATAGGCAGGAGAATAAATTCATATATCCTGAGGAATCTGTAAGCATAGTCCAAAGTTGCTCGAAGAAAGCAGAAGTCTTATGTTTACACTGTGTACTATATTTATTCTACAGGTTAGCAGTAATTCCTAATTCCTGACCTCGCCAAAAATCAAACAAAAAAACAAAAGAACACATAGTTGGAAGATCTGCTTAAAAATACAAATTCAAGTGTCCTGCTTTCACAGATTCTAATTTAGTAAGTATAATTAGATTTTTATAAAACCCATCAGATATAAACCAACAATTCCTAAATCAGATTTACAGTATCTCAGCCCTGCAAACTGCCTCATACCCAAGTACAACAGAATATCAGTAAGGAGAAATCTTACCTTAAGTTATAGCAGAAACTGATAAAAGATATACAGTATTGCTTTAGGCATACCCTTTTTTCTCTTTATAGAGCAGAAAAAAGAACCAGTGAGGTAAATATGAATAGAATAAGGTATGCTATAGTTTAATATGGAATATGTTATAGGAAATTACCATAAGCTAAGTTTTATATATATTTTAAATATCTAGCTATGAATCTGATTTTGTTACAATGTTACAATTTTACAAAGATTTACATGTTAATAAAGCAGTCTTTCATATGAGTAGAGTCTTCTAATATTTCAAATATATTAACTAACATATGGGACACATTTCCTTGGCTAAGACTAGATAAGACAGCAAAAGGCATTTTTTTCCCAAAGGAACGATTTTCCATACTTGCATCTATTTCTTTTTTTTCTTTAAATTCTGGACATCAACTCTCCATTCCCACTAATAAAAAAAAAAAAAAAAGCTAAAAAACAAAAGTAAAGTCTCAAAATAAGAGAAATCAAGTCACTTATCCTACCTAATTGCAGAAGACTCCCTGAAAGGACTTTGATTTTGTAATGGCTACGCTCTATGCATGACATTTATCTCAATTACATCTATCGGTGCTAGTACCCTCTTCATTACTTTTTGCTAAAAAAAAGTATTGCTCTGTAAAAGAAAACAAATGCTTACATGGTCTTATAGTTCCACACTGGAGTCTGTCCACAACTGTTTTTTAATGAAATTTTATTTTTCATAAATATGAACTATAGTTTATTACATCATATGCATCTGATACTCCCATGTGTTGTAGATGTACAGAATGGGAGTTTACAAATCTTACGGACATCTACCTTGAGGTATTCATTTTGCCATAAAAAGCCATTTGACCAGTAGGATATTTTCATTAAAACACAAGCAATACCCAAGAGTTTCTTCTTTGGCCACAATTATTTTTTTAAAAGATATTTTTCGGTGTGGCTCATGCCTGTAATCCCAGCACTTTGGCAGGCCGAGGTGGGTGGATCACCTGAGGTCAGCAGTTTGAGACCAGCCTGGCCAACATGGCGAAAACCCGTCTCTACTAAAAAATACAAAAAATTAGCTGGGAGCGGTGGCACGTGCCTGTCATTCCAGCTATTTGGGAGGCTGAGGCAGGAGAATTGCTTGAACCCGGGAGGCAGAGGTTGCAGTGAGCTGAGATCGCACCACCGCACTCCAGCCTGGGCGACAAGAGCGAAACTCGGCCTTAAAAAAAAAAAAAAAGATATTTTTCCCAGTAAGGTCTCTATCAAGAAGTCAAGAAGAATAGTGATCTGAAAGTGCCACAAAAAAAAAAAAAAAAAAAAAAAAAAGAACAACTGCCAAATTATCTTCTTTGGCAAAACTGAATCACCAACCTTTAAAGAAAATAGCAACACGAAGGTTACTACATCATGTTTCACCCAGCCAATTCAGAGCACAAGGAGAACAGTATTTTTCCTAAAGAGAAATGGTTATAAACTAAATCACTTGGCCTGAGAGCCAGTAAGTAGGCATGAACCAAAAGGTACTCAGGAGAGAAGAGAAAGAAAAGCGATGAGTAGCAGTAGAAAACACCTACAGCAGATGCAGCAGATATTCTGTAAGCAAAGAGAACCAGTAATGAAGAAGACAGAAACAACTGTGAAGTAGAAGAGGACTGAGATAAAAATAATTCAGATCTCAATAACCTTTAAATAAAACAGCAGGGGCTTTTTAACATACTGCATGCAGGGCAAATGCAGCCACCCTAAAACTTTTAGCAACCAAAACCAGGGGAATTGCATGTAATAGGTAACCCTTAGGGCCTAACCTGCCAGATACAGAATTTTAGAAGTTTGTCTAAACATATAAAGGGTGAATTTACATGCCAGAGGTGAATTTACATGCCAGAGGTGAATTTCTGAAATAAAAGGAAATTTTTTTCAATAGTTCATTCACATAAGGGGCAAATAAGCATAGTTTCCACAGATGGTTTTTTTTTTTTCTTTCCCCAGATAGAGCTTTGCTCTTGTTGCCCAGGCTGGAGTGCAATGGTACGACCTTGGCTCACTGCAATCCCCGCCTCCCAGGTTCAAGTGATTCTCCTGCCTCAGCCTCCACCTGCCACCACACCCAGCTAATTTTTTGTATTTTTAGTAGAGATGGGGTTTTACCACGTTGGCCAAGCTGGTCTCGAACTCCTGACCTCAGGTGATCCACCCACCTCAGCCTCCCAAAGTGCTGGGGTTACAGGCATGAGTCACTGCACCCGGCCCACAGATTGTTCTAATGTAAACTTTGCTAATCTGGTTCTCTGCATGGGGAAAGTAACCAAGGCAGAATTTCTTCAACTGCATACTGTTAGCCATCCTCATTTATTTAATACTCACTACAAGCCAAAGGAGAAAGTGAATGTTTCAGTTTTTTAACTCAGTCAAGTAGTTTCTACAAACAAGAAATTATTAAGTTGTTTCTAAGGTTCAAAAAAATTTTTTTGGAGTTTCAAGTAGCTGACAAAACTGACTAGAACCGATGTGACAAAACAACTGAACACAATAAATTTGAAACCATAGCAACTTTGCGAATGTATTCAAAATAGTCATATGAACAGCCAACGATGGAGACCACGGACATTCCTCGCTGCGTAAATTACACTAAGTAAAATGGAATTACAGATTTTTAAAGAACGATTTGATGGAAATACAGTTTTAGAAAAGGATCTTAGACCGAATGTACATGAATCAAGTTTGAAGTTGCATTAGAAACAGTCTTTTTTTTTGAGATGGAGTCTCGCACTGTTGCCCAGGCTGGAGTGCAATGGCCCGATCTCTGCTCACTGCAAGCTCCATCTCCTGGGTTCATATGATTCTCCTGCCTCAGCCTCCCAAGTAGCTGGGATTACAGGCGCACACCACCACGCCTGGCTAATTTTTTGTATTTTTAGTAGAGATGGGGTTTTACTATATGTTGGCCAGACTGGTCTCAAACTCCTGACCTTGTGATCCGCCCGCCTCGGCTTCCCAGAGTGCTGGGATTACAGGCGTGAGCCACTGCACCCAGACTGGAAGCAGTCTTTAATTATTACTACCTTTCCAAACATCTCCCGAGCAGTATGGCTTATTCAAAAGCAAGTGAGAGCTAAGAGAGAAATAATTATGCTCAGGGTATGTATCATTTTGGAGATAAGTATGTTTATCCCACAACCAACCTGAAATTTTAAGCAGGCCAATCTCTGGGTAATTTTTGGGTACTGTGAATGTAGTGCCTTTCATAAAACTACTAAAATCTACACTGAAAGCCACCATAGTGATAAAAATAAAAAATAAGAATGAACAGGGGTTGGGGATGGTGACTCACACCTGTAATCCTAGCACTTTGGGAGGTCAATGTGGGAGGATCACTTGAGCCCTGGAGCTCAAGACCAGCCTGGGTAACAAAGTAAGATCCCATCTCTAAAAAAAATAGTAACTAGCCGCATGTGGTGGCATGCTCCTGTAGTCCCAGCTACTCAGGAAGCTAAGGTGAGAGGATTGTTTGAGCCAGGAGTCTGAGGTTGCAGTTGAGCTACGATAGCCCATGGCACTTCAGCCTGGGCAACAGAGTGAGACCCTGTCTTGGAAAAAAAACAAAAAACAAAAAACCTCACTCAAAGTTGGTGTAGTCAGAGAAATAGCTCAATATTATAGCTACCAATATTTATAATGACTTAATAAAAATCAATAATTGAAAGTAGACTTGTAATTGTACACTTCTATATGTTTATACAGTTTACCAAAAACCTCTGCATTATTGCTAAGAACAAAATAAAGGATGGGTATCAGGTACCTTTCTAATATGAAATTCAAGAATTTTCAAACATCAAGCCCAATACTGAAAGGCCTTATGGTACTGAGATCTTACCACGAAGGAGGCACAACTACTGTTCAGACTAGAGTTGCAGAGGTAGTTAGAAAGTCTATAACCTAACATGGTGTCAAGCTAGGTCAAAACACAGTGTATATAAACGAGCAGTAAAAAACAGAATATAATTATAAAAGCCAATCTACAATATGGATACCAAGGTTTTTCCAGGGACAGTATGAGGAAAATATGTTCTCTGATTACAATTATTATAAGATAGTATTTAATGCAGACAACAGTACTTAATGTGTAACTACATAAACTGAACATACAAGCAATCAGTTTATTGTTGTAATGGAAACTAAATCAGATATTTATGTATAACATACAATATAGGTAGTCTACCATAAACGGTATTTGACAAAAATGACTGGAGATTGGAATCTTAGCATAGCTTTCCATTCAATTCTCCCTTTTTAGTCCTCTCATACACAGCAAGCATCCATAAGTGTTCCCTGATACTCTGTAATAACGAGTACCATGCAGCTATAGTGCAAAGACAAAATTATTGGACACAACGAAACTAAACTTGGATTGTCTTGGATGGTAATCATTCTCTTCCCTTTATACTCTATGTTCTTTTAGCCTACTAGTCTAATCCTCTATCTTCCTTCCCCTTGACCCCCAAGGCTTCAGTGAATAGGGTTCACTGTTAACCTTCTTGTCAGGTGTCCAAGACGCTTGTCAATTTAAGGCAATAAAAACTGTTATTCAAAGACTTTGGAAAGCTTGAACATCACCCATGAAAGAGGATGGAAAATCAGACCAGGAAAAAAAGACAAGATGAGGACATCACGAACATAGGTTCTGGATCTCTGCAAAGAATGAATTTTGAGCAACAGAAAAGGGTCCGTGGTAAGGAGGCATGAATAGGAGGGGGGAATGAGGATGAAGAGGAAGGTAATTACTCTTTTGCCTCAGTACTTTTAAAGCTTTACAATCAAGGCAATTGTACTTTCAGCACCACTCTTAGCAACAAAATGGCTTCTAATCAAAGAGACACTGTCCCCTTCCCTCTAAAATAAACATTTTCCCTATTTCTAAAATACTGAAAACGTCTTCATCAAAAATTAGCTAAAAGTCTCTAAAACAAGGCCGGGCACGGAGGCTCAAGCCTGTAATCCCAGCAGTTTGGGAGGCCGAGGTGGGCGGATCACTGGGGGGTTAGGAGTTCCAGACCAGCCTGGCCAACATGGCAAAACCTTGTCTCTAACAAAAATACAAAAATAAGCCAGGCTTTGTGGTGCGCGCCTGTAATCCCAGCTACTGTGGAGGCTGAGGCAGGAGAATCGTTTGAACCCGGGAGGCGGAGGTTGCAGTGAGCCAAGATTGCGCCACTTCACTCCAGCCTGGGCAACAGAGTGAGACTCTGTCTCAATAAAAAGTGCCCAGGCATGGTGGCTCACACCTATAATCCCAGAACTCTGGGAGGCTGAGGCGGGCAGATCACAAGGTCAGGAGTTTGAGACCAGCCTGGCCAACATGGTGAAACCCCATTTCTAACTAAAGATACAAAAAAAATTAGCTGGGTGTGGTGGTGCACGCTTGTAATCCCAGCTACTCAGGAGGCTGAGGCAGGAGAATCACTTGAACCCAGAAGGCGGAGGTTGCGATGAGCCAAGATCATGCCACTGCACTACAGCCTGGGTGACAGGGCGCAACTCCATCTCAAAAATAATAATGATAATTAATAAATCAATGTAATAGATGTATTTCAGATTTCTTTCACTCAAATAGAATGCTTTAACAGAGGAAAGGGGTACAAATACTGGATATGTAAAGGAATGGAAGAACTTTCTCTTGGATATAGAAAGGAAAAGTAGTAATAGAGTCAAGATACTAAGCTTGAGGACTTCAGAGGTTTTTTTTGTTTTGTTTTGAGATGGAGTCTCGTTCTGTCGCCAGGCTGGAGTGCAGTGGCATGATCTTGACTCTCTGCAACCTCCATCTTCCAGGTTCAAGCAATTCTCCTGCCTCAGCCTGCTGAATTGCTGGGACTACAGGTGCACACCACCATGCCCAGCTAATTTTTGCATTTTTAGTATGGGTTTCACCATGTTGGCCAGGTTGGTCTCAAACTCCTGACCTCAAGTGATCTGCCTGCCTTGGCCTCCCAAAGTGCTGGGATTAGAGGCATGAGCCACCACGCCCAGTTGTGGACTTCAGAGTTTTGATGGAGATGGGCCATCCCTCCTAATACCTATGATAGAAACGTCAAACTTCTTTCACACTGCAAGACCCTTTTTGATAAGCCCCAAAATAACCTTCCACTCTCATCTCCTGCTGTAATCCCCCATGTATCGACACATAAAACTACAAGAGCCCATGCTCACAAATGTAAGGAGGCCAAGTCCTTTCACACCTTGCCCTATACTTTTCACATAAACTCTTTTTGTCCTTTAAGGCCCAGTTCTACCAGTTCAAATAGGTTTTTCTTTGCCCCCTTAGAATATTCTAAATTGGTTGCTTTCCCTTTTGCCCCCAAAGCATACAATTCACACTTCAGTTGTCTGTACAGTTGCATATGCCAAAAATCATGGAGTCTTCCTTGACTCCTCCCCTCCTTCAATCATACTCCAAATTAATCCATTAGCAAATCCTGTTGATTTCAACCTTTAAAACAGGTCCAAAACATGACCACCTTCCAAAACGTCCACTGCTACCCTTCTGGTGCAAGTCACCATCATCTCTCACCTGGGTTACTTTAACGGCCTATCTGATCTCCCTGCACCTTTATGCCCTGAACGGTTTATATGCCACACAACAGCCAGACTGTTCCTTTTAACTTTAAATAGGACTATATCGTTCCTCTGCTCAAAACCTTCCAAAGGCTTCCCCATCTCACTAAGAGTAAAAAGTCAAAATTCTTACAAGGGGCTATAAATGTCCTATATAATCTGTGATGACCGCTCCAGCCCAAATGATCTCTCTGACTAATACAGTTTGGATGTTTGTCCCCTCCAAATCTCATGTTGAAATGTAACCCCCAATGTTGGAGGTGGGGCCTGGTGGGAGGTGTGTGGGTCACTCTGGGTGTGTGCTCTCATGAATGGCTTGGTGATGTCCTCGACAGTGAATGAGTTCTCTTGAGATCTGGTTGTTTCAAAATGTGTGGCACCTCGCCACTGACTCTTGTTCCCACTCTCGCCATGTGAGACACTGCTCCCTCTTCACCTTCTGCCATGATGGTAAGCGTCCTGAGGCCAACACCAGAAGCAGATGGTGGCACTATGCTTCTTGTACAGCCTGCAGAACTGTGAGCCAATTAAACCTCTTTTCTTTATAAATTACCCAGCCTCAGGTCTTTATAGCAGTACAAAAATGGCCTAATACACTGACCTAAGCCTTACACTCCCCTTCCTGTTTATACACCACTCCAGGGACCCGTCCTACATATTCCAGATTTAGAGCCTTTGCATTTTGTCTTCATCTGTTCTTTCTCTCAACCCTTTCAAATGGCTTACTCCTGCACATCTTTCAGATCTCTCCTCCAATGTCACCTTCTCAGTGAAATCTTTCCCAGTGACTCTATCCAATATTTCAACACCCTCATCTCCCCTTCTGTACTTTTCCCTCACCATCTTCCATACTATATGTATTCTACTCGTTGCTTACTGTCTCTCCCCACAAGAATGCAAACTCCATATAAGCAGGGTTTTTGTTGCTGTTGCAGTTTTGGTCATCATTGAATCACCAGCACCCAGCACAGTGTCTGTCCCATGACACATCCTCAAGAAATACGGAATGAATATTTACCTATCCAAATACTAAACAGATTATAAACTGTTTAAAGGCAGGCCCAATGCCTTTTAAAACTCTGTACTCTCTCCCCTCTCTCAAGAAACAGTATTTGATACATAATTCATGCCCAATACATGTTGAATTAACCAACCATTTACCTGTATCCTAGCATAAAAAAGCAGAATATGTACATAGAAAGCTATTTTCTGTATGGCTGACAGTAAGTGTACATTAGCGGCAAGCAGTGATGAAAAGATGCCTCATCTCTGTTTCCATATTAACAGACAAATTGTTTGTTGTTATTCTTTCTTTTAAGGCAAATGACTGAGCCAAACATATTTTAGAGAGGTAACTTTTTCATTATAAGGCAGGACACAACATGAGACATAAAATATAACTGGCAGGAAGAAAAACACAACAAACCATAATGGTGTGTGACAGTCTTACTGATCTCATTTACAGGTACAAAAGCAGTAATTTCACAATGAGATTCATCTATTCTAGAAATATTTTCCAAATTCTACTCTTGTAACTAGTGATAAACTCAGTACTGTTCATTGCATAGAAAGATGAAAGACTTTTCTTTCTTTTTTTTATTAGAGATGGGGTTGCCCTACGTTGCCCAGGCTGGTCCCAAAACTCCTGGGCTGCCTTGGCCTCTCAAAGTGCTTGGATTACAGGCATGAGTACCATGCCCAGCCAGAAAGATGAAAGACTAATTTAGGTAACAAGTGCTAATGCTACAGAGTTTCATCAAATAAAATTTTGGGGGAATTTTACTGCCCTAGAGGACTGGTTCTAGCCACTTTCCCAGGGCAGTGGATCTCTGCAAAGTTTCAGTTATTGGAAAAATCTTGAAGTCTATAAGCACATCAAGCATTGATGTTTGACCCATTATAATTATGTTAAAACTATATAGATTATGTATAAATACATTTTAAAAAATTTTAACGTATTACTGGCCTCAGAGTAGTTCTGCCATTTTCCCAATCAATGGATATTAGAATATACAACCTCTATGCCATGTGAGGGACTACAGAATTAACTGATATTAAAAAGGAATCCTCACTGGGCGTGCCTATGATCCCAGTACTTTGACAGGCCGAGGCGAGCAGATCACTTTAGGACAGGAGTTCAAGACCAGCTGGACCAACATGGTGAAACCTTGTTTCTACCAAAAATACAAAAAAAAATAAGCCAGGCATGGTGGTGCATACCTGTAGTTGCAGCTACTCAGAGAGGCTGAGGTGGGAGAATGGTTTAAGCCCAGGAGGCAGAGGTTGCAGTGAGCAGAGATCACACCACTGCACTCCAGCCTGGGCAACAGAGCGAGACTCTGTCTCAAAAAAATAAAAAACAAACAAACAAACAAACAAACAAACAAAAAAACAAAATAAAAAAACCAAGCCAGGCATGGCGGCAGATGGCTGTAGTCCCTGCTACTCTGGAGGCTGAGGTGGAAGGATCACTTGAGCCCAGGAGTTGGAGGCTGCAGTGAGCTATGATTACACCACAGCATAGGTAGATGACAAAGGGAGACTCTGTCTCCGCACCCCCACCCCACCAAAAAGTAAATTAAAAAAGGAATCCTTATATTTCAAAAAGAGTGAGAATAACTGACCTAGAGCTTTCAAAGGTACCATTCATTCCACATATAATCTTTCACTTTCAGAGAGAAAATTACTACATAGATAAATAGGCATTTTTTCCACACCGGTACTCGCATCTAATTGGCAGTATGGCAAAGGAGGAAAGGAAAGACTTGGGTTTGGGTCTTGACTGTCCTATAAACTAGGTATTAAAACGTGAACAAGGCACTTCACTTCTACAAGTTTCAATTTCTTCACATATAAAATGAGGATGAATCTACCTCCCCTAACCACTTCATTAAAAGATGTTAGAAAACAAAATCAGAATGGAAGTTAAATTATGAAGTACTATATAGAAATATTACCATACAGAATGCATGCAGGTGCAGAAAAAGTTAAGTTTGGATGTGACTATACAGGGACTTGAATGCCAGGCTAAAAACTTGATTCCATAGGAAATAAACATTAAGAGGTTTTACTGTCAGGGGGTGAGGAATTCTGGGGATGGTGGAGTGAGACAGAGTGTGTGTGTGGTGGGGGGGTGGAGTGGGGTGTGGGAGTGTGTGTGTGGGGGGGGGGGGATGTGTGTGCATGTCCATGTGTGTGGTATGTAACCAGTGAGATAACTGTGCCTTCAAACAAATCTATTGGCACCGTGAAAGGATGTAGGAATTCAAAGAACTAAAGGCTACTGTAATGGTTCAAATAAAAGATAAAAACCTGGACTAGGCCAGGCATGGTGGCTCACACATGTAATCCCAGCACTTTGGGAGGCCAAGGAGGTGGGCTGATCGCTTGAGCCCAGGAGCTCGAGACTAGTCTGGGCAACATGGCAAGACCCCATCTCTACAAAAAATATAAAAATTAGCTGGGTGTGCCATCAGATGGCCAAATCATTATTTACTGGACCAGACCTTTTCAAAACTATCAAGCAGATAGTCAAGGCCTGTAAAGTGTGCCAAAGAAATAATCCCCTGCACTGCAGGCCATACATTTCAATCCCTCTATCTTTAACCTCCTTGTTAAGTTTGTCTCTTCCAGAATTGAAGCTGTAAAACTACAAATCGTTCTTCAAATGGAGCCCCAGACAGTCCATGACTAAAATCTACCACAGACCCCTGGACCGGCCTGCTAGCCCATGCTCCAATGTTAATGACATTGAAGGCACCCCTCCTGAGGAAATCTCAACTGCACAACCCCTACTACGTCCCAATTCAGCGGGAAGCAGTTAGAGTGGTTGTCGGCCAACCTCCCCAACAGCACTTGGGTTTTCCTGTTGAGAGGGGGCACTGAGAGACAGGACTAGCTGGATTTCCTAGGCCGACAAAGAATCCCTAAGCCTAGCTGGGAAGGTGACCGCTTCCACCTTTAAACACAGGGCTTGCAACTTAGCTCACACCTGACCAATCAGATAGTAAAGAGAGCTCACTAAAATGCTAATTAGGCAAAAACAGGAGGTAAAGAAATAGCCAATCATCTGTTGCCTGAGAGCACAGAGGGAGGGACAACGATCAGGAAATAAACCCAGACATTCGAGCTGGCAACAGCAACCCCCTTTGGGTCCCCTCCCTTTGTATGGGAGCTCTGTTTTCACTCTATTAAATCTTGCAACTGCAAAAAAAAAAAAAAAAAAAAAAAAAAAAAAAATTAGCTGGGTGTGGTGGCATGCACCTGTAGTCCCAGCTGCTTCGGAGGCTGATATGGTAGGATCACTTGAGCCCAGGTGGCAGCAGTTGCAGTGAGCCAAGATTGCACCACTGCACTCCAACCTGGGTGACAAAGCGAGACGCTGTCTCAAAAAAAACAAAACAAAAACAAACAAACAAAAAACCAGACTACAGCACTGACATTAAGAAAAGAATGGGCTACCTTTCAAATGTAGGAGGGAGGAGTGTGGAAAAGAGAAAAACTGAGCACAAAAATAGACAGGTGGACAGTAACCCAGGATAAAGAAAAACAAAATGTTCTTTGTTATTGGAAAGATCAAGTTTAGTTGTGTTAAATTTGAGATGTCTGGAGGTACTCAAGTATTTCAACAAGGGTGTGAAATTAAGCCTTAAAAAAAGAAGTGTTCCCAGAGCTGTAGATCTGGGAGTTAGCTGCTTAAGGTGACTGAAGGTGAAAGAAGAGTGAGAAGAGTAACACAGTGCTGAATAAAGAACCTGGATAACACCAATGTTAGAAGAACAGACAAATAAAATCAGGGAAGGAGGATAAAATGAATTTGAAATAGGACAATAGGGAGAATTTATTACAAATGCTGTAACTTACAGAAATATTAAAGAAGAAATTCAACATAATGTTTAAGTTTGATATTTGATTTAGAATTAAATATTAAGGAAAGAGTTTAGAGAACACATTTTTGACTTGGTTTCATGCTTACAGAAATATTATTTTCCTCTGGTGAAAAATCTGTAAGCTCCCAGAGTAAGCCTTCCCCCAATATCTCCCTAGTCAAAAGCTTTTGAATTGGTGTGAAATATTCTTCCTTCCCATACCATCATTGAACTTAGTTGAAGGTAGACAAATAGGCTGATGATGAAAACAGACTGAGATCCTGTTGTCTCCACACATTTACAGTCAGAAATGATGCTGGCCAGCCAGAAAGCAACAAAAGTGATGACAATCTTCTGGAGAGAAGATGTTTGTTCTTTTTATTATAGTCTACAAATGCTTATTGTAGACATCTAGAGGTCACAATAGCACATACCCTTTCACTTTAACTTTTATGAAAATGATAAAAATAAGTCCTAAAAGTCTTGGTAGTTTTCTGCTCATATGAAAATTTTAGAACTTAAGGAGTCAGTATCCATTTAAATCTATGCTTTAAAACAATTATCTCTTTACTTATAGCATGATACAATAACTGACTTTATCTCTTCTCTTACATAACTAAGAAAAGATTAAGCTGTGTTTGGTATATTGTTTAAAGTGACAATGAAATATGATTTTCCTCCAAATAGTACATTTCAGCACCCAACAAGCAAAATTTTCAGTATCTGGGAAATATTTCAGGTATTTGGTTGTATTTTCCAGAATAGCTCATTTGCTAGCAATACTAGAGAGAGCTGGCATCATGTCTTACCATTTTAGCCAACGGATCTCACAAGCCTCAAATTTTAAAAATGAAGTGCTTTGTTATAATTCTCTGAAGAATAAGTAATTATAGTAACTCATTTACTTATCTTACCAAGCCAGAAACCTGGAAGTCATCCTAGAGTCTTCCTTTCTCTAACCTGATTAATCATTTACTATAGTTAAATAGCTCTCAAAAAACATTTCTCTACCACCATTATCCCTTGTCTAAGTATTAAGCTATTAACTAAACTCACTGGGCATCAAATTATAATAATCAGACTTTGTGCTGATGTTTAGATATTTAACATCTGATGATGTACTCTGCCCTTCCTGTACTAAAAGGCTGCAAGGACAGCATGTCAATGCAAAATCATAGTACTCCTTCCAACAGAGAACTTTTCTCTTCACCATGTGATTCTACCATCTGACCTAGGAGAAGTGCCTCCAGTTATTCCAAAATGTCAACTTCTCCGATGGCCTAGAGCAGTGGTCCCCAATCTTTTTGACACAAGGGACCGGTGTGATGGAAGACAATTTTTCCATGGATGGGGTTGGGGATTGGATGATGGTTTTGGGATGGAACTGTTCCATCTCAGATCATCAGGCATTAGATTCTCATAAAGAGCGTGCTATCTAGATCCCTCACATGTGCAGTTCACAATAAGGCTCGTACTCCTATGAGAATCTAATGCCATCGCTGATCTGACAGGAGGCAGAGCTCAGGCAGTAATGCTGCTCACCTCCTGTGTGGCCCGACTCCTAACAGGCCATGGACCAGTACTAGTCCACAGCATGGGGGTTGGGGACCCCTGGCCTAGAGGCCTGGTTAGATTTCTATTCCCTTTTCTGTTAGCATTTATGGATAAGCAACAAATGAAACAATTTTAGAAGCAAAATGCAGTAAAGCCCTAATCCCAATAAAGTGTAATGTTCATATCTTGATTATATGACAAATAAGATAATGAAATAACAAATCCATCTACATACGTATAACTGATTTATATGTTTTTACTGAGTCAAACATCTCTGGCATTTAGCTATCTAAAAATACAAAAAAAAAAATTTAAAGCAAGGCAATTACCTGAGGAGAGTCAAAAGGATATCGACTACTAAATTTAAATAGAAGTTGAAATTTTTCCCCTTCATATAAGGTACCTGGTGCACCTTCCATGTCTACAATCCACCTAGAATAGAAAAGGCAAATTAAAAACTTAAGATAATAGAGACTGGGGTAAGGAGGAGAAAAGAGGACACCAAGTACTTCCTATACACTAAGCACTAGGACAAGAGTTGGTTATGTGTAACAGCACATGCCAGCCTCCCAATAACTCTCTTACTGTTAATTCTCATGACCTATCCCCTTCTCTGACACTCAGCGGTGAAATAACCAGATCAAGGTCAGACAGCTAGCAAAAGACAGAGCCAGGTCTAAAAAAGCAAACTAAATAAAACCCAAGGCCGGGTGTGGTGGCTCACACCTGTAATCCCAGAACTTTGGGAGGCCAAGACAGGCAGATCACGAGGTCAGGAGTTTAAGACCAGCCTGACCAACATGGTGAAACCGGTCTCTACTAAAAATACAAAAATTAGCCGGGCATGGTGGTGTGCACCTGTAATCCCAGCTACTCAGGAGGCTGAGGCAGGAGAATCGCTTGAACCCGGGAGGCAGAGGTTGCAGTGAGCCAAGATCATGCCACTGCACTCCAGCCTGGGCTACAGGGCAAGACTGTCTCAAAATAAACAAACAAACAGACCTCAAACTAAGGTGCACTGACACCAAAGCCTGTGCTCCTCCTAATTGATTTATACTACCTTATTTTTTCAAAGTACCATTTCTACAATGCTGATATTACGTATTCTATACATAACATCAAACAAAGCAACTGCCTCTGATTATTACTGGTGGAAGCCATGGAGAAATACGTATAGACAATGACCACAGAGAACCGTAGCTGTCAGACTTATTTTTTTCATCAACATCCTAGAGAAGATTAACAGGGCAAGGGGAGCTAAATTGACATCAGTCCACTTACTCTGATGATTAAGCAAGGCTTTGTGGTGACTTTCCTTTATCTCTCACTATGTTTCAATTGTTTAATAAAGCCCATTTCTATGCCATCTATGCAAGCCTTTGTTTTCATATATAACAATCATAAACATAAATGTGTTATTTACAGTTTATATACTATTCTTGTTATTTTCTTTAAGATGGGAAGAATAAGGGATAATGACAGCAAAGATAACAGGGCAGCATTAGAAGCAAAAGTGAATTGAAGTCATTAACAATGTGTTCCTAATTATAGCTCTGTCACTTATAATTCTTGTACACCTGGGCAATTCTCTTGAACTTTTCAGTTATTAAACTTTCTTGTATTTAAAATACAAGAAAACAAAAGGAAGATAGAAAATACAGTGTTGGGATTCTAGTCATCACCACGCATACTATGAACCTTGGATTATGTAAAATAATAAATGTACCTATTCTCTAAAAGAAATCAGCTACAGTATACAGACTCTTAAGAGCATGGCTATTCATTTTAAGAATGCACGCTGAGTACCATACATGGTAATAAAAGATACGACCACAGACCCAAGAGACAATATTTTATAGTGAAATTAGACAGTTATAACTGAAGTTATACTGAAGTCGCAGTTATAGTTAATCTTAACTCATTGTGTGAACAAGTTATGTTATCTCTCCAGTTTTAACTACCTCAATAATAAAACAGAAGATAATCACCTCATAGTGTTGTTGGAAAGATAAATGACCCTACATACGTAAAAAACCTAGCACATTCCTGACTCAGTCAATACATGGTAAATTAAATGCAATGCAAAAGCTGCATACAAAACAAAAAACTATCTCTTTATATATTAGGTCCTTCTTAATCTTCGAAATTCCTTTCTTATTTTTCCACCCACATCCACTAGGCACAGTGATATTCCCAGGAAAAACGGTGGTCTTTCATTCTGTTTATATGGTAATTTTAGGACACATAACATAAATTAACATGTAACCTATACAAACAAGCACAGCTTTTAAAAATAAAGAGCTAAGCAAGTATCTCATCAATCCTTGTAATATCTGCATGACATGCAGATACTGACACGAGGTCAAAGGCAGCATAACTTTCAACATGGTGCGTGGTACTTTCTTTTTTTTTTGGTACAGAGTTTTGCTCTTGTTGCCCAGGCTGGAGTGCAATGGCGTGATCTCGGCTCACCGCAACCTCCGCCTCCTGGGTTCAAGTGATTCTCCTGCCTCAGCCTCCCAAGTAGCTGGGATTACAGGCATGAGCCACCACACCCGGCTAATTTTTTGTATTTTTGTAGAGAGGGTGTTTCTCCATGTTTTTCAGGCTGGTCTCGAACTCCCGAACTCGGGTGATCTGCCCGCCTCGGCGTCCCAAAGTGCTGGGATTACAGGTGTGAACCACCGCACCTGGCCTGTGCATGGTACTTTCTAATAATCCTTTTGTTTTGAGACAGGGTCTCACTCTGTCACCCAGGCTGGAGTACCGTGGTGCAATCAGGGCTCACTGCAGCCTTGACCTCCTGGGCTCAAGTGACTCCCCCACCTCAGACTCCCAAGTAGCTGGGACCACAGGTGCACACCACCATGCCCAGCCAACTTTTAATTTTTTTCTTTTTTTCAGTAGAGATGGGATCTCCCTATGTTGCCCAGTCCGGTCTTGAACTCCTGGGCTCAAGGGATCCTCCTGCCCCGCCTCAGCCTCTCAAAGCATTGAGATTACAGGCATGAGCCACCATGCCAGGACTAATAAGTTTGTATTAGTTAAAAAAGTTAAGATATGTTCATTGTAGAAACTTCAGAAAAGTATAAACAAAAATCACCCAGTGATAACCACTGTTAAAGTTTTTGGGGGTATATTTCATTCTAGTCATTTTGCTGTTTCCTATACCATCGAAGCCTATATGAAATGGCAGCCCAGTAGCTGCATTTTGTGCACACTTAAATTACATCAATTTAAACCATCAGGGTTTATGATTCCAATCACAAGCATATGCCCCAGAGTAAGGATGCAATGAGACTACACGTGTTGTTCTCTCAATTAGTCTCAGTTCTTTAACACCCGTGAGTACCTAGTACTCTGTAATTCTAATGTTTAAGCATTAGAATTTTTTTTATTTCTTCACATATCATGGTTCTTAATCAAAGACACAACCATCTATTCCACTCTGGAGGAAAAACTGGCTTTGGTGGATTTATTAAAAGAGGATACATACCAGTAAGGTCTTCCTAAAGGATTTTTCAAAGGTAATTATAACTATACAAAATTTTTACCTTACATGCTGACTACAGACTATAATTCAAGTGATGCCATTTCACTGCACTGCCTTGACAAACCTTTTCCATATTATTGACATTTACACTATTCCCAAATTATCCCTAGAATTAGCAATGTCGAAATGAGTATAGTTAGTTCTAAGTCTTTTTCTAGATCTGTTACTTTCCTAGGATGGTGTATGGTAGGTCAAACATGATAGTATTCATATTTTTTAAGGTCTCAATATATGCTACCAAATTTCTTCCAGAAAATTAAAAAAATTGTTTTTGTGGGTACAAAGTAGGTGTATATATCTTTGGGGCACATGAGATATTTTGATACAAGCACACAATGCATAATAATCACACCAGGGTAAATGGGGTATCCATCACCTCAAGCAGTTATCCTTTCTGTTACAATCCAATTATACTTTTAGTTATGTGAAAATGCACAATAAATTATTGTTGACTATAGTCACCCTGTTGTGCTCTCAAATACTAGATCTTCTTCATTCTATTTTTTGTACCCATCAGAAAGCTTCTTAATGTGCTTTCATCATCCTCGTTATGGATCTTCCACATCCATATCCACATTTCATATACTCTTAACAATCTGATTCTTTATAAGACTATTTTATAGCCTAGAAGATGGCACAAAGGTAAAAATTTTATGGTTCATTTACAATAAATTATTTTAAAAGAAAAATTCTTGCCTGACCAATATCTCGATATAATAGGATTTACTCTACAACAAAGGTATTGTTGCTTTGGCTGTTATAATTTGTGGTATAACTACCTGGTAATCTATTAAAATGTTTCTATTTGTAAAAATTTAAAACAGTCCTTTAACTTTTTATAAATTATTGTGTTGTGTGGTTTCCCCATCCTCCCAAAAAAATAAACGATGAAAGAAGAAGTAATCTCATTATTATCACTTTCCTTGAGAACTATAGGGACAGCTGTTACAGGATACTCTGAGGTAGGTTAAGAAAAGGAGAGAGGAAAAAGATTAAAATGGGATATAATCTGCATCAGGATGAAAAAAGAGTCAGTTTCATTTGTTTAATAATATGCAACAAATGCCACTCTAAATGTATGCTCCATTTTTGGTTGTTTTAGAACAAGAGTTTAATATTTTCTATGTATGATATATACAAAAAATCAGTTTAGAACTCAACAATATTTTTAAGTGATTGTTACAGAGTTAAAGATGTGTATTACATTTTTTTTTTTTTCCAAAAGAGTCTATACATCCATTCGTAATATGCTTGTTCTTAAAGCTTTGACCCCTGTCTTAGGTACTGATACAAATGCCAAAGTCAAAGGTACCCAAAACTGTTTCCTCTGAAAGGGTAAGTTATATGAATTTTGGTCACTTTCACTCCCTGGACCTAGACTACACTAAATATTTGAATTGGCTCATTTGTCCTACAAGTTGGTTTACAATCAATTTTTATCTTATTGGCCACTTTTCCTTTTCTTTTTAGAGGTTTTTTTTAAGTGGAGGATAAATTATTTTAGATTTCTCCATGATTTCAGAACATTTACCACTGTCTAATAAAATTATTAAATGACTGCTGAGAGTCACACTTTCACTTTGTTGCCCTTCTGTACAGGACGCAATTGATGTTTTTAGGGCATGGGATACCTTTTGACTATTACTCTCTTCATATGCCTAAATAGATACATATTTTTAATTTGATAAAACCTCACACCAAACAGTTCTTTAATATTATAGATGAGAATCACTTCATAAACAAAGTCAGTGCTACTCAGTTAAACAAAATTTTTTAAAAATGTACCAAAGATAGTTTAAAAACAGCTTTACAAATTATGCAACAATGTTTATAATGCCGTAAAACAAAATTGATTATATATATAAATGCACAGAATAAGATCTGTTTACTCTATTTACCTCTTGGTGAAAGAATGAAATGTGAAAATAATTTTGTAGTTTTAAAAAGCGGGTGAACATTCATACATTATTGGTAATAAAACAAAGAGCCCTTTTAAAATTAAATACTTACTGTGTAATTGAATTTTGAACACTCTTCTCATTTAAGGTCATTCCAGGAGGTGGGTCATTTTGCAAAGCCAACAGTTCTTTCTGTAGTCGTTTCTAGAAAAGAACATCAATAATAATTTGTCCTTTTTGAGACTAGGTCTGGGTCACCCAGGTTGGAGTACAGTGGTGTGATCACAGCTCACCACATCCTCAAACTCCTGGGCTCAAGGAATCCTCCCACCTCAGCCTCCCAAGTAGCTTGAGACTACAGGCACACACCACAATGCCCAGCTAATTTTTTTTTTGGTAGAGATGGGGTTCTCACTTTGTTGCTCAGGCTGGTAGTGAACTCCTGGCCTCAAGCAATTCTCCCAACCTCAGCTTCCCAAAGTGCTGAGATTACAAGTGTGAGCTACCACACTCAGCCTGCACTTTTAAAAAAACAACATAACATCTTTCCAGTTATCCTTGATAATATCCTTCTACAATCTGAAATCATTAAATTTCCTCCAAATGTTCATACCTTTCTCTTTACTAGCCCCTTATATATTCTATATACATATTGCTCAAAATTTGAATAGCCTGTCCTATAATTCACAATCTATTGTCAAACTATTTCAACACTAGAGCTTCCAGGCAGCTGAATGTATGGAGTTTCCTGGAGGGTGGCACATCTGGAACGGAACATGGAAACTCCACATCCCTTCCCTCATGTACTTCTTCATCTGTATGCATTATAATATTCTTTCCTATAAACCAGTAAATACATCTATGGCAGTAATAGTAGTTCTGGCAGCAGCCACCAGAGCCTCAAGAGCACAGCCAAATGGGTGGCTTTCCTGGAGAATCTGCTGGAAGACCTAGAAGGCATGAAAAGATTAAGGAAATTTTTTAAAAAGATATTCAATGAAGAAAATATTTTGTTTTGGCTAGCATGTAAAGATTTCTTTTTTTAATGCAAGATAAGCAGATGCAAGAAAAGGCAAAGGAGGTCTACATGACCTTTCTTTCCAGTAAGGCCTCGCCACAAGTCAAAAAGAATATATTTTCACTCAACAAAAGATCTTTTCACTCAACAAAAAGATCCTGGAAGAACCACATCCTCTGATGTTCCAGGAACTCCAGGACTGGATTTTCAATCTCACGAAGTACAACAGCTACAGTAGCTGCTTAAAGTTTGACTAGGTTTGTTGTTGTTTATTTTTTAAGAGACAGGGCCTCACTCTGTCACTCCAGCAGGCATGCAGTGGCACAATCCTAGCTCACTGCAGCCTGGAACTTCTGGGCTCCAGCCGTCCTTCTGCCTGAGTCTCCTGAGTAGCTAGGACTACAGGTGTTCAACACCATGCTTGGCTAATTAAAAAAAAAAATTTTTTTTTTGTAGAGACAGGGTCTCACTATGTTGCACAGGCTGGTCTTAAACTCCTGGCCTCAAGTGCTCCTTCCACCCTGCTTTCTCAAAGGATTACAGGTGTGCGCCACTGTGCCAGCCCTGATTTGCTTTTAAAATACAAGCAAACTGCAAAAGAAGAGAAAGTTCAACCTGATGCTCAAACTACAGCTAGAAAAGCTTCTAGAATTTTTAACACGAGTTCCCAAAGACTGGCAGATTTATGAAGGAAAGAAAGTAGGCTACGTGTGGTGGCTCATGAATACAATCTCAGCGCTTTGGGAGGGAGAGACGGGGAAAATGCTTGAGCCCAGCAGTTTGAGACCAGCTTGGGTAACATAGTGAGACCCTGTCTCTACAAAAACAAACAAACAAAAAAAATAAATAAATATATATATATATATTAGCCAGGTGTAGGGGCATGCACCTGTACTCCCAGGTACTTCAGAGGATAAGGTAGGAGGATCTTTTGAGCCCAGGAGGCCAAGGCTGCAGTGAACTATAGTTGTACCACTGCACTCCAGCCTAAGTTACAGAGTGAGATTCTGTCTCAAAAATAAAACAAAAATTAGAAAAATCATAACAAAAAGAAGCAAATAAACTTTCAGGGTTTCTAATTGCCTTGTTATGTACAAAAACTGAATGGGATATGTGTATTCTCTTCAATGGGATACGTGTATTTTATTAACTGCTTGACCAGTAAGTTTTGCATAATGGCTAATCTTACATTAAAAAAATAGCTTTGAAGTTTCGGTTCACAAAACGAATCGATTTCTTCCACACTGGAAAAAATATTTCAACACTGATGCTGTAAAGCAGTTATGACGAATAGGCAGTTACCTATACAACATCAAGACATCATAGCTACTATATTGAGGTTGTAGGTCGAGTAGCCATTATCTGAACTGCTTGTGACCAGAACTGTTTCGGATTTACTGGTTGAGCATCCCAAATCTAAAAAGCCAGAATCTGAAATGCTCCAATGAACATTACCTTTGAGTGTCATGTTGCTACTTAAAATGTTTCAGATTTTGGAGCATTTCACATTTCAGATTGGGGATGCTCAACCTGCGTAAGGTCTTAACAGCTTGAGTTAAAAGTGCTTAAAAGTTTTAGCAGTGCTTCCTTTGCTGCTTTCTAATTATAAAACCCATAGTTCGGCTGGGCGTTGTGGCTCACGCCTGTAATCCCAGCACTTTGGGAGGCCAAGGCGGGAGGATCGCAATGTCAAGAGTTCGAGACCAGCCTGGCCGATATGGTGAAACCCTACTAAAAATACTAAAAAAATTAGCCAGGCGTGGTGGCGCGTGCCTGTAGTCCCAGCTACTCAACAGGCAGAGGCAGAAGAATCGCTTGAACCCGGGAGGCAGAGGTTGCAGTGAGCTGAGACTGCGCCACTGCACTACAGCCTGGGCGACAGAGTGAGACTCCACCTCAAAAAAAAAAAAAAAAAAAAAAAAGCCATAGTTCTCCATAATCCTTAAAGAATGTCATTTCACAGACAAGCTTTCCAGAGAAACTCTAAAAGTAACCCTTTATGCAAAAAGCCTTTCAAAAATTTTATGCCTTGTGACGAGAATGAAATAAGAAAAAAGAAAAGAAAATATTAATAAAATTTTAAATGATTTTATATGTATAATTTTTAAAAAATTTTAAAGTAATTTTAATATATAATGATCACCTGCACAGTTTAATATTTCAAGGTTATTGTTAATGAACATCGTTTATAGTAGAACATCAGAATACAACATATTATGATCTGAGATATGTTAAGGTTTTCTTCCTACATATTAGGTATCCTAAAATGGCTACGTATTTTGCACGCTTATTTGTACAGCTTTTATTGTACACCTCTTCCCTTGTTATCATCAGTGGACATACTTTTTCAGTGTACAACCAGGCAAAAACAAAACAAAACAAAACAAAACACAGTAGTCCCTAATTTATGAATTTTAAAACCAAATAACTAATGTTATTAAAATTGCATGCAAGATTATAAAGGGTCTTAATATGACTTTTTTTTCAGAGACAGGGTCTCGCTATGTTGCCCAAGCTGGAGTACACAGGTGCAATCCCACTACTGATTGGCATGGGAGTTTTGACCTGCTCTGTTTCTGACCTGGATCGTTCACCCCTCCTCCTGAGACAACCTGGTGGTCCCTCGCTCCCGAGAGGTCACCATATTGATGCCGAACTCAATGTGGACACCCAATCGACATAGTGCATGACAGCCCAGAACTCCTGCCGCAGCTTTCCAAATAGCTGGGACAACAGGCACCTACACTACACCCAGCGTAAGTCTTTTCTTAAAGTGAAGAAGACAAGTATGGATATCTGTTCATTTCTTAAGAGTACTCTGCTTAAAAATTGGTTTCTGTTTTTTCTGGACAATGAAATATTACTATCAGTAAGTAATGTTTCTACGTCTTTTCAATTTATGTCACTTAAAATAAGCTTAGCCATCCAACACCACTACAGATAGAAAACTGTGTTGTGAATCACTGTAATGGACTTTAAATTTGCTTAAATAATTTGTTTTGAATAAAGACAAATTTATGCAAATTTCTGTTTGAACAAGGTTTTAATTATTTTCTACTGATATTCACAAATGAGGGTTCTGTGATCACGTACATTTTTTTAAAAACTGGGTCAAACAAAGAACTGGCTTCTTCAACAGAACTTTCCATATACTAACTTGTACAGTCATTGTCCAAAGGCAAGATGACATAAAGAGGTTTCCAAAAATAGCTGAGCACAGTGATGCATGCCTGTAGTCCCAGCTACTCAGGGGGCTGAGGCAGGAGAATTGTTTGAGTCTAGAAGTTGGAGTCCAGCCTGGGCAACACAGCAAGAACTTGTCTCTAATAACATTAAACAAGGCCAGGCACAGTGGCTCAAGCCTGTAATTCCAGCACTTTGGGAGGTCAAGGAGCATGTAATGCCTGAGGTCAGGAGTTCAAGACTAGCCTGGGCAACATGGCGAAACCTCGTCTCTACTACAAATACAAAAATTAGCTAGGAGTGGTGGCATGCGCCTGTAATCCCAGCTACTCGGGAGGCTGAGGCACAAGAATAGCTTGAACTCGGGAGGCGGAGGTTGCAGTGAGCCTAGATCACGCGAATGCACTGCAGCCTGGGCTATAGAGTGAGACTCCATCTCAATAAAATAAAATAAACAAAAAACTCCCAACAACAACAAAAAAGAGGTTTCCAAAGATAATAGAACCCTTTGTAGAGCGTCTCAAGCCTTGTTTCAAGGACCATATTTTGGGAAACACTGCTGCAGAAATCTTCCAGATCTTGAGAACTTTACTAAGTCAAGAAGGATAATCCTTCTTAGTAGGAGAAGCAAGAATATAAAGGAGAATCAATCTGCATAACTACCAAGCGAAACACAAGACAACAAAAGCAAACTAAACTAAAAAAGCGCTTTATTGGTATATCATCCCTGGTCTCCTGAACATAATGGAAAAGGGTTCTATAGAAAAAAAAAAAAAAGTTTCTCCTTACCCTTAGACTTCTTTCATCTCCACAAAGGAAGGGACCTATGATAGCCAACTTTCAAGATAATTCCCAACAAACTCTAAAGGTCCTAGTATTCACACCCTTGTGTAGTTCCCTCCCTCAGAGCTGATCTGTGTGACCAATGGAATACAGCAGAAATGGTGTGTCACTCCCAAGATTAGATTATTTTAAAAACTATGGTTTCTGTGGCCGGGTGCGATGGCTCATGCCTGTAATCCCAGTACTTTGGGAGGCCGAGGTGGGTGAATCACCTGAGGTCAGGAATTCGGGACCAGCCTGACTAATATGGTGAAAACCTGTCTCTACTAAAAATACAAAAAATCAGCTGGGCGTGGTGGCATGCGTCTGTAATCTCGGCTACTCGGGAGGCTGAGACAGGAGAATTGCTTGTACCCGGGAGGCAGAGGTTGCAGTGAGTGAGATCAAGCTGCTGCACTCCAGCCTGGGCGAGAGAGCGAGACTTTGCCTCAAAAAACAACAAAACAAAACAAAACACTATGGTTTCTGTCTTGGTAATTCTCTCTCTCAAATCACTTGCTCTGGAGGAATCAAGCTATCATGTTGAGAACAGCCTAATTCAGAGGCCTTCATAGTGAGGAACTGAAACCTCCTACCAATAACCATGTGATGATTTGTAGGCAAATCCTTCAATTCAAATCAAGCTTTCAGATGACTACTATCTTAGCCAGTACCTTACCTGCAAACTCAAGAGGGACCCTAAGCCAGAATCAAACAACTATGCCTCTGATTCCTGACCCTCGGAACTGTGAAATAACATTTGTTGTTTTAAATCGCTAAGTTTAAGGGTTTGTTACGCACTGATAGATAATACAGGACCACTGCTCCATCCTCCCCTCCATCCCAGAAGGGACTGTCATCTACTTCCTCATCAATATCACTAAGTCACAATCTAAGACATTCACTGGACCATGCTTTTTTACTGAGGGGGTGGAATTATTACATTAAAAAAAGACAATTCATGCCAGCCCCCAGCCTTCTTAGCTACTAGGCAATAAACTGCCTTGCATATTCACATCCCCTGAAATAGTGAGAGAGAAGGGCCAGCATTTGGGGGGTTAAATGAGTACATACTACATTCACAAATAAAACATTTTTTAAAAAGATACAAACAGTGAAAGGTCAAGCAATGTGTAGTATCTGTTCTGCAGATTCACAAAAACAGAATTCACCCTTAGTTGCATTCTTCCCAGAACAACAGTTCATTAGACAGGGCAGGAAAAATCCTGAAGTCGTGATTCTAAAAAACTAGTTCTAAGTTTCCCAAATGTAGACATGGAAGAGCTGAAAGAAAATGATTTAAAGAGCTGCATGTAAAGATAAATGAAAATTCACATTTTGTTTGTAAATATGAAGAACTAGTATGACCTTTTAGAGGTCACACAATCCAGAAAGCTATAATCACATGAGGCTGCATTCACCTATAAATGAAGACAAAGTATTAACAAATTTGTTAAGAAACACTAGTATTTAGGACAGAACACTTGCTAAAGGTATGACACCACTGGCTTATAAAACCATCATGGCCATACTGGCCTGCTTTCCCAAGTGGTAGGGAAAATGGCAGCTACAGATTGAGATAACTACAAAATGGAAAATAACTGCAGAATGTTAAGTACTGTAAGTAAAGCAGCAGAAACACCCAGAAACCATGGGGGAAAAGGGAGAAGAGGACATGAGAAATTAGGTTCCAGTGGTTCATAGCCAAATATTACCCTTGTCTGTCCCAAAATTGGTGAGGTATGGGAAAATTAACCACAAATATACTACTCTCCTCTGAATCTAAGACACGCCATCAATTGTAAGATGCATCATCATTTTATGTGTCACTAGGAAAGAAAAACTGCTGCCAATTAAACAATGACACACCTTCAATAACACATATCCTGATTTGAAAGATGTTAAAATATGGAAAAAGTGCATTTAAAAAAATGAAGTGGGTCGGGTGCGGTGGCTCATGCCTGTAATCCCAGCACTCTGGGAGGCCGAGGCAGGTGCATCACCTGAGGTCAGGAGTTCGAGATCAGCCTGGCCAACATAGTGAAACCCTGTCTCTACTAAAAACATAAAAATTAGCCAGGCGTGGTGGTAAGTGTCTGTAATCCCAGCTACTCAGGAGGCTGAGGCAGGAGAAATGTTTGAACCCAGAAGGCGGAGGTTCCAGTGAGCCAAGATCGTGCCACTGCACTCAAGCTTGGGCAACAGAGTGAGACTCTTGTCTTAAAAAAAAAAAAATTATGAAGTGGTATTAAAGAGTTTAATTTTCCTAAGTCTACTGAAAAATAAAACTTCGAGTATGTTTCTGAGTTAACTTTTTAAAATTGATTTAAAAATATATACTTTGTAGAGACAGGTTTTAGCTGTGCTGCCTGGCCTGGTCTCAAGTGATCCTCCCACCCCAGCCTCCCAAAGTGCTAGGATTACAGGCGCAAGCCATTGCACCCCCAGCCCTGAGTAAATTTAATAACTGATTCTTATCTTGGTATTTAACACCTACCCCAAAACACATGACTTCAGCAAATCTTTAAATATGCACTTTATTCCCAGAATTTGCATAGGAGTGCACAGACATCTATCCTCCCCAGGGCGAAAAGGCCTAAAGTTATTTGCAAAAGAATCTCATTCCAGAAGAGGCTGTTTCCTTTTTTTTATTCTTCCATCCAAAAAAGCCAGTCAGGTCCAGAATGTAAATGTTTTGAAGCATCTCAAATCTGGAGAAAACCTGAAAACTCTAGCCCTTACCTTGTGTTGGTTCAAGTCTGCAAAGCACCCAAGAATCTGAGCTCTTCTAAGATACCCAAGGTTTACAAATTCAGTAAGAAGGATTCTGATACATCTAAATACCAATAATGGTATGTAAATGATTACATACTTTCAGAACTGGCTCGGCTTTTCAGTGATTTTATAGTCCAGCTAGCAGCCAGCTCCCTTTCTCTCCTTCCTCATCATAAAAATAAATGATATGAAACCACACTAATTTATTCCTTTTTTTCCCCCCGGTAAGAAAACCATTGACAAATTCCATAATTAACTATTGTCAATGTATTGGGACATACCACAAAACGGAATGCCAGATCTGTATGTCATAATACCTTGGTTGAAAATCTCTACTCTAGATCACTACAACAGCCTGCGATATGCGACCCTAAACTTAAGAGTGACACCAGCCCAGGCACAGTGGCTTACACCTGTAATCCCAGCACTTTAGGAGGCCAAGGCAGGAGAATTACTTAAGCCCAGGAATTCGAGACCAGCCTGCACAACAAAGTGAGACCACGTCTCTAGGGAAAGAAAAAGAGATGACACGGGTTCAGTTCCTAAAACTTTTTTCTGCTTGAATGCATGTGAAGGATTATTCCTGAAATTTACTCTCCCCTATGACTGGGAGTTACTACAGGGGTTGAGGTGTAAATTTAAGTTAACATCAAAAGGATGCTCAAGAGATTAATATACCCACTTCTCCCTATTTTGCACTGTCACCTCTCCAAGAATCACTGTAAAGGTTGCTTCACATCAAAGGTCAATCAGATGTTTGCACAGGACTGTAACCTTTGTAACATCACTTCAGCCTCTGATTGACTGCTTTCTGCAACTAATCAGACTGATTGTGGGCCACCACTTCATTTACATGAAGTGAACACCAAGTGGCCAATGGGAAACCTCTAGGGGGTATTTGGACCCAAGAAGATTCTGTATCTGGGGCCCTTGAGCGGCTGCTCTGGCCACTCCAACCCTGTGGAGTGTACTTTCATTTTCAATAAAGCTCTGCTTTTGTTGTTTCATTCTTTCCTTGCTTTGTGCATTTTGTCCAATTCTTTCTTCAAAATGCCAAGAACCTGGACACCCTCCACCGGTAACAAATGCCCATATTTACATATTAGTTTAAGTTTGCTATTTCAGAGAGCTGCGATGATAGGTACATCAGTACTGAAAAAGCACTACTACTTGGTTCTTCAGTAGGGAACATTACTGTTTAGAATGAATACTACTACATCAAATGAAATGATCCTGGTTATTTTGAATCATGGAAGACATTTTTTTAAAATGCTCCTAGTTAAAAAAAAAAAAAAAAAAAAGTATTTTGGCACATTGGCTCACACCTGTAATCCCAGCACTTTGAGATGCCAAGGTGGGTGAATCATTTGAGGTCAGGAGTTTGAGACCAACCTGACCAACATGGTGAAACCCCATCTCTACTAAACAAAATTACAAAAAATCAGCCGGGCATGGTGGCACATGCCTGTAATTTCTGCTACTCGGGAGGCTGAGGCAGGAGAATCTCTTGAACCCAGGAGGCAGAGTTTGCAGTGAGCCGAGATCACGCCACTGCACTCCAGCCTGGGCGACAGCACAAGACTCCATCTCAAAAAAAAACACAAAAAACCCACAAGTATTCAAAATAGCATCCTAAAAAGCTCATTCATTTCTTTTTTGGTTTTTTTTTTTTTTTTTTTTGAAACAGAATCTTGCTCTGCCACCCAGGCTGGATGGAGTACAGTGGTGCAATCTCTGCTCACTCAGCCTCTACTTCCCGGGCTCAAGCGATTCTCATGCCTCAGCCTCCCGAGTAGGTGGGACTCCAGGCATGCATCACCACACCTGGCTAAATTTTGTATTTTAAACATGGTGAGATGGGGTTTCACCATGTTGGCCAAGCTGGTCTCGAACTCCTGGCCTCCAGTGATCCACCTGCCTTGGCCTCCCAAAGCACTGGGATTACAGGTGTTGAGCCACCGTGCCTGGCCAAAAGCTCATTCATTTTTCTTTTCTTTTTTTTCCCCCCAAGAAGGAGTCTTGCTCTGTCGCCCAGGCTGGAGTGCAGTGGTGCGATCTCGGCTCACTGCAAACTCTGCCTCCAAGGTTCACACCATTCTCCTGCCT
Organism: Homo sapiens; assembly: GCF_000001405.40. NCBI lineage: Eukaryota > Metazoa > Chordata > Mammalia > Primates > Hominidae > Homo > Homo sapiens. Next base: position 73,840,173 of record NC_000008.11, read on the forward strand.
CAGCCTCCTGAGTAGCTGGGACTACAGGTGCCTGCCACTACACCTGGCTAATTTTTTGTATTTTTAGTAGAGACAGGGTTTCACCATGTTAGCCGGGATGGTCTCTATCTCCTGACCTCGTGATCCGCCTGCCTTGGCCTCCCAAAGGGCTGGGATTACAAGCATGAGACACCACATCCAGCCAAAGCTCATTCATTTCTAAATTAGTCTGGCTTCTAAGCTAATTCATTTCTGAAAGTATTATCCCACATTAACACATTTTGAAAATTAAAGCACAAAAAATTCAAATGATACTCTTGTGGTTATGAATCAAAACTGGAAGAACAGAATATATCCTTCTGAGATGCTAATAATGGCAAAATATCAACCAAGAAATTGATAAAATTCCTTACTTTGTAAAAAACTTACTTTCCAGTGAGGGAAGAGATAGTCAATAAATAAAAACAAAGCAAGTAAGTATCCAGTTGTTCTTCTGTATCCTCAGGAGCTTGATTCCAGCCCTGCCCCTTTTGCATACCAAAATCCACATATCCCAGGGGCTGAACCCGCATACAGGTAAGTCAACTCTCCGATACTCAGGTATAAAATGCTGGCAATTGGAGGAAAAAAATCTACATAGAAATGGACACACAGAGTTCAAACTCGTGTTGTTTCAAGGCTCTACTGTACTATATGATATATTAAAATATGAAGAAAAATAAAGCAAATTAAGGGGATGGGGGAGGTATAGAGGTCTCACATTTTGTAAAGTTTTATCTCAACTTGACATTTTGAGAAACTATCCTAAAGGGTAGAAATCCTCATTCAGGGAAGTTAAAAGTACAAACAAGAGAAGAAAAAACATTAAAAAATGTGGGAATATATAATGGTTGCTAATACAACTGTATATAAAATGACCAAGAATGTTTTCTCCAATTTCATCTAACAACCAACTAAAGATGGAAAGTTAAAAATAGGAGGGTATGATGGAAAAAACAGAAACACCATTCACATTAATATTAATAGCACTGCACTAATAAGTAGATATTATTTTTCCCTAACAACATTAAGAAACAGAATTCTAACAGTGGCCACTTCTCCTTTCAGAGGGAAATGTGAGGCAATGTATTAAATTTACTATTTTTTTTTTAAAACAGAACTAAACTCAGGCTGAGTAAGGAAGCATTTTCCCTCCTACTGAATTCTGATGACATTTCTAACAGTTACTTATTAAAACTGTTTTCCCTTTCAGGAAAGAGAATGCAATGTAGGTATTCATTCTTAGTTTAAGCTAAACTTTTTAAAATTCTGACAAATGAAAAAGTGTCAAGACTTAATGATTTCTGCTCTTAAGAGCCCACAGCCCACAAAAGGAGACAAATGTGCCAATAATTTCTCCATGCTTTCAGAGTACAGTAGTGTCCAAAAGAAGAGTGGTAAGAGGAGAAAAACCAGGACTGTGGTATGCACAAAGCCAAGGAAGAATATGTTTCAAGGACTAACCAGACTTTCTTTTCCAGCACAATGGCAGAGTATATACCCCGGATAATTACAGAGAAAACAAAGACAAAGTGAACGCAGGAACTCTGAAATGTAAGGATTAGGACTGGATTTTGCCGTGGAGATTTCAAACAAATCCAATAGCAAAACCAAAGTGAAGATGCTAACAGAGGAGCTACCTGAAACTATGATCCCTCAGTGTAAAGGTGAACAAGAAAATGGGCAAAGAGACAACAATGAAATTTGCCTACTTTAAACTGAAAAAAATTCTCCCCTGAAATTTCATAACCTCAACCCACATGGATTCATAGCCTGAATTCCTGCTACCTGAGAACATTAAGCAAGGATTTAATAAAAAGTAGTCCAGGAAGTGGTGGCCTCAAAGCAACCAGCAGAAACGAACACAAATATAAATCCTGGAGAAATCCAAGTTCTGTCCTTTGAGGCAACAATTTCACTGCTCAGAATCGTAGAAAGATACATATAAAATAGCTTCACTGTAAACAAAATCTAGAAATATATATCCATCAATAGGTAAATTATACAAATTATAGCATAGCAAACTAAGACTATGCAACCGTTAAGAATGACGTGGGGCCGGGCACAGTGGCTCACACCTGTAATTCCAGCACTCTGGGAGGCCGAGGCGGGTGGATTACGAGGTCAGGAGATTGAGACCATCCTGGCTTAACATGGTGAAACCCTGTCTCGACTAAAAATACAAAAAATGAGCCGGGCGTGGTGGCGGGCGCCTGTAGTCCCAGCTATTCGGGAGGCTGAGGCAGGAGAATGGTGTGAACCCGGGAGGTGGAGCTTGCAGTGAGCCGAGATGGTGCCACTGCACTCCAGCCTGGGCGACAGAGGGAGACTCCGTCTCAAAAAAAAAAAAAAAAAAAAAAAAAAAAAAATGACGTGGACGTGAGTACTGACAAAAAAAATAATAAAGAACTCCAAAACCTACTGAAATAAAGAAAAAGCAAGCCTCAAAAATACATGTAATTTGTTAAAATAAAAGAGGTGTAATTACACAACATATAAATGCACACAAAGGACCAAAAACACATTCAATTATTTTGTACTTGGAAATGGCAGTGGAGAAAGAGGACATACTGTTTGCACTACATGCCTTTATATTATTTGGCTGTTTTACAAAAATGTAGAAGTGTATTTTTTGTATAATTAAAAAATAACTCAATGGATGATGAAAACACATTCACACAAAAACATATATACAAACATTCATAGCAGCATTATTCATAATGCCAAAAAACAACCCAAATGCCCACTAACTGAAGAATGAACAAAATGTGACAACCATGCAATGGAATTTTATTTCGCCTTCAAAAAGAATGAAGTACTGACTCATTTTACAACACAAATGAACCTTGAAAACATTATGATGTTTTTGAATGAAGCCAGTCACAAAAGACCACATATTGTATGATATCACTGATATGAAATGTCTATAACAGTCAAATCTGTAGAGATGGAAGGTAAGCTGGTGATTGCCAGGGGCTGGGGAAAGGAGAATGGAGAGTGACTACTTATGGACACAAAGGTTGCTTTTTGGGCATGATAAAGATGTTCTAAAGTCAGATTAAGGGTATGGTTGCACAACAGAGTAAATAAATTTAAATTATCGAGTGTAGAAATGGGACTATTTTATGACATGTAAATTACATCTAAATAAAAATTTTTTCACCGAGCACAATGGCTTGTGCCTGTAATCCAAACACTTTGGGAGGCCAAGGCAGGAAGATTACTTGCAGCCAGGTGTATAATACCAACCTGGGCCACACAGCGAGACCACATCTCTACAAAAAAATAAAAAATTTGCCCGGCATGGTGGTGGTATGCACCTGTAGTCCTAGCTACTCCGGAAACTGAGGGGGAAAGATTTCTTGAGCCCAGGAGTTCAGGTTATAGTGAGTTATGATCTAGCCACTGCACTCCAGCCTGAGTGACAGAGAGAGACCCTGTCTCTTTAAAAGAAAAAAGAAAACCTCAATGAGTAAAGAAACTAAACACAGGTGAAGAAAGAATTTCTACTTAGGAAGATGGCCTGAAGAAATTACCCAGGATATAACTCAGAGAAACAGATAATGAAAATATGAAAGGTAGAGACACCAAAAAAAAAAAAAAAAAAATTAGAGAACAGAAAGCAACATTTTCTATAAATGTTTCTTAAATAATAATGTGTGGTGGTGCACACCTGTGGTCCCATCTACTCGAGAGGCTGAGGCAAGGAAATTGCTTGAACCCGTGAGACGGAGGTTGCAGTGAGTCAAGACTGCGCAACTGCACTTCAGCCTGGCAACAGAGCAAGACTCCATCTCAAAAAAAATAATAGTAACAACAATAATAATGCCTGAGAATCTCCCAGAATTGTTAAAGACATCAGCCTTCAGGTCAATGAAGCCCAATTAATTCTAAGCAGCATAAACAAGAAATCCAAACTTAAACATCACTGTGAAAGCATAAAACACCAATTAAAAAGAGCTAATTCCCCTCCCCCTCCCCCTCTGCACGGACTCCCTCTGATGCCAAGCCAAGGCTGGACTGTACTGCCGCCATCTCAACTCACTGCAACCTCCCTGCCTGATTCTCCTGCCTCAGCCTGCCAGTGCCTGGGATTGCAGGCGCGCGCCGCCACACCTGACTGGTTTTCGTATCTTTTGGTGGAGACAGGGTTTCGCCGTGTTGGCTGGGCTGGTCTCCAGCTCCTGACCGTGAGTGATCTGCCAGCCTCGGCCTCCCGAGGTGCCGGGATTGCAGACAGAGTCTCACTCACTCAGTGCTCAATGTTGCCCTGGCTGGATTGCAGTGGCATGATCTCGGCTCACTACAACCTCTACCTCCCAGCCGTCTGCCTTGGCCTCCCAAAGTGCCGAGATTGCAGCCTCTGCCCGGCCGCCACCCCGTCTAGGAAGTGAGGAGCGTCTCTGCCTGGCCGCCCATCGTCTGGGATGTGAGGAGCCCCTCTGCCCGGCCGCCCAGTCTGGGAAGTCACAAGCGCCTCTTCCCGGCCGTCATCTCGTCTAGGAAGTGAGGAGCGTCTCTGCCCAGCCGCCCATCGTCTGGGATGTGGGGAGCACCTCTGCCCCGCCGCCCCATCTGAGATGTGAAGAGAGCCTCTGCCTGGCCGCGACCCCGTCTGGGAACTGAGGAGTGTCTCTGCACCGCCGCCACCCCGTCTGGGAGGTGCGGAGCGTCTCCGACGGGCCACCCCGTCTGAGAAGTGAGGAGCCCCTCCGCCCGGCAGCCGCCCGGTCTGGGAAGTGAGGAGCCCCTCCGCCTGGCAGCCGCCCCGTCTGGGAAGCGAGGAGCGTCTCCGCCCTGCAGCCGCCCCGTCCAGGAGGTGGGGGGCAGCCCCCGCCCGGCCAGCCACCCCATCCGGGAGGTGGCCAGCCCCCGCCCGGCCAGCTGCACCATCTGGGAGGTGGGGGGCAGCCCCCGCCTGGCCGCCGCCCCGTCTGGGAGGTGGTGGGCGCCTCTGCCCGGCCGCCCTGTCTGTGAAGTGAGGAGCCCCTCTGCCTGGCCACCACCCTGTCTGGGAGGTGTACCCAACAGCTCATTGAGAACGGGCCATGATGACGATGGCGGTTTTGTCGAACAGAAAAGGAGGAAATGTGGAGAAAAGAAAGATCAGATTGATACTGTGTCTGTGTAGAAAGTAGTAGACATAGGAGACTCCATTTTGTTCCGTACTAAGAGAAATTCTTCTGCCTTGGGATGCTGTTAATCTATAACCTTACCCCCAACCCCGTGCTCTCTGAAACATGTGCTGTGTCCACTAAGGGTTAAATGGATTAAGGGCAGTGCAAGATGTGCTTTGTTAAACAGATGCTTGAAGGCAGCATACTCGTTAAGAGTCATCACCACTCCCTAATCTCAAGTACCCAGGGACACAAACATTGCGGAAGGCGGCAGGGCCCTCTGCCTAGGAAAACCAGAGACCTTTGTTCACATGTTTATCTGCTGACCTTCCCTCCACTATTGTCCTATGACCCTGCCAAATCCCCCTCTCCGAGAAACACCCAAGAATGATCAATAAATACTAAAAAAATTTAAAAAAAAAAAGCTAATTCTAATGCCATACACAAAAGATAGATTAGCTACAAAGTTATAGAAATTAGAAGGCTACCATTTTAAGAACAATGATGTCAGCACTAGAAATCAGTAAAAATATATTTTATGTAAGTAAAACCACCAATTTAAACTCCTATACCAAGCAAAACTAAGTTTAAAAAAAAATGGATGAAATAAAGATATGTGCAGACAAAAGTTTTACTACCAACAGTAACCAACAAAAGATTAAACCCTGAATTCCTTCTGGAAAATGATCCCAAGGGACAGATCTGAGATGAAAGAATGGTGGGCAGATACTTAAAGTGTGTACATCTAAACAATGAATAAAACAATACAGGCCCACAGTTCCTTACGAAACAGCTCTTGGATGGGCACAGTGGCTCACACCTATAATCCCAGCACTTTGGGAGGCTGAGGCGGGTAGATCACCTGAGGTCAGGAGTTCGAGACCAGCAGGACCAACATGACCAACATGGTGAAACCTCACCTCTACTAAAAATACAAAATTAGCCAGGTGTTGTGACTGATGTCTGTAGTCCCAGCTACTCAGGAGGCTGAGGCAGGAGAATTGCTTGAACCTGGGAGGCAGAGGTCGCAGTGAGTCAATATTGCACCACTGCACTCCAGCCTAGGCAACAAGAGCGAAACTCCATCTCAAAAAGAAAAAGAAAAAGAAAAAACTCTTTGGGGCAGATGTTTCAGACTTAAAAATTTTTTAGATTTAAAAAAATTTTTTATAAAGCAGCACACCACCAAACACATTAGTAATCAGCACTAAAATATGTGAATACTTAAAATATACAGGATTTTTAGGAATACTGCAATCTAATGCCCCAAGGTCACAGGCTTTGCCACCAGGAAAGTTTGTGACCAACTTACAAAAAAAATTTTTGGTTTTTAGATCTTTTTTAAATTTTGGATGGGATAAGAATATGAGCACAAAATGTCTAATTTGTAAAATAAAACAAGACAGAACGAAATTACAAGGCATTCAACACATAAATTTGGAAGCAGGTGATGGGGAGTTAAAGCATTTTAAGGTCGTAGTGTTTAAGAAGAGTGCAAACATGCAGATAAACTTTAGATTATAATAAGTATGTTAAATTAGCTACCATAATGGCTACAAATCATTAACATAAAAAACTAACTGGGCCAGGTGCAGTGGCTCAAGCCTGTAATCCCAGAACTTTGGGAGGCCGAGGCGGGTGGATCACGAAGTCTCAGGAGATTGAGACCATACCGGCTAACAAAACCCCATTTCTACTAAAAATACAAAAAATTAGCTGGGCGTGGTGGCACGCACCTGTAATCCCAGCTACTTGGGAGGCTGAGGCAGGAGAATTGCTCGAACCAGGGAAGCAGAGGTTGCAGTGAGCCAAGATTGCGCCACCGCATTCCAGCCTGGGCGACAGAGTGAGACTCTGTCTCAAAAAACAACTAACCAAACAGAAAAATAAGCAAAAGTCTAGAATTCGTAATTCACAAAAACACCATAATGGCTAATAAAAACAGGAAAAGAAACGCAACCTCACTGGTTATCAGATAAATGCAAATTAAAGCCACACTACAATAAGTAATGGTTAACACTCAACAAACTGGTAAGACCAGCTTGGTAGGTATGTACGGGAACTGAAGTTCTCATACATGGCTGGTAGAAGTATAAACTGGTAAACAATTTTATAAAACTACTTGCTTTTTTTTGTAAACTTGGATATAGAAATATGCTCTCACCCACCAATTCCATTCCAAGGTATACCCAGCATATACGTTCAACAAAACACAGGTACAAGGAGGATGTTTGTAGCAGCATTATATGTGACCAGGCCCAAACAAGAAAAAACTCAAATGTCCATCATCAACGGTAAAACGGGTATATTGCGGCCGGGTGCTGTGGCTCACACCTGTAATCCCAGCACTTTGGGAGGCCAAGGCAGGTGGATCACCCGAGGTCAGGAGTTCAAGACCAGCCTGGCCAACGTGGTGAAATCCCATCTCTACTAAAAATACAAAAATTAGCCGGGCATGGTGGCAGGCACCTGTAATCCCAGCTACTCGGGAGGCTGAGGCAGGAGAATTGCTTGAACCCAGGAGGTAGAGGTTGCCATGAGCCAAGATTGTGCCATTGAACTCCAGCCTAGGCAACAAGAGTGAAACTCTGTCTCAAAAAAAAAATAAAAACAGCCGGGCACCATGGCTCATGCCTGTAATCCCAGCACTTTGGGAGGCTGAGGCGGGTGGATCACCTGAGGTCGGGAGTTTGAGACCAGCCTGACCAATACAGAGAAACCCCATCTCTACTAAAAATACACAATTAGCTGGGTGTCGTGGCGCATGCCTGTAATCCCAGATACTCGGGAGGCTGAGGCAAGAGAATCGCTTGAACCCGGGAGGCCAAGGTTGCAGTGAGCCAAGATCGTGCCATTGCGCTCCAGCCTGGGAAAAACTGTGTCTCAAAATAAATAAGTAAATAAATAAATAAATAAATAATTGGTAAATTGTATATTCATACATGGCAATAAAAGTGAATTACAACACAGATCATAGATCTCACAAATTAATGTGAGCAAATGAAGTCAGACAGAAAAATAAATATACAGTATAATTTCATTTATGTAAAGCTCACAAACAGGCAAAAGCAATCTATAGTATTAGAATCAGAATGTAAGCTGGGCATGGTGGCTCATGCCTGTAATCCCAGAACTCTGGGTGGCTGAGGTGGGAGGATCGCTTTCCAGGAGTTTGAAACTAGCCTGGGCAACACAGGGAGACCATGTTTCTACAAATAATAAAAAAAATTAGCCAGGTATGCTGGTGTGTGCCTGTGGTCTCAATTACTCAGCAGACAGGAGACTAAGGTGGGAGGAACACCTGAGCCTAGGAATTGGAGGCTGCCGTGAGCCGTGATCTCACCACTGCACACCAACAGGGGTGACAGAGTGAGATCCTATCTCAAAAGAAAAACAAAAAAGAAATCAGGATGTGATTACCTTTAGGAGAGGGAGGAAGTAGTGCTTAGGAACGGACATAAGGGAGGCTTCCAAGGTGGAGCTACCATTTTATTTTTTCATGTATGGTGATTACAAAGGTGTATTCACTTTGTGAATATATGAACTTTACATGTAGATTTGTGCATTTTCCTGTTTGTTGTATTTCAGTAAAAACATGTATCAAACTGATCTAAAATTGACTGGTGATAGTTGCATAACTCCACGAATATATTAAAAGTCATTTTAAATGGATGAGTATATTATGTGAGTTGGTTCACAATAAAGCTGTCAACAAAAGCAAAAAAAAGTTTATTAAACAAAAAAAGAAAAAGCAAATATGGAAAATGTTAATTGTTGAATCTACACAAAAGCTACAGAGGTGTTAACACTGTTTCTTTCTACTTTTCTGCATGCTTGAGATTTTTCGTAAAAGTTTTCAATAAAAAATAACAGTAAAATAAGTGCAAAAAAACAGCTACAGTAACATCTAAAAAATATTGTAGGCCAGGAGCGGTGGCTCACTCATGTAATCCCAGCACTGTGGGAGGCCAACGCAGGTGGATCACCTGAGGTCAGGAGTTCAAGACCAGCCTGGCCAACGTTGTAAAACCCCGTCTCTACTAAAAATACAAAAATCAGCTGGGCATGGTGGCGGGTGCCTGTAATCCCAGCTACTTTGGAGGCTGAGACAGGATAATAGCTTGAACAGCGGAGGTGGAGATTGTAGTGAGCCAAGATCGCGCCACTGCACTCCAGCCTGGGCAACAAGAGTGAAACTCCATCTCAAAAAAAAAAAAAAAAAAAAAAAAAAAAATTGTGTGTAACTTCCAAACTAGTAGAGGTATGAAAAATAGAATAAGAAAACTGAAAAAGAACTCAATCCAAAATAAGGAAAGACACAGACATAGGAAGAAAAGACAAATGAAAAGTACTTAAAAGGAAAGAAATAAATCCTATTATATTACTCATTAAAAATTTGACTAACTTCTTTAGTAAACAGTAAAGAATATTAGATTGGTTAAAAAGTATAGTTATTTGAGTTTTTTTAAAAGATATTACTAAAATGTTAAGAGTACAGAATGGTTCAGAGTCAAAGGATAGAAAAAAGATACTAGGATAAGTTTTAAGAAACAAAGCTGGCATTGCTATGTTAATATCAAGTGAAACAAATGTTAAGGCCAAAAATAATAAAAGATAGAATAACTATATAATGATATAGTCACCATGAGCATAAAACCTGTATACACTTAGTAACAACCTCAAAATAGATAAGCAAAGGACAATCTACAAGTCTATCTTCATAGAAGATTTTAGTAACACCTCTCAAAGTAATGAACAGCTCAAGCAGACCAAAAAGCAAACAAAAGGATAACCGAATTGAGAAAGTCAAAAGTTAAGAATAGACATTTAATAGAAGAGCCACAAATGCCCCAAAACACATACAATTATACTCAATTATTCTTATTAGCTAAGGAAATATAATAGAACCATAAGGAGTATCTTTCACCAAAATAAGTCCAGTGTTGGGGAGAATGTGGTATACCTGGAACTCATGTACTATCAGTAAGAGCATAAACTGATGTAATCACTTTGGAACAGGATGGCATTATCTAGTAAAACGGAACAGACATGCCATAACCTAGCACTTGCATTTGTAGGTCAATACCCTAAGAGAAAACCATGAAAATGTGTTACAACATTTAAACCAGCACTGTTCATAACATGTTAGGAGTAAAACTGATCAAATGTGATAGTTTATACCATGAAATACCACTTACTTAGCTTTAAAAATATACTGCTACAAAGATGGATTAATCTTGAAATGATAAAAGTCAGAAAGAATTACTAACAGTATGAGTCCATTTACCTAAAGTTTAAAAACAAACAAAATATATTGTTTAAAGTAAATATAAGGAAAAATAAAGGATTACAAACATAAAATCCAAGACAGCAATTTACTGTGGGAAGGAAATAGTGAGGTACAATCAGCAGGACATTAAAAAAAAAAAAAAAAAAAAAAAAACAGGACACAGAAGGGGCTTCAAAGGTAATGGCAACTTTTATTCCTTAAGCAATGTGAATATTTTATAAATATTCTTTAAAATATTCACCTATGATTTCTATTTTTATATTTTTATTTAACTTTTTTTGAGACAGGGTCTCACTCTGTTGCCCAGGCTGGAGTACAGTGGCGCAATCTCGGCTTAATGCAACCTCTGCTTCCTGGGCTCAGGTAATCTTCCCACCTCAGCCTCCCAAGTAGCTGGAAACACAGGCATGCACCACCACACCCTGCTAATTTTTGTAGAGATAGGATTGCGCCATGTTGCCCAGGCTGGTCTTGAACTCCTGGGCTCAAGTGATCCTTCCACCTCAGCCTCCCAAAGTGCTGAAATTTTAGGTGTAAGACACCATGCCCAGCGTCACCTATGATTTTTAAATTCTTCTGTATGCATGTTTCATTATCTTTTTTTTTTTTTGACACTCTTAAATTTGATTGTGAAGGGAAAGAAAGCAACAGGGTGGTAGCAGAACTGAGGCAGAGGCAGGTGTTTGTTAGGAGAAACTTCTGCATATGTAAATATTGAAGAGACGGGTAAAGGCTAGAGAAAGGTGGTGATAAATGAAATTGTAAAATATCTGAGAAAGAAGAGATCAGCTAGATGCGGAGTACAGAATTAGAGACTTTACAAGGGATTGTGTTTTCAATGGGTGTTACTACTCTACACAGGAAAAAATATACATTTTTAAAAATTAAAATCACCCCTTAATCTCACCATGCAGTGATCTCCTTGGGACAGTGATTTTTCTTTCCATGAATCTGTATTTTCTAATATTTGGCAATAAACATATGTAAAGTATTTTTAAATAAAAATATGATCATGCTGACAACAATGTGGCATATGTACTGGAGAAGTTAAGACTGAAGGCAGGAAAGACAGGCTGAAAACTACTAGAAAAAAATTACATTTGAGACATTACTAATGAACAACTGGAGGAATCAAAGGACTTACTTAGGATGCAGAATGAACTAGATTTGGTGACAAGTGGATGTGCAAAGTGAGAAAGAGAAGAAATGAGGCTGACCCCAGAGTATTAGTCTGGATCAATGACAGGAAGAAGCTAGGCATGGTGGCTTCTTGGCCTATAATCCCAAGTACTTGAGAGGCTGAGGCAGGAGTTCAAGACAAGTCTGGGCAACACAGTAAGACCCAGTCTCTCTTTTTTTTTTTTTTAAAAAAAAAAAAAAAGGAAAGAGAAGGTGGAGGAAGGGAAGACAAAAATGAAGGGGGAAGGAAAAAGGAGGGATGGGGAGAAAGAAGAAAGGAGAGGGAGGGGAGAGGAAAGAGGAGCAATACAGATAGCTGGTCTGTTTATGAAGGGTTGGAGGCAACTGAGATTAAGATTAGTTTTGGACCTGACCAGTTCAAGTTCCCTGTGAACATTGAGATTGACAGAACAAAACAACGGAACCAGCCAGAAATGAACAATGACTATTCCCTTTAAATAGAGCTGCCCTCTTTAGGGTGGGTATGCTGTCTACCATGAATCCAATGTATGTACATGTACCTTAAACCTGCTTGGCTCCAAGAGGCAAAGAGTTTACTACCCTAGAATCAAATTTTAATTTCTCAAGCTAGTTCAGAAGTTATCTGTCTAGTATTCAGGAAATGAACACTCCAAATGAAATATTTGTTTTCTGAAAACCTTGACTCAGAATGAAATAAAATACAGTTCTGTATCTTTCTCTCATTGATCCCTGCATTTCATGCCATAGATGAAAAGCAGTAATTAGCACTAAGCCTGACAGAGTTAATGTTTCATTTAAGCCAACCATTTTTATTTTACTTTGGAAGAATAAATTTTTTTTCTTGTAAAAATACAATTCAAATTTTTTTACCTTCCAGGTTTCAGCAGGCTTAGCTACCTTCAAAGATTCTGATATATATAAATTAAGAGTTACATAAATGTCATAAAGCATGTGGTGAAAAATCTACAGCCAGGGTCTAGCACAAAGTATTAGATACGCTGAATAAAATGACTGATAACGCCACCTTCAAAAGGTGGGAAGTTTGACTTGACCAACAAATTGAACTACAAATCTCACGAAAGAACTATGTAAACTATGTATTAGTATACTAGGGTATGTCATGTCATGTATTTCTTCAAAATGTAAGCAAAATGCAAACTTTAAGACTGTAAGTTAGGTGCTGTAAGGGATATTCTATGGTCTGAACATTTATGTCCCTCCAAAATTCATATGCTGAAATCTAATTCCCAAAGTATTGGAATTAAGAGGTGGAGCCTTTGCGAGGTAACTAGATCATAAGGGTGGAAAACTGGTGAATGGGATTAGTGCCTATAAGAAGGCAGAGAGCTAATTTGCCTTGCTGCCATGTGAAGATACAGTCAGAAGGTGCCATTCTGGACTACTGAATCTGCTGGCACCCTGGATCTTGGACTTCCCAGCCTCCAGAACTGTAAGGATTAAATTTCTGTTGTTTATAATTACTCAGTCTAAGGTACTGAGGTATAGCAGCCTGAAAAGAAAGATAAAATAGTTGGTTAGATGGATTATTTATTTGGCAAAGTCTTAGTTGCCCAGGATGGAATACAGTGGTACAATCATAGCTCCCTGCAATGCTCCCGCCTCAGCCTCCCGAGCAACTGGGCTACAGGTGCGTGCCACCATGCCCAGCTAGTTTATTTTTTATAGAGACAGGGTCTTGCTATATTGCCCAGGTTTGGAATTTAACTCCTGGCCTTAAGCGATCCTCCTGCCTCAGCCTCAAAATGCACTGGGATTAGAGATGTGAACCATTGCGCCTGACCCAGCAAAATATATTTAATTGGAAACTCAATCTCTGATTTGTAGGAGTGTATAATACATGCAACTTTGGATAAGTAACAATGTGTACCTTAGTATCTTCATAATTAAATACCTCAGATTGTTATTGAAAGAACACAATGAGATGGGCTGGCAGATACAACTATTTTCAAGCTTAAAGTTCCAAATAAACATATTAAAGTAGTATTAATATTCACAGATGACAATAAGGAAAAAAATAAAATGGGAAATAAAAAGAAAAGATGATCCTAAAACAGTTTACCCTAACCAACTTTCTTGTAAAGTAAATAAAGCCAGCATGGTGGGTCATGCCTGTAATCCCAGCATTTTGGGAGGCCAAGGTGAGAAGATCGCTTGAGTCTAGGAGTTCAAGGCCATCCAGGGCAACATAGTAAGACCCCCATCTTTACAAAAAATAAAAAATTAGCTGGGCGTGGTGGTGCACGCTTGTAGTCCCAGCTACTCAGGAGGCTGAGGAGGGAGGATCACTTGAGCCTGAGAGGTCAAAGCTGTAGTGAACCCTGATTGTGCCACTGCACTCCAGCATGGGTGACAGCATGAAACTCCGTCTCAAAAAAGAAAGAAAGAAAGAAAGAAAAATATTGATTCTATGACTTAGTAACACCATTCTTAAAAATTTATACTAAAGAATACCATAAAATTAGGGGAGGCAATACAAATGCCTAGGAGTAAAAAATAAATAAATAAATAAATAAAGTGGAAACAACAGTAGATCATGGCATATTGTTAGAATAAATATTGATGCTCAACTCTTTACCAATCAAAAGGCAGCTTCCAGAGCTTTTAAGTTCTATGACTTAAAAAGAAATCTAGGTTAGATCTTTCCTTCTAGTAGATTTAGTCTCAAAGGAATAAACATCTGGTGATTTGTATTATAATGAGCATTACTGTTAGAACATTCTTCTAATAAATCTATTTTTTAGAAAAGATGTACTGCATTGTCATTGCCATTTTTATTGCTGAGGTCAATATTTTCCAGTGAACATAAAATCTAGTTTTCTAATAAACTCATCTCAGATGGATAAAATTGGTACCATAGATTCTCTGAGAACATTTTTCTTCTGTCAAGTAAGTAGTGTTCTCTGAAAAGTATGAATTACAAATACAGTTAACCCTTGAATAATTTGAGAGTTGGGGAACCAAGCCCCAAGCAGTCGAAAACCCACATGTAACTTCCGACTCCCCCAAAACTTAGCTACTAATAAACCTGTTGACCAGAAGCCTTCTGTTATTTGTCAGTTACATAAAGTCAATTAACATGTTTTGTATATTATATACTGCATTCTTACAATAAAGTGAGCTAGAGAAAATAAAATGTTAAGAAAATCGTAAGGAAGAGAAAATACATTTACAGCACTGTGCTGTATTTATCAATACGGTAAATTTATGTCATCTGTTTATAAGATGGAATCATCTATCTGAAATGGTGGGCAACCACAACTGTAAATCTACAGTATGTATGAAGCAGTTCAACTTTTTCTGGCAATGTCATGACTTTCCTCTGCTTCTTTGGAGTACTTCCAGCATCACTGGTGGCATTTTGTATGGATTCCATAGTGTTTGATTCAAAGTTTGCAGTATTGCACTAAAACACAATGAAAAATACACCAGAATAGTGAGAGAGCACTTTTTACTGTGATATGCAATTTAAATGCGAGACAAACTGCTCATGCAGAGGGTCATACAGCATGTTAAGTGGATATTCCCAACACTTGAGCTCACAGCAATAGCAACAGAAGGTGATTATGAAATTTGATGCAGTTATGATTTGATACTTCATCTTTATATTCTACTTTCTTTTTTTTTTTTTTTTTTTTTTTTTGAGACAAGGTCTCACTCTGTCACCCATGCTGGAGTGCAGTGGTGCTATCTTGGCTCACTGCAACCTCCGCCTCACGGGTTCAAGCAATTGTCCTGCCTCAGCCTCCCAAGTAGCTGGGCTTACAGATGCACGCCACCACACCCAGCTAATTTTTTTTGTATTTTTTGGTAGACATGGAGTTTCACCATGTTGACCAGGCTGGTCTCAAACTCCTGACCTCAAGTAATCTGCCCACCTCGGCCTCCCAAAGTGCTAGGATTACAGGCGTGAGCCACAGCACCCAGCCCTGTTTACATTTCTTGACTGTGAACAGTGCTGTATATGGTCTGTAAGTGTGTAGGTATGAAAGTTTTGTTACCTTCTGGACCCAATTTTTTGTTAATAAAAAAATCATTTAATTATTAATTAAATCATTACTTATTAAATGATTCTTAAAGTTCCTTTTAGTTTAAAAATCCCAGAACCTAGGTTATTCTACTCATTTTCACAAGTTAAAGCTTTATTGAGAGTCTTTTTACATATTGTTCAGCCTAATTCAATCATGTATCTGTAATTACTTTTCTATAGTTTTATACATAGTTTATATTCTCATTATGTTTTAGTACTTTTCTATATTACCTTCGTCTAATGCTATTGTTATTTCCATATATCCATATCCTTAAACAACTATAATGGTTTAAAATGTTCCAAAAAAACTAAGTAATAAATTTGGTTTTAGTACAAACTGTTTCAGTCAACCAAATAAACAAATTACCATTTTGATAACAAATAGATTAAAACTCATGTCATCATTACCTTGTATCTTGTCCTAAGTAAATAGATTACCATTTTCAATTTAACATTGTAGGAAACGCTACTCAGTGTAAACAACTCCCCCCTCCCCACTTTCTACCTTTAAACACCCACTTAAACATAGACAAATTATATACACTTATGAATTTTTTTTTTTTTTTTTTTTTTTTGAGATGGGAGCCTTGCTCTGTCACCCAGGCTGGAGTGCAGTAGCACGATCTTGGCTCACTGCAACCTCCACCTCTCAGGTTCAAGCAATTCTCCTGCCTCAGCCTCCCCAGTAGCTGGGATTACAGGCATGAGCCACCAGGCCTGACTAATTTTTGTATTTTTTGTAGAGACAGGGTCTCGCTGGTCTGGCTCGAACTCCTGACCTCAAGTGATCTGCCCGCCCTGGCCTCCCAAAATGCTGAGATTACAGGCATGAGCCACTGTGTCTGGCCACACTTATGCATTTCTAAGCACTCTTTACACAGAAGATTTCCATCAGCAGGAATAAATTTTTTTTTTTTGAGACAGGGTGTTGCTCTATTGTCCAGACTGGAGTGCAGTGGTGTGATCTCGGCTCACTGCAGCCTCCGCCTCCTGGGTTCAAGCCATTCTTGTGCCTCAGCCTCCCAAGTAGCTGGGACTATTGGCATGTGCCACCACACCTGGCTAATTTTTTGTATTTTTAGTAGAAAGGGGGTTTTGCTATGTTGGCCAGACTGGTCTCAAACTCCTGGTCTCAAGTGATCCGCCCACCTTGGCCTCCCAAAGTGCTGAGATTATAGACGTGAGCCACCATGCCCAGCCTAAAATCTTAAAATGAACCGCTAACTTTATGGTTCCAGGGTAGTTACTTTGTCAAGCCCAAATACACACATAATAACAAGACAGTTTGGGAAACTTTTTAATTCAAGGAAGAAAGTGATTTGTTTTCTTCTTTATCATGCTCAGGTATACTATACTGTGATTTTAGGGATTTTACCAATACTTTCTCCTGACATACTAGGTGGAAACTTGTATATGCTGGTCAGAGTCATCAACAAGTAGGAAAAAAAAAATCACATTTAATTCTTACAGGAAGATTTTCTAAGCTGAAAAATACAGCAAAAATGTTTAAACCCTGGCACTTAAGGTAGATAGCAAACTAAAGTATCTCATACATAGAGAACTGACCAAAATAAAAATACCAACTTTTTTCACTACAATAGTTTCAATGTATGTGTTCTAAAATATAATAATGTATTATAAAAGATTGCAAGTATGTAAGAGTATGTAAGATCAGTATTTTGATAAAGAGCAAGTTCAATCTTCTAAGCCTTCTTAAAAACAACTTTTGGGCCAGGCGCAGTGGCTCACACCTGTAATCCCAGCACTTTGTGAGGCCGAGATGGGCAGATCACAAGGTCAGGAGTTCGAGACCAGCCTGGCCAATATAGTGAAATCCTGTCGCTACTAAAAATACAAAAATTAGCCAGGTATGGTGGCAGACGCCTGTAGTCCCAGCTACTCAGGAAGCTGAGGCAGGAAAACTGCTTGAACCCGGGAGGTGGAGGTTGCAGTGAGCCGAAATCGCGCCACTGCACTCCAGCCTGGGTGACAGAGTGAGACTCCCCGTCTTAAAAAATAATGATAAATAAAAATAAAAATAAAAAAACCTTTTGCTTCAAAGTTTACATAAACTTGGGCCTCAGTTGCCAAAAGTAGCCATAGAATGATTCTGAGATTTTCAGAATACCTTTAAGCGGCTGGGCATGGTGGCTCACGTCTGTAATCTCACCACTTTGGAAGGCTAAGGCAGGCGGATCACCTGAGGTCAGGTGATTGAGACTAGCATGGCCAACATAGTGAAACCCCATCTCTACTAAAAATCCAAAAGTTAGGCAAGGCATGGTGGCTCACGCCTGTAATCCCAGCACTTTGGGAGGCCGAGGTGGGTGGATCACCTGAGGTCAGGGGTTCAAGACCAGCCTGGCCAACATGGTGAAACCCAGTCTCCAATAAAAATACAAAAATTAGTCGGGTGTGGTGGTGCACACCTACAGTTCCAGCTACTTAGGAGGCTGAGGCAGGAGAACTGCTTGAACCTGGGAGGCGGAGGCTGCAGTGAGCCGAGATTATGTCATTGCACTCCAGCCTGGGTGACAGAGCAAGACTTCATCTCAAAAAAAAAAAAAAAAAAAGAACATAAAATATATTTATGACAAGTTTCATTCTAAGAAGGAATTAAGAAATATGAAAAGTACAAATACTGACTTATAAAATCAGTTTTGACATCCTACGTTGCCAATTCAAGAAATTATCAGTTTAACTTTCAATCATTTTCAATTATTAAAACTACAGCAGCTGAATTTTTAAAAATTCAGTATATTAACTGTTGCCAGTTCATGAAGATTTAAAATAATTTAAAAATATATTTTTAAAAGAAAAGTCTGACTTCAGTCATAAGCAGACACCAAAAAAAAAGTCAATGTTAGAAAAAGTGCTAAAAAAAAAAAAAAAAAAGCAGCAGCTAGTACCTTTTAACACTATTTTTACTATTTAGGATCATGGGTAGTCCTTTCCAAGCCATCACCATTAACTGTCTTAACTTTCTGTTACTTGTACTTATTTTCATCACGAACTTGCAAGGCTTGCAAGGACTGAACCAACCTTCTCTATCATTAGGGGGGTTTTTGCGTGCGTGTGTGTGTGTGTGTGTGTGTGTGTGTGTTGGTTTTTTTGCTTTCTTTTTGGTGAGTCTTCTAAACTGAGCAATTTCTTCAAGCACAGGGGGTTTTTGCGTGTGTGTGTGTGTGTGTGTGTGTGTGTGTGTGTGTGTGGTGGTTTTTTTGCTTTCTTTTTGGTGAGAGTCTTCTAAACTGAGCAATTTCTTCAAGCACAGCTGACCCTCAACAACACAGGTTTGAACTGCACAGGTCCACTTATACATGGATTTTCTTCTGCCTTTGTCACTCCTGAGACAGCAAGACCAAACCCTCCTCTTCCTCTTCTCAGTCTATAACAAGGATAAAGATTTTTGTGACTAGCTGGGAATGGTGGCTCACGCCTGTAATCCCAGCACTTTGGGAGGCTGAGGCAGGGGGACCACTTGAAGCCCGGAGTTTGAGACCACCCTGGCCAACATGGTGAAACCTCATCTCTACTAAAAATACAAAAATTAGCTGGGCATGGTGGCGCGAGCCTGTAATCCCAGCTACTGGGGAGGCTGAAGCAGGAGAATCACTTGAACCCAGGAGGTGGAGGCTGCAGTGAGCTGAGATTGCGCCACTGCACTCCAGCCTGGGTGACAGAGTACTTAATGAATAGTAAATATATTTTCGCTCATGATTTTCTTAATAACATTTTTTCTCTATCTTACTTTATTGTAAGAATAGAGTATATAATACATATATCACACAAAATATGTGTTAATCAACTGTTTATCTTATAGGTTAGGTTTCCAGTTAACAGTAAGCTATTAGTACTTAAGTTTTTGGGAAGTAAAGTTATATACGGATTTTTGACTGCACAGGTGGTTGGCTTCCTGTTGTTCAAGGGTTAACTGTAAATTAGAAGAATCTGAAGTAAAGCTCTGTCATCATGCAAAAGCTGTAACTATGTTTCAGAAACGCAATCTGTATTTCATAGACATTAACAGATGTTCTGTCCTCTGCAACATCTAAAAGAACCAAACACAAACTCCCTATACCAAAATACTCCCATCTCCCCTAAGCACACACAGTTCTACTCTCAGACACACCTTAAAAATAAAACATTTGGAAAAGGAATACCATTTCAGAAATGAGGAAAAGTATACAAAGACACAACACATTTGAGTTTGGAAAGAAAGCAGTCACATAATCTTACCATCAATGAAGCAAGACCTAAAATTACTTGCTAAATTACTTGCTGTCAGTAAGGGTTACATACAGGAAGCTTAAGAAAAAATCTACTATGGGGGGCAGGGGGCGGGGGAAGAAAAGATACTCTCATTGAAGCATTATCTGCAAAGTGAAAGAATTACCAACCAAATATTAACTGGGCTGAAAGATGTGTATCATTAACAGGAAGCTTACCCTGATTTTTAAATGCTGTATAAATTTTCCTTTTCAACCCAATTCTTTACTTTCTCTAACTGGGACAAGGCAGAAGCAAAAGATAGACAGCAATGGAATCAGAGATAAGGCAAGAAGGCAATATACTCAACTGTGTTTTCCTATCACTTCTGGCCTATTTTGAAAACAGTACTATTTATCTTTGTTCTATTTATTAACCCAGAAAACATCTGAGTGATGATGCCAGTAAGCACTGCCCTCATTGAGTTAAAAATCTAATAAAGACAAAGTGTCTTTATAATAGCTACAAGGCAGAAGTGAAAAACCCTACGAAAGAGGTAAAACATGATACGGAGGCACACAAGGTACTAAAAAGTATGTACAGCTGTGAGGATGAGGCTAAGGTTGGTGGATTTATGATGTCAAAGTATTGAGTTACAAAGAACTAAAGTGGATTTTGAGTAAAATTTGAATTCAGGAAGAAAGTTCAAAGAGTGGAGGGGCTAACTAAATGATCTGCTAGGTAAGTTTTAAAAACAAACAAACAAAAAACCTAGGAACAACAAAAAAACAAGACAGGGAGCTATCAAAACAGCCCAAAATTCAAAATGAAAGTTCAGGCTAGACATGGTGGCTCATGCCTGTAACCCCAGCACCTCAGGAGGCCAAGGGAGGAGGATCGCTTGAGGCAGAGTTTGAGACCAACCTGGGCAACATTACAAAAAATTTTAGAAATTAGCTGAGCATGGTGGCATGTACCTGTAGTCCTAGCTACTTGGAAGACTGAGGCAGAAGGATCCTTTGATCCTAGAAGTTCAAGGTTACAGTTAAGGTACAGTTGTATCACTGCATTCCATCCTGGGCAACAGAGTGAGGTCCTACTTCTAAAAAAATAATAAAAATAAAATGGAAATTCAACATAAAAAGTCACTAATAATAGTTGCTAAATACTCCTAGCAAGTAAAGGATACTGACAGAATCTCCACATATGCAGTAATATCCATAAGGACAAGAGAGATATAAGCCCAGGGGCCAGCGTCAAACAACTTGATTCTCAAGAATTTTAGTGAACTGATAAGTTCAGCATAGGTTGTAGAATGAGAGATACAAGGACTAGCAATAATAATGACCCCAATGAAGGGCAAAAAGACTTAAAAACAAGAATATCATTCCAAGTACCTAGAAAGGACTATTCTTGGTACGGGGCCCTGATATGGTTTGATACAGGCCCCTAAGATTACTTCTGTTGTTATTTTTTGTAGAGATGGAGTCCTGCCATTGCTCAGGATGGTCTCAACTCCTGGCTCCAAGCAATCCTCCCACCTTGGCCTCCCAAAGTGCTGAGATCCCAGGCATGAGCCATCGTGACCAACCCAGATTACGTTTTAAATGAGATTTTTATGCATATTCAACTCCAACGATTCATGATATAATAAAATATTTTTAAATTTTGTTTAGGTGGACTCTACCAGCATTAAAGAAGAATCACTGAGCTCATAACTGAGCCTATGGAACCGCCCCATAGCCACATCTTAATGTACTCAGTTCACTAAAACTGCTCCACAAAAAGCTCTCATGACAGCTATTTTGTTTGTTGTATAAAATGGCCATCAAACAAAACATTTTACTAAAGCTGATAGGACAGTCAATAAGTGCTCAGATATGTACAGGAAATGGGTGGTCTTTGACAGAACTATAATTATGTAGGAACAAAACAAATATAGATCTTTCCAATCTCGAATTTGATTCTTAAATCTTTCAAGAGGATTAAACTTTGAAATGTCTCCTGAACTCTAAAACAGGTACAAGGAGATGTATTACAACTTACCCAATTTACATAATTGGCACACCTAAATTCCTGCATTGTAGTGAAGACGAGTCTACAACTTTGGCTGCACATTAAAATTACCTGAAGGCCAGGTGCAGTGGCTCATGCCTGTAATCCTAGCACTTTGGGAGGCCAAGACGGGCAGATCATGTGAGGTCAGGATTTGAGACCAGCCTGGCCAACATGGTGAAACCCTGTCTCTATTAAAAATACAAAAAATAGTTTTAGGTCTAACGTTTAAATCTTTAATCCATCTTGAATTGATTTTTGTATAAGGTGTAAGGAAGGGATCCAGTTTCAGCTTTCTACATATGGCTAGCCAGTTTTCCCAGCACCATTTATTAAATAGGGAATCCTTTCCCCATTTCTTGTTTTTCTCAGGTTAAACGTTAGACCTAAAACCATAAAAACCCTGGAAGAAAACCTAGGCATTACCATTCAGGACATAGGCATGGGCAAGGACTTCATGTCCAAAACACCAAAAGCAATGGCAACAAAAGACAAAATTGACAAATGGGATCTAATTAAACTAAAGAGCTTCTGCACAGCAAAAGAAACTACCATCAGAGTGAACAGGCAACCTACAAAATGGGAGAAAATTTTCGCAACCTACTCATCTGACAAAGGGCTAATATCCAGAATCTACAATGAACTCAACCAAATTTACAAGAAAAAAACAAACAACCCCATCAAAAAGTGGGCGAAGGACATGAACAGACACTTCTCAAAAGAAGACATTTATGCAGCCAAAAAACACATGAAAAAATGCTCATCATCACTGGCCATCAGAGAAATGCAAAGCAAAACCACAATGAGATACCATCTCACACCAGTTAGAATGGCAATCATTAAAAAGTCAGGAAACAACAGGTGCTGGAGAGGATGTGGAGAAATAGGAACACTTTTACATTGTTGGTGGGACTGTAAACTAGTTCAACCATTGTGGAAGTCAGTGTGGCGATTCCTCAGGGATCTAGAACTAGAAATACCATTTGACCCAGCCATCCCATTACTGGGTATATACCCAAATGACTATAAATCATGCTGCTATAAAGACACATGCACACGTATGTTTATTGCGGCATTATTCACAATAGCAAAGACGTGGAACCAACCCAAATGTCCAACAATGATAGACTGGATTAAGAAAACGTGGCACATATACACCATGGAATACTATGCAGCCATAAAAAATGATGAGTTCATGTCCTTTGTAGGGACATGGATGAAATTGGAAATCATCATTCTCAGTAAACTATCGCAAGAACAAAAAACCAAACACCGCATATTCTCACTCATAGGTGGGAATTGAACAATGAGATCACATGGACACAGGAAGGGGAGTATCACACTCTGGGGACTGTGGTGGGGTGGGGGGAGGAGGGAGGGATAGCATTGGGAGATATACCTAATGCTAGATGACGAGTTAGTGGGTGCAGCGCACCAGCATGGCACATGTATACATATGTAACTAACCTGCACAATGTGCACATGTACCCTAAAACTTAAAGTATAATAAAAAAAAAAAAGAAAAAAAAATACAAAAAATAGCCAGGCATTGTGGTGAGTGCCTGTAATCCCAGCTACTTGGGAGGCTGAGGCAAAAGACTCACTTGAACCTGAGAGGTGGAGGGTGCAGTGAGCCGAGATCATGCCAGGGCACTCCAGCCTGGGTGACAGAGACATCATCTCAAAAAAAGAATTAGCTGAAGAGCTAAGAAAAATGACAATACCCAGGATGCATTCCAGAGCAATTAAATCATAACGTGGGGATGGTATTTTTTTTAAAGTTTCCCAGGTGATTTCGATGTGATATCAAAGTTGGAAACCACTGGTTTGAACTGCATGGTTAACTCAAAAACAACAACAACAAAAAACAAAAAACAAACCAAAAAAAAAAAAGGAGGAAAGTATGATCTACAGTAGAAAATGAGAAAATGAAAGCAGAATCAAACAAGAAACCTGGATGTAGCAACATTACCTTTTACTAGTTTTAACAGGACTTCAATACTTCCAAATCAAAAGTATACTGAAACTTAAATCAAAATACAGCTGGGCAGAGTGGCTCACGCCTGTAATCCCAGCACTTTGGGAGGCTGAGACAGGCAGATTGCTTGAGGTCAGGAGTTCAAGACCAGCGTGGCCAACATGGCGAAACCTCGTCTCTACTAAAAATACAAAAATTAGCCAGGCATGGTGGCACATGACTGTAATCCCAACTATTTGGAAGGCTAAGGCACGAGAATCACTTGAACCTGGGAGGTTGCAGAAAGACAAGATCATGCCACTGCACCGGGTGACAGAGTGAGACTGTCTCTAAAAAAATTTTTTTTAATTAAAATACAGTCATTTCTCATTATTCACAGTAGTTAAGCTCTCTACAAAGTTGTGGCAAACACTAAATAAGTAAATATGGAATCCATGGTTAGAGGAAATACAGGGTTAGATTCCTGCCAGCCTCTGGTCACATTATTTTCTTCAACCAATCAAAAGTAACTTGTTTGCATTTGTCTAAAGACTTTCTTTTTGAGACAGAGTCTCGCTCTATGGCCCAGGATGGAGTGCAATGGCATGATCTTGGCTCACTGCAACCCAACCTCCACCTCCTGGGTTCAAACAATTCTCCTGCCTCAGCCTCCCGAGTAGCTGG
The DNA here is from genome assembly GCF_000001405.40 of Homo sapiens. NCBI lineage: Eukaryota > Metazoa > Chordata > Mammalia > Primates > Hominidae > Homo > Homo sapiens. The sequence continues at coordinate 73,864,712 of NC_000008.11, forward strand.
GATTACAGGTGCATGCCACCATGTCCAGCAAATTTTTTTGGGGGGGGGGGGCGGGGGGGGCTGAGGGGATATTTTTAGCAGAGATGAGGTTTCGTCATGTTGAAGCTGGTCTCAAACTCCTGACAAGTGATCCACCCAACTCAGCCTCCCAAAGTGCTGGGATTACACGAATGAGCCACCATGCCTGGCCTCTTATTTACTATATATTGTTGATTAATATCAAACTCACAGCCAAAAGCACTATAACACATGCCTGAACAAATTTTCTCCAAAAGGCACAGCACAGCCTTCACGTATACAAAGGAACACTAGACAGCACATAAGTTAAACAGTGAAATTACCAACAAAAAGCACAAAAAAGCGAAATAATGTGGCACAAAATAGACCTCAAAAAGTCTTGTTTGACCTCAGCTGGGAGTGTGTGCATAGAATGACAAATTCTTCACTGCTCTTTAAGTGTGCAAACGTCAAAAAAAAAAAAAAAAAAAAAAAAAAAGCACTGCGAGTATCAATTTTAGGGTTACAAACAAATGTTACGAAGACGTGAATTCACAAATATGGAACTCATGAATAATGAAGCCGGACCATAGAAACAATCAAGGTAACCTAAACTAATTGTTATAAAGAAATGAATTCTATGTCTGTAACCCCAGCACTTTGGGAGGCTGAGGCAGGAGGACTGCTTGAGCCCAAGAGTTCAAGACCAGCCTAGGCAACATGGCAAAACTCATCTCTACCAAAAATACAAAAATTAGCCAGGTGTAGTGGTGTGCACCTGTAGTCTCAGTTACTCAGCAGGCTGAGGTGGGAGAATCGCTTGGGTCCAGGAGGCCAAGGCTGCAGTGAGCCGTGACGGCACTACTGCATACCCTAGCCTGGGTGAGAGTGAAACCTTGTCTCAAAACGAACAAAAAATATGCCCAACAAGGTAATTTTCTCTACTAGAATCCTTAAATTGGTTTTCCTAAGAATGTAACAAGTTTTCTTTTATCAGATCTCTCTATATATTTTTAAAACCTATTACTCGATTTCCTTAATATATATATGTTCCTTTCATGTAGTACAAAAGACTATTCTAATTTTAAAATTTTTTAAATTTTATCTTATGGACTATCTCTAATCATAAAATGCAGCAATATTTAAAGAAAAGGCAAGGTGGTTATACTAGACAACACCTGAGATGCCCTCTGGCTCAAAGGTTTTGTAAGTCTAAAGACTGAAGTTGATAACGCCTCTTTTAATTACAATAAAGGCTTATAGGTGAACACAAACATATTCTCAGCAGACCAGGAGCAGTGGCTCATGCCTGTAATCCCACCACTTTGGAAGGCCAAGGCAGGTGGATCATGAGGTCAAGAGATCAAGACCATCCTGGCCAACATGGTGAAACCCCGTCTAAAAATACAAAAATTAGCCGGGTGTGGCAGCGCGTGCCTGTAATCCCAGCTATTCGGGAGGCTGAAGCAGGAGAATTGCTTGAACCCGGGGGGTGGAGGTTGCAGTGACCCAAGATTGTGCCACTGCACTCCAGCCTGGTGACAAAGCAAGACTTGGTCTAAAAAAAAAAAAAAAAAAAAAAATATATATATATATATATATATATATATACTCAGCAATATTTTATACTACAATCACATTTTTTAGTAGTAGGACTGCAATATAAATTCTTATCTGAGGAACAGCTCTCCACTCACCCAGAGAAGTAACCTGAATCCAACTTGATACTATCAAACCTGATGGACTCTCAGCTTGGTCCTATACAACTTCAAATGGAAAACAAGCTGCCATATTAATACTATGAAACTAAATAATCCCTACATTATATGCAAAAATGAATTCAAAATGAATCAAAGACCCAAATGTAAAAGCCAGAATTATTATATTTTTGGAAAAAAACTTAGATGCAAATCTCCATCACCCCCTGGATTAGGCAATGATTTCTTAGATATGACACCAAATAAACAAAGAAAAAAACATAAATTTTGCCAAAATTAATTTTTGTGCTTCAAATGACACTATCGGAAAATGAAAACAGCCCACAGAAAAAAAGTAAATTGGCTGGGCGCGGTGGCTCATGCCTGTAATCCCAGCACTTTGGGAGGCAGAGGTGGGCAGATCACAAGGTCAGGAAATCGAGACCAAAATCAGCTAGGTGTGGTGGCAGGCACCTGTAGTCCCAGCTACTCAAGAGGCTGAGGCAGGAGAATCGCTTGAACCCATGAGGCAGAGGTTGCAGTGAGCCGAGATCACGCCACCGCACTCCAGCCTGGCGACAGAGCGAGGCTCCGTCCCAAAAAAAAAAAAAAGAGGAAATTTTTGTGAATGTAATAAATAATGTCTAATAAAGGACATGTAGTCTAAATATATAAAGAATTCTTATAATTCAACGAAATGACAAATTGTTTAGGACCAGGTGTGGTGGCTCACGCCTGTGATCTCAGCATGTTGGGAGGCTGCAGTGGGTGGATCACTTAAGGCCAGGAGTTCGAGACCAGCCTGGCCAATATGGCAAAACCCCATCTCTACTAAAATATAAAAACTAGGGCTGGGTGCAGTGGCTCACGCCTGTAATCCCAGCACTTTGGGAGACTGAGGCGGACGGATCACAAGCTCAAGAGATAGAGACTATCCTGGCCAACACGGTGAAACCCCATCTCTACTAAAAATACAAAAATTAGCTGGGCATGGTGGCACACGCCTGTAGTCCCAGCTACTCGGGAGGCTGAAGCAGGAGAATCGCTTGAACCTGGGAGGCAGAAGTTGCAGTGAGCCGAGATCACGCCACTGCACTCCAGTCTGGCAACAGGGCGAGACTCTGTCTCAAAAAAACAAAAAACAAAAAACAAAAAATTAGCCAGGCGTGGTAGCACGTGCCTGTATTCCCAGCTACTCAGGAGGCTGAGGCAGGAGAATCGCTTGAACCTGGGAGGTGAAGGTTTCAGTGAGCCAAGATCATGCCACAGCCACTCCAGCGTGAGTGACGGAGTGAGGCTCTGTCTCAGAAAAAAAAAAAAAAAAAATTATTGGGCAAAAAATTTGCATAGATATTTCTCCACCGAAATACCAATATGCACAAGAAAAGACACTTAATACATCATTAGCCATTAGTGAAATGCAAACCAAAACCACAATGAGATGCCACTTCACACTAGGATGCTATCATCAAAAAACCACCATAATAAACACTGGCCAAACATAGAAACTGGAGTTCTTGCACAGTGCTCACAGGAATGCATAATGCTGCAGTTGCTGTGGAAAAGTTTGGCAATTCCTTAGTGTGGTATTGCGATTTACAACAAGAAATATATATCTTCATCCAGCTCCTAAAACCCTTGGAATCTTGGAAGTTATAAATATCCTTTTATATGTTAATACCATGACTGGTGGCTGGGGGCTCCTGGAGAGCCTCAGAAGGGAGACTGGCAGCCAAAGGAACCAACCATGTGATTAGAGGGTGGAAACATTCAGCCCCACCCCATCAATCTTTGGGGAAGAAGGGGGGGCTCAGGGTTGAATGGAACACCAATAGCCAATGATTTAATCAATCATGCCTAAGTAATGAAGCCTTGTAAAAACCCGAAAGGAGAGTTTGGAGAGCTTTTGAATTGGTGAATAAGAACATAGCCACATACCCCACGGGGCCAAAGGCTCCTGGGTTCATGACCCTTACAAACCTCACATATGCATAGCTTCATCTGTCTGTTCAATTGTATCCTTTAAAATATCCTTTATAATACATTAGCAATTGTGAGTATACTGTCTTCCCCGGTTTCTGTGAGCTGATCTAGCAAATTAATGAACCCAAGAAGGGGGTTGTGGGAACCTCCAATTTGTAGCCAAGTCGGACACAAGTCGTGGGTAACCTGGGAACCTACAACTTGTGACTGGTGTCTAAAGTGGGGGCCAGTCCTGTGAGACTGAGCCCTTAACTCTGGTTAGTGCCAGAAATGAACTGCAGAACACCCAGCTGGTGTTGAAAAATTGCTTGGTGTGAAAAAAAAAAAAAAACCCACATATCTGGTGTCAGAAAAGGAGAATCAAGTGTTGTGGGCGAGTACATAAGAAAAATCATTGTTTTTTCTCTATAGACTTAGAAAGTTAAAACACAGAGTTACTGTATGACCCATTTGTTCAACATTTACTGAGGTCCTCCTACATGCAAGGTATATTAACAAAAACAAATTAAAACACAAGCCTACATAAAAACTTGTACATACATGTTCACAGCATTATTCATACTAAAAAGGGGAAACAATCCAAACTGTCAATTAATCCATTGATGAATGAAAACAGGAAACACAAATATCTGATATTTAAATAACTGGTGAATGGATAAACTGCAGTACAACCAAAAAATGGGCCATTACTTGGCTACGAAAAGGAATAAGTATTCATACAAGCTACAACATGGATGAACCTCAGAAACATTATGAACTGGGCATGGTGGCTCAGGCCAGTCATCGCAACACTTTGGGAAGCCTAGGCAGGAGGGGTGCTGAGACTGGGAGTTTCAAGATCAGCCTCGGCAACACAGTGAATCTGTCTATATAAAAGCTTTTTTTAAGGCCGGGCACAGTGGCTCATGCCTGTAATCCCAGCACTTTGTGAGGCCGAGGCGGGCGGATCACAAGGTCTAGGAGTTCAAGACCAGCCTGGCCAACATGGTTAAACCCCGTCTCTACAAAAATACAAAAATTAGCTGGGCACAGTGGCTCACACCTGTAATCCCAGCACTTTAAGAGGCCAAGACAGGTGGATCTCTTGAGGTCAGAAGTAAGAGACCAGATTGGCCAACATGGTGAAACCCCGTCTCTACTAAAAATACAAAAATTAGCTGGGTGTGGTGGCGCACGCCTGCAGTCCCAGCTACTCGGGAGGCTGAAGCAGAAGAATTGCTTGAACCTGGGAGACGGAGGTTGCAATGAGCCGAGATGGTGCCACTGCACTCCAGTCTGGGAGACTGAGCAAGACTCTTGTCTCAGGGAAAAAAAAAACTACAAAAATTAGCTGGGTATGGTGGTGCATGCCTGTAGTACCAGCTATTACGGAGGCTGAGGCAGGAGGATCACTTGAACCCAGGAGGCAGAGGTTGCAGTGAGCCTATTGTGCCACTGCACTCCAGCCTGGGTGACAAAATGAGACCCTGTCTCACCTGTCTCAAACAAACAGCTAAGTGAAAGAAGCCAGGCACAAAAGGTCATATATAATATAATTCCACTCTCACAAAATACCCAGAATAGACCAATCCAGAGACAAAAAATAGATGAGTGGTTTCCAGACACTGGGGAAAGGGGGAAATAGGGAGTGACTGCTAATGGATAAGGAGTTTCTTTCTGGGGTGATGAAAATGTTCTGCAAACAGCAGTGATGGTTCTGAACAGATTAAAAACCACTGAACTGTATACTTTAAAAGGGTAAGTTTTATATGTGGATTATATTTCAATTAGAAGAAAAAATTGTGCATTAAAAGGATGTCAAAATGGACTTTAATAGCTCACAATTTTATTTGACTAATTCTCAAGTTTTGAAGAGGATTGGCAAAAAAACACACACTTACTGGAAACCATACTTCCACCCTCCTTCCTGTGGTCTGAAAATACAAAGAAAGACCTCATGTAACACATGGTCATAAAGGAAATCTATTTTTTCCATTGATAGCTAGTGCAGGGACTAGAAATCAGAAAAAAAAAAAAGACAAAAGCATCTAGTAGAGCTAGCTTAAAATGGGAAACATAGCATTAAAAGATAATTCACCAATTCCAAAGATCCAGGAAATGAAATAACCTGTTTTTATCATCCCTATTTTATATTTGGAGGTGGGAGGTTACACAGCTATTAAACAACAACACTAGAATTCAAACCCAAGGTTATCTGATTCCAAAAGCTGTGCTCACTTATTCATTTATTCGACATTTACTGAACTCTCCTACATGTCAGGCACTAGGTTACATCCAAGAAAATAGAAAATAAGCTAATTAATACATAGCCAAAGGTATGAAGAATTTATCAAGGTAAAGGAAATTATTAGCGCTGGGATGGGAGAGCTATTTTATATTGGGTAGTCAGGAAGGGCTCTCTTAAAAAAAAAATATTTGAACAAAGCTATGAGTGAAAAGAAAAAAAAAAAAAAAAAAAGGAAGCCATCCAGATCATCCAGATGTGTGAGAAGAGCATTCCAAATAGAGAAAACAACAAGCAGGAGTAGCAAGGAGGACAATAAGGCTACAGAGACATGAGTACCTGGGAGAGGTTAAGACCTCCTAGGCTATAACATGGATTTTGGATTATATTCTGAGGAAGAGAGGGAAGTCATAGTAGGATTATGAATGAAATGACATGACTTTTGTTTAGAAAGAATCTATTGGGAATCTAAAGAGATAAGTAAACGGATGAGGGCAGAAGTAGGAAAACCAGTATGACACTGCTAATATAATCCAGGCAAGAAATGAGGATGTCATCTGTATTTACATCAGGAATTCAGAAAATCAGTTGAATTCTGGATATATTTTGAAAGCAGAGCAGATAGAAATTTGCTAATGGTTTGACTGTAGGGTGGAATGAACCCAAGGTTTCTGGCTGAGCAAATGGAATGAAGTTGCCTATATACCAACATGGGGAGTACTACAGAAAACAAGTTTGGGTAAGATAAATACAAAATGCAGTTTTATATGTTTATCTATCTGCTAATCTGTTTTTGTCTACCCACTACACTCCATAATGATTTCTGTGCAATATAGCTTTTTAAAAAGTAGTGAAACAGGACCTGAATTTGGGTCTTTTCATTACAGAGCCTGTGTTCTTTATCTCTAATGAAGTTTTACAAAAGCAGCTAAATGAAAGTAGAGTATTTTCTTAGAATAAAACAACTCAAAAGCATGCGCTGTTTTTTGGTGATCCAAGAACTACATTCACAAATAAAGGCTTTCAAATGAGGACACTTTAATACCTGACAAACATGAACAAGTATTTTGCAGATACTACTCATAATGAAGCAGACAGCAATAATATAAAGATGGAATAAAATTCATCTAACAAATGCTTAATTTAGGTAAATACTAAGGAGAACTATATTTTCAGAGAGATGCCAGATCATCCCTTTATTTTTTATTTTTATATATACTTTTTGAGACAGGGTCTCACTCTGTCACCCACGCTGGAGTGCAGCGGCACTTTATTTTTTATTTTTATATAAATTTTTTGAGACAGGGTCTCACTCTGTCACCCATGCTGGAGTAGAGTGGCACAATCCTGGCTCACTGTAGCCTCGAACTCCCTGAGCTCAGGTGATCCTCCCACCTCAGCCCCCCAAGTAGCTGGGACCACAGGAATGTGCTACCACACCCAGCTAATTTTTGTCCCACGCTGGGATCATCCCACCTTAAAAACTCTCCTTGATAATGAAGATTATCTTTGAAGGCCAGGCGCGGTGGCCAGCCTTGAAGGATAATCTGATATTACTTTCTGCTTTAGATTTCCTGCTTCATTAAGGCAGGAAAAAATACTTTCCCTCTATCCCTTAAATGTGCACACAGTGACTACCGTAAATATTTGTCCATTACTTAACACTTCAAAAAGCATTCCTAAATAGCTAATTCTGCATTAGTTTAATTCTATTTTAGGTCAGTCTATTAAGCAGTTCTACAATAGTAAGGTTCAGTACCTATAAAGGAATAATTTAAAATTCATATTTATATAATATACCAAAAAAGTGGCTTATTTTCTTGCTGCATGCGTTTGCCATAACTGTAATGTTCTTCATAGTATCTTCATATTCTTTATAAAAAAGGAAGTCAACTAACCTAATTTCATTCTAATAGAGACATAGCAGTAACTGCTGGTAAGTATGTACTTATTTGGAAAGTGACTTACTCAAAATTACACAGTAACTGAGTAGTGAAACTAAGCTCTGAAATCTGTTGATGCTGTGAAGGTGTAAGTAATGAACACAGTTTGGCATCACAGAGAAATCATTGGTGTAATTATGTAACTTTTCAGTCAAGAATTAAGCATTTACTAAACTACTTTATAGTTTTTATAGCTAAAGAAAAGAAGAAATATTCCTGAGTTTATAACACAAGGTTACTTTATGTATCATATTTTAAAAAGAAGTTCTCATGTGTATACTTGTGTACTGAGTAAAATTATAATTGTAAATTTTTACTGTTCAAAGATAATCCTTTTTTTTTTTCCTTTTTTTTTTTTTTGTTTTAGCTGGAGTCTCACTCTGTCGCCCAGGCTGGAGTCCAGTGGCATGATCTCCGCTCACTGCAAGGCGCCTCCGCCTCCTGGGCCCAAGGGATTCTCCTGCCTCAGCCTCTCAAATAACTGGGATTACAGATGCGCTCTACCACGCCTGGCTAATTTTTTTTGTATTTTTAGTAGAGACTAGGTTTCACCATGTTGGCCGGGCTGGTCTCGATCTCCTGACCTCAGGTGATCCACTCACCTCAGCCTCCCAAAGTGCTGGGATTACAGGCTTGAGCCACCATGCTGGCCTATTTTCTAACTTTTAATTATGTTGTAACCCTTCCATACTGACATCAACAAACAGACGTCGTATCTAACTGTCAAGGCAACATGACTACTACAACAGTAATGTCTGTAAGAGTCCATGTTCCATCTCTCTCAATCACTATAGCCAATTACTTGAGCAAAGAGCAGTGGGCTGGGGGCAATGGCTCATCCTGTAATAATCCCAGCACTTTAGGAGGCCAAGGTGGGCCGATGGCTGAGTCCTGGAGTTCAAGGCCAACTTGAGCAACAGGGAAAAAACCCATCTCTACAAAAAATAAAAAAATTAGCCAGGCATGGTGGCGTGTCTATAGTCCCAGCTGCTTGGGAGTCTGAAGTGGGAGGATCACCCGAGCCTGGGAGGACAAGGGTGCAGTGAGCCAAGACCACGTCACTGCACTCTAGCCTGGGTGACAGAGTGAGACCCTGTCTCAGAGAGAAAAAATTTTAAAAGCTGTGAATAATCCAAAATAATGCATTATTTCTAAGTCTGAAAATAAGCACACATTCATACTTTATCTCCTGTTATTAAATCTCAACCTCCTTCCATCCCTACAAATTGACAGTTAACAGTCTAAGACCCAGCTAGGTAAGAGAGGAAGTAAATGCAGAAATTTCACAAGGGTAATTCAACTGACCATTTCTCTCAATTATATCACTGTTTTTAGAGTTGACAAACATCAACTACTATGCACTGACTTTCTAAGATCTTAAGACACAACGTAACAGGAGGTTTTATCTAAAATTAACAATTCTAGAATGTCAAATTAGAAAATTAGACAGCATATATGTTAAAATTGCTAACTTACGAGAAGTCTGAATGAAGCAGTTAAATTCTAAAATCAGAAATTATATCCAGGAGGTCAAGTACTTCATAACATTAAATAATACATAGGAAAGAAAAAAGGTTATAAAATTTAAAAACACGGCCGGGCGCGGTGGCTGACGCCTGTAATCCCAGCACTTTGGGAGGCCGAGGCGGGCGGATCACGAGGTCAGGAGATGGAGACCATCCTGGCTAACACAGTGAAACCCCGTCTCTACTAAAAATACAAAAAATAAGCCGGGCGAGGTGGCAGGCGCCTGTAGTCCCAGCTACGCGGGAGACTGAGGCAGGAGAACGGCATGAAGCCCGGGGATTGGAGCCTGCAGTGAGCCGAGATCGCACCACTGCACTCCAGCCTGGGCGACAGCGAGACTCTGTCTCAAAAAAATAAAATAAAATAAAATTTTAAAAAAGCATTTAACAACAACAACAAAAAATTCAATTTTAGGATTCACCTGAGAAAAGAATACCTCAATACTGCTACACTTTCAAAAATGTTTAGAATCACATAAAAATTCACTTCAATAAAAGAATGCTTCTGCAGTTTGGGGATAAAAGTTTCTACCAAATAATCAGTCCCTAAAACGCTAAAACTAAAAATTTGCTACAAGAAACTTTTCATGTAATATTTAAAGATTTTTAGAATTACCAAAATTAAATGTAGATCTGTTTAACTCCTATCAATTTTAGGTATCACCACAAATATAACATTCTCTTAATGATGGTTTCTTAAGACTGGGCACATAGGCTCACGCCTGTAATGCCAGGATTTGGGGAGGCCAAGGCAGGTGACTGCTTGAGCCCAGGAGTTCCAGACCAGCCTGGGCAACATAGTGAAACCTGTCTCTACAAAATACAAAAACCTGTAGTCACAGCTACTCAGGAGGCTGAGATGGAAAAGATCACTTGAGCCCAGGGAGGTTGAAACTGCAGCAAGCCGAGACAGCGCCACTGCACTCCAGCCTGGGTGACACAGTGAGACCCTGTCTCCAAAAAAGAAAAGGTTTCTTAAAACATAATTTAACTGTAATCTTACTTGGTGATACATTACTTTTTTCTAGGAAGAAACAATAGGAAGGAAAAGAAAAAAAGAAAATGAGTAAAGAATGTCTCAAAGGGATCACATAAGTCTGAAAACCACTATCTTGAATTGTATATGGCAGAACTCTAGCAATATTAGGGAGTAGAGCGTCCCCAGCATTTACAGGTGTGCCAGAATATTGATCTCCCATCCCGGGAGTTTCATGAGGTGCTGCCTGCCAGGTGCTTCTAGCCTCCCAATCTCATCTACTTTAGTGTACTATTCAAAACTTACTTTCTATGTGGGCAGAACCTAAAAGATGGTTGAGACGCACTGACAGAATACATTAAAGCAGTTACTAGCTCAACTTTAAAATACATACTCTCCAATAAGAAATTCAAAGTCTACCCTTACTTGTTTTACTCATTACCAAGTAATGAAATCCCATGTTACATTTGTATAATATGGCATTTTAAAAAAAATACAGTTCCTCTTAGAGCTTAAGTAACTTCAGCAGCAGCAGCAACATCCTGGTGTGGGTTAGATAAATCTACTAAAAGCTTTTTGGGTTAAGGACATGGTCATTCCATGTTACAGCTTATTTTTTCCTAATCGAAATCCCCAAATGATCAATTTCCTAGTCTTCTTCCATGCTTTTTCTCCACTGCACTATCACCTTCTAATATAATAACACACTTGGCCGCGTGCAGTGGCTCACACCTGTAATCCTAGTACTTTGGGAGGCCGAGGCGAGTGGATCGCCTGAGGTCAGGAGTTCAAGACCAGCCTGGCCAACATGGCAAAACCCAGTCTCCACTAAAAACACAAAAAAAATTACCTGGGCGTGGTGGCCAGCGCCTGTAATCCCAGCTACTCAGGAGACTGAGTAGGAGAATTGCTAGAACCCTGGGAGCGGAGGTTGCAGTGAGCCAAGATGGCATCACTGCACTCCAGCCTGAGCAACACAGCGAGACTCCATCTCAACACAAAAAACAAGAACAAAACACAATTAACTTAAATATGCTGTTCTTATCTGTCTCTTCTTATGAGACTATTTATTATTAAATCCATGAGGGCAGAAATCTTGTCTGCTTTTGTTCATTGCTATAACCACAGCAACTAGATAAGTGTCTGACACATAGAGGTCCCCCAAAAGATAACTGGCTCAGTGAATAAACAAAGTTGATAATTTTATTGAAGATTTATGTATAATCTAGTTGTCTTAAAAGAGCCAAATGTTGCCATTAAGATAGTCAGGATATAAATTCTGTATAACAAAGATACAGAATAACCACACAGAAAGTAGGGTTGTCTTTCAAAAAGCTTGACATATATATTAAAATATTCTTAAAGATACTACCAGCAAATCTGCACTAGATATTTTAAAATACAAATAAAAAGGGAAAGACTTTTCAATAAATATAGGAAGCATCCGTTTTCCATTCCTCTAACCAGAAAACACAGAAGAATAGAGAGTGATAAGATTTCGATGGAACAAGGTGAAGGAAAAACTTAAAAGGGTGGTAAGAGTCTGAGATAGTAATACTTAGGGCACAGAAAAATGCACTATTGCACTGTCAATCAAGTATTTGTTTCCAATTCTTAAGACATCATGTAGGCCAGGCACGGTGGCTCACACCTGTAATCCCAGCACTTTGGGAGGCCAAGGCAGGCGGATCACCTGAGTTCGGGAGTTCAAGACCAGCCTGACCAACATGAAGAAACCCCGTCTCTACTGAAATACAAAATTAGCTGGGCGTGGTGGTTCATGCCTGTAATCCCAGCTACTCAGGAGGCTGAGGTGGGAGAATCGCTTGAACTCGGGAGGTGGAGGCTGCGGTGAGCCAAGATCGCCCCATTGCACTCCAGCCTGGGCAACAAGAGCGAAACTCCATCTCAAAAAAGAAAAAAGACACCATGTAAAGTTCAAGTTCAAGATTACCAACCTCTCTCTTACAAACAAATCTGCCTTTTCCAGATACTAAATCTAACGAGATGACACACTACGTTCTCTTGTCAAATACAAGTGTTGTGGATTTTAATCTTAATGTTTAGCCTCAAATAATGTTTTAATCTTAATACAGATAATAATCTTAAACTTGTCATAAAAAATGTTTTAATCTTAACACAGATAAAAATCTTTAAGTGGTAATGTAGCCTATTGCATCTACTGTTCAACTAGCATTCCACTGTTCCTTTTTTGGCCTCAAATGACGAAACTTCTCCAACGTCTCTGGGGAGACTAGTGTAAAGTATAATGTTTCCTGAAATTGTTCCTGTTTTTTCCCTGCACCATTCGTGATATCTCTTCAACTAGAAATGTTACATAAAACTTTTCTGTTCTGCAGGCAAGTCCAGAGGGAGAAGCAAGGTAAAGAGAATATTGTAAGGAAAACAGGTTGAAAGGGGAATAACATAAAAGCACAGGAGTAAATGTGAAGCAAAGCTATATTTGTACAAAAGAGGAAGAAGATGCAGAAAAGGGAAGAAAAACACTTTTAGCAGAGTAAAGAAAAAAAAATGGAGGAGGAACAGAGACTTGCTTCTTCCAGAAACAAAAGCAAAAAACACTTCTAAGAAAATGTGGTCTCTTTACCCAAGGGGATATTATGAAAACGCTAAAGGGTACTCAGCTGACACTCCTATTGAGCGTTCTACTTTCTCTTCCAATGCCTTTGATACCGCTAGTCTTCACCTGTGAATTAAATGCAGGCTACAGATAACGCACTCAATCCCTGCACAACTACAATTGTGGTTGCCATCTTTGCCTGGAAACAAAAAACAAAAAAACCCACAACTCCCTAGATTCGGGAAAAAGGAGTAAATTAAGTTGGAAAGCCAGAAAACCACGCCTTGCTAAGTCGGGGGGATATGGCACAGGTTAACAAACGCCTCCTACCAAACTAAGGTTCCACTAAAGGTCTGGGAATAAGGGCAAAGAGATGTATAGCCTTATCGCGACCGCAAGGGTGGGGCCTTGCAGTGGGAAACAAAATAGAAGGCAAGCTATCCCGAGAGGTTTAAGGGGGCTGAGGACTCGGCTCTCGGGAGATCGCCCATCAGGCGGTGGACACGGGGCAGCTTCGAGAGGAAGGAGACAGTGGACTGCTGGAGGAATGTCCGCGAGAATACCGAGGCTGATGGAAATAGAAGATACCCACGGGCACAGGATTAAGAGTCAAAGGGAAGAAGAGAGGGACGGGGCCGAGCAGTCTGGGGGGCCCGGCGTGGGAGGCCGGAGCAGAGGCCGCTAAGCGCCGTCCGCAGCCAGCCGCCTTCTCCGGAGACGCATTCTCGGCTCCCGCACACTCAGCCCCCCGCCGCCCCTGCCCCGGCAACAACCGCGGGCGCAGCTGTTTCCGTCGGGCCAGGGACAGCGGGGGTAAAGGCAACCCTGGGGCTGGCGGGCAGCAGACTGGCAGCGCCCGTGTGTGTGTGCGGGGAGCCGATTCTGAGACCGCCAACGCCAGACTTTGCCCTTTCTTCCCCAACCCTCCTTTATCACCCAACTTCCCGGCCGGCTGGTGTCCGCTTCGACCGACGGATACCGCACCCCCCACAACGCCTCTCGCCGCCTCTTACCCCTCCCCCGACGCCCTGAGCTGAGGGAAAACAGGCCACCCGGACCGATCCCGAACCCGCCCGGGTGTCCCCGAATCGCGGACGCCACCCCCGCCCGAACGCTGGCACTCTCTCGGCGGCTCCCTGGCCCGCCCAGATGCAGCAAACTCCTCTCACCTGCATTGACGCCATGATGGAACCATCCCCCCAAGACCGGCGAGGCCAGAGACGCAGGGGGAGGAGCTGCCGTGCTCGCGTCACGCCGCGGGGGCTCAACATCCCGGGCGCGGGGGCGGGGTCTGCGATGGGAAGGGGATGGAGCGAGGGGATTGGCTGGCGCGCAGGGCGGACGGGAGGAGGGGCTACGGGGCGGGGCGAGGGCGCGGTAAATGGCGCTCTGAGTACTTTCTGTCTCAGTCCGGCTGGCCGCTCACGCGTCGGGCCCCCATTTACTCTCGTTACTGAGGAGACACGGCTCCAGTTTTGACCCGACTACGGTTGTTTTCTTCGTGTGTACCGCGAAATGCTGATGACGTCCGGTTCCGCGCAGTTTTTTTCCTATTTCGTTTCCAACCACAGTTGTGCGGTTCACAGATTTTTCCCTTGGGATGTGTTTTCCATACCTCCAAGCCCACTCTCAGAGCCTTGGGGCCCCATAAAACTTCATGCGCAGCTGCTTTCTGGTATTTGCAGACCTGGAAGGCTTCTCGTATTCTTAATTTGGGGAAGAGAGACATAGGTTTCCTTGTACAACGGGATGAGGATTTAAGAGCAGAACGACACTGATATTTTAAAGGCGAGGGTATTTAGATTTGTGGAGCTGAAACTTGCCTGAAAAGGGAGACAAAATTTGGAAGTTTGTTGTGTGCAGTTTCTGCCCCTTACCCCCGCCCTTCACTTTTAAACTGCGCATATATCAACAATAGTTACGGTTGTTGCAGCAGTCTAAATTTGATTATCAGAATTGACCCTAGGCATGAATTTTTTTTTAAATATACCAATGTCGTGTTATATACACTTATACCATTATGTCCAGACTTCTCTTAAGCATAGTTCGTGGTGGGCAGTTTTGTGGTCATTTAGGGATGAACTTGGGTAGGGAAAGCTGAGCATACATAATTTATTTTAGGAATGCACCAGTTCTGCCAACATTTATCAGAAGTCACGTTTTTAAAAAGCTATTCTGGAACTGAAGATGTCATTGGTTTATAAGAGGAAAATGGAAGCCAAAAGCTTACACCTCATGCTCTATCTTTAAAAATTAAGGTGGCAGACACAATGAGTAGAAGGCTTTTATGTTACCAGAATGAAGGCTTAAAATCTGTCATTTTATTGACTCGGCTTTCTTTTTAGAAATTTCTTTAAGATATAAAAGCAATGTGGAATATCACTCTTTCACACTCTTAAAATAGATTACGTTCTCTGGAACTTCTCTAATCTGAAATGTGTTCAAAAAGGAAAAAGATCTTTAAAATACGCCAGTTAGTCTATGGTATAATATTAAACACTATTCATCACTAGAGAAGTTATGGTGGTATACCCTCCCCTTTCTCAGATGTCCACCTTAATGCCAGAAATGAGCGGAGTTTCCCTTTGTTGTGCAAAATGACTGTGTCCTTGAGGGATGTTTGGATGCTCTTGGTAAACCGGAATCAGCCAGAAGCATATCCGGTGTTAGCCTTGTTGTGTCATCAACATTACAACAGTGAGGAAACCCACATATTCCAATGAAAGAGGAAAACTTAAAGAAGAAGTTTCCAGTGTATTTTCTTTGAGATATATTTATTCCTATGACCTCAGAAGATCAGCTTTTACCGTCCAAGGTTCACTTTGCCTAAAAGCTGATTGTTCCTGTGGAAACAGTAGCATCGGATGACCCTACAAACAAAGCATTATGACATCATCAGAGCCAACAACCTGGCATGACAGATACTAATAAGGAAAAAAGAGGTTACAAGAATTCTGACACTCATCACAGTGGATCCAATATCTGGTCCCTTGGGTTTCATATATGTTAGAAGTATCTTCTCAGGAGGGAAAAGTCAATGCCAGTCATATCCTTTCTAGGTAATACTAAATAGCACATAATAACCTGTCTTCTTTTTTTTTTCTTTTTCTTTGAGACGGAGTCTCAGTCTCACCCAGGCTGGAGTGCAATGGCGCGATCTTGGCTCACTGCAACTTCTGCCTCCCAGGTTCAAGTGATTCGAGTAGGTGGGATTACAGGCGCACACCGCCACGCTCTGCTAATTTTTTGTAATTTTTTTGTATATTTTGTAGAGATGGGGGTTTCACCATGTTGGCCAGGCTGGTCTCGAAGTCCTGACCTCGTGATCCACCCGCCTCAGCCTCCCAAAGTGCTGGGATTACAGGTGTGAGCCACTGCGCCCGGCCATTCTTTTGTTAATATTTAATAAAAAGATCCTGACATAGGAGCCAAAACAGTGACTTACAGATGGTATGGGGGGTATATAATTATCTCCAGTGAGCATGTAATGTTAATATCTAAAACACTATTATGCCATGTTTGAAGACTAGGCTCATATTTCTACAGAGCGAGGCTTACTATCATTACTATCAGATAGGCAAAAGTTAAAATGTCTGACAGGATAATGCCAGTGCACTCCAGTCTAGGTGACAGAGCAAGACCCTGTTGTCTCAAAAAAAATATCTGACAATACCAAAAGTGAGAGAGGAAGTGGAGCTCTCATAAACTCTATAGGAGTGACACTAGTGCAATCACTTTGGAAAATAGTTCGGCAATAATGAAGTTAAAGTTTCCCATATCCTTACTGGATCTTCTTAATAGCATCATATGAGTTTTATATATATTTATATATATATTATAAATATATATATTTATATATAATATAAAATATATATATTATATATTTATATATATATTTATATATATATATATATTTTTTTTGAGACGGAGTCTCAGTCTGTCACCCAGGCTAGAGTGCGGTGGCGCGATCTTGGCCCACTGCAACTGCAGCCTGCCGGGCTCAGGTGATTCTCCTGCCTCAGCCTCCCTAGTAGCTGGGACTACAGGCATGTGCCACCACACCTGGCTAATTTTTTGTATTTTTAGTAGAGACGGGGTTTCATCATGTTGCCCAGGCTGGTCTCGAACTCCTGGCCTCAAGTGATCCACCTGCCTTGGCCTTCCAAAGTGCTGGCATTACAGGGATTACAGGCCATGCTTGGCCACGTAAGAGTACATTGAACAAATGCATATGTTAACATTGTTTGGATCTAGATTCAAACAAACTGTAAAAGAGATATTTTTGAGACACCTGGAGAAAATTAAATATAGAGTAGATATTAGAGGATATTAAGGAATTATTATTTTTGTTAGATTTGATAATGATGTTCACTTTTTCATTTCCACAGCTATTAGAAATGTCCATCAGCTTACGAGGAGATTCTCCCTCATCTCACAAACTACCTGCATCTCCACTTCCCTGGAAGAAAAAAAAAATCTGGACATACCCAAGCTGTGTATGTGCCTGAGATCTTCCCTTCCAAGGTAAAGAGAGAGCCTGAGACAGGTCTAAATTAGCATCTGGACTTTCTGCTAGTAAAGAAAAGGAAATATGGGAAACTAAATAGTAACATTAAAGGACCCACAAAGGGACTACTGGGTAAGTGCTATAATGGATAATGTAATGTGATTTATGAATGCTTTTGTTCTAGTGATTTATTAAACTGGGAAGTCAGAAGCAGTCCTGTGAACATTTGTTTGTTGAAGCATGAAAAGGCAGAATTGATGAGTCCTTGCTTGAGTCTATGCCTCCACCCAGTAGTTTGTTCTTAGTCTCCTAGGGGCTGATCTCAGCAGAGAAATGGAGACAGTTCAGTCACCAACAGTTTGTTACTGGATTTTGGAAAAGGTACCAAAGTAAGAATCCAAGGCTTGTATTCTTATCTTAGCTCTGTGATTAACAAGCTTAGGTAAGGCTTCTAATCTTTCTGGGTTTCTTTCCTTATCAATAAAATGCGCAAGTCAGACTGCATAATCTTTATGGTTTCTTCCAAATTTCAAATTCCATGCATCTATTAAAGAGAATCAAAATTGTGCATGATTTGTCTAAAATACCATGTTAAAAAGTCTAAGATAAAATGAAATGGGAATTACATACCATTTTGAGTTTAAAAATCACTTTTGTAAATATATTAAGGAATGAACTTGGTTTTATTGCAATTTATGTAGAAATACTGGGAAGTAGAGGGGGCTTTGATTAACAATTTTAAAATGCTGATGCAATCCAGTCGAAATATAGATGGGATTTCATAAAGTAGCAAAAATTCTATATTCATAATTCAGAGTGATAACAAATGCATATCTATAAAGCAAAAGTGTGTTTTTAAAAGTAATTTTAAATCCCAGTCATTTCATTTAAGTCTTCTAATAAAGGATGAAGAAGATGAACAAAATAACAATGGTTTGTAAGTGTGACTTATTTTGAGTGTGACTTATTCTACGTGTCAAAAATAGTTGATTTATATACACATATAGTTTGCAAAGAAAACTGTGAATCAGGAAAACTTTTACTTTATTCCCCATCTTTGCCCTTCTCTAGCAAGAGTTCTTTTACCCATGTCTGCAGCCCTTGATATTCCCTGTTTATTTCTCACCTAAACCTCTTACCAAACATGTTCATAGCAAGCCGTTACTTGAAAAGACTGTGGTTCCTTTTTATTTATTTATTTTTGCCATGGATCTCATTAAAAATCAAATGAAAGCCATGGACCCACTCCACAGAAAAATACATATACCCATGAAAATTTGTATTTCAGGAAGCTTCCTGACCCTTAGAAGTTCATCCATCAGGGTCAGGCATGGTGGCTCATGCCTATAATTCCAGCATTCTGGGATGCTGAGGCAGGAGGATCGCTTATGCCCAGGAGTTTGAGACTAGCCTGGGCAACATAGCAAGACCCCATCTCTAAAAAAAAATTAGTTGGGCATGGTGGCATATGCCTACTACTTGGAAGGCTGAGCTGAGATGATCACTTGAGCCAAGGGCATCAAGGCTGCAGTGAACTGTGATCATGCTACTGTACTCCAGCCTAGGTAAGAGTGAGGCCCTGTCCCCTGACCCAAAAAAAAAAAAAAAAAAGTTTATCCATCAGATCAGCAGCATAGGTGTATAAACCTCAAGATAAGGCTGGGCTTGGTGGCTCACACCTGTAATCCCAGCACTTTGGGAGGCTGGGGGCGGGGGAGGGGGTGCAGATCACCTGAGGTCAGGAGGTCGAGACCAGCCTGGCCAACATGGTGAAACCCTGCCTCTACTAAAAATACCAAAAGTAGCCAGACATGGTGGCATGCACCTGTAATCCCAGCTACTAGGGTGGCTAAGGCAGGAGGATAGCTTGAAGCCGGGAGGCAGAGGTTACAGTGAGCCAAGATCACGCCACTGCACTCCAGCCTGGGTGACAGAGGGAGACTCTGTCTCAAAAAAAAGAAAAAAAAGAAAAAAGATAAGACCACTTTTCCTTTGTGTGGAAGCTGGATTTTAGGCCAGGCATGGTGGCTAACACCTGTAATTCCAGCACTTTGGGAGGCCGAGGCAGGCAGATCACTTGAGGTCAGGAGTTCGAGACCAGCCTGGGCAACACACTGAAACTCCATCTCTACTAAAATTACAAAAAATTAGCCAGGCATGGTGAGAGCACTTGTAATCCCAGCTACTCGGGAGGCTGAGACAGGAGAATGGCTTGAAACTAGGAGGCGGAGGTTGCAGTGAGCCAAGATGGTGCCACTGCACTCCAGCCTGGGTGACAGAGTGAGACTCCATCGCAAAACAAAAAACAAACAAACAAAAACAAAACAAAACAAAAAAGCTGGATTATAGGGGAAAAAAACACTTTTCATGAAGAGATGAAGATAGATACCAGCTCAATCTCTTGCCCTTCTAAAATTTTCTTTTCTTTTCTTTTTTTTTTTTTTTTTGGAGACATAATTTCATAACACTTGTTCTCTTCTTGTTCAGTTGTTTGTTTTCTGGTCTTCCTGAAAACCAAGATGCTGTGCGAAAAACCCTGGATTGGGAACCAGAAGAGTTGAGTGCTCATCCTGATCCTTCCCAGGAGTGATACTAAACTTGTTTAACAACAGGTGTGGCAAAGGTGCCAACCATTCAGAACGAGGCTGCTTATTACTGGTGTGGGGTCCTGAAAAGTCTCTGCTGAGTGGGCTGGGTATCTTTAGTCAGACCATGGGGAATTCCAGGTTGCAGGGGCGATTGAGAGGCTATGGATAGGAGGTTCTTTGGGAGTCTGAGGCCAATAGCTATTTACTCACCACTGTAGAATGATTTCAATGATTTCTTTTTGGTGTGATGGAAATATCACACCAAATGAGTTGGTCGTTTAACTTCATTAAACTTTAGCTTCCTTATTTGTAAAGCGAGAACAAAATTTCCAACACATGGTTTATGGTGGGGTCTAAATAAGATCATGGATGTGAAGGATCTTTGTGAATTGCATAGCACCACATTGACGAGAAGCGATATCTAGTTTTCCTTCCTCATTACTCAGTGCTCTTTGTCCAGTAAGCAGGTGCAATGTTGACTGGAGATAAGGAATAGGGTATATGACAGTGACTGAAAAATACCTCTGCCAATATTCTCAAATTTCATATCACTTGTGAACATAGAAGAGTCTGGGCAGGCCAGGCGCGGTGGCTCACGCTTGTAATCCCAGCACTTTGAGAGGCTGAGGTGGGCGATCACCTGAGGTCGGGAGTTCAAGATCAGCCTGACCAACATGGAGAAACCCCATCTCTACTAAAAATACAAAATTAGCCGGCGTGGTGGCACAAGCCTGTAATCCCAGCTACTCAGGAGGCTGAGGCAGGAAAATCACTTGAACCCAGGAGGCAGAGGTTGCAGTGAGCTGAAATTGTGCCACTGCACTCTAGCCTGGGCAACAAGAGGGAAACTCCATTTCAAAAAAAAAAAAGACCTCATAAAGACCCTCATAATTCCCACTGTGTGAGGCACAGCAGAAAGATAGCTGTTGATGAACCAGTAAGTGAGCCCTCATTAGACACTGAACCTTCCAGTGCCTTGATCTTAAATTTGCCAGCCTCTAGAACTGTGAGAAATAAGTTTCTGTTGTTTATAGGCTGCCTAGTTGATGGTATTTTGTTATAACAGCTCGAATGGACTGAGACACTTTGAACGGAGCTTGCTATCGACAAAATTTCAAGGTTGGAGCCAGAGCAGTTAGGCAAGAGAAAGAAAGAAAAGGCATCCAGATTGGAAAAGAGGAAGTCAAATTGTCCCTGTTTGCAGATGACATGATCTTATATATCAAAAAAACCTAAAGACTCTACCAAAAAACTCTTAGAACTGGTAAATTAAAGTTATGGAACATAAAATAAATATACAAAAATCAGTTGTGTTTCTACACATGAACAATCAACTAGCTGAAAAGGAAGTCAAGAAAGCAATCCCATTTACAGTAGCTACAAAAAATAAAATAAAATACCTAGGAATAAATTTAACCAATGAGTGAGGAAAACTACAAAACACAAATAGAAGAAACTGAAGAGAATACAAATTGAGAGACATCCCATGCTCATGGATCAGAAGAGTTAATATTATTGAAATGACCATACTACTCAAAGCAATCTTCAGAGTCAGTGCAATCCCTATCAAAATCCCAATGGCGTTCTTCACAAAAATAGGGGGGAAATCTCTAAAATTTGTATGGAACCACAAAAGACCCCAAATACCAAGGGAATCTTGAGCAAAAAGAACAAAGCGGGAAGTATCCATCCTACCAGACCTCAAAATATACTACAAAGTTGTAGTAACGAAAACAGCATGGTACTGGCATAAAAACAGACACACAGACCAATGGAACAGAATAGAGAACCCAGAAATTAATCCACATATCTACAACCAACTTATTCTTGACAAAGGTGCCAAGAATACTCACCAAGGAAAGGCCAGTCTCTTCAGTAAATGGTGCTGGGGAAACTGGATATCCACATGCAAAAAAATGAAACTAGGCTGGGCACAGTGGTTCACACCTGTAATCCCAGCACTTTGAAAGGCTGAGACAGGAGGATCAGTCGAGCCCAAGAGTTTGAGACCAGGCTGGGCAACACAGCAAGACCCCGTCACCACAAAAATAAAAAAACCAGCCAGGCATGGTGGCACATGTCTGTGGTCTCAGCTACTTCGGAAGCTGAGGTAGGAGGATGGTTTGGGTCCAGGAAGTTGAGGCTGCAGTGAGCCATGACTGTGCCACTGCATTCCAGCCTGGGCAACAGAGTGAGACCCTGTCTCAAAAAGAAAAAGAAAAAAAATTGAGTGAAATTATGAAATTAGACCCCCAACTTTCACCCTATAAAAAATTAACTCAAAATGGATCAGAGACCAAAATGTAAGATTCAATATCATAAAACTACTAGAAGAAGACATAGGGGAACTGCTTCAGAACATTGGTCTGGGAAAAGGTTTTATGAGTAAGACCTCAAAAGCACAGGTAACAAAAGCAAAAATAAACAAATGGGATTATATAAACTACAAAGCTTCTGCACAGCAAAGAAAGCAATCAACAGAGTTAAAAGACAACCTACAGAATGGGAGAAAATATTTGCAAACTAATCATCTGACAGGAAATTAATATCTAGAATATACAAGAAACAAATTTTTTAACTTAATTTTATTTTTTGAGACAGGGTCTCACTCTGTCATCCAAGCTGGAGTGTAGTGGCACGATCATGGCTCACCACCTCAACCTCCCAGGATCAAGCAATCCTCCCACCTCAGCCTCTTGAGGAGCTGAGACTACAGGTGCACACTGCTGCACCTGGCTAATTTTTTATTTTTCTTGTAGAGAGAAGTCTCACTATGTTGCCAAGGCTGATCTTCAACTCCTTGACACAAGCAATCCTCCTGCCTCAGCCTCCCAAAGTGCTGGGATTACAGGTGTGAGCTACCACGCCCAGCAGAAATGGAAACATCTCAACAGCAAAAAACCCCAACAATCTGATTTTTAAAATGGGCAAATGATCTAAACAAACATTTCATAAAAGAAGAAATGGCCAACACATATATGAAAATATGCTTAGCATCATTAATCATCAGGGAAATGCAAATCAAAACCACAATGAAGTATCAACTCACCACAGTTACAATGGCTATCAAAGACAAAAAGTAACAAACACTAGTAAAAATGCAGAGAAAGGGAAACTTTTATACACTGTTGGTGGGAATACAAACTAATATAACCACTATGGAGAACAGGCTGGAAGTCCCTCAAAAAAACAAAAATAGAACTAACATATGATCCAGCAATCCCTCTTCTGGGAATTTATCCAAAAGAAAGGAAGTCATTCCAGCAAAGAGACATCTGCACCCCCACGTTTATTGCAGCACTATTCACCAGAGCCCAAATAGGGAATCAACCTAGGTGTCCAAGAACAGACGACTGGATAAAGAAAATATGGTACATATATACCACAGAATACTATTCGGCCATAAAAAAGAATGAAATCCTGTCATTCATGGCAACATGGATAGAACTGAAGGACATTATGTTAAGTGAATTAAGCCAGGAACAGAATGTTAAACAATGCATGTTCTCACTCATATGTGGAAGCTAAAAAAATTGATTTCAGAAGTAGAAAGTAGAACAGAGGATACTAGAGACTGGGAAGGGTAGGAGGAAAGGAGGGAGAGATCTGTTAAAAGATACAAAATTACAGCTCAATAGGAGGAATACATTCTTGTGTTCTATAGCACTGTAGGGTGACTATAGTTAACAATAATATATAGTTTTGTTACACTGTAGTCAGACATGAGCAGGGCAGGAAAGTGCCCCCCACCCCGACCAGGAATGTCAGGCAACCATCAGGTGATGGTCAGGCCATTGTTAAACTGTCTCTCTAAACTAACAATTGGTCGCAGCCAGCACCAGGGAAAGGCAGCCTCCCAATAGATAGAAACACCTGAAACTGGTGATCAGTAGCTTCCTGATAAGATCTCAGGAGTTGGGCAAGTAGGCTCAAGCATGCACACTAAGAGGCAAAATGGGAGTATTTAGCTGGTATATGACCTTCTTCTAGGAACACTTGACTGGTAAGGCAAAAATGCCTCAAGGGAGCATGTGCACAGTTTCAGTAAACACTGTGCATGTGGCCCCTCCCAAGTGCTGGCAGGCTACTGTACATGTGGACAGTCCACCCCAAGGGAAGAATCAGGAGAAAGGATGCAACCCTCCCGGAGAATGTCAATGTAAAAAACCCCTAGTCAAAGGTCAAACCATGCACTTGAATCTCTCAAGTGGCCTGCTTGGTCCTCTTCCAAGTGTATTTTACTTCCTTTTGTTCCTGATCTAAAACCTTTAAATAAACTTTTACTCCTGGTCTAAAACTTGCCTCGCAAAAAAAAAAAAAAAAAAATAGAAGGAAGGGCCAGGCACAGTAGCTCACACCCCCAATCCCAGCCCTTTGGGAGGCTGAGGTGGGTGGATCACTTGAGGTCAGGAGTTTGAAACCAGCCTGGCCAACATGGTGAAACCCCATCTCTACTAAAAATACAAAAGTTAGCCAGGCGTGGTGGTGGGTGCCTGTAATTCCAGCTACTCAGGAGGCTGAGGCATGAGAATCGCTTGAACCCAGGAGGTGGAGGCTGCAGTGAGCTGAGATCACGCCACTGCACTCCAGCCTAAGCGACAGGGTGAGACTGTCTCAAAAAATAAAATAAAACAAAAATAAAATAAAACTTGCCTCAGGCTCTCACTCTGCCTTATGCCCCTCAACTGAATTCTTTATTCTGAGGAGATAAGAATTGAGGTTGCTGCAAACCCTTATGGATTCTCCACTGCTAACAGTTTCAGATAGCTAGGAGGAGGATATTAAATGTTCTCACCACAAAAAAGGATAAATGTTTGAGATGATGGATATGCAAATTCCTATGATCTGATCACCATGCAGTATATGTATTAAAACATCACTGTGTACTCCATGTATATGTGCAATTATTATTTGTCAATTTAAAAAACCCAATAAAACAAACAGGCCAGATGTGGTGTCTCGTGCCTGTGATCCCAGCACTTTGGGAGGCCAAGATGGGAGGATCGTTTGAGCTCCGGACTTTGAGACCAGCCTAGGCAACATGGCAAAACCTTGTCTCTACTAAAAATACAAAAATTAGCCAGGTGTGGTGGTGTGCGCCTGTAGTCCTAGCTACCAAGAAGGCTGCAGTGGGAGGATTGCTTCAGCCTGAAAGGTGGCGGTTGCAGTGAGCCAAGATTGTGCCACCCTACTCCAGCCTGGGTGACAGAGACCCCATCTCAAAAATAAATAAAGAATACAATAAAACAAAACAAAAAAAATTAAGGTTGGGATGTTGCCTCTCCTCACCCACCAGTGTGCAAAGGTGGCCTCATTATTGTTCTATCTTCCCTACATATGGCATCTTCCCAGACCCGCCTTTATTAATGAAAATGCTAAAAGCAAACTTGGATTGAATATTTATATATGCCACATAAGCACTGTGAGAGGCACCTTGTATTTCTTGTGTAGGGGGAAAAAGTGCTTCCTTTTACCCTCCTAGGTTCAGATTCTTTGGCTGGTCTACAAATTAAATGGACATAAGGCAGATTAACAGAAAAAAACCATTTTATTTTATATTTATTTATTTATTTTTTTTGAGATGGAGTTTCACTCTTGTCACCTAGGGTGCAGTGCAATGGCGCAATATGGGCTCACTGTAACCTCCACCTCCCGGATCCAAGAGAGTCTCCTCCCTCAGCCCCCTGAGTAGCTTGGATTACAGGCATCTGCCACCATACCCAGCTAATTTTTGTATTTTTAGTAGAGATCGGGTTTTCACCATGTTGGCCAGGCTGGTCTCGAACTCCTGACCTCAGGTGATCTGCCCACCTTGGCCTCCCACAGTGCTGTCATTACAGGCGTGAGCCACCTCACCTGGTCAGAAAACCATTTTAATTACACACCTGCACGCAGGAGTCCTGCAAAAATGAGACTTAAAGAAGTGGCCAGATGATTGAGGCTTCTATGTAATGCTGAGCTACAAAAAGGGTTAGAGGTTTCTGGGGGTTGGTGGGGAGAGTGGAGACAAATTATGGGAGGGTGATGGGAGGAAACGTGATGAATAAAGGTTGCCTTGTTATACAGCTAAGTCTCTCAGGTGATAAAAGTTGTTTCAGAGTAGCTCTCTTCCTGGTACAGATGCCTTTATAAATGAAAATTTACTTTATATTTCCTTTACCAAGTGGTAACCTTTCAGAACTTCTGTGTCTGCAGTTCTCCAAAATAATATGCTAAACAAACAAACAAACAAAAAACAAAAACCACAGTCTATTTTAGGATGGCATATTCTGGTCTTCTACAGTCATATTTCAGAGTCAGGGTTTCTCCGTGTTGCCCAGACTGGTCTCGAACTTCCTAAGCTCAAGCAATCAGCCTGCCTAGGCCTCCCAAAGTGCTGGGATTACAGGCCTGAGCCACTGTCCCAGCCAATTATTTTATATTTAAAACAGTACAATGAAGTACATAAAATGATTTCCTTCTTACAAATAAGGAAACAGGCTTAGAGAGGCTAAATAATTTGCCAAAGTCACCCAGTTTATGAATAGAAAAATCCAAATTTTATCTTGGGAATTCTATTTTTTTTAATGTTGCTTTTTGTTTGTAATGATGTCCACACAAAGGATCTACCTTGGGAATTCTAACTCTAGGACTCTAAAAATCGAATTCTCCAACCAGTGCACATATTATCTTTCAGAATCCTTTCATTTAATGACCCATATCAATAGGTTTTAGAAAAAAAGTAATACTGATCAAGTTTATTCATTTTGAACTACAAAACTTAAGTTAAACTTAAGGTAGGATGGATTTTACGTTTTACCAAGGATATCTATGCCCCCAAATATATCTAATTGGTGAATTTTCAGTTCAACAAAATTCTTAAAAATGTAATTTTGTCCAACAAGCCTATATTGAATGCCAGACACTAGAGATATAGAGATGAATAAGATACAGTTCCTGCCCTCACATTGCTTATACTCAGGAAGATGGATCTAAGAAAGGATTTAACAGAATATGGGAAAAGTTACTTACTGGCTATGATGGAAGCAAACGGTAGGAGCATTTGACCCCACCTGGGAGCTAAGGACATGTGTCTGGAAGAGCCGACATCTGAGCAGAGGTGCAAAGGGGTACAGGAAAGGAATTGGGAGAGGAAACATAACTAGGTGATTGGTGTTTACAAGGGATGACAAACAGATTGGTATTGCCTAACAGAAATTGTAAAGACAGAGTGGAAGATGTGACCAAAGAGGCAAGTAAGACCAGGTCATGGAAGGTTTTATTTATTTAGCCTGTGACACAGCCTTGAGGTGATTCTCAGAACATGTGCCCTTCATGGAAGGTTCTGTTGGCTAATGAGGGGGCTGGACTTGATCTTAGAGATCATTTGGCACATTCGAGGTATTTCCAAATAGAAAGTGGTAAACCAGGCTGGGTGCAATGGCTCACGCCTGTAATCCCAGCACTTTGGGAGGCTGAGGAGTGTGGATCACCTGAGGTCAGGAGTTTGAGACCAGCCTGGCCAACATGGTGAAACCCCGTCTCTACTAAAACTACAAAAATTAGCCAGGCATAGTGGTGCGTGCCTGTAATCCCAGCTACTTGGGAGACTGAGGCAGGAGAATCGCTTGAACCCGGGAAGCGGAGGGTGCAGTGAGCCGAGATCATGCCACTGTATCCCAGCCTGGGCGACAGAGCGAGACTTCATCTCAAAAAACAAACAACAACAACAAAAACAAAAACAATAAACCAGACTTGTGTTTTAGAATGATTGTTCTAGTGGATGAACAGATTTGATCAGGTAAAGTCAGCAAAGAAAAATCAGGAAAGTAAGCTATTGCCAAGGAGTGAGAAAGTGAGGATGGACTAGGACATGTATGGAAAGGAAGGGAAGGGCTCTAGCGACAGGAGGGAGAGCAGACAGGACTGAGAGATCTGTTGTTTGTAGGGAAGGAGGAGGAGGAAAGAGTTGAGTGCTAGATTTCTGGTTTGAAAATAGAGGAGTTAGTAGAAATGGAGGCAATGAAAGTAGAAGAGGAAGAAAAAAGAATTCCCTTTTGGACATGTTTGAGATTTTCAAGTTTCCTATAGGTCATCTATTTCAGTCAGGTATTTTTCAAGTGTAAGTTGTAAAACCCATCTCAAATGAATTCAAATAGGGAGGGGAAAATAAATTCCTTAAGAAATTGTGGGAACAGAAGCTTAGCTGAAGTGGAGGGCCACTTTTTCTGTGTCTCTGTGTGAACAAAATAACCCCCAGTCTCCAGGCTCATATCCCTCCTACCAGCTCAGCAGCCCCAGGGATAGTTCTAGCTACAAAGATCTGATTGGCTTTAATCAGCTCCATCTCTCAACTAATCATCATAGTGATGAAGGAAGTGAGGTATTTACTCTGATTGGTTAGGTCTTGGCTGACTCTTACAGCATTGTGGCTGCAGTGTGGGGGTGGTCAGCCCCGCCCAGGTCACGTGTAACGAGACATCCCAGAAGGAAGAAGCTTCTTAAACTAAAATGGGAGGAGATAAGAGATGCCAGAGAAACATAAACTACAGATGTCCACTACTACAAGGAATATATTCAGTATATTCAGCAGACAATTCTACACCACAAGTTTCCGGCCCTTAAGCTGAGAGAAGGTGGGGAGAAACTCTCATTTAAGTAGAAGTTTTTGATTGTGATAACATTAGATGGCTTGAACATTTTAATGTCTGATAAGAGGCTGTTCTTGTGATAGAGGGACTAGAGCAGTTCTGGCAACTTTCTGAGATTTCATCCAGGGCAGAGAAAGCCCATCAAGCAGGTTTGAAAGGATAACAGGCAACAGCACCACATGGAGTCCAGCACATTCAGTAAAATGATTACATTTAAACCAGGAAAATAAAGAGATCACCCCAATACAGATTAGGAAAGAGAAGAACATGATGCTGAAGTCAGAAGCTAGGGGAACATGAGCATTTAGAAGCCAAAAAAAGGTCCTCAGGAATCAGTACTCAGTAGCGAGTACCATATTTTCTGTTGGAATGAGTTGTGGCGTGAACTGGTAACTGAAGAAATAGATACATCAAGAAGCTTAACTGAAGCCAGGTGCGGTGGCTCACACCTAAAATTCAACAGTTTAAGAAGCAGGGAGGGGGCAAGATGCAGTGGCTCACGTCTGTAATCCCAGCACTTTGGGAGGCCAAGGTGGACGGATCACTTGAGGTCAGGAGTTTGAGACCAGCCTGGCCAACATGGGGAAACCCCGTCTGTACTAAAACAGTACAAAAATTAGCTGGGCATGGTGGCGAGAGCCAGAAATCCCAGCTATGGGGGAGGCTAAGGCAGGAGAATCGCTTGAACCTGGGAGGCGGGGATTACAGTAGTGAGCGAGATCTTGCCACTGCACTCCAGCCTGGGCGACAGAGCAAGACTCTGTCTAAAAAAAGAGAAGAAGCAGCTGGGAGGGGAGGATTGGGATTGCTTGAGGCCAGGAGTTTGAGACCAGCCTAGGGAACACAGGGAGGGCCCCTCTCCCCATCTCTATCTACAACAAATAAAAAATTAGCTGGGCAAGGTGGTGCATACCTGTAGTCCTAGCTACTTTAAAGGCTAAGTTAGGAGGATCCCTTGAGCCTAGGCATTCAAGGCTGCAGTGAGCTAGGTTTGCACCAGGGCACCTCACTGCTCTCCAGCCCCGGCAACAGAGCAAGACTTTGTCTCAAAAAAAAAAAAAAAAAAGCTTAATCTGAGAAAAGAAAGTGGGAAATGAGATAAATGCAAAGTCAAGAGTAGGGAACAGTTTAGTTTTTTATTTGCTTATTTTAGAAAGAGATTTGAGCATTTTCATTGCCTAAAGAGAGTCTGAGAGGTCAAAGAATAAGGAGAGAGAGAAGTGTTTCAAAATGCTAGGAGTCTGAAGATGGAAGGCTGTGTGGGTGATGTACATTGGTTTTGAGGTGGAGGAAGACTCCTAATAGCTTTTTATGTTATAATACCATAGGACTGGGGGACATATTCTCCTATGATATGACATAGGAATTATAAAACCACAAGATAGACATGGTACGTCTCTGTAGAACAAGAATTTTACTGTTTGGTAAGTTATTTAAAACAGAGTGGGCCGGGCGCGGTGGCTCACTCCTGTAATCCCAGCACTTTGGGAGGCCGAGGCGGGCGGATCACAAGGTCAGGAGATCGAAACCATCCTGGCTAACACGGTGAAACCCCGTCTCTACTGAAAATACAAAAAAAAAAAAAAAAAAAAAAAAAAATTAGCCGGGCGCGGTAGCGGGTGCCTGTAGTCCCAGCTACTCGGGAGGCTGAGGCAGGAGAATGGCGCGAACCCGGGAGGCGGAGCTTGCTGCCGAGATCGCGCCACTGCACTCCAGCCTGGGGGACAGAGCGAGACTCCGTCTCAAACAAAAGAAAACAAAAAAACAGAGCGTTCTTCAGACTCTGGAATTCAAGTTCACACTCCAGTGGAAATTGAGAATCATTGAGGTAGATGTTAAACTTCATCATATTGCTTCCTTTTACTTAATTGGCTGTATCAAATGAAATGAAAAATAACAGTTTAAAAGGATTAGAGAAGCTGGCCTTGAAGAGGGATCTTACTGGCTGAAGATAAGTTTGAGCAACAAAATAAGGAATGTGACAAAATGAAACACATAACTATATACATAGACGTATCTATACATAATATAAATATGTATTGCACATAAAAGCAATGAGAGATTTAAAGAATAATAAGTTTGCAAACCCTAGTAAAATAATGGAGTCTGGCATTGATCTTCAATTCGTGTTAAAACCATTAGCTGAAAAGTTGAGGAAGAGTCTAATAATGGATGAATCACACGGACACACATAAATTTATTGATTAATTTTAATGTCAGTAAAAGTGGGACAGCCAGATATTATGTGCTTCCTGAAGGTGGTTAGGAAGTAATAGATTAAGCACTCTTACCAAAAGAATGTAATCAAGACCTATATCTCATGATCAGTCTATAGGAAATACAGAGTGAGTGAAGTGCAAAATAGAGGAACTTGTAAAACCACATCAAGAGGCTGCAAACAGCCAAAGTCAGATTATAGGAAATTCTACAGAACAAATGACTTAGTTTCTTCAATAAATGGTATAAAAGGGAGATCGAGGGAAACTCTCATAGATTAAAAGATACCCAAGAGACATATTAAACAAATGCAATATGTTAACCTCGTTTGGATCCTGACTCAAAGAACTAACTGTAAAAATACATTTTTAAAACAACAGGAGAAATTTTTTTTTTTTTTCTGAGATGGAGTCTCACTCTGTTACCCAGGCGAAGGGCAGTGGTGTGATCTCGGCTCACTGCAACCTCCGCCTCCTGGGTTCAAACGATTCTCCTGCCTCAGCCTTCCGAGTAGCTGGGACTACAGGCATGCGCCGCCACGCCCGGCTAATGTTTTTGTATTTTTGGTTGAAACGGGGTTTCACCATATTGGTCAGGCTGGTTGCAAACTCCTCACCTCAAATGATTCACCCGCCTCGGACTCCCAAAATGCTGGCATTACAGGCGTGAGCCACCGTGCCTGGCCAACAGGAGAAATTTCAACACAGGCTGGATATAGTTTGAAAAGACAGAGTAAAAGAACATTAGATATGATAGATATGAAAGTCACAAAAGTGTTATTAAATATATAGGCATAGATGATGGTTTCTGCAGAAAAATAACATGAATGGAACAGAAAAAATATGTAAAAGATTTGTGGCATAATGAGAAATATATATTTGGTCTTTGTCCTCAGTTCCTGACACAGAGCTCCTAAAACTCCTAATTTCCTGAGTGATAGGAGCACCTTTTGTTCTAATATTGTGACTCTTAGCAGGCCCCTAGATAACTAGCTTCAGGTTGGAGGCTAGAAAGATGGCACCTTGGCCGGGTGCGGTGGCTGATGCCTGTAATCCCAGCACTTTGGGAGGCCGAAGTGGGCAGATCACGAGGTTAGGAGATGGAGACCATCCTGGCCAACATGGTGAAACCCCGTCTATACTAAAAATACAAAAATTAGCTGGGTGTGGTGGTGTGCGCCTGTGATCCCAGCTACTTGGGAGGCTGAGGCAGGAGAATCAATTGAACCTGGGAGGTGGAGGTTGCAGTGAGCCGAGATGGCATCACTGCACTCCAGCCTGGGCAACAGAGCGAGACTCTGTCTCAACAACAACAACAACAACAACAACAACAACAAACAAAAAAGAAAGATGGCACCTTGATTAGAATCCTGGAACTTTCAGCCCCCCTCACCCCCAAACGTATAGGGAGAGGAGAGAAGCTGGAGATTGAGTTAATAATTGATTATGGCTGCATGATAAAACCTCCATAAAAAGTCCTAAACAATGGGGATCAGAGAACTTCCAAATTTTCATCCATATGCTGGGAAGATGGCACACCCCAACTCCACAGGAACAAAGGCTCCTGTTCTCTGGGCCATTCCGGACCTTGCCATCTGGCTGTTCATTTGTATACTTTGTAATAAATTGGTAAACATAATTAAGGTATGTTCTGAATTCTGTGAGTCCTTATAGCAAATTATAAAACATGAAGGGAGGCCAGGGGAGGTGGCTTATGCCTGTAATCCCAGCACTTAGGAAGGCTGAAGCTGGAGAATTGCTTGAGCTCAGGAGTTTGAGGCTGCAGTGAGCTATAGTCGTACCAATGCACTCCAGCCTGGGTAACAGAGCAAGACCCTGTCTCTGAAAAGAAGAAAAAAAGAAAAAGAAAATGAAAACATGAAAGGGGAGTCATGGGACCCCCTGATTTACAGTCAGTTGGTCAAAAGGACAGGAGGCCTGGGATGTGTGTCTGGCATTAGAAGTGGGGGCCGTGTCATGTGACTGAGGCTTCAATCTGTGGTGTCTGCACTAACTCAGAATAGTTACTGTCAAAATTGAGTTGTTGAATATTTGCTTGGTGCCCAGAGAATCGGAGAATTGGTTGTTGGTACCAGAAAACATCCCAGAGCAACCTAATAAATTATATATCCCTTAGTCATAAAACTAGCACCCAAGGAAATGGGAAAAATGCTAGCAGGAGTCCCACCAAGATCTGGAACAGGTACAAGGTGCACCCATCTCTATTACTACTTAACATTGTATTTGAGGTATTAGCCAGTTTAATCAGACAAGAAGGCAATTCTAATTGTTTTAATTTTGCATAATTTTTTTTTTGAGACTAAGTTTCGCTGTTATCACTCAGGCTGGAGTGCAATGGCGTGATCTCAGCTCACTGCAACATCCGCCTCCCAGGTTCAAGTGATTCTCCTGCCTCAGCCTCCTAAGTAGCTGGGATTACAGGTGCCTGTCACCACGCCCCGCTAGTTTTTGTGTTTTTAGTAGAGACGGGATTTTGCCACATTGGCCAGGCTGGTCTCAAACTCCTGAACTCGTGATCTGCCCGCTTTGGCCTCCCAAAATGCTGGGATTACAGGCGTGAGTCACCTCGCCCGGCCTAATTTTGCATAATAATTGAATAGAAAAAGTTTAAGCTTTCTATGTGTAGATGATATAACGGCATCCCCAACAACCCAAGATAATTCAAGATAAAGCAGAATAAAGTAATTTAGTAAGCTAGAAGGATAGAAGATCAACATACAACTATTAATACCTTCACATATGCAAAAAATAACTAGTTAACTTTGGAAAACAATATGATGGTTTTTCCATAAATGAAAAATATAGGCCAAGTGCAGCAGCTCATGCCTGTAGTCCCAGCACTTTGGGAGGTAGAGGCAGAAGAGTCACTTGAAGCAAAGAGATCAAGACCAGTCTGGCCAACATAGTGAGACCCCATTTCTACAAAAAATTAAAAAAATTAGCTGAGTGTGACAGCATGCCCATGTAGTACTACCTACTCAGGAGGCTGAGGCCGGAAGATTACATGAGCCTGGGAATCAAGGTACAGTGAGCTATGACCTCATCACTGCACTCTAGCCTGGGCAACAGAGCAAGAACCTGTCTCTATTAAAAAAATACATACATATATATGTATATATATTTTATATACATACATACATATGTCTGTATATATATTTATATACATACATAAAATTACCATATGATACAGCTACTCGGCTTCTGGATATATACCCAGAAGAATTGAAAGCAGGGTCTCAGGCCGGATGCAGTGGCTCATGTCTATAATCCCAGCACTTTGGGAGGCCAGAGTGGGTAGACTGCTTGAGTTCATGAGTTCGAAACCAGCCTGAGCAAAATGGCAAGACCCTGTCTCTACCAAAAAATAAAAAAATTTAGCTGCATATATTGGAACATCCTTGTAGTCCCAGTCACTTGGGAGGCTGAGGTGGGAGGATTGCTTGAGCCCAGGCTGGTGGAGGTTGCAGTGAGCAGAGATTGCGTCACTGCACTCCAGCCTAGGTGACAGAGTAAGACCCCTGTGTCAAAAAAAAAAAAAAAAAAAAAAAGAATTGTTGAAAGCAGGGTCTCAAAGATAAGTTGTACGCTCACGTTCATAGCAGCATTATTCACAGTAACTTAAATGTAGAAGCAACCCAGGCGTTCATTAACAGATGAATAGACAAGGAAAATGTGGTGTACACATACAATGGAATATTATTTAGCCCTAAAAAGACAGGAAATTCTGACAAATGCTACAATACGGATAAACCTTGAAGACATTATGCTAAGTGAAATAAGACAATTACAAAAAGGCAGTCATGTGCTGCATAACGTTTTGGTTAATGATGAACTGCATGAATGATCATGGTCCCATAAGATTATAATGAAGCTGAAAAATTCCTAGCACCTAGTGATGTTGTAGCCATTGTAACTTTGTAGCTCAATGGATTACTCATGTTTGTGGTGATGCTAGTATAAATAAATCTGTTGTGCTGTCAGTCATATAAAAGTGTATAGTAGTCCGGGCACGGTGGCTCACGCCTGTAATCCCAGCACTTTGGGAGCCAAGGTGCGCAGATCACGAGGTCAGGAGATTGAGACCATCCTGGCTAACACAAGGAAACCCCATCTCTACTAAAAATACAAAAAATTAGCCAGGCATGGTGGTGGGCACCAGTAGTCCCAGCTACTCGGGAGGCTGAGGCAGGAGAATGGCGTGAACCCAGGGAAACCCCATCTCTACTAAAAATACAAAAAATTAGCCAGGCATGGTGGTGGGCACCAGTAGTCCCAGCTACTCGGGAGGCTGAGGCAGGAGAATGGCGTGAACCCAGGAGGCAGAGCTTGCAGTGATACAAGATCACGCCACTGCACTCCAGCCTGAGCGACAGAGCGAGACTCTGTCTCAAAATAAATAATAAATAAATAAATAAATAAATAAAATAAAAATGTATAGTAGCCAGGCCAGGTGCGTGGCTCATGCCTGTAATCCCAGCACTTTGGGAGGCTGAGGCGAGCGGATCACTTGAGGTCAGGAGTTCGAGACCAGCCTGGCCAACATGGCGAAACCCCGTCTCTACTAAAAATACAAAAATTAGCCAGGCATGGTGGCATGTGACTGTAATCCCAGCTACTTGGGAGGCTGAGGCAGGAGAATCACTTGAAACCAGGAGGTGGAGGTTGTAGTGAGCCGAGATCACGCCACTGCAGTCCAGCCTGGACAACAGTGAGACTCTGTGTCAAAAATTAAAAAAAATATATGTATAGCAATGCCCTAGGCCTTCACATTCACTCAACACTCACTGACTCACACAGAACAACTTTCAGTCCTGCAAATTCCATTCATGGTAAATGCTATCAACCTAAATAATAAACAGAGAGAAGTTCTTTAAAAGAAAATGTGGCCGGGCACAGTGGCTCATGCCTGTAATCCCAGCCCTTTGGGAGGCCAAGGCGGGCAGATCACCTGAGGTCGGGAGTTCGAGACCAGCCTGACCAACATGAGGAAACCCCATCTTTACTAAAAATACAAAAATTAGCTGGGTGTGGTGGTGCATGCCTGTAATCCCAGCTACTTGGGAGGCCAAGGCAGGACAATTGCTTGAACCCAGGAGGTGGGGGTTGCGGTGAGTCAAGATTGTGCTATTGTACTCCAGCCTGGGCAACAAGAGCAAAACTTTGTCTCAAAAAAAAAAAAAAAAAAAAAAAAGAAAAGAAAATGTTTATTTTGGAATAGGGCATTGCAATGGGAATACATGTACCAGAGTAAACTATGTGTGTATTCAGGGAGGTAAAGGAAGACAAAGGTTTTTTAACTCTTTTCCCATTTGGCCCAAGAATACTTGCCAGCAGTGCTTGCGGCTGCAGCATACCCCAAGATAACTTTGCCACAAAATATCTGGCTTTTATTAATATTATTACGTTTGCATCACTCCAGTGTGTTGATTTTGGAAACAAAAGACATCATTCTATTTGTAGCATTCTGTTTTTAACAGTGGTAGTTCGATTTACACACAGTAATTCTCGATGGTTGAAAATCAAATCCTAGAAAATGTAGCATTCCTATATGTGATGTTAGTTGTTCTCAAACAGTTGTTGGCCGAAGAGTTATTTGATGAATCTGATTTTTCCTAAATAGACGATTCTGGTGATTCAGACAATTCTGATGTTAGTTCTGTTTAGAAATAACTCCAAGAATACTTTTTATGTTTTATTTTCACATTGAAAATCAGTCAGATTTGCTTCAGCCTCAATGAGCTTGTTTATGTAAAATTAAATGAGTGCTGGCAGCAAGCTGCACCTTTTTTTCCTAAGTGGGAAAAGGGGTAAAGGAAAAATGAAGAAGATGATTACTTAATAGTTTTGAGATGATTATCCTTGGCTACAAGAATCAATAACAAGGGCGATGCCAGTCTGATCAATAACCAGGGTGATGCCTGCAAATGGATAGGCAGTTGCTGGGCAGATAGCCTCACAGAAGTATATTTTTGTGTAAAGTTGTGATGGCCTTTGTGTAGGGTTATGGGTTTGGCAGTCTTTTGTGGTAATTCTTGTAGTTAGGCATTTTTTTATTTTATTTTTTTATTTTTATTTTTATTTTTTTTAGACAGAGTCTTGCTCTGTTGCCCAGGCTGGAGTGCAGTGGCTGTGATCTCAGCTCACTGCAAGCTCCGCCTCCTGGGTTCACACCATT
This sequence comes from Homo sapiens, assembly GCF_000001405.40. Classification (NCBI taxonomy): domain Eukaryota; kingdom Metazoa; phylum Chordata; class Mammalia; order Primates; family Hominidae; genus Homo; species Homo sapiens. Next base: position 73,901,776 of record NC_000008.11, read on the forward strand.
CTGCTGCCTCAGCCTCCCGAGTAGCTGGGACTACAGGTGCCTGACACTATGCCTGGCTAATTTTTTTGTATTTTTAGTAGAGATGGGGTTTCACTGTGCTAGCCAGGATGGTCTCGATCTCCTGACCTCGTGATCAGCCTGCCTTGGCCTCCCAAAGTGCTGGGATTACAGGAGTGAGCCACCGCACCCTGCCGTAGTTAGGCATATGTACATGAGAACCCTCCCTTCATGGCCTTCCCTGGCTCTATTTGTCAGGGCCTTGTTTTGTTTTTAACATAAGTGACTCTATTTTAATTCTGAGAACTTTTACATTCCCCTCTTTGAGAAAGATCTTTCTCCAAAAGCATCACTGATCAATCATCCTGTAGGTAGGTTTTGATTGTCCCTTGGTGCCAGGGTGGACCTGCCCCAGGTTGCTGGTCTGGTCCCATGTTGAAGAAGTGATTGGTGACTAGGAGTCAGTGTCAAAACCTTTGAAGGCACATTTGAGCAACAACGGAGGTTTGAAAAGAGTGGCTGTCAGGCTAAGTGTACCTGGAGTTTATTGTTAAGTCCAATTTTGTCTGTTCTGTAGTTTTTGCTATAACCTCAAAGTTCAGGACCAGAATTATTCTGTTAGGAGTTGTACTTCTGCAAAAGTTTAACAGGTAACAGATACAAATTTTAAAAGGTAAAATATAAAGTAAAACTAATAGTGTTATGACAATCCCAGTTAGCATAATGGTTTTGAGCTATGAACTAGGCTTAAAAGCAACCAATTGAATGAATCAAACGACTGTTATCCTGTCAAGTGGAAAGGTAAGCATTAAGAGTCTCATGGGCCGGGCACACTGGCTCACACCTGTGATCCCAGCATTTTGTGAGGTTAAGGTGGGTGGATCGCTTGAGCCCAGGAGTTTGAGACCAGCCTGGGCAACATAAAGAAACCCCATCTTTTTTAAAAATAGAAAAATTAGCAGGGCCCGGTGGTGCACACCTGTAGTCTCAGCTACTTGGAGGCTGAGGTGGGAGGATCACCTGAGCCCAACAATCAGAGGTTGCAGTGAGCCAAGATCACGCCACATCACAGCATTCCAGCCTGGGCGACAGAATGAGACCCTGTCTCAAAAAAAAAAAAAAAAAAAAAAAAAAAAGAAAAGAACAAGAAAAAAGAAAAGAGTCTCATGATATGGAGTCTTGTTCTGACCTCTTGAGAAAAGCGGTCTATAGCATGAAAATATCCTGGTTTGCAGTATGAATATCTCTGATGATGGCATTGAGCAGTGTGGTGAACTTTTTATGTGGTCCATATATCAGTCATAAGACTTATTCTTAAAATTCATCTAGTTTTGAATTATGGGGCTTCGGGAACAGAAAAGTTCTGATTTTTAGTATTTTCTCTCTTTTTTTTTTTTTTTTTTTTGAGACAGAGTGTTGCTTTGTCTCCCAGGCTGGAGCAGTGGCGCAATCTCAGCTCACTGAAACCTCTGCCTCCTGGGCTTAAGTGATTCTTCTGCCTCAGCTTCCCAAGTAGCTGTTGGAATTATAGGCACACACCACCATGCCCTGCTAATTGCTTTTTTTTTTTTTTTTTTTAGTCAAGATGGGGTTTCACCATGTTGGCCAGGCTGGTCTTGAACTCTTGACCTCAAGTGATCCACCTGCCTTGGCCTCACAAAGTGCTGGGATTACAGGCGTGAACCACCACACCCGGCCCTGTTCTTAGTATTTTCATGGAAGAAAGTTGGATTGGAGGAATGTAGAAGAATTTAGAATCTACTCTTGGCTATAGGTAGATAATAAGAACTCAAAAACAATGCACAGGGCTACAATCTAATAACAGGTGTATTATAGTTTTTCTTTTAGAAATATTTCCTCTCTACATTGATCACATAGAAATGTCAGATTTAAAAACTTCTTGGGGCTAAGAAGCCAAAACCAAGGAAGACTTTAGATTTTCCTCCAGTGTGAAGGTTCCTGGGCCTGCCAGGAAGTGATAAGAGTTTACTCATGTCACTGTAAGGCTGAGAACTCTTGAAACCAGGTATTCTATTCACGCTTTTAAATACGATATTTTAGTCAAGGCATTGGTAATATAACCCATATTTCCAATGGTATCCTGTTATAAAGAGAGAACAGATTTTTACTGAACTTATGCAAATAACCATATTGCCATAAGAAAACTCACAAATAACTTCTGAATTTTGGAGGGATCAAGTAGGGAGAAAAAGCACATGCTTCCACCTTTGTTCACAAAAAGTATACTTTACCAAATTGCTGTAAACTATAGATAGCTTAAAAGAAAATTTATTTAAATCTGGAAAACAAAAAGTTTAAGTAAAAAACCAAGTTTTAAAATAAAAGTCATAAAAACATTATCTTCATCAGTTATTCAATTTCATGAAATTAATTTTTGTTTCCTTTGATCTTAATTAGCAGTTTTGTGAATTTATCAGAGTTTTGGAAAACTTTTATTTAGTCTATTGATCTTAAAGTTGTTAGAAACTTGTCTTAGGAATACTTGTTAGAATCTTTTCCATGAATCTGATTAGATGCCACTAGAGAAAAATCAAAACCATGGATGATAGAGACAGACTAGCCATGTTTAAAATCTGATGAACATTCATTATAATCAGCAATTGACAAGTAAATGTACTCATTTTTGAGACATACAACCTAATAACCAAAATTATGACTGATGATATACTAGACTTTTAAGAATTCTATATTACTCTAGAAAATTTATATCAATAATATACCCATAAATGTAACTGAAAAAAATCTAGTATGACTTATTATTTGACAGTAATAATGACTTTCTATAAATTTAATACATCAAACAAGCTTAATTATTTAACATCTCTACAAAATGAGAGATACATCCTTTATTTTATTTTTCTTCATTTTTCATACAGGGTGCCACCACAGGTAACCATCAGAGAACACACTGCTATTTTCAAATAAACAGAACTGAACAAAAGCATTTTAGCATGGTGTCTATGGTATCTTACTGTACATAGAAAACTGGTGAACATCTTCAGACACTAAGAGCAGGAAATAAAATGAGTGAATGCTATTTGTTGATACGTTTATGAATCACTCAATAGTGTTAATATAGGCTATCTTTACCTGAAAGCAAAACTACAATTACTGACTCTGGCAGCACTGGACAATTCTAAAATGCAGGTCTAATGAAAAGTAGGTACAACCAGCAAGCAAGCAAGGGACAGATGCCATGTCTGCTTCCAAAGGGCATGACTGATTGGGAACCAGGCTCTGCAGATTTTAAGAGTTGTTATAGTCATCTTAACAGCTTAATATTAAGTTTCCCTTACCTTGTATGTTGGCAATCAACAAAAGTGAGAATTTCTGAAATGAGCTAAATAGGATTAAAAAGCAGAACACTGTCCATATAACAGAATTGCTGCTTCACAACTTTTGCCCAGTTCTCACCTGTTGTCCTACAAAAACCTCTCATCTGATAAATTTTAGTGAAAACCTCTGCCAACTGTAACAGACTTTCTCAGCCCAGCTCTAGATACTTAGTATTTGAAACAAGGCTTGTGAAGTGGATGCATCCACAGGAAAATGCAGTGTTTCTACTGGAGGTAGGTGTCAAGTTTCCTTTTTATGTTGTCAAAGGAATCTGCTCCCATATAATCAGCCTGGCCCTGTTCCCACTGCTCCTTCCATTCTTCTGAGGATACAAAAGGCTGTGCCATAGCTGGGATCTCGCCAAGGGACAGATGTGATATGGCTCCAGAGACATCTTCCACATTTACATATGAGCAGGTGTCTTTGACAAGGCCAAATTGTTGAAGCAGAGGTAAAACGTTGCTGGTAAACATGTTCCACCATAGGATGAGAAACTCTGGATAAGTTATGTTGGGATCATGGGAATCACTTTTGACACTTTTTGTTTTGGGATCATATATATAATTCCATGGTTTGACTTGTCCCAGGAAATGCACAACTTTGGCACTTACACCAAACACTTTAAATGCTGGGAGATGGGAGTATATAGAGATGCTGCTTAGGTTATAAATAAATGGCAAGTGTTTTCTGATATCTGTTGTTGCCCAGCTGCTAAAAAATGTGTTCAGGCTGGGTGCAGTGGCTCATGCCTGTCATCCCAGCACTTTGGGAGGGCAAGGCGGGTGGATCACCTGAGGTCAGAAGTTCAAGACCAGCCTGGCCAACATGATGAAACCCAGTCTCTACACAAATACAAAATTTGGCCAGGCACGGTGTCTCACACCTGTAATCCCAGTGAGAGGTAAGGCCAGCTGGACTTCCTGGGTCAAGTGGGGACTTGGGGAACTTTCTTATCTTACAAGAGGATTGTAAAATGCACCAATCAGTGCTCTATAAAACGCACCAATGAGCACTCTGTAAAATGCACTAATCAGCACTCTGTAAAACGCACCAGTCAGCACTCTGTAAAATGCACCAATCAGCAGGATTCTAAAAGTAGCCAATCATGGGGAGGATTGGAAAAAGGGCACTCTGATAGGACAGAAATGGAACATGGGAGGGGACGATAACGGAATAAGGACTGGACACCCCAGCCAGCAGTGGCAACACACTTGGGTCCCCTTCCATGCTGTGGAAGCTTTGTTCTTTTGCTCTTCACAATAAATCTTGCTACCACTCACTCTTTGGGTCCGTGCCATCTTTAAGAGCTGTAACACACAGTGCGAAGGTCCACGGCTTCATTCTTGAAGTCAGTGAGACCACGAACCCACTGGCAGGAAACAACTCTGGACACATCTTGGGGGCTCGTCTGCGATGTTGCAATGCAATGGTCTGGGTACCATCGGACCCCTTTCACTTGCTATTCTGTCCTATTTTTCCTTAGAATTCAGGAGCTAAACACCGGGCACCTGTTGGCCAGTTAAAAGTGACTAGTGCGCTGCCAGACTAAAGACATGGGTTTCAGGCTATCTGGGAAAGGGCTCTTCAACAACCCCCGACTCTTCGGAATCAGGAGCGTTGGTTTGCCTGGAACCAGCTTCCACTTTTCCTGCACTTCTAGGCTGAGCTGAGGGTCAACAGAGAGGAAAGCCATTCAGCTCTGGGGTCCCAAGAAGAAGTTGGTTGTCCCTGCAGCCCTGAGCAGAGCTCTCAAAGTTACGTCACCCAAGTGAGACTCGCCTATCTATCCTATCTATCATGACCATTGCCTCCTGGGTCCTAACGCCTGTCAGACAAACTTCCTGTTGCCTCTCTTCTCTGAGGCTAGTCCTGCTTCTGAAAATCACTCCCTAGTTTCTTCTATAAGGATGATTTCTAATATAGATTTTGGGACTCTGTTCCCTTCTTTAGGCACCCAGGCTCACCAATCAGAAAGAACCCAAATTGTTCAATGGGAAATAAGCACCCTGGGGCACATAATTTTTGACCAGAGCCCCGTCAGGGGGGACTATCTGGAATACCGTCTATCCTTTTAGGATCCCTCCTCAGACTAGCAGAACTAACAAAGGCTATTCCCAAAGCTAGCATATGGGGAGCCTCAGAAATTATAGACTCCTAAATTGGGGGGATATGCTTCCTATTCATATGATGAGAAGTGAGAACAAAAGGCGTCACCCTTCCAACCCTGGAGATCCCTTCCCTCCCTCAAGTTATGGCCCTCCACTCCATTTTGAGGCATGTCATCTTTATAGGACAAGGGTAAGGTCCCAATAACAACAGGAAAAAACACTTAGGACTCTAACAGGTTTTCAAGAATGCATCAGTAAGGGCCACTAAATCTGACCTTTCTCAGTCCTCTTGTGGTCTAAGAGGAAAGGCAAGTGTACAGGTTTTCAAGAATGTGTCGGTAAGGGCCACTAAATCTGACCTTCCTCTTTGTAGGAGGAAAACAAGGGTTTCCACTGCTGCTTCAGTGAGCGCAACTATTCCAAACGGCAGGGTCCAGGGACTGTTGTGGGTTCTTGGGTGGGGGGAAAAACAGACAAAAACCACGGGTGGTTTTTTCTTTCTGTTTTAGATGGGAAACACTCAGGCATCAACAAGCTCACCCTTGAAATGCATCCTAAGCCATTGGCACCAATTTGGCCCATAAACCCTGAAAAAGAAGTGGCTTATTTTTGTCTGCACTACAGCCTGGCCCCAATATTTTCTCTCTGATGGGGAAAAATGGCCACCTGAGGGAAGTATAAATTACAATACTATCCTGCAGCTTGACCTTTTCTGTAAGAGGGAAAGCAAATGGAGTGAAATACCTTATGTCCAAACTTTCTTTTCATTGAAGGATAATCCACAACTACACAAAGCTTGCAATCTACATTCCACAGGAGGACCTCTCAGCTTACCCCTACATCCTAGCTTCCTTACAGGTCCCCTTCCTATTAATGATCAGCCTCCTCTAATCTCTCCCACCCAGAAGGAAACAAGCAAAGAAATCTCCAAGGGACCACAAAAACCCCTGGGCTATTGGTTATGTGCCCTTCAAGCTGTAGGGGGAGGGGAATTTTGCCCAACCCGGGTACACGTCCCCTTCTCCCTCTCTGATTTAAAGCAGATCAAGGTAGATCTGGGGAAGTTTTCAGATGATCCTGATAGGTATATAGATGTCCTACAGGGTCTAGGGCAAACCTTTGACCTTACTTGGAGAGATAACATGCTACTGTCAGATCAAACCCTGGCCTTTAATGAAAAGAATGCGGCTTTAGCTGCAGCCTGACAGTTTGAAGATACCTGGTATCTTAGTCGAGTAAATGATAGAATGACAGCTGAAGAAAGGGACAAATTCCCTACCGATCAGCAAGCCGTCCCCAGTATGAATCCCCACTGGGACCTTGACTCAGATCATGGGGACTGGATTTGCAAACATCTGTTGACCTGTGTTCTAGAAGGACTAAGAAGAATTAGGAAAAAGCCCATGAATTATTCAATGATGTCCGCCATAACTCAGAGAAAGGAAGAAAATCCTACTGCCTTTCTCGAGTGGCTATGGGAGGCCTTAAGAAAATATACTTCCCTGTCACCCGACTCCCTCAAGGGTCAATTGATCCTAAAAAATAAGTTTATTACCCAATCAACCACAGATATCAGGAGAAAGCTACAAAAGCTAGCCCTGGGCCCTGAACAAAATTTGGAGGAATTATTAAACCTGGCAACCTCAGTGTTCTATAACAAGGACCAAAAGGAACAGGCCGAAAAGGAAAAGCAAGATAAGAGAAAGGCTGCAGCCTTAGTCATGGCCCTCTGACAAACAAACATTGGTGGTTCAGACAGGACAGAAAATGGAGCAGGCCAATCACCCAGTAGGGCTTGTTATCAGTGTGGTTTGAAGGGACACTTTAAAAAAGATTCTCCAATGAGAAACAAGCCACCCCCTCACCCATGTCCAGTATGTTAAGGCAATCACTAGAAGGCACACTGCCCCAGAGGACAAGTGTTCTCTGGGCCCGAAGCCCCCAACCAGATGATCCAACAACAGGACTGAAGGTAACTGGGGCAAGTGCCAGCTCATGTCATCACCCTCACTGAGCCCTGGGTAAGTTTAACCATTGAGGGCCAGGAAATTGACTTCCTCTCGGACACTGTCACAGCCTTCTCAGTGTTAATCTCCTGACCCGGACAGCTGTCCTCACAGTCCGTTACCATCTGAGGAATCCTGGGACAGTCTGTAACCAGGTATTTCTCCCACCTCCTTGGTTGTAATTGGAAGACTTTGCTCTTTTCACATGCCTTTCTTTTTATGCCTGAAAGTCCCACACCCTTATTAGGCCAAAGCTGGAGCTATTAGCTACATGAATATGGGGGACAAGTTACCCATTAGTTGTCCCCTACTGGAGGAGGGAATCAACCCTGAAGTCTGGGCATTGGAAGGACAATTTGGAAAGGCAAAAAATGCCCCCCACCCCAGTTCAAATCAGGCTAAAAGACCTCACCACTTTTCCTTATCAAAGGCAATACCCTTCCGGCCTGAAGCTCATAAAGGATTACAGGATATTGTTGACATTTAAAAGCTCAAGGGTTAGTAAGGAATGCAGCAGTTCCTGCAACCCCAATTTTAGGAGCACAAAAACTGAATGGTCAGTGGAGACTAGTGCAAGATCTTAGACTCATTTATGAGGCAGTAATTCCTCTATGTCCAGCTGTACCCAACCCCTATACCCTACTCTCTCAAACACCAGAGGAAGGAGAATGGTTCACTGTTCTGGACCTCAAGGATACCTTCTTCTGCATTCCCCTGCACTCTGACTCCCAGTTTCTCTTTGCATTTGAGGATCCCACAGACCACACATCCCAACTTATGTGGACGGTCTTTCTTCAAGGGTTTAGGGAAAGCTCTCATCTGTTTGGTCAGGCACTGGCCCAAGATCTAGGCTACTTCTCAAGTCCAGGCACTCTGGTCCTTCAGTGTGTGGATGATTTACATTTGGCTACCAGTTCGGAAGCCTCATGCCAGCAGGCTACTCTAGATCTCTTGAACTTTCTAGCTAATCAAGGGTACAAGGTGTCTAAATCAAAGGCCCAGATCTGCCTACAAGTCAAATATCTAGGCCTAATCTTAGCCAGAGGAACCAGGGCCCTCAGCAAATAATGAATTCAGCCTATACTGGCTTATCCTTGCCCTAAGACATTAAAACAGTTGCGGGGGTTCCTTGGAAGCACCGGCTTTTGCCAACTATGGATCCCTGGATACAATGAGATGGCCAGGCCACTCTATACTCTAATCAAGGAGACCCAGAGGGCAAATACTCATCTAGGAGAATGGGAACCAGAGGCAGAAACAGCCTTCAAAACCTTAAATCAGGCCCCAGTACAAACTCCAGCCTTAAGCTTTCCCACAGGAAAAAACTTCTCTTTATACATCACAGAGAGAGCAGGGATAGCTCTTGGAGTCCTTACTCAGACTAGTGGGACAACCCCACAACCAGTGGCATGCCTAAGTAAGGAAATTGATGTAGTAGCAAAAGGCTGGCCTTACTGTTTATGGGTAGTTGCGGCGGAGGCCATCTTAGTATCAGAGGCTATCAAAATAATACAAGGAAAGGATCTCACCAACTGGACTACTCATGATGTAAATGGCATACTAGGTGCCAAAAGAAGTTTAACCGCCTGCTTAGATACCAGGCACTACTCCTTGAGGGACCAGTGCTTCAAATATGCACTTGTGTGACCCTCAACCCTGCCACTTTTCTCCCAGAGGATGGGGAATCAATCGAGCATGACTGCCAACAAATTGTAGCCCAGACTTATGCCGTCTGAGAGGATCTCTTAGAAGTCCCCTTAGCTAATCCTGACCTTAACCTATATACTGATGGAAGTTCATTTGTGGAGAATAGGATACAAAGGGCGGGTTATGCCATAGTTAGTGATGTAACAGTACTTGAAAGTAAGCCTCTTCCCCCAGGGACCTATGTCCAGTTAGCAGAACTAGTGGTGCTTACCCGAGCCTTAGAACTGGGAAAGAAAAAAAGAATAAATGTGTATACAGATAGCAAGTATGCTTATCTAATCCTACATGCCCATGCTGCAATATGGAAAGAAAGGGAGTTCGTAACCTCTGGGGGAATCCCCATTAAATACCACAAGGATATCATGGAGTTATTGCACGCAGTGCAAAAACCCAAGGAGGTGGCTGTCTTACAGTGCCAAAGCCATCAAAAAGGTGAAGAAGAAAAGGCAGAAGGAAACTGTTGGGCAGACGCTGAGGCCAAAATTGCTGCCAAGCGGAACCTCCCATTAGAAATACCTACGGAAGGACCCTTGGTATGGAACAACCCTCTCCAAGAGATTAAGCTGCAGTATTCCCCGACCAAAACAGAATGGGGAATTTCATGGGGCCATAGTTTTCTCCCCTCTGGGTGGTTAATGACAGAAGAGGGAAAGGTATTCATACCTGAAGCCAGCCAGTGGAAAATACTTAAGTCCCTCCACCAAACTTTTCATATGGGTATTGAGAATACTCATCAAAGGGCCAAATCCCTAATTATAGGGCCAAATCTCCTCCAGACCATCCAGCAAGTAGTCAAAGCCTGTGAGGTGTGACAAAGGAATAATCCCTTGGTCCATCGTAAGGCCCCTCTGGGGAAACAAAGAATAGGGCGCTATCCTGCAGAGGACTGGCAGTTAGACTTCACCCATATGTCTAAGTCAAGGGGATTTCAATACTTGTTGGTCTGTGTTGATACCTTTACAAATTGGATACAAGCCTTCCTCTGCAAGACAGACAAAGGCTCGGGAAATGGTTAAAGTCCTAATTCATGAAATAATTCCTGGATTTGGGCTTCCCCAAAGCTTACAAAGTGACAATGGTACAGCCTTTAAAGCCATGATAACTCAGGGAATTTCCAGGGCCCTAGGGATACAATATCACCTTCACTGTGTCTGGAGGCCACAATCCTCAGGGAAGGTTGACAAGGCAAATGAAACACTTAAGAGGCACTTAAGGAAACTAACACAAGAAACTCGTCTCCCATGGCCTACTGTCTTGCCCATGGCCTTGTTGAGAAACCAAAATTCTCCTCACAAAATGGGGCACCTACTATCCCTTCAGTGTAACTACACCCTACAACTTTAAGCCCCAACTGATCATAGTAACTTCTGAGTCACCCAAACAGCTCCATTCAGATGGCTTGTCCACTTCTCAGTTTGCCCCAAAATCATCACCACCTCCCTGCTTAACAAACAGTCTAGGTTTTGTAATGGCAAACATACTCCCTGCATGACCATTCACCCCTGGAGCCCCTGCAGCAGCGCCCCCACCACTAGTGAATGTCTTCTTATCCCCTCTTTCAATCACTCTCTTGAATGATTCCTAGTAGATATAAAATGTTTTTTTCTCCAATGGGAAAATAGAACACAGAAAGTCACTCAGTTTGCTCCCAATACCCCTTTCTAGCTGCTCACCAGAGCTACCTTGGCAAGTACTCTAGGAGTATGGGAAAATGAAAACAACAAACTCACACACTTTTTAAACATACACAACCAGCCAAGGCATATTCCTCTTATGTGGAACTTCAACCTATATCTGCCTCCCCACCAACTGGACAGGCACCTGCACCTTAGTCTTCCTAAGTCCCAACATTGACATTGCCCCAGGAAATCAGACCCTATCAGTGCCCCTCAAGGCTCAAGCCCATCAGTACAGGGCCATATAACTAATACCCCTACTTATAGGGTTAGGAATGGCCACTGCTACAGGAACCAGAATAGCCAGTTTATCTACTTCACTATCCTACTACCACACACGCTCAAAGGATTTCTCAGACAGTTTGCAAGAAATAACAAAATCTATCCTTACTCTACAATCCCAAATAGACTCTTTGGCAGCAGTGACTCTCCAAAACCACCAAGGCCTATACCTCCTCGCTGCTGAGAAAGGAGGACTTTGCACCTTCTTAGGGGAAGAGTGTTGTTTTTACACTAACCAGTCAGGGATAGTGCAAGACGCTGCCTGGCATTTACAGGAAAAGGCTTCTGAAATCAGACAATGCCTTTCAAACTCTTATACCAACCTCTGGAGTTGGGCAACATGGCTTCTCCCCTTTCTAGGTCCCGTGACAGCCTTCTTGCTATTACTCGCCTTTGGGCCCTGTATTTTTAACCTCCTTGTCAAATTTGTTTCCTCCAGGATTGAGGCCATCAAGCTACAGATGGTCTTACAAATGGAACCCCAAATGAGCTCAACTCACAACTTCTACCGAGGACCCCTGGATCAACCCACTGGCCCTTTGACTGGCCTAGAGAGTTCCCCTCTGGAGGACACTACAACTGCAGGGTCCCTTCTTTGCCCCTATCTAGCAGGAAGTAGCTAGAGCGGTCATTGCCTAATTCCCAACAGCAGTTGAGGTATTCTGTTTAGAGGGGGGATTGACAGGTGAGGGCAGCTGGACTTCCTGGGTCAAGTGGGGACTTGGGGAATTTTCCTGTCTTACAAGAGGATTATAAAATGCACCAATCAGTGCTCTGTAAAACGCACCAATCAGCACTCTGTAAAATGCACCAATCAGCAGGATTCTAAAAGTAGCCAATCGCAGGGAGGATTGAAAAAAAAGGGGACTCTGATAGGACAGAAATGGAACATGGGAGGGGACAATAAGGGAATAAAAGCTGGCCACCCTAGCCAGTGGTGGCAACCCACTCGGGTCCCCTTCCACGCTGTGGAAGCTTTATTCTTTTGCTCTTCAAAATAAACCTTGCTACTGCTCACTCATTGGGTCCGTGCCATCTTTAAGAGCTGTAACACTCACTGCGAAAGTCTGTGGCTTCATTCTTAAAGTCAGCAAGACCACGAACCCACCGGCAGGAACCAACTCCGGACACACCAGTGCTTTGAGAGGCCAAGGCGGGTGGATCATGAGGTCAGGAGTTCAAGACCAGCCTGGCCAAGATGGTGAAACCCCGTCTCTACTAAAAATACAAAAATTAGCCGAGAGCGGTGGCAGGTGCCTGTAATCCCAGCTACTTGGGAGGCTGAGGCAGGAGAATTGCTTGAACCCAGGGGGCGGAGGTTGCAGTGAGCAAAGATCGCACCACTGCACTCCAGCCTGGGCAACAGATTGAGACTCTGTCTCAAAAAAAAAAAAGAAAATACAAAAATTAGCCAGGAATGATGGCGGGTGCCTTTAATACTTTAATACTAGCTACTTGGGAGGCTGAGGCAGGAGAATCGCTTGAACCTGGGAGGTGGAGGTTGCAGTGAGCTGAGATTGCGCCATTGCACTGCAGCCTGGGAGACAGAGCGAGACTCAGTCTCAAAATAAAAGAAAAGAAAAGAAAAGAAAAAAATGTGTTCAGTAAGCCTTGGTCCCCACCATCAAAACTACCTTGCTCAGAAGCAAGATGCAACAGCTGATTATATATTTAAACTGAAGGCTGATAAACGAAGACTTCGGAATTGAAGCAGTCAGGCCACCTTGGGTCTGGTCCTGCTGACAATTCTTCTCTCTCAAAAAGATCATCAATATTTGCTAGGACCAGAGTATCCGCATCCATAAATACACATTTTGAATACTGTGTAAGCAACCAGCAGTGGAGCTTTGTCAGCGTGATACCCAACTCTGGCCTCTTCATTAAGGTTAGATGAGCAGAATTGTGCCGTCTGAGACATCTACCATGATGACTTCATCAAAGACTGTCTCTAAAACTTTTCTCATGGAGTCTCAGACCTGAGGGGTGGTGAGTATGACCAGTCTCTTGGTGGTCCTGTGCTGTTTCAGAGATGACCCCAGGGCCAGGACACCTTTGGTGTAGGCATCATTCGTGGTCAGTGTCACAAAGGCCTGATCTGTCATGGTGCTGCTGGGGGTGCAGGCAGCCGGGGCAGCCGCAGGTTGGGAGGGAGCAAGGGCAGCACGGAGGGAGCAAGGGCAGCGAGGAGGCACAGCGGGACTATCCTTTAAAACTCTGCAGGGGTTCAACTGGAAGGTGCCAAAGTTAACTCTAGATCAAAAAGAAACTATAGAATTTTGATCTTAGAGAAGTCTGCCAAGGATTCAAAAGCTTCAAAACACTTGATGAAAACATGACCACAGGCCATTGTGAAATAATACTCATTCATTTAACCAGAGTGATATCAAAGACTTAAAAAGCAATACAGAAAATAACGTGGATGTAAAATCCTTAACCCTTTCAAAGCTCAAAAAAATCTAATAAATATAACAGGAAATTATCTTGACAAAATGTAAAATCTTTCTTTTTTAAGGCTTCTCCTTACTGGAAGCTCATTTATCCGAGCTTGCAACAACCTGAAAGTCATACCTGATGAGAAGGTACTTGAATTCAATCAAACACGGGAAACATATGTGTCCAAGGTTATATGTATACAGCATATTATACAAAAATGTGGCCGGGTGTGGTGGCTCGCACCTGTAATCCCAGCATTTTGGGAGGCTGAGGAAGGTGGATCACCTGAGGTCAGGAGTTCGAGACCAGCCTGACCAACATGGGGTCAACCCCATCTTTACTGAAAATACAAAAATTAGCTGGGCGTGGTGGCGGGCACCTGTAATTCCAGCTACTCAGGAGGCTGAGGCAGGAGAACTGTTTGAACCTGGGAGGCAGAGGTTGCAGTGAGTCGAGATCTCGCCATTGCACTTCAGCCTGGGTGACAGGGTGAGACTCCGTCTCAAAAAAAAAAAAAAAAAGAAAGAAAGAAAGAAAAATATAAATAAGAACTAGTATCTTGAGCAGAGGAATACGTGGCTCTTAGTAAAACCATGAGAAATTTCTTGGTTACATGAAACAATTCAGATACATGGAAAAAAGCCAAGAGGGCCAGGCGCAGTGGCTCACGCCTGTAATCCCAACACTTTGGCAGGCTAAGGTGGGTGGATCATGAGGTCAGGAGTTCGAGACCAGCCTGGCCAACATGGTGAAACCCCGTCTCTACTAAAAATACAAAAATTAGCCAGGTGTGGTGGCGGGCACCTGTAATCCCAGGTACTCGGGAGGTTGAGGCAGGAGAATCACTTGAAACTGGAAGGCAGAGGTTGCATGAGCCGAGATCGCGCCACTGCACTCCAGTCTAGGTGACAAGAGGGAAACTCTGTCTCAAAAAAAAAAAAAAGAAAGAAAGAAAGAAAAAAGCCAAGAGTACACAAACCAACTTACAGTGAAGAAAAATATTGCTTTTCTAAGACTTTAAGACAGAACATCAGAACATTTCAGTGTCAGGTTATAACAGCAGAGTTAGAACTGGAGAAAAAAGTTACAGGAGCTAACTAAAGAGTTAAAAGAGAGTTATTACCCAAGTTGAGCAAAAATATATAGCTTCTGAAGGGGAGAAAGAAGAGCTGATGGCAATGATGCATGACCTGCAAATTGTGTAGCAGGATACCACAAACTTTGAACTTCTGAGGTATGAATTTGAGGAACTCCAAGAGGAAAACTCTACCCCAAGAAATGAAATTACTATTTCATTATTATTATTATTATTATTTTGAGACAGAGTCTCGCTCTGTCACCCAGGCTGGAGTGCAGTGGTGCAATCTCAGCTCACTGCAATATCTGCCTCCCAGGTTCAAGCGATTCTCCTGCTTCAGCCTCTTGAGTAGCTACAGGCACCCACCACCATGCTTGGCTAATTTTTTGTAGTTTTAGTAGAGATGGGGTTTCACCATGTTGGCCAGGCTGGTCTCGAACTCCTGACCTCAAGTGATCCACCTGCCTCAGCCTCTCAAAGTGGAAATTACCATTTTAAATAAAAAAGACAGCAGTTTAAACCTTGAATTAAGAAAATTAAATGTAAATGTAAAACAAAAAATGTGCAGAGAATTAAAAATCAAAGCCTCTTGCAAATTTTACTAACAGCAGATCAGTATTTCGAGAAAAGATTATTGTTCTAACATAGGAGACCAAATTTTTAGTTGTATCAGTGTTTTCGTGTGTGCGTGTGTGTGTTTGTGTGTGTGTGTGATGGAGTTTCGCTTTTGTTGCCCAGGCTGGAGTGCCATGGGGTGATCTCTGCTCACCGCAACCTCCGCCTCCCAGGTTCAAGCGATTCTGCTGCCTCAGCCTCCCGAGTAGCTGGGATTACAGGCATGTGCCACTGTGCCTGGCTAATTTTGTATTCTTAGTAGTGATGGGGTTTCTCCGTGTTGGTCAGGCTGGTCTCAAACTCCCGACCTCAGGTGATCTACCTACCTCACCTTCCCAAAGTGCTGGGATTACAGGTGTGAGCCACCACGCCTGGCCCAGTGTATTTTTAATATTAAAGTTCAATCTTTAAAAGACAAATAATTGCCTTCTTATTGTAGTCAACTTGGTTACACACAGAATTTCTTTCATAAATCCATTATTTGTGATCTTTTACAACCTGCACAGACCTTAAATGACATGCTTAGAATTTCTGCTTTTTCCAATACTTCCTCTTTTCTAAATAACTAGTCATTTTACTTTAGGACAAAAACTGACCACATAAGATTCTTTCTCATACAAAATTATCCTCTTTTCTTTTTAACCTTCCTGCCCAAAATACTTTTTCCTCCCTATAACTTTCTTTACATTTCCTTCCTACTTAACTGCTTTCTTTCTATCTTCTTTCTATTCCTTTCCTAAGCACATATTTTGAAACAACTTTTAAATAAACTCTGATTTGAAAAGAGTTTTAGTTTTCTCAATAAAGAACACAGTTTTGGCTGGGTGTGGTGGCTCATGCCTGTAATCCCAGCACTTTGGGAGGCCAAGGCAGGTGGATCACTTGAGATCAGGAGTTCCAGATCAGCCTGGCCAACATAGCAAAACCCTGTCTGTACAAAAAATACAAAAACTAGCTAGGCATGGTGGCAGGTGCCTGTAATCCCAGCTACTCAGGAGGCTGAGGCAGGAGAAGCGCCTGGACCTAGGAGGCAGAAGTTGCAGTGAGCTGTGATCACACGACTCTACTCCAGTCTGGGCAACAAAGCTAGAGTTCATCTCAAGAAACAACAACAACAACAACAACAACAACAACAACAACAAAAAACACAGTTTTTAATGCCTTTCTTATAAGTTTTATAATTAAAAACACATCTGGTCAGGTGCAGTGGCTCACGCCTGTAATCCCACTTTAGGAGGCTGAGGCAGGCGGATTGCTAGAGGTCAGGAGTTCAAGACCAGCCTGGCCAATGTGATGAAACCCTGTGTCTACTAAAAATACAAAATTAGCCAGGCATGGTGGCAGGCACCTGTAGTCCCAGCTATTCAGGAAGCTGAGGCAGGAGAATCATTTGAACCTGAGAGGTGGAGGTTGCAGTGAGCCAAGATCGTGCCACTGTACTCCAGCCTGGGTGACAGAAAGAGACTTTGACTAAAAAAAAAAAATCTAATTTTTTTTGGTATGTTTTATATACAGAATTATATCTATCTATCTATATCTATAATACACACACATTTATACATATATGAATTTTTAATTCTTAGTAACCTCAGTTTCTAGCAATAACTTTTTTTTTTTTTTAAGACGGAGTCTCACTGTCACCCAGGCTGGAGTGCAGTGGCATGATCTTAGCTCACTGCAACCTCCGCCTCCTGGGTTCAAGCAATTGTCCTGCCTCAGCCTCCCAAGTAGCTGAGATAACAGGTGCCTGCCACCATGCCAGCTATCTGTTTTTTTTTTCTAGCAAGAGATTTTGAACTGTCACATATCAGTATTTCATAGATGAGAACCATTTCATAATTTTTATTTTTATTTATGTATTTATTTATTTGAGACAGAGTTTTGCTCTTGCCACCCAGGCTGAAGTTCAGTGGTGTGATCTCAGCTCACTGCAGCCTCTGCCTCCCAGGTTCAAGCGATTCTCCTGTCTCAGCCTCCCAAATAGCTGGGATTACAAGCATGCGCCACCATGCCTAGCTAATTTTTTTTTTTTTTTGTATTTTTAGTAGAGATGGGGTGTCACTATGTTGGCCAGGCTAATCTCGAACTCCTGACCCAGGTGATCTGCCCACCTCAGCCTCCCAAAGCACTGGGATTACAGGCGTAAGCTACCATTTCATAATTTTAGAAACATGTTTCCCAGCTGGGCATAATGGCTCATTCCTATAATCCCAGCACTGTGGGAGGACAAGGTGGGAGGATTGCTTAAAGCCAGGAGTTTAAGACCAGCCTGGATAACAAAATGAGACCCCATCTTTACAAAAAATTTAAAAAATTAGCCAGGCATGGTGGCACATGCGTTAGTCCCAGCTACTCAGGAGGCTAAGTAGGAGGATTGCTTGAGCCCCAAAACTTGGAAATGATCTGGATATTTATGAGTACCTATCACTTAATTTAACATAACATTAAGATTTCAAGTTACATGGAAACTTAATTTATTAACATTTATCTCATATACATTTACCTAATTAATCTATTTGTAATTGTTATAACAATTATACCTAGATTAGTTAGGAAAACTGATATATTAGATAAAACTAGTCATCTTTTCAAGTTGTTTCCCTGTTAACCATTTTTATAGAGTGTGACCATCAGGTGTTCACCTAAGAACCTTAAATTTAAATATATAGGTATTTTGCCTACAACTCAGAAGTTACAGTTCTTTTCTTTTCTTTTTTTGAGGCGGAGTTTTGCCCTTATTGCCTACACTGGCGTGCAATGGCATGATCTCGGCTCACTGCAACCTCCTCCTCCCGGGTTCAAGTGATTCTCCTGCCTCAGCCTCCCGAGTAGCTGGGATTACCGGAATGCACCATCATGCCCAGCTAATTTTGTATTTTTAGTAGAGATGGGTTGCCTCCATGTTGGTCAGGCTGGTCTCGAACTCCCAACCTCAGGTGATCCGCCCGCCTCGGCCTCCCAAAGTGCTAGGATTATAGGTGTGAGCCACCACGCCCAGCCTGATACAGTTATTTTCATTATACCAACAATATTGCACAAGACTATTCTGTTTTTAGGTTTAATTTATAGTTTGATAACTTTTGTGACAAGCCCTTACAGTTAAAACATCTAGTGGGAACAAATATAAAACTGTCTGACCAGTAAATCCAGGCAAAAATGTATACTGAAAATTCCGAAGATATTTTTATTTTTATTCTACTACCAAATTTAAAATCAGCTTCTTTGTCAAAATTTACTTGTCACATTAATTAAAAGGCATTGAGTTAATTATTATATATGTTACTTGAATGCTCATTTATCTAAGCCAATCTGAATAGAATTTCTTAAGGGAACTTTGATAATGCCATATTTTACCATGTAAACACAACATATAACATAATACATATGCATGTACATAAACATACCTAAACACATATACACACACAAGGCTCTGATAGCTTTCGTTTTAGAATTTTAGTCATAAGATAGTAAAACAAACATGAGTTCAAAAAAGACAGTTGGATCCAAATTACTTTTTGACAAAATGGGACCTGTTCACATGGCTCAGTTTTTATTTGACCTGAAAGGTAACCTAATGAAGGCTGTGAACCAAAATTTTGGGCAAAACAGTTCCCATAGAAGTTTCAATTAAAAACAAACACTTTTTACTCTTTTAACAGTTTCAAATGAGTTTAGGGTTAAATATTTAAATGTTTACATTTTAGTTGAAACTGGCTGAATTGTGTAAGAAATACAAAATCTCCAAGTGGCCTTGAATTCGTAACAAATCTTTCTTTTGTTTACTGGTCTGGCTTGCTTGACTAGTCAATGCAGGCAGGGAAACATTTTAGCAGTTTTTTTCCATTGGCTTTTGCTTGTTTTAGCCTCTGTGTGGCAGACAAAACAATGTTTATGCTGGACAGAGATTTATTATTATTGCTCTGAACTCAAGATTTCAATCTGTTTAATCTAAGATTCTAACTTTTATAAATATTTATTATCTAGTTCTTTTTTTTTTTTTTAGGATATCAATCCTTCAATTAACTGTTCTATTACCCTAAGCAATTGTTAGTCAGGCAAACCTACTTTTACATTTTCAAACAGTCTCCTGGTTGTTGGTTGTCATGGAGTTGTTGTAATTTATAAAGCCATTAATTTCAAAGCACTTTAAGACTTTTAAGCCAGGCATGGTGGCTCATGTCTGTAATTCCAACACTTTGGGAAGACAAGGTGAATGGATTGCTTGAGCCCTGGAGTTCAAGACCAGCCTGGGCAACATGGGGGAGATGCCACTCCACCAAACCAAACAAAAACCAAAAACCAGAAATTAGCTGGGTGTGGTAGCACATACCTGTAGTCCTGGCTACTTGGGAGCTGAGGTGAGAGGATTGCTTGAGCCTGGGAGGTAAGGCTGCAGTGAGCCATGATCATGCCACTGCACTCCAGCCTGAGTTACAGAGTGAGACTACATCTCCAAAAAAAAAAAAAAATGTGGCCAGGCACAGTGGCTCACGTCTGTAATCCCAGCACTTTGGGAGGCCAAGGCAGGCAGGTCTCTTGAGGTCAGGAGTATAATACCAGCCTGGGCAACATGGTGAAACCCCATCTCTACTAAAAATACAAAAATTAGCCAGGCATGGTGGCACATGCCTGTAATTCCAGCTACGTGGGAAGCTGAGGTGGGAGAATCACTTGAACCCGGGAGGGGGAGGTTGCACTGAGCCAAGATTGTGCCACTGCACTCCAGCCTGGGAGACTGAGCAAGACTCTGTCTCAAAAAAAAAAAAAGAAAAAAAAAATCTTGGCTAGAATGCCATAAGCAGTGAGTTTCACCTCAACACCTGAGGAAGAGTCAGCTGATTCAAAGTAGGCAGAAAAAAAATAAAGAAATAAAGAGACAGAGAACTTTGAAGGCCCAACTCTATAGTTGCAGGACTTTCTTTAGCGTATTCAAATAATGATCATATGAGCTCTGAATTTTCACTGATGTAATTTACCCATCAGTTTTTGTTTTTTGTTTGTTTGTTTGTTTTGTTTGTTTGTTTTTGAGACAGAGTCTCGCTCTGTCACCCAGGCTGGAGTGCAGTGGCGCCATCATGGCTCACTGCAACCTCTGCCTCCCGGGTTCAAGTGATTCTCCTGCCTCGGCCTCCTGAGTAGCTAGGATTATAGGTGCGTGCCACCATGCCTGGCTAATTTTTGTATTTTTTTTTTTTTTTTTTTTTTTTTAGGAGAGACGGGGCTTCACCATGTTGGTCAGGCTGGTCTTGAACTCCTGACCTCGTGATCCACCCACCTCAGCCTCCCAAAGTGCTGGGATTACCATGCCTGGCCTACCCATCAGTTTTAAAATGTGCATGAGAATGAGCTGCAATATAGCAAGCTGGAGTCTCAGAAAACCTAGTATGCCTTAATGTTTGAAAATCCCATCCTATTTCTTATAAGTTCTCAAGAGCAAAGAAAATCCTATAAATCCTTTTAGAGAATGTCAGAAGTTGGACCAATGTTTTAGATGGTGGCAATCATCCTAGTCATTTTTAATTAGCCATACTGCACCCACCATTGAGAATGTTTGTTTTTGCTCTTGGGAGATTATTAGAAACAAGGAAGGAAAAAGAAACAAATAATTTAGAGGCACACATAAACCAAAATGAAACCAAAATCAGAGTGCTCACAAAAAATTTAACCCAGGCATGCAGATCAAAATATTAAATCAGATGTGCAGGTAGAAACAAAAATAAATTTACCAGAAAAGACATGTGTCAGAGACAGAATGTAAATTCTGTAAACAGAGTATTCAGATAAGAAGAACTTTTGTCTGTTTTTTGTTTTGTTTTGTTTGTTTGTTTGTTTGAGACAGAGTCTCACTCTGTCACCCAGGCTAAAGCACAGTGGTGTCATCTTGGCTCACTGCAATCTCTGCCTCCTGGGCTTAGGCGATTCTCCTGCCTCAGCCTTCTGTGTAGCTGGGATTAGAGGCATGCACCATTACACCTGGCTAATTTTTGTATTTTTAGTAGAGATGGGGTTTCACCATGTTGGCCAGGCTGGTCTCGAACTCCTGACCTCAAGTGATCCACCTGCCTCGGCCTCCCAAAGTGCTGGGATTACAGGCTTGCGCCACTGTGCCCAGCCAACTTTTGTCTTTATATCAGAATGGATTTGCCAGAAAACAGAAAAAGTCTTTAATCATCCTAGGAGAAATTTAAGGTTTTATATTAAGGCTGCCTTATATCCAAAACAAATCCGGAATGAAGTCAAAGTGCCTCTACTAAAAAAGGAAGATTTGGCCTGGGAGAAGATTCACCAGGGCGGAAAAGGTGAGCTATGGAAGCAGGGAGCTCAAAGAGCTCAAGTGAGTACTACACACTGATTCCAAGAATTGCTGATTCCTTCTTCTTTTTCTTTGAGCCAGAGTCTTGCTCTGTCGCCCAGGCTGCAGGGCAGTGGCACAATCTTGGCTCACTGCAAACTTCTCCTCCCAGGTTCAAGTGATTCTCGTGCCTCAGCCTCCCGAGTAGCTGGGACTACAGGCGTGCACCACCATGCCTGGCTAATTTTTGTATTTTTAGTAGAAACGGGGTTTCTCTATGTTGGCAAGGCTGGTCTCAAACTCCTGACCTCAAGTGCTCCGCCGGCCTCAGCCTCCCAAAGTGCTGGGATTACAGGCATGAGCTACTGTGCCAGGCCATCTTTTTTTTTTTTTTTTAAGCTGCAGTCTTTCATTTCATTTTATTTTTTTCTTGTAAATTTTTTGTTTGTTTGTTTGTAGAGTTTCGCTCTGTTGCCCAGGCTGGTCTCAAACACCTGGGCTCAAGCAATCCTCTGACCTTGGGCCCTCAAAATGCTGAGATGACAGGTGTGAGACACCGCACCAAGCCCTGGTTTTTGTTTGTTTGTTTTTTGAGACAGAGTTTCACTCTTGTCACTCAGGCTGGAGTGCAATGGCGCAGTCTGGGCTCACTACAACCTCCGTCTGCCAGGTTCAAGCGATTCTCCTGACTCAGCCTCCCTAGTAGCTGGGATTATAGGTGCCCACCATCACGCCCGGCTAATTTTTTGTATTTTTTTAGTAGAGACGGGGTTTCATCATGTTGGCCAGGCTTGTCTCGAACTCCTGACCTCAGGTGTCCACCCGCCTTGGCCTCCCAAAGTTCTAGGATTACAGGCGTGAGCCACCGTGCCCAGCCAATTTTTTTTTTTAATCTTTTATAGCACATTTGCACTGCACCTTTTCTATGGTTAGATAGATTCAGATACACAGACACCTACTATTGTGTTATAATTGCCTACAGTATTCAGTACAGTAACATGCTATATAGGTTTGCAGCCTAGGCGCAATAGGCTGTACAATATAACCTAGGTGTATAGTAGGCTAGACCATCTAGGTTTGTGTAAGTACACTCTATGATATTCACACAACAAATTGCCTAACTATACATATCCCAGAATGTATCCTTGTCATTAAGTGACAGACGACTTACTGTGACTACACTTAAATAAAGTACTTAGAATCGTAAAAATCATAAATTAAGACAAAAAGTAGAATGATGGTTTTCAGGGGCTAGGTGGAGTGGGAAATAGAGAGTTATCGTTTAATGGGAATATTGTTTCAGTTTTGCAAGATTTAAAGAGCTCTGGAGATACAGGGTGGTGATGGTTGCACAATATGAATGTACTTAATACCACAGAACTATACAATTAAAAATAGTTAAGATGGTAAATTTTGTGTTATGTGCATTAACTGCAGTATAAAATATTGAAAAAAACTAGTCAAATGATATAATGAAAGAAAGATGCATGTACACAGCAACAAAAAGAAAAAATACTTGAACATATACTTAATGAGAAATGTGAAAACCTATATGAGGAAAATGTTAAAACATTCCTGAAAGACATGAAAGTAAGCTTGAACAAATAGCCATTATTTTTTTTCTTTTTTTGGGGGGGTAGGGAAGACAGAGTCTTGCGTGGCTTACACACGTGAGCCACCACGCCCAGTCAATTCTGTTCTTTTTTAACAGGGCCTACCCTCAGGAGAAACTACTTGATAGTTTCTGTGCCAGAAAGTAGGAAATTGATCACAAAATGACGAGGACATATTAAAAGGACCCATGATCCCTCTTCAAGGGATTCCCATTGGCCATATTGAGACGCTTTGGATATTCAAAGCAATAATAATGGTAATGGATTGCCGGGCACAGTGGCTCACGCCTGTAATCCCAGCACTTTGGGAGGCCGAGACGGGTGGATCACCTGAGGTCAGGAGTTCGAGAGCAGCCTGGCCAACATGGTGAAACCCCGTCTCTACTAAAAATACAAAAATTAGCCAGGCGTGGTGGCAGGAGCCTGTAATCCCAGCTACTTGGGAGGCTGAGGCAGGAGAATCGCTTGAACCCGGGAGGCGGAGGTTGCAGTGAGCTGAGATCACGCCATTGCACTCCCGCCTGGGGGACAAGAGCAAGACTTATCTCAAAAAAAATATATATATATATTTCTCTATGTATTTCTCCATCTCTCATTGTATATAATATAAATACATATATTTGTGCATGTGTTCACGAAATTTGTATTATAGGCGTGAGCCACCGCGCCCGGCCTCTATAGATAATTTTGATGGTTAATTTCTTGCCTTTTTTTTTTTTTGAAACAAGGTCTAACTCTGTTGCCTAGGTTAGAGTGTGGTGTCTCGATCACTGCTCACTGCAGCCTTGACCTCCCAGGCTTGAGTGATTCTCCAACTTTAGCCTCCCAAGAAGCTGGGACTACAGGCACATGCCACCATACTGAGTTAATTTTTGTATTTTTAGTAGAGACGGGGTTTCACCATGTTGCCAAGGCTGATCTGAAACTCCTGGGCTCAAGCAATCCGTCTGCTTTGGCTTTCCAAAGTGCTGGGATTACCAGCGTGAGCCACTGTACCTGGCCTGATAGTTAATTTCAAATGTATATTCTTCCAGGCTATAGTACCTAACATTCAATCAAACACTAATTTAGGTGATGCTGTGAAGGTATTTTGTAAACCTAGTTAACACGTATAATCTGTTGACCTTCATAAAATTTACCTTCAGTAATGTGTGTGAGGCCTCATTCAATCAGTTGAAGGCTTTAAGAGCAAAAACAGGTTTTTCCTGGAGAATAATCTCCCTTAAGATTGCAGCATCAACTCCTTCCTGAGTTGCCAGCTTGCCACCCTACCCACCAGATTTCAGACTTGCCAGCCCCCACATTGCATGAGCCAATTCCTTAAAACATATATGCAGATTGAGAGAGAGAATTATTTCTATATAGAGATACAGATAGATGATAGATATTGATACAGATACAGTCTCTTGGCTCTGTTTTTTTGGAAAAACTTGAATGATAGAATAATATAGATACATATATACATAACAGACACATATATGTATATATAAAGACAGACATACAGCAAATGTGACAAAATGTTAACTGACACACGTAAGTGAAGAGTATTCATTGTACTGTTCTTTTAACTTTTTTCAAGGTATGAAAATTTTTATAATAAAAAATTGGGAGAAAAGATTAAGAAATGTAATTTAGGCCTGGCAAGGTGGCTCACGCCTCTAATCTCAGCACTTTGGAAGGCCGAAGCGGGAGGATTACCTGAGGTCAGGAGTTCGAGACCATCGTGGCCAACATGGTGAAAGCCCGTCTCTACTAAAAATACAAAATTAGCCAGGCGTGGTGGCGGCGCCTATAATCCCAGCTACTTGGGAGGCTGAGGCAGGAGAATTGCTTGAACCTGGGAGGGGGAGATTGCAGTGACCCAAGATCATGCCACTGCACTCCAGCCTGGGCAACAGAGCGAGACTCTGTCTCCAAAAAAAAAAAAAAAAGTAATTTAATAAAATTGTTTGTTAGGGTAATACTGATCATTCAGCTCAGAAGCGACAGAGGGAGTGTCTGTCTCAAAAAAAAAAAGTAATTTAATAACATTTTTTGTTAGGATAATACTGATCAATCAGCTCAGAAACTTATCCTAATGCAAATAACAAAATTTAAATATAAGTGAAAACTCCTATAGATACTGACTTAAAAAAAATCAAGAACAAATCAGTCTGGCATCAGAATTCTCCACTGTAGCTGGGTTCAGTGGCTCACGCCTGTAATCCCAGCACTTTGGGGCGCTGAGGCGGGCAGATCACATGAGGTCAGGAGTTCTAGACCAGCCTGGCCAACATGGCGAAACCCCATCTCCACTAAAAACACAAAATTAGCTGGACGTGGTGGCGCATGCCTGTAGTCCCAGCTACTCGGGAGGCTAAGGCAAGAGAATTGCTTGAGCCTGGAAGAAAGAGGCTGCAGTGAGCCAAGATTATGCCACTGCACTCCAGCCTAGGTGACAGAGTGAGACACTGACTCAAAAAAAAAAAAAAAAAAAAAAAGAAAAAGAAAAAGAAAGAAATTCTCCATTGTATTACTAGAAAACGGTTAACCAGTATCTAAAAGAAATTCTCCAAAGAAAGAATAATGTGACCCCAAATTTAAAACCCTCTAAGCAAAAGCTCATGGAATTTAGTTTCAGAGCCCTTTTATAACCAACTAAAAAAAGAAAAAACATCATCTTTGAGACAGAGTCTCGCTGTTGCCTAGGCTGGAGGCAGTGGTGTGATCTTGGCTCACTGCAACCTCCATCCACCTCCTGGTTTCAAGTGATCCTCCTGCCATAGTCTCCCAAGTAGCTGGGATTACAAGCGTGCACCACCATGCCGACTAATTTGTGTGTGTGTATATATATATATATATGTATATATATATATATATGTGTGTGTGTGTGTATATATATATATGTATATATATATATACACACACATATATATATATATATATTTTTTTTTTTTTTAGACGGAGTTTCACTCTTGTTGCCCAGGCTGGAGTGCAATGGTGCAATCTCCGCTCATTGCAACCTCCGCCTCCCGGGCTCAAGCAATTCTCCTGTCTCAGCCTCCTGAGTAGCTGGGACTACAGGCACCCACCACCATGCCCGGCTAATCTTTGTATTTTTTAGTAAAGATGAGGTTTTGCCATGTTGGCCGGGCTGGTCCTGAACTCCTGACCTTAGGTAATCCACCCGCCTTGGCCTCCCAAAGTGCTGAGATTACAGGTGTGAGCCACCTCACCTGGCATTTTTTAATTTTTAGTAGAGACGGGGTTTCACTATGTTGGCCAGGCTGCTCTCCAACTCCTGACTTCATGTGATCTGCCTGCCTTGGCCTCCCAAAGTGCAGGGATTACAGGCGTGAGCCACTGTGCCTGGTCTTCTCATTTGCTTTTATTTGTACATCAATTTTAGCATGTATTGCTATTAGCCTTAGATCATAAGTAATTACAATTATGTGTGTCTATATCATTGCATAGTTGCATTTGCCTGTTTCTCTTACAGATTGTGGCACACTAGACATTTTTATTTCCCATAAATCCTAGCACAGAGACTTGTACACAGCCAAGTTGATAAATATTTACTCTCTTTAACTAAGTTGAACCTACAGATTGCATATCCATGGGGCTGTGTGATTTAGAGAAAAAGACATGATTGAATATTGGCTGTACCACTAATTTACCTGCTGTGTGACCTTGGCCAAGTCATTTAATTTCTGAGTGTGTTTCCTCAACAGCAAAACATGGGAATAGTTATCTGGGTGTGGTGGCACGTGCCTGTAGTCCGAGCTACTCAGGAGGCTGAGGAAAGATGATTGCCTGAACCCAAGAGTTCGAGGCTACAGTGAGCTATTATCATGCCACTCCAGCCTGCACAAAAGAGTAAGACCCTGTCTCAACAAAGGAGGGTGGGGTAGGAGAATTGTTAAATACCTTCTAGTTTATGATTACATGACATAATATGTATAAGGGCACCTAGCACAGAGTGGTCTCAGAGTACAGTTTTTTAAATAGAAAGTTTTCTTAACTACAAAAAGGAACATAGAATTAACACATGTTGGCCAGGCGTGGTGGCTTATGCCTGTAATCCCAGCACTTTGGGAGGCCGAGGCAGGCAGATTACCAGAGGTCAGGAGTTCAAGACCAGTCTAGCCAGCATGGTGAAACCCTGTATCTACTAAAAATACAAAATTAGCTGGGCGTGGTGGTACGTGCCTGTAATCCCAGCTACTTGGGAGGCTGAGGCAGGAGAATTGCTTGAACCCGGGAGGTGGAGGTTGCAGTGAGCTAAGATTGCGCCATTGCACTCCAGCTCTGGGCGACAGAGCAAGACTCTGTCTCAGGAAAAAAAAAAATAATACATATTAAATAACCTGAGCTACCCAAAAATAAATAATTGGGAAATAAATGAATGCTAAATTTTCCATCATTTTCTGCCTGATAAAAAAATATCCTACAGTATTACAGTAGGGGTATTTAATTGAAGATTTTAACCTGGGCTAGGCGTGGTGGCTCACAGCTGTAATCCCAGCACTTTGGGAGGCTGAGGTGGGTGGATCATGAGGTCAGGAGATCGAGACCAGGCTGACCAACATGGTGAAACCTCATCTCTACTAAAAATACAAAAATTAGCCAGGCGTGGTGGTGGGCGCCTGTAATCCCAGCTGCTCGAAAGGCTGAGGCAGGAGAATTGCTTGAACCTGGGAGGCGGAGTTTGCAGTGAGCTGAGATCGCACCACTGCACTCCAGCCTGGGCTAGAGAGAGAGACTCGTCTCAAAAAAAAAAAAAAAAAAAAAGGAAAGAAAGAAAAGAAAAAAAAAACCCAAATCAAGGGAGCAATCCCAGTACTTCACCTTCATATCTGCTCCAACAAGATAATTCTGAAAGAAATAATAAGGAATGATAGAAACGGGCTGCTACAGGATGCAGGGGCCTCAGTTCCCTAGTTCATGAGAATTGAAGGAGTCCAGTTTGAGCCCTACACATACACAGTAACCTAAGGCACCTCTGCAGTACAGCAGGGAAAGAATGGCCTTTTCAGTCAATGATACTGGGTCGACTGGATATTAATATCAAAGAAAATAAATCTTAGCCAACCTCTAATACCATATAGAAACATTAATTCTAAATGGATTGTAATTCTAAATGTGAAAGGGAAAACTACACTTTCTAGAAGAAAACGTAAGAGAATAGCTCTGTGACCTTCAGGTAAACAAAGATTTCTTAAACAGAACAAACAAAGCACTCAACAGAAAGAAAAAAATTTATTTATTTTTATTTATTTGTATTTCTTGAGACGGAGTTTTGCTCTTGTTGCCCAGGCTGAAGTACAGTGGTGTGATCTTGGCTCACTGCAACCTCGACCTTCTGGGTTCAAGTGATTCTCCTGCCTCAGCCTCCCAAGTAGCTGGGATTACAGGGATGCATCACCGCACCCAGCTAATTTTGTATTTTTTTAGTAGAGATGGCATTTCTTCATGTTGGTCAGGCTGGTCTTGAACTCCTGACCTCAGGTGATCTGCCGCCTCAGCCTCCCATAGTGCTAAGATTACAGGCGTGAGCCACCATGCCCAGCCTAAAAAAATTATTTATTTATTTATTTTTATTATTATTTTTTGACATGGAGTCTCACTCTGTCATCCAGGCTGGAGTTCAGTGGCCCCACCTCACTCACTGCAACCTCTGCCTCCCAGGTTCAAGCGATTCTCCTGCCTCGGCCTCCCGCGCAGTTGAGATTACAGGCACGCCATCACCATGACCGGCTAATTTTTGCATTTTTAGTAGAGATGGGTTTTCACCAGGTTGGTCAGGCTGGTCTCAAACTCCTGACCTTCAGTGATCTGCCTGTCTTGACCTTCCAAATTGCTGGGATTATAGGCATGAGCCACCATGCCAGGCCTAGAAAAAAATAATCTAAATGATCTTATAATTAAGAACTTTTGTTCACAAAAATTCAACATTAACAGAGTGAAAGCCAAACCACAGACTGATAGAATATATTTTAATACATATAGTAAAACAAAAAGTATATATATAAAGAAGTCCTACAAACCAATGAGAAAGAGACAGGCAACCCAACGGAAAACCAGGAAAACAGTCTGGTGTGGTGGCTCATGCCTGTAATCCCAGCACTTTGGGAGGCTGAGGCCAGTGGATTGCTTGAGCCCAGGAGTTTGAGACCAGCCTGGGCAACATAGTGAGATGCCCCATCTCTACAAAAAATACAAAAGTTAGCCAGCTGTGGTGGTGTGCACCTGTGTTCCCAGCTACTTGGGAGGTTGAGGTGGGAGAATTGCTTGAGCCCAGGAGGCGGAGGTTGAAGGGAGCCGAGATCACAGCACTGCATTCCAGCCTGGGAGACAGGAGACCCTGCCAAAAAAAAAAAAAAAAAAAAAAAAAAGGCTGAACATATGCATTCCCTATGAATCAGCAATTTTACTTCTGGATATTTCTGAGTATTTACACAAAATGCATATAATTTGAGCACCAAACGTCATGTACAAAAATGTTCACAGTAGCTTTATGCATAACAGCTCAAAACTGGAAACAACCTAAATGTCTATCAACAGTAGAATTGATAAACTTGTGTCACACACATGCACACGCACACACACACACAATGAAATACTTCACAGCAGTGCAAAAAAACTATTTCTAAATGCCACAGAGATGAATCTCACAAACAACGCTGAGCAAAAAATGCCAGAAATGGCTGCAAATGGGGGCTTAAGATTGTAATCCCAGCGCTTTGGGAGGCTGAGGCAGTCAGACTGCTTGAAGCCAGGAGTTCGAGACCAAATTTGGGCAGCATGGTGAGACCCCATCTCTACAAAAAATACAAAAATTAGCCAGGCGTGGTGGTAGGTGCCACACAAGTGCCAGCTACTCGAGAAGCTGAGGTGGGAGGATCACTTGAGCCTGGGAGGTCAAGGCTGCAGTGAGTCATGATTGAGCCACTGCACTCCAGCCTGGGTGAGAGTGAGATCCTGTCTCAAAATAAATAAATAAATAAATAAAAGAGCATTCAGCTGCCTGATAGCAAAATTTCCCTCCTATATCAAATACAGTTTACCCCTTGTAGACTTGCACTTCTGGAAAAAAAAAAAAAGGCTACTGCCTAAAATAATGTAATGATTCTTGTGTAATAAATAATGCGCCAGCCATACCCCCACAGAGGAGCAACTGAATGTCTTGGCAATTATTAAATTTTTTTTTTTTTTTGAGGTAGAGTCTTGCTCTGTTTTCCTGGCTGGAGTGCAGTGGCACGATCTCTGCTCACTGCAACCTCCGCCTCCCGGGTTCAAGTGATTGTCCTATCTCAGCCTCCTGAGTAGCGGGGATTACAGGGTTGCACCACCACACCCAGCTAATTTTTGTATTTTTAGTAGAGACAGGGTTTCACCATGTTGGCCAGGCTGGTCTCGGACTCCTGACCTCCGGTGATCCACCTGCCCTGGCCTCCCAAAGTGCTGGGCTTACAGGCGTGAGCCACCTCGCCCGGCCAATTATTAAATTTTAAAAAATTATTTACTTTTTTGAGACAGGGTCTCACTCTGTCACCCAGGCTGGAGTGTAGTGGTGCAATAATGGCTCACTTCAGCCTCAACCTCACCTTAGTGATTCTCCCACCTTAGCCCGCTAAGTAGCTGGGGCTCTCCCTGCAGGGTAATGAGCTCACCCTGCAGGTAACTCCAGGTAAGGGTGTTCCTGCTTCTTCACTCCAAGAAGATGGCAGCAGATTTAGTCGTTGAGGAGAGTCATTGGGTTGGGAAAATGAATCCTGTTTAACTTTTGAGGTTCCCACTCTTTTCTCCATCAATGTGCCATATTTTACATGGCAAGTATCAACTCAACTGACACTTTAATTCAGTTTCTTATTTGATTAAACTTCAAGTTTGCTTTTTCAATTATCAGAAAGTTGTCTGTGGCTGAAGAAGAGTACTAGAAATTTCCTAGGAAGATTCTGACTGTGCCTGGCAAAGAGACTCAGAGATTTAAGGTTATACTCTTTCTTTAATCCATCCAGTACCATGAAAAGCAACCATTTCACTTCTCAGGCTATAAATTATGAAAGTTAATTCTTCACATTTTCCATCCTGGGTTTTTTTCTTTTTTTCATTAAATAAGAGTTTAATTGAAGCAAGATCAGCCACACCACTTGGGAGATGGAGTTATTACTCAAATCAACCTCGCTGAAGGCTCAAAGGTTAGAGGTTTTTCAAAAACAGTTTGATGGGCAGCTGGCTAGTGTATGGGTGCTACTGATTGGTTGGGGATGCAATCATAGGGGTGTGAAAAATGGTCCTCATGCACTGAGTCTGCTTCTGGGTGGAAGCCACAGGACCAGTGGAGTCACAGGTCCAGATGGGGCCATCCGGTTGTTAGAAATGCAAAAGCCTGAAAAGACATCTCCAAAGGCCAATCTTCATTTCTACAATGGTGATGTTATCTACAGGAGTAATTGGGGAAGTTGCAAATCTATGACCTCTAGAATAATGGCTGAATTCAGGCTACTCTCATTCACCTAACTTGGTGGCCTTTTATTAGTTTCATGAGGGCAGTTTAGTTTTGGGGAGGATGATTATCTTTTTTTTTTTTTTAAACTTTTAAGTTCAGGGGTACATGTGCAGGATGTGCACACAGGTAAATATGTGCCATGGTGGTTTGCTGCACAGATCATCCCAATACCTAGTTACTAAGCCCAGCATCCATTAGCTATTCTTCCTGATGCTCTCCCTCCCCCAACCCCATCCTGTTTTATTTATTTATGTTATTATTATTTTTTTGAGACAGGGTCTTGCTCTGTCGCCCAGGCTGGAGGCTGGAGTGCAGTGGCACAATCTCTGCTCACTGCAACCTCTGCCTGCTGCGCTCAAGCAATCCTCCCACCTCAGCCTCCAAGTAGCTGGGATTTCCGGGGTGCGCTACCATGCCTGGCTCTGGCTAATTTTTGTATTTTTTGTAGATACGGGGTTTCGCCATGTTGCCTAGGCTGGTCTCGAACTCCTGAGCTCAAGCGATCTACCTGCCACGGCTTCTCAAAGTGCTGAGATTACAGGCATGAGCTACGCACTCAGCCCTATCCTGTTTTTTGATAGGTGCATTGCAAGCATCCAAAGCTCTGCCCTCAATGGGCACTATATGTATGTATATATACTTTTTTTTTTTTTTTTGAGACGGAGTAGCTGTTGCCTAGGCTGGAGTGCAGTGACGCCATCTCGGCTCACTGCAAGCTCTGCCTCCCAGGTTCTCCTGCCTCAGCCTCCTGAGTAGCTGGGACTACAGGCACCCGCCACCACGCCCGGCTAATTTTTATTTTTTATTTTTTGTATTTTTAGTAGAGACGGGGTTTCACCGTGTTAGCCAGGATGGTCTCAATCTCCTGACCTCGTGATCCGCCCGCCTCGGCCTTCCAAGGTGCTAGGATTACAGGTGTGAGTCACTGTGCCCGGCCTTCCTCCCTCCCTCCCTTCCTTCCTTCCTTCCCTTTTTTTTTTTTTTTTTTTTTTCAGAGTCTCGCTCTGTCACCCAGGCTGGAATGCAGTGTCGCGATCTTGGCTCACTGCAACCTCCGCCTCACTGGTTCAAGCAATTCTTCTGCCTCAGCCTCCGGAGTAGCTGGGATTACAGACGGGCGCCACGACGCCTGGCTAATTTTTGTATTTTTGGTAGAGAGGGAGTTTCACCATGTTGTTTAGGCTGGTCTGGAACTCCTGACCTCAGGTGATCCACCGGCCTTGGCCTCCCAAAGTGCTGGGATTACAGGTATGAACCACCGCGCCTGGCCCATCATTCCTTTCTTAAAATAAACATTACTTAATCATGGTGTAATGGTCCTTGACTACAGTCTGGGTTTGATTTGTTAGTATTTTATTCAGGATTATTGCTTCTATTTGCCTGTGGATCTCTTTTTTAGAGGGTAGCATTCTCACAGTTTGTTTATCAGGATTATGTCAGCTTCATAACATTGACTTGGAAATTTGCCATTTTTTTCTATATGCTAGAACAGTTTAGTGTGGGAATCATGTTACTTAAAGATTAAAATACACTCAACCATAAAACAGTCATCTCATGCCTCTTTGGAAGAGATCTCTTAAACTTTTCTCTATTTCTGGGTATATAACCTTTCTCATAGCAACATGTCTATGCATTTTTGCTTTCTTATTTTTCCCTTGGTATGTCCTACAAGTTCATCTACTGTTTTGAACCAGCTCTCTTATATTCTGCTGATTTACTGAGTCCTATTTTCTAATTGTTTCTATTTTTGCTAATTCTTTTATCCTACTTTCCTTAGCATTTTCTTCAGATTTTTTGAATTTAGTCACTTTTCTTTACTAGTTATTTTGATGTTTAAATGTTCAATGGGGTCTTTTGAGTTTATACCTAGCAGAATTGCTGATCATATGGTAATTCTATTTAACTTTTAAAAGAACTGCCAAACTTTATCATAGCAGCTGGACCATTTTACATTCCCACCAGCAATGCATACATCCTGGACAATATTTGCTATTGCAGCTATGGTATCTCATTGTGGTTTTGATTAGAATTTCCCTGATGACTCATGACTTGAGCATCTTTTCATGTATTGTTGAGGTTATTTGTATATCTTCTTTGGCGAAATGACTATTCAGAAGCCACTATCATTTTTCATAGAATGCCAAATATCTAGATTAGCCACTAACAATCTAGAACTCAGCTTTCCTGCTTCCAATTCAGTATCCTTTCCTGAAAGTGGGGGACTGGATGATGCGTAGACATCCCCAGTTAGGCTACTTAAGACCAAATCTTTTATTTCAGCACTTACACACAGATAGTTAAGATGTAACACCAAAGGACCCAGAGGAATATAATTGAGACACTACCCTTACACATCAATAAGCTTAATTTAACCCCATAAACGTTTACTGAATGCTCATTATGTGTAAAGCATCTGTGCTCGGCACTGGAGGAGATACTGAGATAAATGCTACTTCAAACAAACAAACAAACAAAGTCCAGGTGCGGTGGCTCACACCTGTAATCCCAGCACTTTGGGAGGCCGAGGCAGGAAGATCACAAGGTCATGAGTTCGAGACCAGCCTGGACAATATGGTGAAACCCCACCTCTACTAAAAATACAAAAACTAGCTGAGTGTGGCGGCGTGCACCTGTAGTCCCAGCTACTCAGGAGGCTGAAGCAGAAGAATCTCTTGAACCTGGGTGGCGGAGGTTGCAGTGAGCCGAGATCACACCACTGCGCTCCAGGCTGGGCGACAGAGTGAGACTCCATCTCAAAAACACACACACACACACAAAAACAAAAACAAGACACAAATTAGCTGGGTGTGGTGGCGGGCACCTGTAATCCCAGCTACTCAGGAAGCTGAGGCAGAAAGAACTGCCTGCACCCAGGAGGCAGAGGTTGCAGTGAGTGGAGATCGCACCACTGCACTTCAGCCTGGGCAATGGAGTGAGACTCCATCTTAACAACAAACAAACAAACCCCACTCCTACTCTCATTCCTGCTGTCTTACAATCTAGTCTTTAGAAGATATACATAGGACAAAAACTGCCACTAGGAAAATAATGAAAATGTAGTTACATTTGAAAACAAATCATGTAACTTTAAATTGTGGTTTCATAAGCTTTTGGCCTTTTATGACTCAAAGTACAGCCATTCCACTAGTCCATGTCACTTCATGGACCCAAATCTTTAGGAATAGGTTTTCATCAGACAATACCACCACTGTTGTGGTGGTACTTTATCAGGTAGATCCTATGCTTGTCCAGAAGAGGAAAATAATCTTTCAGTGTGATGTTACAAAAATACCAAAACGTTGGAAGCACAATGCTTAAATCCTGTCCACTTTGAGTGGAGTAACAGAGATAATGTTTTGCATTGTACAACAGCAGTTTTATAAAATCCATTTGAATTACAATTTTGATGCAGCTTCTTTCTTCAAAAAGCAAATGCTTGGTGACTGCTTTACCAAAGAAAATTGAATAGAGGTTACCTTGTGAAATTAGTGTTTTCACAAATATACTGGAAAGAAATATTTGAAGTCATGTTAAAGACAATTTGATTCATTACTTTTATTTCCAAAGTTAGGCTTGCAACTTTAAA
Source organism: Homo sapiens (assembly GCF_000001405.40). Classification (NCBI taxonomy): domain Eukaryota; kingdom Metazoa; phylum Chordata; class Mammalia; order Primates; family Hominidae; genus Homo; species Homo sapiens. Next base: position 73,937,017 of record NC_000008.11, read on the forward strand.
TTTTGTTTTGTGACGTGATGGCTAACTGAGCCAGTTACTGGCTATGTGAGAAAGCTACTCTAATTCCTTTAGTTGTGCATCTTCTTCCAACCCAGCCTGGCCACTCACCTCTATTCAGAAGGTGTGGACAAAAAATAGTTTACCGACTATTGCAAAACACTGAAAGAAAAGTATCTCCCACCACTGAGGCTATTCAAAAGAGCATTTATTATAAGCTCTAAAGGCAGTTCCAGAAACATTTTGAGCAACAATAGCCTTACTAAATGAAGGATGATGTTCATTTATATAGAAATATTATACATATATATTTCTTAAAGTATTTATGTTATAGGCACGTCTCATGCATTAATTCCTGACCTCAGTTTGCCATTTTAATATTCTGTATATTGTGTATTTGAATACTTTAACAAAGATGACTTTCACTTCTTGGAGTGGTTCTTTAAAATCTAAGCACCATGTTTGTTCTAATTAACCTGAACTACAATCTGGATCTAGAATCTCACTGCAAGTTAGCTTGTGACCTTAAACTCTCATGGTTTTGTCTTGGACCCTTGTTTTTTAAAAGAAACCTCCACACTGAAAATCAAAAGGGAACATAATGGGATACAAATGGTGGCTTTAAGAAACTAAAGAAAGCTGAATTTTCACAAATTGTTGAATGAAATTATGGAAAGACAAAAATTGCTCTTGATGGTCTGAAGAAAATGCACTTTCCAATTCAAAATTATACTTTGTGAAGGCACATTCTTGCCGTTTTCTACAGCAGAAATTACACTACACTGATTTAAAAGACATTTGATAAATCTACATCAAAATGCCTATAGTTAAAATCCTACTGATGTATTAAAAAAACAAAAACAAAAACAAAAAACTAACAGTGGATCTGAGCCAGTTAATACGTGTAGGCAGGATTAATCACAAGCTTTACTTCATGTAAAAAGGAGGCTCTGATGAGATCTTAGATAATTCTGATTAAAAAGTAACCAAATTTGAATTCTTATCCTCATCTGTCATCTTATGCATGCTTTTCTAAATAACGAAGCAACAAAACATATCTCAAGTCTTAGCATATAAAATATATGTAGGTCAAATGTAACAAAGTATTTTTTATATTAAAATAACTGCAAGCCTCTAATACTATAAAGAGGGTGATACGGTTTGGCTGTGTCCCCACCCAAATCTCATCTTGAATTCCCACATGTTGCGGAAGGGACCCAGTGGGGAGGTAACTGACTCATGGGGGGCAGGTCTTTCCCGTGTTGTTCTCATGAGTGAATAAGTCTCATGAGAGCTGATGATTTTAGAAAAGGGGAGTTTCTCTGCACAAGATCTCTTCTCTGGTCTGCTGGCATGTGAGATGTTCCTTTCACCTTCCACCATGATTGTGAGGCCTCACCAGTTGCATGGTTTTTTCTTAGTAAATTGCACAGTGTCAGGTATGTCTTTATCAGCAGCATGAAAATGGACTAATACAGTAAATTGGTACCAAGAGAGTGGGGCGCTGCTGAAAAGGTACCTGAAAATGTGGAAGTGATTTTGAAACTGGGTAACAGGCAGAGGCTGGAACAGTTTGGAGGGCTCAGAAGAAGACAGAAAAATGTGGTAAAGTTTGGAACTTCCTAGAGACTTGTTGAATGGTGTTGCCCAAAATGCTGATAGCAATATGGACAATAAATTCCAGGCTGAGGTGGTCTCAGATGGAGATGAGGAACTTGTTGGTAACTAGAGTAAAGGAGACCCTTGACATGTTTTAGCAAAGAGACTGGTAGCATTTTGCCCCTGCACTACAGATTTGTGGAACTTTGAACTTGAGAGAGATGATTTAGGGTATTTAGTGGAAGAAATTTCTAAGCAGCAAAGCATTCAAGAGGTGACTTGGGTGCTGTTAAAGGCATTTTTTTTAAGGCATTCAGTTTTATAAGGGAGGCAGAGCATAAAAGTTCAGAAAATTTGCAGCCTGAAAATGCAACAGAAAAAAAAAATCCATTTTCTGAGGAGAAATCTAACCCTGCGGCAGAAATTTGCAGTAACAAGCAACAAGGAGCGGACGTTAATCCCCGACAATGGGAAAAATGTCTCCAGGGCATGTCAGAGGTCTTCATGGCAGCACCTCTCATCACAGACCTGGAGGCCTAGGAGGAAAAAGTGGTTTCAGGGTGGGCACAGTGGCTCATGCCGGTAATCTCAGCACTTTGGGAGGCCAAGGTGGGCGGATCACTTGAGGTCAGGAGTTTGAAACCAGCCTGGCCAACATAGCAAAATCCCATCTCTACAAAAAATACAAAAATTAGCTAGGCATGTCAGCACGGCATGTGCCCGTCATCCCAGCTACTCAGGAGGCTGAGGCAGGAGAATTGTTTGAATCTGGGAGGCAGAGATTGCAGTGAGCCGAGATCGTGCCACTGCACTCCAGCCTGGGCAACAGAGTGACTCTGTCACAAAAAAGTGGTTTTGGGGACTGGGCTCAGGGTCCCCATGCTGTGTGAAGCCTAGGCACTTGGTGCCATGCATCCTAGCCACTCCAGCCATGGCTGAAAGGGGCCAACATAGAGTTTGGGCCGTGGCTTCAGAGGGTGCAAGCCTCAATCCTTGGCAGCTTTCAAATGGTGTTGAGCCTGTCAGTGCACAGATGTCAAGAATTGAGGTTTGGGAACCTCTGCCTAGATTTCAGAAGATATATCGAAATGCCTGGATGTCCAGGCAGAAGTTTGCTGCAGGGCAGGGCTCTCATGGGGACCCTCTGATAGGGCAGTGTGGAAGAAAAATGTGAAGTAAGAGTCAGGCATGGTGGCTCCCTCCTGTAATCCCAGCACTTTGGAAGGCCGAGAAGGATCACCTGAGGTCAGGAGTTCGAGACCAGCCTGGCCAACGTGGTGAAATCCCATCTCTACTAAAAATACAAAAACATTAGCCAGGCATGGTGGCACATGCCTGTAATCCCAGCTACTTGGGAGGCTGAGGCAGAATTGCTTGAACCCAGGAAGTGGAGGTTGCAGTGAGCTGAGATTGCACCACTGCACTCCAACCTGGAGAGTGAAACTGTCTCAAAAAAAAAAAAAAAAGAAAGAAAAGAAAAAAAAGAAAAAAGAAAAATGTGGGGTCAGAGCCCTCACACGGAGTCACTACTGGGGCACTCCTAGAGTAGCTCTGAGAAGGCCATCCTCCAGACCCCAGAATGGTAGATCCACTTGACAGCTTACACCGTGTGCCTGGAAAAGTTGCAGACACTCAACACCAGCCCATGAAAGCAGCCAGAAGGCAGGCTGTACCCTGCAAAGCCACAGGTGTGGAGCTGCCCACGTGAACTCACCTCTTGCATCAACATGATGTGGATGTGAGACATGGAGTCAAAGGAGATCATTTTGGAACTTTGACTACCCCACTGGATTTCTGACTTGCATGGGGCCTGTAGCCCCTTTGTTTTGGCCAATTTCTCCCATTTGGAATGGCTGTATTTACCCAATGCCCATTCCCCCATTGTATCTAGGAAGTAACTAACTTGCTCTTGATTTTACAGGCTCATAGGTGGAAGGGACTTGCCTTGTCTCAGATGAGACTTTGGACTGTGGATTTCTGAATGCTGAAAAATGAGTTAAGACATAGGGGGACTGTTGGGAAGGCATGATTCTTTTTCGTTGTTTTTTTTTTTGAGACAGTGTCTTCTCTGTCGACCAGGCTGGAGTGCAGTGGTACAATCTCAGTTCACTGCAACCTCCGCCTCCTGGGTTCAAGCAGTTCTCCTGTCTTAGCCTCCCTAGTGGCTGGGATCACAGATGTCTGCCACCACATCTGGCTAATTTTGGTATTTTTAGTAAAAACGGGGTTTTGCCATGTTGGCCAGGTTGGTCTCAAACTCCTGACCTCAAGTGATCCTCCCAGCTTAGCCTCCCAAAGCACTGGGATTACAGGCATGAGCCACCACACCTGGCCCATGAGTGGTTTTGAAATGTGAGGACATGAGATTTGGGAGGGGCCAGGAATGGCATGATATGGTTTGGCTGTGTCCCCACCCAAATCTTGAATTCCCACGTGTTGTGGGAGGGACTCAGCAGGAGGTAATTGAATCACGGGGGCAGGTCTTTCCTGTGCTGTCCTTGTGATAGTGAGTAAGTCTCAGATCTGATGGTTTTAAAAATGGGGAATTTCTCTGTACAAGCTCTCTTCTCTTTGTGCCTTTCACCTTCCACCATGATTGTGAGGCCTCCCCAGCCACATGGAACTGTAAGTCGATTAAACCTTTCTTTTGTAAATTGCCCGGTCTCGGGTATGCCTTTATGAGCAGAAAATGGACTAATACAGAGAGGAAAAAATCAAATTCTGATGTACCTGTGTCTGTCCTATACGAGAGTACCATCACACAAAAATACAAAATTTATAGAATAATTTGATGATTAAGACCATGAGATCTATCTCAAAGCAACTTTAAAATTTCCCCAGCTGGGTGCAGTTTTGTGTGCCTTTAGTCCCAGCTATGAGAGGCTGAGGCAGGATGACTGCTTGAGGCCATGAGTGGAAGGCTGCAGTGTGCTATGATTGTGCCTATGAACAGCCACTGCACTTCAGCCTGGGCAACATAGTGGAGACCATGTCTATTAAAAAAAAAAAATTACCAATTAAAAAAACCTGAGGGTGAAGGAACCAAACTACAGAATAAGGAGGATGTAAACTGAATACTCCACAGGGCATTAAAAATTCATCTTCTGTTTTCAGCTAGAGATCCACAAAGGAGATAAATCATGTATGTGCCTAATTCAGGATAACTTACCACATTAGTACATGAATGCAAAATAAGTTGGAGGTTCACCTGGCATTAAATACATTGGTATGAAATCATAGCACATAAATTTTCCTTTATGTCAGCAGTTACTGTCAACCAGAGCTAAAACAGGATTTTCTCTCTATATAGCAGGCAATAAAAACAACTACAAGAATTCTAAATTCATCTAGCTGACATATTTAGTAATGACTGTAATATTTCATGCCTAATCCAGAGGCAGCAAAAAGCCCCATTTTCTCTCTAGTTCATAATTCTAATCTGACCATCTGGAATGTTATACAATTTTAGGCTTAAGCAACATCCACAACACAATCTTGTTCATTAATTTTCTAAAAGTTGGTAAACATTACCTTACAGATAGATGTGCAACCTCCTAATTCTATAGATGTAAAATGGAGGCCCAGGGCCTTGTTCAAGGTCACATGGCTATCAACACAAGATCCCCGACTTTCTCACTCTCAGGTTGGTACGCTAATATACCACAGTATTTCTAGGCTAATAAATATTTGTTTAAATACACCATGGCTGGGGCGCGGTGGCTCATGCCTGTAATCTCAGCACTTTGGGAGGCCAAGGTGGGCGGATCACAAAGTCAGGAGATCGAGAAGACCATCCTGGCCAACATGGTGAAACTCCATCTGTTAAAAATACAAAAAAATTAGCTAGGCCTGGTGGCACGTGCCTGTAGTCCCAGCTATTCGGGAGGCTGAGGCAGGAGAATCACTTGAACCTGGGAGGTGGAGGTTGCAGTGAGCCGAGATCACGCCACTACACTCCAGCCTAGCGGCAGAGTGAGACTCCATCTCAAAAATAAATAAATTAATTAATACACCATTAGGTTTAATACTTAAGAGTTAAGCCTAATAGGAATATAAAACCTTATGACAAATATGACTGGCCTGGAAATAAACCAGATTTATATATTGCAAATAAAACACAACACACAAAAGATTAATGGCATCTCTGACTACCAGACATTAAGTGTTCTATCAATATAATCTATGTAAACACTCTTCACTTTTAAACAGCAATTTAAAAAAGAATTTATTTTTTTGAGATGGAGTCTCGCTGTCTCCCAGGCTGGAGTGCAATGGTGTGATCTTGGCTAACTGCAACCTCCACCTCCCGGGTTCAAGTGATTCTCCTGCTTCAGCCTCCCGAGTAGCTGGGATTACAGACATGCACCACCATGCCTGGCTAATTTTTACATTTTTAGTAGAGACAGGGTTTCACTATGTTGGCCAGGCTGGTCTTGAACTCCTGACCACAAGTGATCCGCTCACCTCAGCCTCTCAAAGAGCTGGATTACAGGCATGAGCCACTGCGCCCGGTCAATTTTTTTTTCAGAGGCAGGATCTTGCTGTGTCACCCCGCTGGAGTGCTGCAGTGTGATCTCAGTTAACTGCAACCTCCACCTCTGCGGCTCAAGTGATCCTCCTGCCTTAGCCTCCTGAGTAGCTGGAACTACAGGCACATGCCACTGCACCCAGTTAATTTTTGTATTTTTAGTAGAGATGGGGTTTCACTATGTTCCCCAGGCTGGTCTTGAACTCCTGGCCTCAAGTGATCCTCCCACCTCAGCCTCCCAAAGTGCTGGGAAAACAGGCACGAGCCACTGCGCCTGGCCATTAAACAACAATTTTATATTATTTCTTAGACTATGTGCACTATTTTCAAATAATATTGATAAGCTTAGCAAAATTACACTAAGATGACAGCTCCATGCATAGTAAGATGTCTCTAAATGTATTTCTCTGTTAGCATGAGCTGAATTTGCCACCTAAGATAAATTCTTTTTCACAGTATCAACAAGTATGTCCCCACTTTCTAAGCAGAGAGATTAGCTGGGTATGGTGACTCACACCTGTAATCCCAGCACTTTGGGAGGCTGAGACGGGAGGACTGCTTGAGCCCAGGAGTTTGAGATGAACCTGGGCAACAAAGTGAGACTCTGTATCTACAAAAGATTAAAAAGAAAAAAAATTAGCCCGGCATGGTAGGGCATGCCTGTAGTTCTAGCTACTTGGGAGGCTGGGAGGATCACTTGAGCCCAGGAGGCCAAGACTGCAGTGAGCAGTGATCACACTGCACTCCAGTGTGGGCAACAGAGCAAGACTCTAAAAAACAAAATGAAAAAAATTAAATTAAAAAAGGAAGATTATCTTGATAATAACTGCATGAAAGATAAGCAATTTAAAAAGCATAACCTAGTGTAAAAATGAAGTAACTGAATAATACAAAGAATTTTGTGGTAATGTTTTTTATGCAGAAAAAATAATATAGAATCTGCACATAATTTGAAAAGTAAATTACCAAGTGTCAGAAAACTGTTAAGATCTCAGTGTTATATCTTAAATTTAACCAAGTAAAAATTTCTGATATTCAAACACATGGCAGAAATGTCCTGAGGCAAAGTTTAACGAATCCTCAGAAAATTAAGGCTAAAAAAAAAATGGCTAAAATACAGAAAAAAAAACAGAAAATTAAGGCAAAAGAAAATTAAGGCTAAAAAAAATCAAACACCAAGTGTTCATCATACCTCAGCCTTTATTAACATGCAAGTACCATGTGCTTCAAGATAAACAGGCTTGCTTAGTCTTTGATTCAGTTTTAATGTCTTAAACTTAAGGTTACTTCTGATTCCAATACATAAAATAACCTATGAAAACTGGTCAAAGTTAAACTTTATTTCTATTTTTCTTTGTTTGAGACTGAGTTTTGTTCTTGTTGCCCACGCTGGAGTGCAGTGGCACGATCTTGGCTCACTGCAACCTCTGCCTCCCAGGTTCAAGCAATTCTCCTGCCTCAGCCTCCCGAGTAGCTGGGATCACAGATGCGTGCCACCACAGGCGGCTAATTTTTCTATTTTTAGTAGAGATGAGGTTTCACCACGTTGGCCAGGCTGCTCTGGAACTCCTAACCTCAAGTGATCCACCCGCCTCAGCCTCCCAAAGTGCTGGGATTATAGGCATGAGCCACCATGTCTGACCTTGACTTTTGAAATCACTATTTAGGTTTATACTTGGCATCATTTGTCACCACATGGCAGAATATAATTCTTGTACTTGATAAATAATCTTCTATATTAAAATATGTACCAGTATAGCTTAAGAAGTTACTAAGGCGGCTCTGGGCGCGCTGCCTGGAAGTTAGCCCTGCTCTGCAAGGAGCAGCTTAAAAAAAAGTTACTAAAAATATATAATTTATATTTAACTTCTTTCAATAAGCTGGAATGTATAATGTTTAGGTATAAGAGGAAAAATTACTTTTGTGTATGGTTTTTGCAGTTTCCAGAAAAGCTGGTCCATATTAGGCCAGTCTTTTTTTTTTTTTTTTTTTTTTTTGAGACAGTCTCGCTCTGTCACCCAGGCTGGAGTGCAGTGGTGCGATCTCGGCTCACTGCCACCTCCACCTCCCAGGTTCAAGCGATTCTCATGCCTCAGCCTCACAAGTAGCTGGGATTACAGGCGTGTGCCACCATGGCCTAGCTAATTTTTGCATTTTTGGTAGAGATGGGGTTTTGCCATGGTGGCCAGGCTGGTCTCAAACTCCTGGCCTCAAGTGATCTACCCGCCTCGTCCTCTGAAAGTGCTGGGATTACAGGCATGAGCCACCGGGCTCAGCCATATTAAGCCAGTCTCAAATAAGCTGGAGACTTAAGTTTATAGACCCTATAATGACAACTTTGTTCCACCTCTGAGATAAAGACAATACTAAACCCATCTCCAGTGCTTCTTTCCCCATGCATAAGGAATGATGCTGTCATATTTTTTCAAAAAATTTTTTGGCTGCTTAATAGAAAAGCTGAATGAGCTTGATTTCAGTAGAAGACCCACTGATTATGGGTATATTTATTGGGACATATTTTAATAGAAGATAATTCATGTAGGATATCTTCAATGCATTATAATATGATTTTCACTGTATCTCTTCACATGTTATTCCATAACATTCTAATTGGATGGAGAAAGACTGGAATAGTTCAAAAAGGTGTAGCTTTTAAGATCTGAATAAAGTTAATAGTGAGTCTTTTAAAATACATTTAAACAACTGGAAGTATAATCACAACAAGGGACTATGAAGGAAGAATAAATATTGCAAACGACGCTTTATAGTCAATGCAAATACAGTACTTTGAATTACCCAAAATGTATAATGCACAAGAACTCTAAGTCATGTAGTTTACTTGCTGACCATCTGGCTACAGTTCAGTTTCTTCTGCAAAAGCTGTACCTAGTAACCTTCCAAAATTGTTTTTAAATAAAGTTCTTAAATTGTAGCAATAAACAAAAGGACAAAGTACACTTAAAGAATACTGCAGTTTATCAAAAGACATAAGAAATTTCAACTCATACTTGGAGAGTTATAAAAATCAATGTTTTGGCTAAGTTATAAACATGTTTATAATGCAATTATTTGCATAACTCTAGTAATGCTAATGGCGGCTATAAGATTAGGTTTCTAAAAAACCACTAAAAACATAAAAATACTTAGCCTCATTATTTCCCTGTAGAACGTATTGATTTACACCTAAATTTCAGTATTTACTATATCATCATTGCTGATTTTAAGTCACATTCAAAGGATAAGGCAAAACCACCTACGAATTGGCATATTTGTTTATTTCTCAGTTTGTGAAAATGTCCTTAATTTGTTGATGTAGCAAACAAATTTCAACTTTGATTGCTATGCAAAAAAACAAGATAATCTGCTTTGCAATGAACTTTATATAGTTCAACTGCATACAGGCAACATGCTATATATGAAAAAGTTACTAACTGAACTACAGGTATTAAATACTGAAAAGAGTTAACAGTTTATTATAATTTATTTTATTTAACAATCTAAGAAGTTCGCAGCCATCAGCAGTTCCAGTGCAATTTCAGGTGCAATTGGGAATTCAGGAATCTCGGTGGAGCTGTTAGTGTAGCGAACCTTGTACGTAAAATACATGCATACTTTCGATAGCACATGTGAAGGTATCTCTCTAAAATTGACCTCATTGGTTTCGTTCTCAGCAAACTGACCTGTAAAACAAAAGAATTATGTATGTTATTGGCTGAATTGTGTCCTCCAAATTCATATGTTGAAGTCTTAACCCCTTGTACCACAGAATGTGGCTGTATTTAGAGATAAGTTCTTTAAAGAGGTAATTAAAAGAGGTCATTAGGGTGGCAATCCAATATGATTGGTGTCTTTTTGTTTGTTTGTTTGAGACAGAGTCGCGCTCTGTCACCCAGGCTGAAGTGCAATGGCGGGATCTCAGCTCACTGCAACCTCCACCTCCCAGGTTCAAGCGATTTTCCTGCCTCAGCCTCCTGAGTAGCTGGGATTACAGGTGTGCAGCACCACGACCGGCTAATTTTTGTATTTTTAGTAGAGACGGGGTTTCACCATGTTGGTCAGGCTGGTCTCAAACTCCTGACCTCATGATCCACCCACCTCAGCCTCCCAAAGTGCTGGGATTACAGGCATGAGCCACCGCGCCCGGCCATGATTGGTATTCTCGTAAGAGATCCGGACAGAGATGGGCATAGAGGGAAAACTGTGTGAAGACAGGAAGAAGATGGCCATGTACAAGACAAAAAGAGAGCCTCAGAAGAGACCAACTCTACTTTCAACCTCTACACTCCAGAATTGTGAGAAAATAAAGTTCTGTTGTTCAAGCCATCTAGGGGTGGTACTTTGTTATGGCAGCCCTAGCAAACTAATCATCATTAAAATAACCTCAATTAGCACCAAATGAATTATGGAATTCTGATTTTTTTAGTATTAACCTAAGTTTTTTTCTTTTTTTTGACATAGAGTCTTGATCTGTTGCCCAGGCTGGAGTGCAGTGGCATGGTTGTGGCTCACTGTAACCCCTGCCTCCTGGGCTCAAGTGATCCTCCCACCTCAGCCTCCTCGAGTAGCTGGGACCACAGGTGAGCGCCACCATGTCTGGATAATTCTTGTATTTTTTGTAGAGACAGAGTTTTGCCATGTTGCCCAGGCTGGTCTTGAACTACTGGACTCAAGTGATCCCCCTGCCTCAGAATCCCAAAGTGCTAAGATTACAGGCTTGGCCACTTGCACCTGGCCAACATTAAAAAAAACCTTTACTAAAATAGTACTTGAGGGCCGGGCGGGGTGGCTCATGCCTGTAATCCCAGCACTTTGGGAGGCTGAGGTGGGCGATCATTTGAGGTCAAGAGTTCGAGAGCAGCCTGACTAACATAGTGAAACCCCATCTGTACTAAAAATACAAAATTAGCTGGCCGTGGTGGTGAGTGCCAGTAATCCCAGGTACTCGGGAGGCTGAGGCAGGAGAATTTCTTGAACCCAGGAGGCAGAGGTTGCAGTGAGCCAAGATTGTGCCATTGCACTCCAGCCTGGGCGACAAGAACGAAACTCCGTCTCAAAAAAAAAAAAAAGATAGTACTTGAGATTCATCAAGACTGAATTTTAAAATTCTAATTCTCTCCCTGTGGGTTGGAAACTTAAGTAGCTTTTCCTAACAATCTTGGTGGTATGATTGGCGAGCAGGATGAAAAAGTAAAATCATTTTTAAAAAAGATCAATCCAGGCAATCAAGTCTTTATGGATCATTAGGATCCCTGTGTTGTACTGAATTGCCATGTAAAAATAAAGTCAGGGCAAATAACAGGTTTTCTGATTTGGCTTTTCTGAGAATTAGTGAATATATAAAATCACCTGAATCCAGGAGGTGGAAGTTGCAGTGAGCTGATATCATACCACTGCACTCCAACCTGGGTGACAGAGCAAGACTCCGTCTTAAAAGATAAAACAAAACAAACAAAAAACCTATTTAAACTATTTAACTGTTTACCTAAAATAATAAGAAAAATACTACTTAAAAGAAATGGGCTGAGCATGGTGGCTCATGCCTGTAATCACAGCACTTTGGGAGACCTACTTGTAGTCTCAGCTACTGGGGAGGCTCAGGTGGGAGGACTGCTTGAGCCCGGGAGTTCAAGGCTGCAGTGCGCCATGATGGCGCCACTGTACTCCAGCCTGGGCAAGACAGAGACCCTGTCACTCACAAGCAAGCAAGCAAGCAAGCAAGCAAGCAAGCAAGCAAGCAAGCAAAAGAAACATTTCAGGAAAGGAATTCCATTGTTTCCTCCTTTAGTTTTTTTAAAAATATGATCATGTTAACGAGATCTCTTCACAAGACATTTTCCTTTGTTTAACAGCATTTCATAAACAGTTTTTCAGTCATTCTTCAAAATTTCTGTAGCTACACAAAGGTTGTATCATTTAGCCTTTACACATAGAGATAAAATATTTTCTTAGCAGTCTAGTACTAGCACTGTATGCTGAATATAAAAGGCATTTCACATCTACAAATATACTTTGAGAATATAGTATTTTAAAATACTAAAATATATACAAAATGCCTTTTATATATCTGTTGGTTGGGGGTATACTGTAGCAGGGAGAAAGGAGTACTGCGGGACTCAGCAAATAATTCACAACAATGAGGTAAATTTTGGTTTGCCAATAACTAGAACTCCTTTTCTTAAATACATGCCTGAAAATATTGCCTATAGGCACTTATTAAGACTTTGATACTAGACAAACATCAGTGATTTTTCTAAAAGGTGAGATTTATATAACATAAAATCAACCATTTTAAAGTGTACAATTCAGTGGCATTTAGTATATTTACAATGTTGTGCAACTATCCCTTCTATTTAGTTCCAAAACATTTTCATCATCCCAAATTAAAACCCGATAATCCATTAAGCAGTTACTCCTCATCTTCCCCATCCCCCCAGCCTCTGGCAAACACCAATCTGCTTTCCGTCTCTATGGATTTACCTACTCTGGATATTTCATAAAAATGGAATCATACAAATGTGACATTTTGTGTCTGAGTTCTTTTACTTAGCATGCTGTCGAGGTGCATACGGACTGTAGCATGCTATCAGTACTTCACTCCTTTTCATGCAAACAGTAGTTTGAGGCTGAATGTTTTCTGATCTTTCCAAGATAAAAATCTTGTGTTTAAACTAAAGATCAAATTTATAAAAAGCAAAAGCTCTTTGTTTCTAGCCTGCTGTTATAAAATAAAATTAATTTTAATTAAAATTCTGTTGGCATTTGTGATTTTTTTTCCCCTTAAAGTACTTCCTTGCATTGTCCTGTGGAAAAGCCCAAAAGCAATTCATCAGATTCATCAGAGCCATGTTGTGTGTGTATATGAGGAGTGGGGGGTACAATTCAACCAAGGAGGAATGAGTATCTTCAGCACCCAGATTGGGGCCCCTAAATACCATTTTCTACTAAAAACAGGGATTTTTGGAGAAACAGCTGTTTTCGGGATCGGGGAACAATGTTCATGACATGCCTAAGAAATCTTATTACAGAAAGTAGTATAACTATTCAAGACTAACGGAGCCATGTCAAAAGGACACAGAAGCTAACACAATGTGGCTCTTTCTGACATAAAAATGAAGCAAATGGAACAATCTGAGCACCAGTAAGAATGACTGCAACAGACTGAAAAACATGAAATATAGTCATGAATTCATGATGACATTCACTCAAAAACAAAAACAAAACACTCTTTACTATTAGATGATGCTGAAGAACCAATTCATTACTCTGAAAAATTATATTTAAAAGGAAAAAAATCAAGTCTTTATCATCTTTCCCATATAGACTGTATTTCAATGTAACCAAATAATATCTTATAGGAAAATTTTAGCTAATAAATGCAAAAAATTTTACAGAATTGGAAAGTCACTGTTTTGTAATCTCAAAGTAAATCTCAACAATAATCACAATGAATGCTAAATCATAGTGGGGAATTTTTAATGGATGAATCAGCCTGACAACCTGGAACCCACTGATCAAGCTTGACACTGCTAAAAGACATGATAGAACAGGAATACAAGAGTGCTACCTACAAATATCCTTTGCTTAGAAAAATGTATCAGAGTCTAATCAAGTCTCTGGAATTTTAACTATGAGTTTACAGAATAAAGCTCAAATGTAATTCAATATGAAATATGGACAGCATACAAATGACCTTGCTTCTCTGTAAAATTAATGGCCTGCCTGGAAATAAAAGAAAAGGTGCAGGGGAACTATTGCAGATTTTCCAAGTGAAATGGCACAACATCAGGCATGTGCTTGAAATACTCCAAAAAAGTAGGGATAATGACACAACTTAAGATTGGCAAAATGGGCTGGGCATGGTGGCTCATGCCTGTAATCCCAACACTTTGGGAGGCCGAGGCAGGTGGATTGCTTGAGGTCAGGAGTTCAAGAACAGCCTGACCAACACAGTGAAACCCCATCTCTACTAAAAATACTAAAATTAGCTGGGCGTGGTGGCGGCATGCCTGTAATACCAGCTACTCAGGAAGCTGAGGGAGGAGAATCGCTTGAACCCTAGAGGCAGAGGTTGCAGTGAGCTGAGGTTGTGCCACTGCACTCCAGCCTGTGAGATAGAGCGAAAGACTGGCAAAATGTTAATAACTATTGAAGCTGGATGATGGGCACATGGAGGTGTATTACACAGTTCTCTTTACTTCTGAGTAGGTTTTAAAATCTCCATAGTAAAAACATAGAAGAATTGTGGCCACACACAGTGGCTCACACCTGTAACCCCAGCACTTTGGGAGGCCAAGTTGGGAGGACTGCTTGAGGCCAGGAGTTCAAGACCAACCTGGGCAACATCGCTACAGAAAATACAATTTAAAAAAAGGTGCATGCCTGTGGTTCCAGCTACTCAGGAGGTTGAGGTGGGAGGATTGCTTGAGCCTAGGAAGGCTTGTGCCACTACACTCCAGCCTGGGCAACAAGCAAGACCCTATCTCAAAAACAAACAAACAAAAAACCCCACAACAACAACAACAACAACAACAACAACAACAAAACAACAGACAAAACCAGAAAGAGCTGCAAGGGATCCCAAATAGCCCAAACAATCTTGAAACAGAAAAACAAAGTTGGAGGCCTCATACTTTCTGATTTTGAAACTTACTACAAAGCTACAGTAATCAAAACAGTGTGGTACTGGCATAAGGACAGACATATAGATCAATGGAATAGAATTGAGAGCCCAGAAATACACAAATCTACAGTCAACTGATTTTCAACAAGGGTGCTATGGGGAAACGGTCTCTTCAATAAATGGTAGTGGGATAGCCACATGCAAAAGAATGAAGCTGATCTCTTACTTCACAGCATAAACAAAAATTAACTTAAGACCAAAGACCTAAATTTAAGAGCCAAACCCATAAAACGCCTATAAGAAAACACAAGGGAAAACACAGGGTTAGATTTGACAACAGATTCTTATATATGACACAAAAACCAAAGGAAAAATAAATCACACTTCAAAATTAAAACTTTAGGAGGCCAAGGTCAGTGGATCACTTGAGGCTAGGATTTCGAGACCAGCCTGGCCAACACGGTGAAACTCCATCTCCACTAAAAACACAAAAACTAGCCAGGTGTGGTGGTGGGCACCTGTAATCCCAGCTATTCAGGAGGCTGAGACAGGAGAATCGGTTGAGGGTGCAGTGAGGTGGAGGGTGCAGTGAGCCGAGATTGAGCCACTGCACTCCAGCCTGGGTGACACAGCAAGACGCTGTCTCAAAATAAATAAATATATTAATTAATTTAAAAAATAAATAAATAAAAATAAAAGTGTGCTTCAAATGACACCATTAAAAAAAAAAAAAAGACTGGCCAGGTGCGGTGGCTCATGCCTGTAATCCCAGCACTTTGGGAGGCTGAGATGGGCGGATCATGAGGTCAGGAGATCAAGACCTTCCCGGCTAACACAGTGAAACCCCGTCTCTACTAAAAATACAAAAAAATTAGCTGGGTGTGGTGGCGGGCGCCTGTGGTCCCAGCTACTCGGGAGGCTGAGGCAGGAGAATGGCATGAAACTGGGAGGTGGAGCTTGCAATAAGCCAAGGTTGCGCCACTGCACTCCAGCCTGGGCAACAGGTGTCTCGAAAAAAAAAAAAAATCTATGGAATGGGAGAAAATATTAGCAAATCATGTATCTGATAAGGGTCTACTACTGAGAATTAATAAGGAACTCTCACAATTCAACAACAAAAATACAAACCACCCAATTCAAAAATGGGCAAAAGACTTGAATAGACATTTCTCCAAAGGAGATACAAAAATGTCTAGGAAGTGTATTAAATAATGTTCAACATCATTAGTCATTAAGGAAATGCAAATCAAAACCACCAGATAGGCTGGGTGTGCTGGCTCACGTCTGTAATCCCAGCACTTTGCGAGGCCGAGGTGGGCTGATCACTTGAAGCCAGGAGTTCAAGACCAGCCTGGCCAACACAGTGAGATCCCATTTCTACCAAAAATACAAAAAATTAGTTTGGCATGGTGGTGTGCACCTATAACCCCAGGTACTCAGGAGGCTGAGGCATGAGAATCGTTTGAACCTGGGAGGTGGAGGTTGCGGTGAGTGGAGACTGTGCCACTGCACTCTAGCCTGCGTAACAGAGTGAGACTATCTCAAAAAACAACCACCATCACCAAACAAACCACCTAAAACCCACCAGATAACCATTTCACACCCATTAAGATAGCAGTGATAAAAAAAAGAGTGGCCAGGCACAGTGGCTCACGCTTGTAATCCCAGCACTTTGGGAGGCTGAGGCGGGCGGGTCACCTGAGGCCGGGAATTCGAGACCAGCCTGACCAACATGGAGAAACCCCGTCTCCACTAAAATACAAAATTAGCTGGGCGTGGGGGCGCATGCCTGTAATCACAGCTGCAGGAGAATCGCTTGAACCTGGGAGGTGGAGGTTGTGGTGAACCAAGACTGCACCATTGCACTGCAGCCTGGGCAACGAGAGTGAAACTCTGTCTCAAAAAAAAAAAACCAAAAAACAAAAAACAATAACAAATATTGGCCAAGATGTATACAAACTGGAACCCTAGGACACCGTTGGTAGAAATGTAAAACAATTCAGCCACCGTGAAACAGTTCTGTGGCTCCTCCAAAAGTTAAAGAGAATTGTCATATGATCAAGCAACTGCACTTCTAAGAAGACACCCAAAAGAACTCAAAGCAGGTATTCAAACAATTATTTGTACACAAGTGTTCACAGAACTATTCATGGTAGCCAAAATGTGTCAACAACCCAAATATTTATCAACTGATGAATAAACAAATTGTGGTGTATTCACATCTGGCTGAATGAAATATTATTCAGCCATAAAAAAGAATGAAGTGCTGTACATGCACCACATAAATGAACCTTGAAAACATGAAAAATAACAAAAGCCAGATACAAAAGGCCATATACTGTATGATTCAATTTATACAAAATGGCCAGAATAGGTAAATTAGAAAGCAGACTGGTGGTAGTCAGACACTGAGGGTAGAGAATGGGAAGGGATAGTGACAGCTAATGAGTATGGAGCTTGCTTTTGGAGTAATAAAATGTTTTGGAACTAGATAGAGATGATGGCTGCAAAATACTGTGAATGCAGTAAACGCCACTAAATTGTACACTTTAAAACAGCTGCTTTTACATTATGTGAATTTTACTTCAAGAAAAAAATTTTAAGAATAGAGATTTGCGCTGGGTGTGGTGGCTCACGCCTGTAATCCCAGCACTTTGGGAGGCTGAGGCAGGCGGATCACAAGGTCAGATCGAGACCATCCTGGCTAACACGGTGAAACCCCGTCTCTACTAAAAGTACAAAAAATTAGCCTGGCGTGTGGTGGGCACCTGTAGTCCCAGACTTGGGAGGCTGAGGCATGAGAATCACTTGAACCCGGGAGGCGAAGGTTGCAGTGAGCCGAGATCGTGCCACTGCACTCCAGCCTGGGCGGCAGAGCAAGACTCCGTCTCAAAAAAAAAAAAAAAAGAATAGAGATTTGGAAGGTAGCAACTTGTTTTATCTAGCTAGGAACACAAATCACCAGTCTGTGGTTAAAAGGCTGACTATGGGCCGGGCGCAGTGGCTCACACCTATAATCCCTGCACTTTGGGAGGCTGAGGCGGGTGCACTGCCTGAGGTCAGGAGATCAAGACCAGTCCGACCAATATGGTGAAAACCCCGTCTCTACTAAAAATACAAAAAATTAGCCAGGCGTGGTGGTAGGTGCCTGTAATCCCAGCTACTCGGGAGGCTGAGGCAGAAGAATCTCTTGAACCTGGAAGGCGGAGGTTGCAGTGAGCCGAGATGGCACCATTGCACTCCAGCCTGGGTGACAGAGTGAGACTCCATCTCGGAAAAAAAAAAAAAAAAAAAAAAGGCTGACTATGGAACCTAATGTAGGAAAACCAATTCAGTCTTGTTGAAACTTATAGGATAAATAACTGAAAACAGAACATGGCAGAAATCAATTTTTTTTCCCCAATGCAACATAATCATGCAAAAGGCCAGGCATGCAAAAGGCTCATGCCTGTAATCCCCGCACTTTGCGAAGCTGAGGCAGGCGGATCACCTGAGGTCAGGAGTTCAAGACCAGCCTGGCCAACATGGTGAAACCCCATCTCTACTAAAAATACAAAAGTTAAACCTGGGCGTGGTGGCTCACTCTTGTAATCCCAGCACTTTGGGAGGCTGAGGTGGGTGGATCACTTGAGGTCAGGAGTTCGAGACCAGCCTGGCCAACATAGGGAAACCCCGTCTCTACTAAAAATACAAAAATTAGCCAGGCGTGGTGGCAGGCACTTGTAATCCCAGATACTCAGGAGGCTGAGGCAGGAGAATCGCTTGAACCCGGGAGGTGGAGGTTGCAGTGAGCCAAGATTGTGCCATTGCACTCCAGCCTGGGCAACAGAGCAAGACTCTGTCTCAAAAAAAAAAAAAAAAATTAGCCAGGGGTGGTGGTACACACCTGTAATTCCAGCTACTCTGAGGCAGGAGAATTGCCTGAACCCAGCAGGCGGAGATTGCAGTGAGCTGAGACCGCACCATTGCACTCCAGCCTGGGCAACAGAATGAGACTCTGTCTCTCTCAAACAAAAGAACAAAAACATAATCATACAACAATGTTAGAAGACTTATTTTCTCTTTAAATGCTGAATCATTAATTCAACTTAAAAACATCCATCAAACATTAAAAGTGAATATATGAAGAAAAAGACAGAACTGTGCTTACCTGGGCCACTCAACATGGCTTTTATCGTGCCTGATGTTAATGCATGTTCTCTTTTTACAATAAATTCATGGCCATCAGATGATATCAATTTGACATACATGGCATCAGGTCCTTCACAGCCACCATAGGTTTTCTCCTCTCCATCTAAAGTAAAGTAAGTAGTGAAACAATTTTTGAGTCACACAGTGTACTAAAACTAAACAGGTTTGGCTGGGCGCAGTGGCTCACGCCTGTAATCCCAGCACTTTGGCAGGCCAATCACCTGAGGTCAGGAGTTCAAGACCAGCCTGGTCAAACAAGCCCGTCTCTACTAAAAATACAAAAATTAGCTGTGTGTGGTGGCGCACACATGTAATCTCAGCTACTCGGGAGGCTGAGGCAGGAGAATCACTTGAACCTCGGAGGTGGAGGCTGCAGTGAGCCGAGATCACGCCACTGTAGTCCAGCCTGGATGACAGAGCAAAGCTCCATCTCAAAAAAAATAAATAAAAATAAAAAATAAACAGATTTATTAACAAGGTTAATATTTGAAGAACTCATACCAGAAACATTTCTGGAAGGTATTATAATAGTCACCAAGACATTAACAGTTTTTAACTCCTTGTTTTATACTTCTCTATCAACATCTTCCATTATCAGAATAAACTGTAGATTTAAGAATGCTACTTCAGTGAAAATTCACTAGTTTTTTCAAGGAGGTGTTAACAGTTGTTTTGTAACCAAAGCAGCCCATTCAAATTTGAAGACTAAGACAAATATTTAAATAGTATGACTTTAATTCTATCACCTGAAATACTCATTTTTAGAAATAAGATGCATAGCAGATTTATAAATCAGTGTTTATATGCCATGAGAGCTCGACTTCCTTTGACAAGTCCTAAGTTCTAAAAGTTAAGACTTCTTTTACTCAGCATTTCACACTTGATGGTTAAAAATAATGATCAAGTATGTATTTAGGCTGGGGGCGGTGGCTCACATCCCAGCACTTTGGGAGGCCAAGGCGGGTGGATCACGACGTCAGGAGATCGAGACCATCCTGGCTAACACAGTGGAGATCGAGACCATCCTGGCTAACACGGTGAAACCCCGTCTCTACTAAAAATACAAAAAAAATTAGCTGGGCGTGGTGGCGGGTGCCTGTAGTCCCAGCTACTCAGGAGGCTGAGGCAGGAGAATGGCATGAACACAGGAGGCGGAGCTTGCAGTGAGCCGAGACTGCGCCACTGCACTCCAGCCTGGGAAACAGAGAAAGACCCTGTCTCAAAAAAAAAAAAAAAGTATGCATTTAAACAATACTCGGTTTAAATGCATGCATTAAAAGTAATTAATATGGACAAAATATTGGTCTTTAAAAAAACCCAAAGCTGACATGAGGAGACAGAGTGCACAGATGTTACTCTGCTACTGCCATTGCTGCTGTACTGGCTTCAGTCACAGTAGCCAGATATATATAGAGTAAAAGTTACATATGCAAGTAAAAATCTCCTTAATTTTTACAATTTTGTACTGTAACAGAATTTTAATTTTTATAATTATTAACATGTGAAATAAAATAGCTTAAGGTTTATTCTAAAAACTCAGGAAGCCCTAGAAAGGATGAAGCTGAAGTACTGTTCAGCCACAAATATCCATTTGTTAAACAATTAATTCAGAAATCTCTAAAATTAAAATTAGTATCAAAATCACTCATGTGCTCCCACTGCCAAAAATGTTTAATTTGAATCAAATCACAAGAAAACAACCAGACAAATTAAAATTGAGGAATAGTCTTTGAAGTAGAAAACTATTTAAAGGAGACTAAAGAGACAAGTTAATGCATTATGATCATTTAAAATTTTTATCCATCCATCCATCCACCCACCCAACTATTTGTTTATTTATTTTTATTTTTTGAGATGGAGTCTCACTTTTGTTGTGGAGTACAGTGGCACAATCTCGGCTCACTGCAACTTCCACCTCCCAGGTTCAAGAGGTTCTCCTGCCTCAGCCTCCCGAGCAGCTGGGATTACAGGCGCCCACCACCACGGCTGGCTAATTTTTGTATTTAGTAGAGATGGGGTTTCACCATGTTGGTCAGGATGTCTCGAACTCCTGACCTCAAGTGATCCACCTGCCTTGGCCTCCCAAAGTGCTGGGATTACAGGCATGAGCCGCTGCACCCGGACTACTTATTTATTTATGGTTTTTTTTTTTTTTTTTTTAAGAGACAGGGCCTTGCTCTGTTACCCAGGCTGGAGTGCAGTGGCGCAATCATGGCTCACAGTAACCTGCAACTCCTGGGTTCGAGATCCTTTGGCCTCAGCCTCCAAAGTAGCTGGGAAATAGGCGTGCACCACCATGCCTGGCTTTGGTCTTTGTTTTTTAAAAAATGGCTTCTGTTCCATGTAAAACTTGTAATAAATATTCATCTATGTTATGTCATCATCTTATGTTATGTAATAAATGTTCATCTATGTTACATTGATTTAATTCTCAGACCCAGCCAGGACCCTAAGAAGACTAGAATGGAGTTTTGCCAACTCTACAATATGAACACACACACATACACACACACGAAAGCAAATTTGGTAAAACATTAACAATCTGGTGAAAGCTATGTTAGTATCTTTTTTTGTCTAATTTTTCATAAAAAGCGGGAGGAGCCATAAAGATGTAAGTAGCTTCTAAATTACAGACTATTCAAGCATATAGATTTTTAGCAGTTTTTGCCAACCTCAAAAAAGAAAAATAAAAATGGTTATTATTTCAATTTATGCTTCTAATATTTTTGGCAACAGAAAACATTGTATGTTTGTCAGGAGAGTTTCAAATTTCTTAAGGTAAAATTACTCACTAAAAATCACAAATTGGGGTTAGCACGATATTATTACTGATCTGCCTGTCGGGAATATATAGTCATGCATTGCTTAACGATGGAGATACCTTCCAAGACAAGAAATGCATCATTAGGCAATCTTATCATGATGCAAACATCCTAAGAGTGTACTTACTAAATCTAGAGTGTATTTACACCTAGGCTATATGGTGTAACCTACTGCTCCTAGGCTACAAACCTGTACGGTATGTTACTGTATGAATACTATAAGCAACTGTAACATGAGGGTAAGTATTTGTGTATCTAAACATAGAAAAGGTACAGTAGAAATATAGCATAAAAGAGTTAAAAAGGTATACCTGTATAGGGCACTCACGATGAATGGAGTCTGCAGGACTGGAAATTGCTCTGTGTGAGTTGGTAAGTGAGTGGTGAGTGAATGTGAAGGCCTAATGCATTACTATACTACTACAGACTTCATAAGTACTGTACACTTAGGCTACAGTAAATTTACCTGTTGCCCAGGCTGGAGCGCAGTCGTGCAATCATAGCTTATTTCTGCCTCGAACTCCTGGGCTCATTCAAGCAACTCTCTGGTCTCAGCCTCCCAGGCAGCTGGACTATAAGCGTGAGCCACTGCACCCAGCACTATTTTTCTTTATATCCTTATTCTATATGCTTTTTTCTATTTTAAAAAATTGTAATTTTTGTTCTTTTTAAATTTTTTTGTTAAAAACTAAGATACAATCACACATTAGCCTAGGCCTATACAAGGACAAGATCATCAAGATGTCACCGTAGGCCACAGGAATTTTTCAGCTCTATTATAATCTTTATGAAACCATGTCACACATGTGGTCCAACACTGACCGAAAAATCATTATGTAGGGCATGACTGTGTAGTAAACATAAGCTGTTGATGTGGACAACTAATTTCAGTCTACTGAAATTTTACTTGTGTTCACTGAATTTTAAAGATCTTTGAAACAAAGTCCAGTTTCTACTAGTTAAAACACAAAATTAATTATCTTTAGCTTACCCATTTTGTTCTTATGAAATTCTACTTTGCTTCCCCAGGAACTTTAGTAGTTTCCTGAAAATATAACAATATCATATTAAGATTAATGTTGCAAGAGACAAGTTTTCATTCACTGTTATTTAATGTCCTTGGTGTTAAAAGTTTAAGAACTCTCCCTCCTGGTTACATTACGAGCTCACCATTCCTACAACAAAAACACTGTACTTTTATAAAATCAATTGAAGAATACCAAAATGCTTTGTGAGCTTGATCAGTTGGCACTTCTGAATCAGAGAAAGATTACTTAAAATAGAAACATAACATATAATCATTATAAATTGATTGGGGGTGGGGTTGTTGAAGAGGTTGTAAAATGTGACATGTTAAAAGTAACAGACGTGTAAAAATGTTCATTCCATTAAAATACATACACGGAACATAATTATCGAGAAAAAACTGCCATACTGAGGTGTTTTAAGGCAGAGGTCCTTTATTCTTTTTCTGGATAAAGGCCTCCGTTGAAAATCCAAACAAAACTATGGGTCCTGTTGTATAATAAAGAATTTGGCTGGTTTTTGATCCTCGTTTTGAGAGGTGGCCTCTAAATCCTTGGAATTTCCCTAGTGATACAAGTCCTTGCTATTCTTCATGGGTCCTGGTAGTTTATGTTAACCAGGTAACTCATAATGGGCCTTTGGATAGTTTAAACTAACAAAAGGACTCAGGACAAAAAGCTTTGAGGTGCCTTTTTTGATATCAACATGACCTCCAGTTGGAGGGGTGCTGAAGACTCAGCTCAGCCTTGTTGCTTATGACTCATCAATCATGTCTACAGAATGAAACCCCAAGAAAATCCCTGGACACCAAAGCTCAAGTGAGCTTTTGAGGTTAGCAATGCTCTGTACACCTTGCTATGGTACACATGCTGGAAGGATGATGCATACTGACTTAAAACAGTGAGGACACAGCAAGTTCTGGATCTTGTATTTAGTACACAGTGGTAGACAATAAGCAAATATTTGCTTGAATGAATGGCATGATATAACCAAGGACATGAAGTAACTTCCATGAGAATAAAAAAGACAGGGCTGGGTGCAGTGGCTCACACCTGTAATCCCAGCACTTTGGATGGCTGAGGCAGGAGTACTGCCTGAACCCAGGAGACTGAGACCAGCCTGGACAACACAGTGAGATCCTATCTCTAAAATAAATAAATAAATAAATAAGAAAAAAGAGAAGTCTTGCTCTTTACTTAGATAAGTACACATACATATTTTTATGCTTCCATCTCTTCCATATACAGGCTAAGTTTTGAAATTTAACAATAAAGTGGTTAAAAATGTACAAGTTTTTGAGAAATTATAAATTTGACAAAATAACAAGATGATTGCTAAAGGAAATGGTTTCACTTTCTCAGTAACTGTATTTTAGTAACATACTACAGCATTTATTCAGGGGATCTCATTTATACTGATACTCTTTTTTACGTCATTAACAGGAAAAAAGCATTTCCTAACTATCATGCTCTAAGAAATTCCTGACAAATTTTAGTTCTGGCCTTAAGAGAAGGGTCAAGAAAATGAACCATAACACTTCAACGCAGAAAAGGAACTTGCAAGTAACCTCTCTAATGCCTCAGGTTTAAATAATGTCATCCATGTAGAGAGGATAAATAATTTGTTTCAGGTAGCGACAGAGCAGGAGCAGAAATCAAATCTTAGTCTAGAACACTTGCTAGGCATGGAGACAGATATTCAAAGTACCATCACTCTCTCTTTTTTTTTTTTTGAGAGGCAGTCTTGCTCTATTGCCCAGGCTGGAGTGCAGAAGCACGATCTCAGCTCACAGCAACCTCTGCCTCCCAGGTTCAAATGATTTGCCCGCCTCAGCCTCCCCAGTAGCTGGGATTACAGGCGTCTGTCACCGTGCCTGGCTAATTTTTGTATTTTAGTAGAGACCAGGTTTCGCCATGTTGGCCAGGCTGGTCTCGAACTCCTGACCTCAGGTGATCCACTTGCCTCAGCCTCCCAAAGTACCATTTCTAATTTGAGATAAAGCAGAGAAAATAGGCAGCACTAACAATTAAATCTGATGAGCCTTTTGCAGGCCTAAGAAGCGGTAAACACTGTACTAAATGCCTTACATACATTATCTTGTTTATTTATTTTTTGAGACAGAGTCTCACTCTTTGGCCCAGGCTGGAGTGCAGTGGCGTGATCTTGGCTCACTGCAACCTCTGCCTTCCAGGTTCAAACGATTCTTGTGCCTCAGCCTCCCGAGTAGCTGGGACTACAGGTGCATGGGACCATGTCCAGCTAATTTTTGTATTTTCAGTAGAGACGGGGTTTCACCATGTTGGCCAGGCTGGTCTTGAGCTCCTGACCTCAAGTGATCCACCCAACTCAGCCTCCCAAAGTGCTGGGAGTACAGGTGTGAGCCACTGTGCCTGGCCTATCTTATTTAAAAACAACTCTTCCACAAGGGAATTATTCTGATTTTAGAGATGAGAAACACTGGAAGAGTCTGCTACTTGTTGAAGGCTTCTACAGCTTAAGTGGCAGCGTTAGGATTTAAACCTAGGTAGGTCTGACTTCACAGCCCACATTCCACTCCTTCCATTATTGCCTACTACCACAGTAAAAAATTCTGGCTCCAGTTAAACTTAATTGCCACAATTCCCAACAGCTACTGATGTAAATCCTCAAATAGTTCTCTAAAATTTAAAAATAGTACTGTCATTTTATGATACTACGCAATTTAAAAATTCATGAGAGCCATTATTATTTTCTTTTCATTATACTGCTTTGTAAATACTCTTTTAAAAAACAAAACAAAAAAAAAAACAAAACAAATGCGAGAAAGCTTGAAGTACAAGAATTTCAAGGGCCAACTCTTTTATCTGGAAAATCCCTAGAATAAAACATTTAGGATGTTTATCTAACTAGCAGTAGCTAAGCAACAATGCAAAGTCACATCTTAGGAGCCCTTTGGGTAGCAACAGTTTCTCTACAGAGTTAATGTAGTAAATCAATTCCATCATTTTATACAACAGAGATTAAGGAGAGAAGAGGAGACCCACCCTTTCTCCCACCTTTGAAAGGGAAAATCAACATTAAGAGTTAAAATTCCTAATTCTTAGGTAGAAGTTAGAAATATTTAAAATATGATTCAGTTTGGACCCAATCCATAAGTTATCTAAAGAAATATAAGTTTGAGGAGACAAAAATTTCAGCTTGAACATGTATTCCATCACAGAGCTGAATTCTGGAAATATGAATTGGGCAGGTAAAAGCCACTCGTAGGGGAACCGCTGGATTGAGAATAGTTCTAGGCAGAAGAAAGAGCATGAACAATGGCCTGAGACGTCATTATGCTTTTAAGGTGTTACATATAAATATTAATCTC
The DNA here is from genome assembly GCF_000001405.40 of Homo sapiens. Taxonomy (NCBI): domain Eukaryota; kingdom Metazoa; phylum Chordata; class Mammalia; order Primates; family Hominidae; genus Homo; species Homo sapiens. The sequence continues at coordinate 73,963,149 of NC_000008.11, forward strand.
TTAAAGTTTTTTTGTGTATGTTTGTGTTTAATAACAAATACTTAAAAAATCTAGGTGAGCCTAGGGCCTACACTGAAATTAAGTGTTGAATCTAGTATCAGTGAATATTTATAAGATATTTGAATAGCTTATCCTTTGATTTGAAATATTACCTTTATCATATTCTATATTGCTACATGAAATTCTAGACTATATTCTGTACAGGAATAGTTGGGTAAGTCTCCATTTTGTTCTCACATGTTTCTTGTTAGGTCTACTTTTAGGTACTTTTAAGTTTCCATTATGAATGGGGTCTGTTTTACTATGATATTTTCTGAAAGGCTATTGCTCGTGTTGTTAAAAGCTTTAAAATGTCCTAAGTTGATTTTGCATCCCGTCATTTTTTTTGCAGAACTCATATAAGTTTTAATAGTTTTTCAGTTGACTTACTTGAATTACCTAAGTAGATAACAGACACTGCTGCAAAATCTGTTCTTCATATCTTTTTGTCTTTTTACATTGGCTATTTACTTGGATAAAATAAGGTTAGAACAGATCACTCACAAAAATACACTACAGATTAAAGAGCCAAATGTAAAATATCCATAAAAATCCATGAACTCTGGAAAAATAGCAGAAAAAAGAATACAACTAGCTTAGACAGGTATAAAAATGCTTGATGGGGCTGGGTGTGATGGCTCACGCCTATAATCCCAGCACTTTGGGAGGCCGAAGGGGGTGGATCACCTGAGGTCAGGAGTTCGAGACTAGCCTGACCAACATGGTGAAACCCCGTCTCCACGAAAAATACAATAATTAGCTGGGTGTAGTAGTGGGTGCCTGTAATCCCAGCTACTCGGGAGGCTGAGGCAGGAGAATGGCTTGAACCCAGGAGGCGGAGGTTGCAGTGAGCCAAGACTGCGCCACTGCACTCCAGCCTGGGCGATAAGAGTGAAATTCCGTCTCAAAAAAAAAAAAAAAAAAAAGTATTACATATAGTAGTGTGGATTGCAACAGGTAATCACAGTATGTTAAGTGGTCCCTGGATAGTGAATGATGGTTCTCTGTAGTTTATATTTTGGTGGGCTACAGTTGTTTCATATCAACTTATAAATGGCCAAAAAAAAAAAAAAAAAAGATAAGCACAGATTTCCTGAATCCTTATATGGAAAAGTGAGTCAAAGGTCAAAGCGTATGGTGAGAAAGGACAGTCTCTTCAACAAAGGAAGCTGGAACAATATCCATATGGATAAGAAGCTCACTGTTAAACCATACACAAAAATCAATTTCAGATGGTTCACAGAATTCAACTTAAAATGCAAAATAAGGCTACTAGAAGAAAACAAATTATTTTCATACCCTCACTGTAGGCAAAGATTTCTCAGCAGCCAGGTGCAGTGGCTCACACCTGCAATCGCAACACTTTGGGAGGGAGATCACTTGAGGTCAGGAATTTGAGACCAGCCGGGCACTCCAGCCTGGGCCACACAGCAAGACTCTGTCTCAAAAAACAAAACAAAAATCTCAGAAAAGATGCAAAAAGCACAAATTGTAAATGAAAAACTTGATGAACTGCATTTCTCCAAAACAAAACTTCTGTTCATCAAATACCATAGCTGGGCACCGTGGCTCACACGTATAATCTCAGCACTTTGGGAGGCCAAGGCAAGCTGACTGTTTGAACCCAGGAGTTTGAGACCAGCCTGGACAACATGGTGGTGAAACCCCGTTTCTATAAAAAATAGAAAAATTAGCTGGGCATGGTGGTGCATACCTGTAGCCCAAGGTATTTGGGAGGCTGAGATGGGAGAATCACCTGAGCCCGAGGAGGGTAAGGCTGCAGCAGGCCATGATGGTTCCACTGCATTCCAGCCTGAGCAAGAGTAAGACACTGTCTCAAAAACAAACCAAAAAAAAAAAAAAAAACTCTCAAAAACCAAAAAGAAAAATGAAAAAAATGAAGTCAAGCCACGAACTGGAAAAAAATATTCACAACGCGTATCTGACAATGGATTTGCATCTAGAGTAAATTAAAAAATTCCTGTATGTCAATAAAAAAAAAATCCAATTAAAGTTGGGCAGAAGAATTGAATGAACACATTAAAAAGTGCTCAACATTATTACTTATCAGTGAAACTCAAAACTGCAACGAAATACTACTATACAGCCACGAGTATAGCTAAAATTAAAAAGACTGTGAACATTAAAGGCTGGAGAGGATGTGGAGCAAATGAATTCTCATACACTGCTGATGGGGAGTCCATCATAATAGGAGAATGGATAAATAAGCTGTGGTACATTCATACAGAGCAGTACTATTCACAAAAAGGGATGATCTACTGATACAACATGGAAGAATATAAAAATACTACACTAAGTGGACAAGCCAAACAAAAAAGTATACATTGTATTATCCGATTTATATAAAATTATAGAACAGGCAAAACAAACCAATGGTGACAGCTCAGCAGGTGATTAGAGAGGAACATTCTGGAGTGATAAAAATGTCTTGCTATATATTTGTCAAAACTAAATGGTACAATTAGCATTTCACTGTATGTAGGTTAAAGCTAGAATTTTAAAAAAAGATAGCATTTCTGAAGTTTATTTTACCTTAACTCCAAAGATATCATCACTCTAGGATGGTTTTCTGCCTAATTAAGCTTTTGAAAGTGACATCGGTAATAAAATTAACCCAAATTTTCTAGCTATGCAAATGCTAACAGAGGAGGAATAAGAGTTGGTCGTCCCAAAGAAAGGAAATATGAGACTACAAATCTACAACAGAAGATCTGTTAAGTGAACAGTTATAAAAGGAAAGTAGCTTTTGATCTGGGTCTCGATGGGTAGAGGTATTTTTACCAGGCAAAACTGGAAAGGAGGGAGATCCAGGCAAAGTGAACAGTATGACCTCAGTCAGACAGCTTGGGGCACACAATGTAACTCAGTGTTGTTGGAAATCAGTTTACAGATTCATTCATTCAATAAATATTTACCAAGGGTTAGGATGCTAGATGCTCACCTAGGCACTGGGGACAGAGATGAACATAACAAACATTCCAACCTAATGGGAAGAATGGTGGGGACAGAAAACCAAAACAAAATAATACATACGGCATGGTGAAGAACTAACATTAACAGAGATCTGAAGAAAGCAAGGGAATGAGTCACAGATATTTGAAGGAACAGCTTTTTATGGAGGGAGAATGGCAAGGAGAACAGTCTGGCCAGATGAGTGAGTCAAGAAGAGAGTGTAGGAAGATAGGAAAAGAGGTGAGAGTTTGGGAAGTTGGACTTTATCAAAGAGGGGAACAGTGACACATAAGGAACACATACTGAGATACTGACCAAGCCATGGGTCTTTTTTTTTTTTTTTGAGACAAGTTCTTGCTCTGTCACCCAAGTTGAAGTACAGTTGTGCAATCCTGGCTCAGTGCAGCCTCAACCTTCAGAGCTCAAAGGATTCTCCCACCTTCTTCCTGAGTAGCCTGCTACCAAGCCCGGCTAAAATTTCTTTTTTTTTTTTTTTTAAGTGGAGGTCTCCCTGTGTTGCCCAAGCTGGTCTCCAACTTCTGAGCTCAAGTAAACCTCCTGCCTTGACCTCCCAAAGTGCTGCGATTATAGGTGTGAGCCACCACACATAGCCCAAGACATGGGTCTTGAATGCCTAATATAATAGTAAACAACACTACATAAGAATGTATTCCTCCTTTGCTACATTATCCTGTTTCATCACTCCTATCTATCCTTTTGCTGCTATCATTTCTGAAGACTTGATTTCAGCCCTCCATATAATGTAGTGCTTAAAATCAGTCAACTCCTAGCTATGTCACTGCGGGAGAACTAACCTAATCTTTCCTTGCCTGGTTTCTTCAACGGTAAAATGAGGATAATACAGCATCTACCTCACAGAGCTGTTCTGAAGAATAAATGGCTTTACATATAAAAGCACTCAGAATACTGCCTAGCACACATTAAAACACTGGCCATTATTCTATTTTTGAACCAGAGGTTCATTTCTATATGTATCAAGGGCCTACCATGTGCCAGGCACTGCTCTACATGCTTGGGAGGAATCTGTGGACAAAATAAATCCAACAACCTCTCCTCCACCCGTATCCTGGAATTTACATTTTTAGTGTGGGGGTTGACACACTAAAGGGCCAAAAAATAAGTATTTTTTGCTTAGCAGGCTGTAAGGTCTCTGTTACAACTACTCCAACTCTGCCACTGGAGTGCAAAAGCAGCCACAGACAAGATGTAAACGATTGAGTGTGGCTATGATCCAACAAAACTTTATTTATGGGCAAAAAAGGGTACATTTTATATAATTTTCTTTTCTTTTTTTTTTTTTTTTGAGACAGAGTTTCGCTCTTGTTACCCAGGCTGGAGTGCAGTGGTGCAACCTTGGCTCACTGCAACCTCCACCTCCCAGGTTCAAGTGATTCTCCTGCCTCAGCCTCCCGAGTAGCTGGGATTACAGGCATGCATCACCACGCCTAGCTAATTATTTGTATTTTTAGTGGAGACAGGGTTTCACCATTTGGTCAGGCTGGTCTCAAACTCCTGACCTCTGGTAATCCGCTCACCTTGGCCTCCCAAAGTGCTGGGATTACAGGCGTGAGCCACTGCATCCGGCCTATAATTTTCATGTTATAAAATACACATTTACTTTGAATTTCTGTCCAACTATTAAAACATTTAAAAACCATTCTTAGCTTGCGGGTAGTATAAAAGCAGGTAGTGGGCCAGATGTGGCCTGTGGTTCTAACTTGTTGACTCTGTTCTAGCAGGTTCTTAATCTGCAGTCCCCCATTCCTCGAGGTTCACAGATAAGCAGTAGAATCCCAAACCCTTCAATCTGTAAGCACAATTTTGTGCCTATGTGCAGTTCACAGTAAGAGGCATGAGAAGGTCCACAGCTTTCATCTCTTATCATAAATTAAGAACTAGCCCAGTTGAATGAAAATCAATGGCTACCTTATATAGACCCGAATCCATCTCCACATCTGAATTTCTACTCTGTTTGACATTTCTATCTTGAGACTCGGATAAATTAAGTGATAGGACTTCTGTTTCTTCATCTTCCAAATGAGACAATTGGACTCAATTATGTCCAAAAGTCCATTCTGGCTCTATTTCATGACTAAATCCATCTGAAATTCATCCTTCCCAGACAACCACCTATAACTCAGCTTCCCATGTTTATTACCCAGAGTCGCCCTCCCACAACACAGAACTTAAGGGCTGCAGAGCGCTGCATGTTCTGAGTCTGTCTGCCTCACCCCTGCAAACGACCTAATTATTCTCTCAAATAATATCTCCAAACTCCCTTGTTTCAGTTTTAAAATTATAAGCAGATATTCCCAACATATAATGTGTATTAATCATAGATTCTACATATTAACAGAACCTTTCGAAAGATAGGCTAAAAATAAACTGAAACCAATCACTTCAGTTGCCTTGTCTCTCCATCTTCAGCATTCCTGTGTTTATATATTTTGTCCACCCTGCTATTTCAAATATTGAATAAAAACTGTCCTTCCTACTAAAGGTCAACCTTTCCACTTAAGCAATGATTGATATTCCGTCACCTAACTAAAGACTCTGCTATGGCCATTATTCCCATCCACTTCTTAACCTATTCTGATCAGCCTTTGGCCCACCAGTCCATTTTAGGGGTTCTTATCAAATTTCAACTACTTCACTTGGTCACATGGTCAATTTTTAATCCTCATTTAGCAGTGTTTTATACAATTGCCTACTCCCTCCATCTTGAAACATTTCTTCCTTAGTACTCCAGATGTCACACACTCCTGGCTTTTCTGCTTCCATTACTGTATGCTCCTCTTCTAACTGGAGTGCTCCCAGTCATCTGCCTTCTTCTCCATTTAACATTCCCTATTTGATGTCCTCCAGACCAGAGGTTATCATCTATAAAATATGACTCCCAGATCATCTCCCTAGTTTTTCTCCCGAGTGCCAGTCGTGAATATCCAACTTTTCTACTGCACATATTCTCAGGTGTCTACTAGTTATCGAACTCAGTAAGTCCCATATAGAACTTCTGATTTATCAATCTCAGAAACTGATACTCCCTTCCTTTGTCTTCCCCATTTCAGTACATGCACTGCTGTTTACCCAGATTCTTGGAAAAGTGATTCGTTATTCAAAAAACATTTTTTTTTGTTCGTTTTGTTCCTGGGAAGAAAGCAAAACCCATTTGGCTCCAGCTTCAAATTACATTCCAAATCAGACTACTACTCACTTTCAACTCCACACTTCTAGTTCAAGCTACCATGTCTCAACTGGACATTTGATTTACTTCCCTACTTACCACTCTGATCTTGTCTCCCACCACTCTTCCTTCACTATGCTCCAGTCACACTGGCCTTTTTGGTATTCCTCGAAATCGGTCAAGTTCACTCTTACCTCAAGGTCTTTGCATTTGTAATTGCTGTTGTCCGAAAAGCTTTTAAATCCTCATCATTTAGGTCTCCAGGTAAAACATCAACTCCTCAGAGAGGTCTTCCTTCCCTGATGATCCTACCAAAATTAGACACCCCATCCCAGTCACTCTAACCCTTAACCTTGCTATATTTTTTTCACATTTATCACTTCCTGAAACTATACTTGCTTACTTACACATATCCTTTCTTTCCTCAAGTTTCTTGACAGCAGGCCTAGAATAGTGCCTGGCACTTAGTAGATGCTCAATAAATATTTCTTGAGTGAATGTACTATTATTTTCCTAATCGCTGAGGCTTGAAATTCAGGCATTACTGGATGGGCTTTTTCTGCTCTTACTTAATAACAACAATAAAGAATTTAGGACAGCAGTTTAGCTGAAATGCATTAACACATAAATATGACCATAGCTGGCCAGATTTGGTGGTTCATGCCTGTTATTCCAGCACTTTGGGAGGCCAAGGCAGGAAGCCTACTTGAGCCCCCAAAACAAAAAATTAGCTAGGTGTCGTGGTGGGCACCTATAGTCCCAGCTACTAGGGAGGCTGAGGCAGGTGGATGGTTTGAGCCCAGGAGGTTGAGGCTAGAGTGAGCCGTGATAGTGCTACTGCACTCCAGCCTGGGAGTGCAGAACAGAGTGAGACTCTGACTCAAAAATAAATATGAGCATAATAGCAAAGATTTCCCTGATTATTTTCCAGTGCTAAAAAATCTACCAAAAAAACCAAGATAAACATTTTAGAAGATTTAAACAATTAAATATCACTTTAGAACTTGATGTATAGGACTGACTATAACTTCTGGCTGTAAACTAGTGCCTATTATATTACAGAATTACCATCTGGCAATGCATACACGTGTATTTTTTGAATGGTAGTTATCAAATTTCATATTTAAGAAAAAGAGGAACGGTCACTTAATATTAAACAGGGACCCCAAATCATCATTGGCAAGAAACAATAAATATCCATTATAGTACGTACCACAGCTGTTTCCTTGCCATTGTATCTCCAGAATGAATAAATCCACATGTAAACTGCTACGTTTCAACATGATTATAATGTAAATGAGATCAGACATATGTCATTTTAGGTAACTGAATAGAAAAGGAAACAACTTTCGGGGATCAAAAAGCAAATATGGAGCCAAGCGCGGTGGCTCACGCCTGTAATCGTAGCTCTTTGGGAGGTGGAGGCGGGCGGATCACCTGAGGTCAGGAGTCCAGCCTGACCAACATGGTGAAACCCCATCTCTACTAAAAAACAAAACAAAACAAAAAAAAAACAAAATTAGCCGGCAGTGGTGGTGCGCGCCTGTAATCCCAGCTGCTCCAGAGGCTGAGGCAGGAGAATGGCTTGAACCCTGGATGCGGAGGTTGCAGTGAGCCGAGATCAAGTCACTGCACTCCAGCCTCAGGACAGAGCGAGACTCCGTCTCAAAAAAAAAAAAAAAAAAAGAAAAAGAAAAAAAGCAAATATGGCAGTTAAAAAGTGAGAAAGTGAGGTTTTAAGACACTAAAGAATTTCAAGGCCAGGCGCGGTGGCTCACGCCTGTAACCCCAGCACTTTGGGAGGCCGACGGGGGCGGATCACTTGAGGTCAGGAGTTCCAGACCAGCCTGGCCAACATGTCGAAACCCCGTCTCTACTAATAATAGATTAGTCAGGCGTGGTGGCATGCGCCTTGGTCCCAGCTACGTGGGAGGCTGAGGCAGGAGAATCACTTGAACCTGGGAGGCAGAGGTTGCAGCAAGCTGAAAACGAACCACTGCACTCTAGCCTGGGCAACAAGAGCAAGTCTGTCTCCCCCGGCCCCTTAAAAAAGAATTTCGGTTTTCTACACTAAAAGCAATGTGGAGTAGAAATGCTCACGCTAAATGGCACAAACTCCACAGTTATATGTTACTTAACAGATCTCAGTTCCTTAAGAGAAACTCAATGGGCACAGTATTTCACACTAGATACCTCCTTTCAGACAAGACTGGACGGCCAGTAGATGCACGATACCCCCAACTCATGAAGTCGAGCATAGAATCACCCAACAAGTTACCCAGAAGGTAAACTTCTCGGGTACTGCAGCTAGAAGAAGCGAGAGACCTCTCCCTGGGCTAGGGACTGACTTCAAGAAAAGAACTAATCTGAGCGGACACGAGGAACAAGCAGAAAGGAAAAGCGACAGGGCTACCATGCTCCTAACTCCACCCTCCCGCGCTCAGCCCGGAGAAGGCCCAGTCTCGCTGGCTGCTGCCCCTCCTTCCACCTCTTTCCAAACCCACCGAGCGGCGCCAGGAAAGGTCCCGCCGCCCTCTTCTCCCCTCCCCCAAACTAGGGGCTGGGGAGGCCCAAGGAGGTTAACAGCTTCCGTTCCTTCCCCGCCTAGAAGGGAAGGGGTGGGAAGTGGGATTGCGAGCTCGTCCCGTCTCGGCCTCCCTCGCCCTCCACCCTTACCCGGAGCTCCGTTTCCGCCCCAGCCCGAGACTCACTCGTCAGTCCCGCAGCCACCGCAGCCGGGTCCCCGCGTACTGCCACAGCCCCTATCCCAGGGCCGCCCCCCCACCCCCAGCTGCCTGCTCCGGTGGGTTCCGGGGCAGTCGAAAGAATTACTTCCGCTGGGTCAGAGCCGCTTTCGGCGACGCGCGGGAGATCCGTACCTGGTGAGGCGAGGACGCAGAGTGTGTCGCTCACTTCCGTCTGGAGGTAGGGCGTAGCGCCCTACTCTTTTCCCCTATAGTAGGCCAGCCTATGAACGCAACCGGCAAATTTCGACCAATCCGAGTCTAGCTCTTCTGGATTCCCAGCATGCAGCGCAGACCCTGATCCAATTGCTGTAAAGACGCATCCTTAGAGAGGCTCTCGGGAGTCCGAGAGAGCACTGCATTCTGGGATTTGTAGTTTCTCTGGTGGATACCGTCGGCGTTGGGACCGAGGCAGCCCTGCATCCTGGGACTTGTAGTTTCTCGCACTGCGTGTTAAGATTTTGGTGGTTACAGAGACTGTCCGTACCTCTCATTTAGGGTTACGCCTGGAGGTGGGAGACTGCTGAGGAAAGATTGAAACGTGGGAGGGCGGTTTCTTTGCTAACGAGATCGTACTCTTTATGAAGCAGCATCTGTCCCTGGTGAAAAGTTGCTGTGCGTGCTGAAGAGCCAGCACAGCAACGACTAGCGCAATCGGCTGGCCTCATTTCCTCTCTTCCCGGTAGAATTCAATGTTAACTGAAAACTAACCACGTCCCCCACTCCACCCGCGAGGGTCCTGCCTTTGCCTCTGGGTTAGCTCAGCTGTCCTGGATCCGGAGCTCACGCACAGAAAATCCAGGCGCCTGCCAAACCGTTACTCAGTTTTTGGGAACTTCTTTCTCATTCCACGCCCCGCTTCCCACCCCCCCGCGTTTCCTATGGTAAGATATACAGGCACCTTTCCAGGAAGGCTGAAACAGCTAAATAAAGTTCACCTTCTACTGTTTTCCAGGAGTGTGGCATGAAGAGAATGTATGTAGGGCCAAGACAACATTACAAGGTGCTCAACGAGGCACTTTGTGTGCTCAAAAAATAGATAACAGGCTATCTAGAGTTTGTTGAACTGAGGACTTGCCAGAAAGGCTTTTTTTTTGTTTAATTTAGTTAATTTGGTAGATAAAAGACATTGGTTTTTTATAATTAGTTGCAATAATCAAGGAGATTGTCTTGGATAAATTTTTTAAAGCCTTTACAGAAATCAGAACAAAGATTTTTTGGCTGTAATGGTAGCTCGAAGTAGAGTTTGGTGGGGAGGACAGGCATGGAGGTGCAGATGAGGAGGCTGTAGGCCCCTTTTCTTTTCTCTTCTCTTTTCTTTCCTTCTTTTTTATTGAGAGGGTGTCTCGCTCTGTCTCCCAGGCTGGCGTGCAGTGGCGCAATCTCGGCTCACTGCAGCCTCCACCTCCCAGGCCCAAGCAATTCTCGTGCCTCAGCCCCCTGAGTAGCTGGGATTACGGGTGTGCTCCACCACGCCGGGCGACTTTTTTCTGTGTTTTTAGTGAAGACGGGGTTTCACCATGTTGGCCAGGCTGGTCTCAAACTCCTGACCACAAGTGATCCGCCCACCTTGGCCTCCCAAAGTGCTGGGATTACAGCCGTGAGCCACTGCGCGCGGCCTAAAAACATCCTTAAAATCATTCTAAAATCCCATTAGTTTATATTTAACAAATGTCTCTAACTTACTGGAACTGGAAAATCCATCTAACATAAATAACAATTCTATGTAAATCTATGGTACAGAGTTTTCAGACTATAATCTGATTTTATCTATTTAGAAATTTTGAGAAATAGATCAAACAAAAGTTTTTATTTTCATTTACTTACAGTATTTGTAGGGGGAACAGCTTTACAGAAGATAAAAAATTTGAGTTCTCTTAATATAGTTAAGAAAAACATTTTTATGTGAAAATTTTAAATATATCAGCAAAATAATAGAGTGAATATTGATTGTGAGTGAATTACCCTAAACAGAAGAGTTTTTAAAATGTAAATAGGCCAGGTGTGGTAGCTCAGGTTCTGTGACACTTTGGGAGGCCCAGGCGGGAGGATCCCTTGATTCCAGGAGCTCAAGACCAGCCTGGGCAACAAAAGGAAACCCTGTATCCACTAAAAATACAAAAATTAGCTGGGCATGGTGACGTGGCCTGTAGTCCCAGGTACTTGGGAGGCTGAAGTGAGAGGAACACTTGAGCCTGGGAGGTCAAGGCTGCAGTGAGCTATGATGGTGCCACTGCACTCCAGCCTGGGCGACAGAGCAAGACCCTGTCTCAAAAACAAAATAAAAGGTGGGCACAGTGGCTCACCCTTGTAATTCCAGCACTTTGGGAGGCTGAGGTGGGCGGATAGCTTGAGCCTCAGGAGTTTGAGACCAACCTGGGCTATATGGTGAAACTCCATCTCTACTATTAAAACAAATATTAAAATAAAAATAAACAAAATGTAAGTAGAAGCTAACTTTTTATAAAATAAAGTTATCCATATAGAGGTATTATCATTATCTCCTTCTGAATACTCCCCCCAATAGACAGTATTTGGAGTTGCCAACATGATCATATTCTATTGATTTATTTTTATTTTTATTTTTGAGACAGGGTCTAGCTGTGTCACTCAGTGCAGTGGTGCAATCAGGGCTCACTGCAGCCTCAACCTCTTGGGCTCAAGTGATCCTTCCACCTCAGCCTCCCAAGTAGCTGGGACTACAGGCAGGTGCCACCATGCCCAGCTAATTTAAAAATTTTTTGTAGAGACAGGGTCTCACTTTGTTGCCCAGGCTGGTCTCAAACTCCTGGAATCAAGTGATCCTCTCACCTGGGCCTCCACGTAGTATTGGAATTGCAGGCGTGAGCTCCCGCCCCTGGCCACACATTATTTTAGACTATGAATTTGTTCCTCTCCGGTGCAAATAACATGTCAAATCAAAAACATGTATAGTTCTGCAGTGGTAAACAAAAGTGTGTTTCTATTACTAAGATGCTCATCCTTCAAGACTGAGCTAAATGTGAAGCCAGTCTGAAGACATTCTGAGGCAAAATTAATCATGTTCTTCTTTGTACTTCTGTGGCATTTGTTTGTTCTTTTTTTTGAGACACGGTGTCACTTTGTGGTCCAGGCTGGAGTGCAGTAGTGTGGTCTTGGCTCACTGAAGCCTCGACTTTGGGCTCAAGCAATCCTACCATGTCAGCCTCCTGGGTAGCTGGGACCACAGGCACACACTTACCATGTGTGGCTTATTTTTGTTTTAGGTTTTTTTTTTTTTTTTTTTTTTGTAGAGACGGGGTCTCCCTGTATTGCTCAGGCTGGTCTCAAACTCCTGGCCTCAAGAGATCTTCCTGCCTAAACCTCCCAAAGCGCTGGGATTACAGGTGTAAGCCACCACGGCCAGCCACATTTTGTATATTGCGGTGTCTCAATTGTATTACATTATATTCTAGCCAATTTTCAGGTATTTTCCTCCACTGTTTAAGCACTGTGGATTCCCAGTTTAATCTAGTATTTTGTATCCTCTGCTCCTAGCTCAGTCCTGGCAATAGATTCAGTACCTCTTTAACAAGTAATGAATCAATGTGTATATGGATGTGAATGATTTCCGAAGACAAATCTGGTAACACCTATCAATATTACATGAACAATTCCATTTATTTTCCTCCAACCCGATGATTCAATTAAGTTATCACTCATTTTTGTTCAAATCGTATATTCTTTCTTCTGTGCCAACAGGCTAGAATCATTTTCCGCAAAGGAAACAGTTTTTAGTGATGTCGTCCACGAGAAAAAAAAATATTTAACCCTGGCTTCTGGGCATTGTCATTCTCGTACAGCCCTCTGCCCCTCCACACTGTTATAAAGAAGGTAAAATTCTAGGAAGGAGGAGCCGCTGAGCCAAGGACAGAGCGGCGGGCTCCCAGCTCAGCTGGCGGATAACGCGCGCGGCCGGGAAGGCGGCAGGCGGGCGGCAGGCGGGCGGCAGGCGGGCGGCAGGCGGGCGGCAGGCGGGCGGCAGGCGGGCGGCAGGCGGGCGGCAGATTCTGCGCACGCGCAGGCAGCCCAGCTGCCAGTCAGGCGTCCCGGGCTGGGCATGCGCCACTTGTGCGGCAGTCGGGTGGGAAGCCGTGTCTCGCAGTCGTGGACTCGTGCAGCTGGGGCGTCCGCAGCCGCTCGTCACCCGCGTGATGCTGTTTCTGGCGTTGGGCAGCCCGTGGGCGGTCGAACTGCCTCTCTGCGGAAGGAGGACTGCATTGTGTGCGGCCGCCGCGCTCCGAGGTCCCCGGGCCTCTGTCTCCCGGGCGTCCTCCAGCAGCGGGCCTTCGGGGCCGGTAGCCGGCTGGAGTACGGGGCCTTCGGGAGCCGCGCGCCTTCTCCGGCGTCCGGGTCGAGCGCAGGTAGGGCGTCCGAGGTCTGGTGTCCCAAGTGAGGCGGGGAGGGCGGGCGTCGTGTCGGGCCTGGGGAGCCCCAGCGGCTCTTCGCGACCTCTCCCAGGTGTCCGTGGCTGGAGCGCGGGAGGAGCCCCCTCTGCGGGGCTTGCAGAAGTAGCAGGCCGAGGGCCCCGGGGTCCTCAGCCTCCGCGAGTCCAGGAGAACGGCTGGAAAGTGCTTACTTTTATGGTAGTTCCAAATCCAGAGGGTTTGTGGTGACAACTATATGTAGTTCCTTTTCTGCCCTTGAGTAGAAGCTTAGAAGTGTTAATTTGCAAAAAATTGGATGCAGCACCTGGAAATAGAACCGAAAGAGCCAGGTTAACCTGACTTTGAGCTTGTTCTACTTTTATGAGGTGGCTGTACTTTTAAGAATTACTTTGGTCCCTGGGAAAAGGGGGATGCAGATGTTAATTCTTTTATTTTGATCTGAATAAATTGTCTTCTAATTCTACTCTGTAAAATATCAGGATTGGCAAACCTGGTTAAAACTTGGAAGAAATGCTTAAAATGGAAATTGGAATCTAATTACATTTCAGCATTGAGGAATTAGGCATGCCTTTTACATTTTGAAGTGTATACACTGTGAAACTCATTTTCAGATGTATGGGGAACGCTTCTGTTCCCTTGAAATTTGATGTAGGATTTCAAGTAAATTTTATTTCTTTTTTTTTGGAGGTGAAGTCTCGCTCTGTCACCCTGGTTGGAGTGCAGTGACGTGATCTTGGCTCACTGCAACCTCCGCCTTCCGGGTTCAAGCGATTCTCCTGCCTCAGCCTCCCCAGTAGTTGGGATTACAGGCGCGCTCCACCACACCCCGGCTGATTTTTTTTTTGTATTTTTAGTAGAGACGGGGTTTCACCGTGTTGGCCAGGCTCGTCTTAAACTCCTGACCTCAAATCATCCTCCTGCCTCGGCCTGTCAAAGGGTTGGGATTACAGGCGTGAGCCGCTGTGCCCAGCCAAATTTTATTTCTTGTCAAGAAATAAGAGGACCAGGGGATACACGGTATTTACAAGGTCTTTAGAGAAAGATTTGATCTCTTTAATACTATCATATAAATATTTTAGCAGTATTTGTAAAAGGCCTGGACTTTAAATATAATGTGAGTTTGCGGAGTATTTTACTTAAATTATTTTAGTAAAATTAAATTTTATTTCTTAGAGATGGGGTCTTGCCATGTTGCCCAGGCTGGCCTTAAACTCCTGGGCTCAAGTGATCCACCTCAGCCTCCCCAGTAGCTGGGGCTATAGACGTGTTCCATTACACCAGCTAAATGTATTTATTTTTTGAAAAGGTGTTGCATTTAAATAGAATGGAAATGATGTCGTCATTAACAGTGGAGTAGAAGAAACTGTTACTATTTTTACTTGTTCAAGGTCACACTAGACCTAGAAACCTGAGAGCTGGGATGCTAAGCTAACAAACTCCAGCTCTGCAGTTTTCTACTTGTGACTAGAATTAAGGCAAGCCATTCTGTCAGCCAATTTATTTCTTTAACTCTGTAGATTATTTGGGAGAATTCCTTATGTCACCTCATGTGACAAGTTCTTTTCATTACAATTTTATTTTATTTTTTTGAGACGGAGTCGTGCTCTGTTGCCCAGGTTGGAGTACAGTGGTGTGATCTCGGACCACTGCAATCTCCGCCTCCCAGGTTCAAGCGATTCTTCTGCCTCAGCCTCCGGAGTAGCTGGATTACAGGCGCCAGACACCATGCCCGGCTAATTGTTTGCATTTTTAGTAGAGACGGGGTTTCACCATGTTGGCCAGGCTGGTCTTGAACTCCTGACCTCAAGTGATCCGCCCCCCTCGGCCTCCCAAAGTGCTGGGATTACAGGCATGAGCCACTGCACCTGCATTACAATTTTAAAAATAAACTTAAGCTGGGCATGGTGGCTCATGCCTGTAATCCCAGCACTTTGGGAGGCCAAGGTGGCAGATCACTTGAGGTCAAGAGTTCAAGACCAGTCTGGCCAACATGGTGAAACCCCGTCTCTAATAAAAATACAGAAATTAGCCGGGTGTGGTGGTGGGCACCTGTAATCCCAGCTACTCAGGAGACTGAGGCAGGAGAATTGCTTGAACCCGGGAAGCAGAGGTTGCAATGGTGAGCTGAGATCGCACCACTGCCCTCCAGTCTGGGAGACAGAGCAAGACTCTGTCTCAAAAAAAAAAACTTAAAAAAATTTAAGAAGGTTAGTTGACCATAATGATCCCTGTTTCAATAGATCCCTGTTTATTGGGAAGGATATGTTCGATTCTTAAATACGCCATCTGACAAATCAGAAGATGGAAGGCTAATTTATACTGGCAATATGGCCCGAGCAGTGTTTGGTAAGTAATTGGAGGTGGGTGTACTTACTTTGTTTTTTTCTCTTTTAATTGTAAAAATATCCTTACCATATCTTACTTGTTGTTATGGCATCCCTTAATTACAAGACGTAAGGAAAATTAGATTTTCATTTTTTTTTCTTGAGGTGTGTTGATAAGATGTAGAGACCTTTGCATTTTTAGATTTTTATTTGAGACAGAGTCTCACTCTGTTGTCCAGGCTGGAGTGCAGTGGCATGATCTTGGTTCACCATACTCTTCGCCTCCCATGTTCAAGCGATTCTCCTGGCTCAGCCTCCTGCTGGGATTACAGGTATGCACCACCACACTTGGCCAATTTTTGTATTTTTAGTAGAGACAGGGTTTCACCATGTTGGTCAGGCTGGTCTTGAACTCCTCACTTCAAGTAACCCACCCACCTCGGCCTCCCAAAGTATTGGGATTACAGGCGTGAGCCACCACGCCCGGCCTCTATTATGTTTTAATATTTCGAAGGGGTAACTTCCCCTCATTGCTTTATTTTTTTATTTTTTGCTGCTTTTGTTTTTCCAAATAAACTTTATAATCAACTTGTTTAGGATCTCAACTTTATTTTCCAAACAGATGGTATTTTTTATTAGGATCGTATTAAAATTATAAATTAAAGGTAAGGTAAATTTACATTTTAAGTCATTTTTTATTGTGGTTAGATAAACATAAAATTTTTCACTTTAATCATTTTGAAGTATACAGTTTAGAAGCCATTTTTTAAAAATAATTTTTATTTTTTAGAGACAGGGTCTCTGTCATCTAGGCTGGAGTGCAGTGGTGTGATCATAGTTCACTGCAACTTCAAACTTGTGGGCTCGAGTGATCCTCCCACCTCAGCCTCCCAAATAGCTAGGACTACAGACATGTGCCACTACACCTGGCTGATTTTTTTTTTTTTAAGCTAGTCAAATTTAGCAGTGGGGACATTGTATACCAACTTTAGTGATGCCAGTGTTAAGTTCTGATAACTCATTACCATCAGACCAGCCTTGGCTAATTAAAAAAAATTTTTTTTGTAGAGACAGGTCTTCCTATGGTGCCTAGGCTGGTCTCAAACTGGTCTCAAGCAGTCCTTCTGCCTACACCTTCCAAAGTGCTGAGATTACAGGCATGAGCCACTGCACTCTGCTAGAAGTCATTTATTTTTAATCTTTCTAAGGTAATAGGTAAAAATGGTATCTCAGTGTTTTTTTTGTATTTTTTATTATTTATTTATTGAGACGGAGTTTTGCTCTTGTTGCCCAGGCTGGAGTGCAGTGGCACAATCTGGGCTCACTGCAACCTCCACCTCCCAGGTTCAAGCAATTCTCCTGCCTCAGCACCCCCAGTAGCTGGGATTATAGGTGCATGCCACCAAGCCTGGCTAATTTTTGTATTTTTAGTAGAGACAGGATTTCGCCATGCTGGCCAGGCTGCTTATCTCATTGTTTTAACTTGAATGTCTTTCCTTACTAAAGAAATTGAATACCTTTCCCATATGTTTCTGTTTTTTTTTTTTGAGATGGAGTCTCGCTTTGTCTCCCAAGCTGGAGTGCAGTGTGCAGTCTTGGCTCACTGCAGCCTCTACCTCCTGGGTTCAAGGATTTTCCTGCCTCAGCCTCCTGAATAGCTGGGATTACAAGCACTTGCCACCATGCCCAGCTAATTTTTGTATTGTTAGTAGAGATGGGAGTTTCACCATGTTGGCCAGGCTGGTCTCGAACTCCTAACCTCAAATGACCCACCTGCCTCAGCCTCCCAAAGTGCTGGGATTACAGGCATGAGCCAATGCGCCTGGCCGTCCGATATGTTTTTTAACCACTGGTTTTATTTCTCTGGTGATTTGCTGTTTTAATCCTGGGCACTTAGCCTGATAGAATTTCCCATGTTTGAATATTTTATGTTAGATATACTGGAGTGCTTGTTAATAGAGAGTTTTGTTTGATAATCTGCTATCTGAATCAACTTTTGTAGTACAATATTAGTAAGGATCTTTAAGTAATATTAACTACTTTATTGTGGAACTGAGGTAGGGCCACTTAAACCCTAAAGCAGATTTCCTGCCTGGAGAGGCAGTGCATTCTAATGGTCAGTAGCAGGGACATTGAAGTCAAAATATGTAAAGTCCTTAAAACAGAGCTTAGAATATAATAAGCACTGTATTTATGGTTTGATTTTGTTGTCTTGAGCTGATACAGTAAGAAGAAAAATGGAAGAATTAGTGGGATAGATTGATTCTTTTATAAAATTTAAAAGTATTGATCCTCTCTCTTTTTTTCCCATTTAGGTGTGAAATGTTTCTCTTATTCTACGAGTCTGATTGGCCTTACATTTCTGCCATACATTTTTACACAAAATAATGCTATTTCTGAAAGTGTGCCTCTGCCTATTCAAATCATATTCTATGGCATCATGGGAAGCTTTACGGTGATCACCCCAGTGCTGCTTCACTTTATTACAAAAGGCTATGTCATTCGATTGTACCATGAGGCCACAACAGACACTTATAAAGCCATTACCTACAATGCTATGCTTGCAGAAACGAGTACAGTGTTTCACCAGAATGATGTGAAGATTCCAGATGCTAAACATGTATTTACCACATTTTATGCTAAAACAAAATCACTGTTAGTTAATCCAGTGCTCTTTCCAAACCGTGAAGACTATATCCATCTAATGGGTTATGACAAAGAAGAATTTATTTTGTATATGGAAGAAACCAGTGAAGAGAAACGGCATAAAGATGACAAATGAGCCTATTTGTTAGTGTTCGTGCTCAAATGTGATTTACGTTTTAATGTATAATAATAAAATTGCCTTTTGCATTCCGTTAGTGACTGATTGTTAAAAATAATTTGAAATTATCAAAGCTTTTAATTTCCAGAGAATGATGTTTGTTTATAATAAAACAAGCTATGTTTGAAAACCAAAATGTAGTATCTACCATTCGTGTTTTAGAAAGGTATGTGAATAAATATGTTCATGCTAGTATAAGAGTTCTGTGTTACTGTGGTTGACTCTAAACTGGGGATCTGATGTCAGTAGCAAATGGGAGAGTTGCTTTATTCTTTGTGTATGGATTTTTCTAAGTGTATAAATATTTTCCGACATTAAAAGACATTTTCTCTTTGAGGAAGACACAGTCATAGGTGGTGCGGAGCTGTGGTCCACCTGCTCCTGCTCCTGACTCACTGCTCTTTGCTGTTGCCTGAGGACCAAGTCTGTCAGGAAGCTGGCTAGGAAGCCTTGCAGCAGCCATGGCTTTTAAACATACCAGAAAAACACCCGTGGAGTCAGAGGTGGCAATTCACCGAATTCATATCACTCTAACGAGTTGCAACGTAAAATCCCTGGATAAGGTGTGTGCTGACTTGATCTGAGGAGCAAAGGAAAAGAATCAGTGAAAGGACCAGTTTGAATGCCTACCAAGACTTTGAGAATCACTACAAGAAAAACTTACGGTGAAGGTTCTAAGGCATGGGATCGTTTCCAGATGAGAATCCACAAGCGACTCATTGACTTGCGCAGTCCTCAGATAGTTAAGCAGATTACTTCCATCAGTATTGAGCCAGGAGTTGAGATGGAAGTCACCATTGCAAATGCTTAAGTCAACTGTTTTCATAAATTGATTACCAGTTGTTAAAAAATTTTCAAAAAACCGCAAAATTTCAAGAAATTCACAAATTATGGGAGCAGTTTTAAGTCTTCTTTGGTTCAGAACACAGGTTTTTGCCTAACCCCTGGCATGATTGCCCATAAGAACATACATGTACAGTTGAACTGGTGGTTAGCTATACGGGAAATGGTAAGTAGTGTTGTCTTCAGTATCTTAATTTGTTTCTGCAACTGTGCACTCCTCCCTTGGTGGCACCCTATGGGTGTAGGAAAACCACTGTTATTAAACAGGTGAAAAATACCTTGTGTAAAATTGCTGTCTCTATGCTAGCTTTGTCAAGAATATCCATTGTAAGATTTTTACCTCTATTGTAAAGTGGAGATTGACTCTTGCCAAGGATTTTTAGCCAGGAACAAGAGGCCTCAAACCACACTATTTAGATCAGTAGATATTTACTAAGTGCCCAGTACTGTGCTAGTTACTAAGATCACAGTTAAGAATGAAACACCCCGTCTGTCTTTATGGAGCTACCTAACATTGTCTATGGCCACCATGATAGTAAATTTAAACTTTATGGCGTACATGTGTATGAGGGAGGTTGATGGGGAAGCAGCAGGAACATCTGTTCAAAGAGATCATTCAACTCCCAGGCTGCTCGAAACTTATTCATAGGAGATAAGACAGAAAAGCTGTCTTTCTGAGACGTAGAGCCTGCCCTCTGCTTGGATTGTCCAGCTCACCAGACTGAGAATTCCCACCGCCATTCCTCTGTGCCATCTTCTGCTCAAGGTGGGTTTTTGCCTGCTTGCTTCTCTGTCCTTTGTCCCCTAGATGTATCCTAGCAATGAATGAGAGATGTGTTTCTATTTTTTTCATAGCAACCTACTAGATAAGGGAAGCTTGTCCAGCCTGCAGCCCAGGACGGCTTTGAATGTGGCCCAACACAAATTCGTAAACTTAAATTTTATTTTTGAGATTTTTTTTTTAAGCTCATCACTATCATTAGTATATTTTATGTGTGGCCCAAGACAATTCTTCCAACGTGGCCCAGGGAAGCCAAAAGATTGGACACCCCTAAGATAAGAGATATCTTTCTATAGAAAGTTATTCTATGATCAAATGTTTATTATGGATACATTAGAAAGTAGAAGGAAGAAAGAGGCTGGGTGTGGTGGCTCTTGCCTGTAATCCCAGCTACTTGGGGGGCTGAGGTGGGAGACTCGCTTGAACCTGGGAGATCAAGACTGCAGTGAGCTGGGATCACATCACTGCACTCCATCCAGGGTGACAGAGCAAAACCCCATCTCAAAAACAAAAAAGGAAAAAATCACTCCTAGTTCCCCCTAGAAAAAATAGCATTGTTTACATTTTAAAGATCTCTTCCAATATTACATCTCTTCATAACTTGTTTTAAGTGCAATATATTTCTTTATGTTATAAATAAAGTTTTGGTGCTGCAAAAGAAATAGCACTCAAATATAACATTTTATTTTTTTCTTCTCAGCAAGGCAGTTTACTTCTATAGAAGGGGGCGCCCTCACAGATGGAGCAATGGTGAGCGCACACTTGGACAAGGGAGGAAAAGGGGGTCTTATTCCTGACACATGTGGCCCCTGCTGCTCTGTTGTTCTCCTATTGGCTAGGGTTAGACCGCACAGGCTAAACTAATTCCGACTGGCTAATTTAAAGAGACTGATAGGGTGAGTGGTTTGGCGGGAAAAATGGTTGTGGAGAATGAGCAGGTAATTGGAATGAGTCAGGGTGGAGCAGGTAATCAGAAAAGGTTGCTTTACGAGGAAGTTAAGTTTAAAAGTAGAAGGCAAAGAATTGAACATACATATTGACTCTTTGAAGAGAAATTTAGAACTCATATCTAACATTTACATGTTCTATATCCATGTGATCATTTTATGACTGTGCTCTCGGTCCCACAGCCGTGAAGAGGATGCCCTGCAGACTCACTGCCCACCGGCTCCCTCCCCCGCATCCCTGCAACCCCAGAGGCGAAGATGGCCTCAGGAGTGCAAGTAGCTGATGAAGTATGTCGCATTTTTTATGACATGAAAGTTCGTAAATGCTCCACACCAGAAGAAATCAAGAAAAGAAAGAAGGCTGTCATTTTTTGTCTCGGTGCAGACGAAAAGTGCATCATTGTAGAAGAAGGCAAAGAGATCTTGGTTGGAGATGTTGGTGTAACCATAACTGGTCCTTTCAAGCATTTTGTGGGAATGCTTCCTGAAAAAGATTGTCGCTGTGCTTTGTATGATGCAAGCTTTGAAACAAAAGAATCCAGTACAGAAGAGTTGATTTTTTTTTTGTAGGCATGAGAACTAGCACCTCTGAAAAGTAAAATGATCTGTGCAACATCCAAGGATGCAATGAAAAAGAAATTTCAAGGCATTTTATCAGTGTGTAGTGGAGTGAAAAACTTGTTTTTATTGGTTGATATCAGAATAATTCTTCAGAAGGCAACTTGGTAGTCTAGGGGAAAAATATGCTTTCACTAAGTGGGAAAGGTGACATCTCAAGGGCATGATATGGAGTGAGAATCTAGGACAGAGAAAGGATCAGCATGCATAGGATAACAGGATGATTCATCACTGAAATAATCAGCAGAACCAACTCAGGCCAAGGTTAGGAGGAGAAACATAGGCACCTCCCTCATGCCACTTTGCTATCCTACCCCAGGCAGAGTAATCTCAGGAAGACTGGGAAGGTAATGAATCTCTCACTGTCTAGCAAAGGTGAATCACTTATTTGCATCACAAAAGTCACCTATTTGCATGTGAAAAGGCAAGGTGATCCTAGCTGACATCTGGGTTACATCAGGTAATAACCCTGTTAACAATAAAATATTGCAATCCTTTTCTCTAATGTAGATTTCACTGTACTGAAAGGCTTTTGGAAGCAAAAGTAACAAGATGGCCATTAGATATGAATGGCAGTCTTAGCTTGAATGTATTTGTAAAAATTTTATTCTGATTCTTTTAGAACACCTTGAACTTGCTTTTATTTTTATTGAGAATTTCAAACACAAAAGTAAAAGAGTACAGTGAACCTGCATGACTCTATCATCCAGATTCAACAATGACCAATTTATAGTCACTATTGTTTCATCTAGACCTAATCATTTGCCCTCTACTTTTTGGGGAAAGCAAATTCCAGTCATAATAATATTTCTTTCTTAAATATTTACTTTTGTAACTCTACAAGATGAGGACTTATTTTAAAATGTAGCTACAATACCATTATCAGATCTACAAAAACAAAACAACCTCACAGCCCTAATGTCATCAATCTATCAGTCTGTTTAAATTTCCAATTGCTTCATAATTTTTTCCCACATTTGGTTTGATTTAAGATTCAAATAATCAGAACAGAATGAAGAGTTGGTTAAAAAAATTATATATATATATCTCCAAATAAGTTTCATATCTTACACACACCAATTGTTTAAATGGTTTTTAAGGCTCTTCTAAAAGACATTTAGAAGACATTTAGATGTTGAGTCCACCCCCCAGACTCAAGCAATCCTCCCACCTGAAGCCTCCAGGGGAGTTGGGACTACAGGTGCGTGCCACCATGCCTGGCTAATTTTTGTATTTTTTTGTAGAGACAGGGTTTTACCATGTTGCCCAGGCTGATCTTGAACTCCTGGGTTCAAGTGATCCACTCGTCTTGGCCTCCTAAAGTATTGGGATTACAGATGTGAGCCACTGCATCCGGCCAGGCCTTTCCATTTTCATTTTTTTTTCCCTTGCAAATTATCTGTTGAAGAAATCATTGTTTGTCACTTAGATCTTCTCATGGTCTAGATTTTCTACTTGTATCCCTGAGCTGTATTTTAACATGTTTCTCTGTCTTCTATACTTCCTATAAATAGGTAAGTAGATCTTAAAACTTCATCAGAGTGAGGTTTGATTATTTTGGACAAAACTACTTTTATAGATGATCATATTTGTTATCTTGCTGCATAATGAATTACCCCTGAAACTTACAGGCTTAAAGCCACAATAAACATCTCTAACACTGCACAGTGTCTGTAGGTCTGGAAATGAGGAGTGGCCTAGCTGAGTGGTTTTGGCTTTAGCTCTCTCAGGAGGTAGTTGGTGCTGCTGTCATCTGAAGGCTGGACTGTGGCATGAGGAACCCCCACTTCCAAGATGGCTCACTTACATGACTGACAGTGTGGTACAAGCTCTTTGGCAGGAGGTCTCTGCTTCTCACCATATGGATCTCTCTTTAGCACTGCTTGCTTCTCCCAGAGTAAGTGATCCAAGAGAGCAAGGTTATACAATGTGTTGTGTGACCTACATGATATTTGCACACTGTCATTGCACAATACTTTATTGGTTACACAGTCAGCCTTATTTGATGTTGGAGGGGATTCACAAGGACATGTACACCAGGAGGTAAGGCTCACTGGGAGCTATTTGGAGGCCAGTCACCATAGTGTTCTCCCATTAAGAGGTACGTAATATTGTTTTGTCTCTTTGTGATGGTAGCAACCATTGATGCTCAATGCCTAAGTCCACCAATTCATTCGATGTTGAAAAATGGTTATATTCTATTATTCCCTTTTCACTTATTAACTGAAATACTTCTAAAAATAGAGCTAAAAGCACAAGAAGGCAAGAGAAATTTGCCCGTCTCTGCTATTTGGTAACCGAGCAGTTCAGTTTGTATAGAAAAGTCAGTATAAATGCTTGATTCTGTCCTTTTATTTGCCAGTTTTAAAAATAGATTTGGTTTCCTAGCATCATCTATTGATAAGTAGACTTAAAAAATACGTTATGAGGCGGGGCGCGGTGGTTCACGCCTGTAATCCCACCCCTTTGGGAGGCTGAGGGGAGGATTGCTTAAGGCCAGAAGTTCGCGACTGGCCCTGGCAACACAGTGAAACCCTGTCTCTAAGAAAAAACTAAAAAAATTAGCTGGGTATAGGGGTATATGCCTGTAGTCCCAGCTACTTGGAGGCTCAGGAGGGAGGATTGCTTGAGCTTAGGAGTTTAAGGTTGCAGTGAGCTGTGATCATGCCACTGCCCTCCAGCCTGGGTGAAAGAGGTAGATCCTGTCTCACAAAACGATAAATACATATAATGTTATGAGCTTATGGATTTAAATATATTAAAGTATTTCAACTTATTGCAGTTACTATCTTATTAATGTTCACATAGTTATGGAGATAGGCTAAATAATGGCAAAAAATGTTCACCTTCTAATCACTGGAAGCTGTGAATATTACCTTACATGGCAAAAGGAATTTTGCAGATGTGATTAAATTGAGGATTTTAACTCGGATTGTGCTGAATTACCCAGCTGGGTCCATTGTAATCACTGGGGTCCCTATAAGAAGGAGGCATGAAATCAGAGCAGAAGGTGATGAAATGGGCTGGGTGCAGTGGCTCAGGCATGTAATCCCAGCACTTTGGGAGGAGGAGGCAGGTGGATCACATGGTCAGGAGTTCAAGACCAGCCTAACCAATAAGGTGAAACCCCGTCTATACTAAAAATACAAAAAGTAGCTGGGCGTGGTGGTGCGTGCCTGTAGTCCCAGCTACTCAGGAGGCTGAGGCAGGAGAATCACTTGAACCCGGGAGGCAGAGATTGCAGTGAGCTGAGATCGCATCACTGCACTCCAAGCTTGGCGACACAGGGAGACTCCACCTCAAAAAAAAAAAAAGAAGAAGGTGATGGGATGATGGAAGCAGAGATTGCAGAGACTGAAGCGATGCATTTTGAAGATGGAGAAATACAAGGATTGTAGCTCTAAAAGCTGAAAAAAGCAGGGAGACAGATTCTTCCCCTTAGTCTCCAGAAGGAACCACCTCTGTTGACACCTTGACTTTAGTACAGTGAAACTGATTTCAGACTTCAGACCGCCAGAACTGTAAGAGAATATATTTACAGTTTTTTGTTTGTTTTTTGAGATGGAGTCCTGCTGTGTCTTCCAGACTGGAGTGTGGTGGTGCAATCTCTCGGTTCACTACAACCTCTGCCTCCTGGGTTCAAGCAATTCTCCTGCGTCAGCCTCCCGAGTAGCTGGGATTATAGATGCCCACCACCATGCTTGGCTCATTTCTTGTATTTTTAGTAGAGATGGGGTTTCACCATGTTGGCCAGGTTGGTCTTGAACTCCTGACCTCAGGTGATCTGCCCGCTTTGGCCTCCCAAAGTGCTGGGATTACAGGCATGAGCCACTGTGCCCAGCCTATGTTGTTTTAAGCCACAAAATCTTTTGGCAATTTGTTACAGCCATTATAGGAAACTAGAAACACCTATCTTTGCTCAGTGGAACCGTCTTCAAATTGGTTATCTAATATAACAAAGTGTTTTAGGCTCATTTTGTACATTTTCTACCCCAGACTCCAAGGAGTCCTGGTTGCTTATAGTGGGAAATGGTATTTTGAGACCACTAAGGGTGTTCATGGGTGGTTGTCTTTTTTTTTTCCATCTTTTAAATTTATTTTAAAATTGTGTTTTTTAAAGAATTTACCATCTTACCCAGTTTTAAGCATAGAGTTCAGTGGTGTTAACTATATTCACCTTGTTGTGCAACAGATCTCTAGAACTCTTTCATCTTGTCAGCTTGAGACTCTATGCCCATTGAACAACTCCCCATTTCCCCCTCCTCCCTTGGACTTTTGCCTTTTTGAAAATGGCAGGGCCAAGAGCCACGGCTCAAACCTGTGGTCCCAGCTGAGCCCAGGAATTTGAGGCTGCAGTGTGTTATAATCACACCTAAGAATAGCCATTGCACCCCAGCATGGGCAACACAGTGAGACTTTATCTCTAAAAAAATGGAAAAAATCACACTTCTGTTGTAAAATATTTTTACCAACGTATGATTATTTTCTTCTTAAGTGTGCAGATTTTTAGGCCAAAACTCCATGCCATTTTTGGCTGCTAACCCTAAGCTATATCCTGTAAAGGATTTCAAGTAGCAAGATATCTAAAGGAATAGCTGTCTTTCTAAAATGGAGTGAGAGTTTTGAAATGAAATACATGTCATAACAAAAGGATGACATTTCATTATTAGGACTCAAAATGTTCTCTTGAGCTCTAGCTTGTTGTAGGTGAATACATTATTAAGACTGGTGGAGTCCCTGCCCACAGCACAGAATTACAGCTAGTGTCCCCTGTTTGGGGTCTTATCTGGCCCTGTTCTGTCCTGTAACTAAACCTGCTGCTGAAAAGAAATAGTTTCCATGAGACTGTTTACTTCAGATCTATAGGTGCAGCTCTCTGGGCCATGATAATTTGATTTGTTGTTGTTATTGTTGTTTTTTGAGATGGAGTCTCGCTCTGTCTCCCAGGCTGGAGTGCAGTGACATAATCTTGGCTCACTGCAAACTCCACCTCCTCGGTTCAAGCAATTCTCTTGCCTCAGCCTCCTGAGTAGCTGGGACTACAGGCACTTGCCACCATGCCTAGCTAATTTTTGTATTTTTAGTAGAGACAGGGTTTCACTATGTCGGTCAAGCTGGTTTCAAACTCCTGACCTCAGGTGATCCGCCCACCTTGACCTCCCAAAGTGCTGGGATTTACAGAGGTGAGCCACTGCGCCTGGCCTGTTTGTTTGTTTTTGAGACCGAGTCTCACTCTGTTGCCCAGGCTGGAGTGTAGTGGCCCAATCTTGGCTCACTGCAACCTCTGCCTCCTGGGTTCAAGCGATTCTCCTGCCTCAGCCTCCCGAGTAGCTGGGATTACAGGTGTGTGCCACCATGCCTGGCTAATTTTTATATTTTTAGTAGAGACGGAATTTCACCATGTTGGCCAGGCTGGTCTTGAACTCCTGACCTCAAGTGATCCACCCACCTTGGTATCCCAAAATGCTGGGATGACAGGCATGAGCCACCGTGCCCAGCTGAGAATTTGTTTTATAAAGCAGGAGGCCCCATCCTCTGGGGGCCGTGGACCAGTACCAGTCCATGGCCTGTTAGGAATCTGGTTGTGGCTTGTTAGGAAGTGGGCTGCACAGCTGGAGGTTAACAGCAGGTGAGCGAGCATTACCACCTGAGCTCCAGCTCCTGTCAGACCAGCAGCAGCATTAGATTCCCATGGGAGCAGGAACCTTGTTATGAAGTATACAAGCGAGGGATCTAGGTTGCGTGCTCCCTATAAGAATCTAATGCCTGATGTTCTGAGGTGGAACAGTTTCACCCTGAAACCATCCCTCCCCATCCCCTCAGTCCGTGGAAAAATTGTCTTCCATGAAACTGATCCCTGAGGCCAAAAATGTTGGGGACTGCTGTTATACAGAGCTGTAGGAGAGAAGAATAATGCAGAGGGAAAAGGAGTGCCTGTCTGTTGAGACTTTCAGGGGGACCTAGGGACTGGTTTTGTTACAGTTGACTGGGAATTGTCTTGTTTATTTTATTTTATTTTTCATTTAAAAAATTTTTTTGAAATGGAGTCTTGCTCTGTTGCCCAGGCTGGAGAGCAGTGGTGCCATCTTGGCTCACTGCAACCTCTGCCTCCCAGATAAAGTGAAGCTCCTGCCTCAGCCTCCTGAATAGCTGGGATTACAGGCATGCACTACCACACCTGGCTAATTTTTGTATTTTTAGTAGAGATGTGTTTCATCATGTCAGCCAGGCTGGTCTTGAACTCCTGACCTCAAGTGATCCACCTGCCTCAGCCTCCCAAAATACTGAGATTACAGGCATGAGCCACCGTGCCTGGCCAAAGTGTCTTGTTTTATTTTTAAGTCTTTGATCACTCTCATTTACAGTAAGTGTTTGAAGAGTACATTCTAAATCATTTTTCTCTCTTCCTTTACAGGAAGTGCTCAAATGTTGAGCACACACACACAAAAAAAGAGGAAACAGTTGGATAGGAACTCAGAAATCATGTGACTGATGACTAAGTTAAATCTTTTCTGCTTACTGAAAAGGAAGAGTCTGATGATTAGTTACTGATCCTCTTTGCATTTGTAAAGCTTTGGAGATATTGAATCATGTTACCATTTCTGTTTTTTTCCACCCTGTTTTCTTCCATATTTACTGAAGCTCAGAAGCAGTATTGGGTCTGCAACTCATCCGATGCAAGTATTTCATACACCTACTGTGGTAAGTAAAACCGCAAAACAAATAATTGTAGCATCAACTATTTTGAGGGTAAGTTTTCACGAGAACCGTACACTGTTGTGGCTGGAACACACGAAACATCAGTGTGTTCCAGCTGCTGTGGCGGACGCTGCCAGCAGGAAAAGCAATAGCTGGCAGCTGCCCCATGAGAATGTTCTCGACCACTCACAGAGCTTGTGAGTCTCTAAACTGTGTTGTGCTTGACCTCCAAGTGCTTCTGTTCCCTGCGTCATCTTTCTCTACCCTGAGCCCAGTTTTTGGTTCTGCCCATTTTTAATAAAACCATCTGCTTCTGAGCTTTCACCTCAGCCTTGACACTTACTAGTTCTTCTTCTTGAGATGGTAGAGCAGTCCCAGCTGCTTCCTGGAGTTGATTTCTGCTCTAAGCTGTGACTCTTGAGTGCTCTTGGAATCATCCCCCTCACTGGATGAAAGCCTGGTTCTGTCACTAGCTGTGTGACCTTAAGCAAAGTACTCCAGCCTTTTTAGCACTGAAGTGAAAGTGATTTTATAGTCTACTTGATAAGGGTGTTGTGAGGTGAAGTTTTTTAGCATAGGGTCACATAGAGACAATAATACTCTTAATTTTTTTTTGGAGTCAGCCATACCCTAATACTATTCACTGGCTGTGTCACTGTCCCCTGCCCCAGCTGCTCATTAGCAAGTGTCCTGGGATCTGAAGGCACAGTGTCAGGCCTGACAGCTGTTTTGGTTCGGTACTTTCCACCGTGCTGCTTACCATGGGTTGGCTGCCCTTTTCCACCCACTAGCAATAGCTGGGAGGTTTAAAGTGGTGCTTCCCAAAATACCAGTTCTTTGAGATTCTTTTGGGAAAATAGGATCTATGACCTAATCATCTGGGAGAGATTTACAGATGTACTTTGGGTTCTGAGAAGTTCTGCAATAAAGGCACCTGTTTAACCACATTTTCAATTTCATTTGTTGTTTGTTTGTTTGTGTTTTAGTCTGGAGTGTATGTTAACTCTCTTGAGAAACATGCTCTGCCAAATGCTAATATAAAGTGACTTTCGGGAAATTGGGATAATTGCCACATGTGAGGAGGAGACTTAGGAGTGTGGCCAGTCACACACCATGGCCCTTCTCCTGGTGGGTTGCACTGAATTCCCTCCAAACGTATGTCTAAAATCTCTCCATGCTGCAAGATCCTTTTGCATTCCCCTCTTCCAGCAAGGCTCCTACTCTACTTGGCCCCCACTTCCCTCTCCTCCTTTGGCTCTTTTGTACCATGTGCTAATTATGCCACTGTGTGTGTGTGTGTGTGTGTGTGTGTGTGTGTGTGTGTGACAGAGTTTTGCTCTGTTGCCAGGCTGGAGTGCAGTGGCGCGATTTCGGCTCACTGCAACCTCTGCCTCCCAAGTTCAAACGATTCCCATGCCTCAGCCTCCTGAGTAGCTGGGACTACAGGTGTGCGCCACCACACCCGGCTAATTTTTTTTTTTTTTGTATTTTAGTAGAGACAGGGTTTCATCATGTTGACCAGGATGGTCTCAATGTCCTGATCTTGTGATCTGCCCACCCCGGCCTCCCAAAGTGCTGGGATTACAGGCGTGTGCCACCTTGCCCGGTTTATGCCACTCTTTATATGGTTTTTATGGATGTAACATTTTGTATTATTATTTAGCTTTCAATCTTTTCTTAACAATAACTCAATTTGTCTTTTTAAAACATTTCACATTTTATCTTATTTTATCATTTATTTTTGAGACAGGGTTTTGCTCTGTTGTGCAGGCTGGAGTGAGTGGCATGATCTCCACTCACTGCAACCTCCACCTCCCTGGCTCAAGCCATCCTCCCAGCTCAGCCTTCCAAGTAGCTGGGACTACAGGCACATGCCACCACACTTGTCTAATTATTAATTAAATAATTTTTTTTGAGTTTCACTCTTGTTGCCCAGGCTGGAGTGCAATGGCATGATCTTGGCTCACTGCAACGACCGCCTCCTGGGTTCAAGTGATTCTCCTGCCTCAGCCTCCCGAGTAGCTGGGATTATAGGTGCCCACCACCACACCCAGCTAATTTTTGTATTTTTAGTAGAGACAGGGTTTTGCCATGTTGACCAGGCTGGCCTCCAACTCCTGACCTCAGGTGATCCGCCCACCTTGGCCTCCCAAAGTGTTGGGATTACAGGCGTGAGCCACCGCAGCTGGCCTAATTATTAATTTTTTTGTAGAGATGGAGTCTTGCTATATTGCCCAGGCTGGTCTGGAACTCCTGGGCTCAAGTGATTCTCCCACCTTGGCCTCCCAAAGTGCTGGGATTACAGATATGAGCCACTGCACCTGGCCTAAAATTTCACATTTTAATCATTTTTGAGTGTTTAGCTCAATTGTATTAAGTATATGCACATTGCTGTGAAACCATCACCGTTGGTGTATCTTTTGATTTGACTTTCTAGTTTTTTTTTTTACTTTGAGACAGTCTCATTCTGTCATCTAGGCTGGAGTGCAGTAGTACGATCTCAGCTCACTGCAACCTCTGCCTCCTGGGTTCAAGCGATTCTTTTGCCTCAGCCTCCTAAATAGCTGAGATTACAGATATGCACCACCATGCCTGGCTAATTTGATTTGACTTTATGAAGGAGGATCTTCCTTCCTTCTCTCTGAGAAACCCTGTGGTCCTTTCCTGCTGCCCCACTGACAAAGGGACTGTGGGCAAGCCACTGGAATACACATCTACAGCAAGATGTTGCTTGTTGCCATCCCCACTGCCATATGACTGCCTTCCCGGCCTGAGAGAATCCATCCTGCCCAGCCAAAAATGCATCACCTGTGGGAAGCACTGATTCCTCTAGGTACCATTGTGAGGGTGTTGGTGACAACAACCTCTGATTCACTGTGATGATTTCCATGAAAAAGAAGAGATAGATTTCCATTTGGTCAAGCTGCTGGGCATCTAAGTGTATGTTTTTTTAAACACAGAGTCTTGCTCTGTCAGCCAGGCTGGAGTGCAACGGTGGAATCATGGCTCACTGCAGCCTCAAACTCTGAGGTTCAAGTGATTTTCCCGCTTCAGCCTCCCAAGTAGCTGGGACTACAGGCGTGCACCACCATGTCTGGCTAATTTTTAAGTTTTTTGTAGTGATGGGGTTTTGCCATGTTGTCCATGCTGGTTTTGAACTCCTGGTCTCAAGCAATCTTCCTGCCTCAGCTTCCCAAAGTGCTGGGATTACAGGCCTGAGCCACTGATTCCGGGCTACAGTGTCTTAATTAGTTCAGGTGCCATAACAAAATACCACAGACTGGATGGCTCAAACAACAAAAACCTATTTTTTCACAGTTCTGGAGGCTAGAAGTCCAAGATCAAGGTGTCTGCATAATTGGGTTCTCCTGAGGCCTCTCTCCTTGGCTTACTGCTGTGTTTTGAATTTTGTGTCCTTGCAAACTCATGTTGAAATTTAATTGCCATTGTGATGATATTAAGAGGTGGGACTTTTAAGAGGTGATTAAGCCATGAAGGCTCTTCTCTCATGAATAAATTAATGTCATTATTGAGGGAGTGAGTTTCTCATAAAAAGACAAGTTTAGCCCCCTTATGTCTCCTGCTTTTGCCCCCTCTTGCCCTTCTGCTCTTCCACCATGGGATGAGACAGCAAGAACGCCCTTGTCAGATACCAGCACCTTCACATGGAACTTACCAGCCTCCGGAACTGTGAGAAATAAATTTCTGTTCTTTATTAAGTACCCAGACACCAATAATCTGTTATAGCAGCACAAAGTGGACTAAGACACTCGCAGCTGGCTGCTTTCTCACTGTGTCCTCACATGGCCTTTCCTCTGTGTGTGCACATCCCTGGCGTTTCTTTGTGTGTCCAAATTTCCTCTTCTTATAAGGACACCAACAAGATTGGATTAGGGCCCATCCTAACAGCCTCATTTTAACTTAATTACCTCTTTAAAGGCACTGTCTCCAAATGCAGTCATATTCTGAGGTACTGGAGCCTTAACATGTGAATGGGGACGAGAGGAATGAGGACACATTTCTGTCGGTCCATAACATACAAAAATGGCAAAAATTGACTGATTTATTCTCCCAGTTTTGGAAAAGGCAAAAAATGTGGGTGTGTGAGTTGGTTCCTAGGATCTTAGGCACATGCTTTCCTATGATCCTGAGTCATTGGTCTCAGTTCTAATCTTTATTTTTTTTTTGCTACAGATGGTTAGAAAATCCAAGGAATTAATAGATTATTTAGTGAAACCAATATTCTCTGAGCATTTAGCATGCACTTACTCTAGGAACTGAGGAGATAAGTGAATTAACAACAAAGACAAAAGTCCCTGCCCTTATGGATTCAGTAAAATATTCAGCATGTCAGATGGTGGTAATTGCTGTGAAAGAAAAATAAGGCTGGGGGATGCGGGGTAGAGGGTGCAAAGATGCAAAAATGGAGAAGCTAGGGGGTTGCATTTTAAATCAGGATGGCCAGCCAGATGTGATGGCACTCACCAGTAGTATAGCCCAGCTACTCAGGAGGCTGAGGCAGGAGAATAGCTTGAGCCCAGGAGGTCAAGGCTGCAGTGAGCCATGTTTGTGCCACTGCACTCCAGTCTGGGCAACAGAGCAAGACTGAACCTAGCTAATTTTTAAATTTTTTGTAGAGACAGTGTCTTGCTGTGCTGCCCAGGCCAGTCCCAACCCCTGGGCTCAAGCAGTTCTCCTGCCTTGGCCTTCCAAAGTGCTGGAATTACATGCATGAGCCACCACGCTAGGCCTAAAACCTGTTTCTTTTCCTTCCTTCCTTCCTTCCTTCCTTCCTTCCTTCCTTCCTTCCTTCCTTCATTCCTTTCTTTCTTTCTTTCTTTCTTTCTTTCTTTCTTTCTTTCTTTCTTTCTTTCTTTCTTTCTTTCTTTTTCTGAGACAGAGTCTTGCTGTGTCACTGAGGCTGGAGTGCAGCACGATCTCAGCTCATTGCAACCTCCCAGGTTCAAGCGATTTTCGTGCCTCGGCCTCCCAAGTAGCTGGGACTACAGCCATGCATCACCATGCCTGGCTATTTTTTTCTGTTTTTAGTAGAGACGGGGTTTCACCATGTTGGTCAGGCTGGTCTTGAACTCCTGACCTCAAATGATCCACCCACCTTGGCCTCCTAAAGTGCTGGAATTACAGGCGTGAGCCACTGCGCCTGGTCCCGGCTAATTTTTGTATTTTTTGGGGGATGGGATTTATTTTTTTGAGATGGGGTCTTGCTCTGTTGCCCAGGCTGGAGTGCAGTGGTGCAATCTTGGCTCACAGCAGTCTCTGCCTCCTGGGTTGAAGTGATTCTCCTGCCTCAGCCTTCTGAGTAGCAGGGATTACAGGCCTGCGCCACCACACCCGGCTAATTTTTGTGTTTTTAGTAGAGACGGGGTTTCACCATGTTGGTCAGGCTGGTCTCGAACTTCTGACCTCAGACAATCCACCCGCCTGGGCCTCCCAAAGTGCTGGGATTACAGGCATAAGCCACCATGCCTGGTCTGTATTTTTTTAGTAGAGACCAGGCTGATCTTGAACTCCTGATTTTAGGCGATCAGCCTGCCTTGGCCTCCCAACGTGTCGGGATTACAGGCATGAGCCACCGTGTCCGGCCTTAAACCTGTTTCTGTCTAAGTCTTCTCCATCTCATCATCCACCTAATTCCTTAGGCCCCAAACCAGAAGTATCCTTAAGTATCTCTTTCCCTCACCTATTACATTATTGTATTAGTCATTCCTGTTTTCATGATCTCCAGATTCTATTCTATATCCAAGTGCTTCTCACTGCTCTCTAACACTCATGCCACATTTGTCTCTCCTTGGCCTCTACAAAAACCTCTTAAATTGCCCTCCCTCTGCTTCAGTTCTTGCCACCATACAATCTATTCTTGACACAGAGGCCAGAGAGATCTTTGCAAAATGAAAATAAGTTAGATAATGTGACCCCTCCTGCTGAAAATCCTCCAGTAGCTTTCACTACAATTAGAGTGAAATCTCAACTTTATACCAAGACCTCCAGGACTCCTCAGGATCTTGAAGCAATACTAAGACTACCTAGAATTACAGTCTAATTAGGGGGTCCTTCCCACAAGTTTTCCTCCCACATCAGATGCCATGTGCAAGCCCTAGGCTGACACCTGTGGTTCTCACTGGCTATAAATTGGAGGTTCCCCTTTCTTGGGTTTGATCATTGTTAGACTAACTCTCAGAACACAAGGAAACACTCATTTATGTTTACTGGTTTATTATAAAGGATATTATTAATACAAAGGATACAGACGAATAGCCAGATGAAAGAGATATATAAGGTAAGGTGCAGGATAAGGGGACCAGAGTGTCCATGTCCTCTCTGGGTGCACCATCCTCCTAGCATCTCCATGTGTTCACCAACCCAGAAGCTCTCCTAAACCTGTCGTCCAGAAATTTTTATGGGGTGTTCATCATGTAGGCATAATCGAATGTTAACTCTGTCTGTAGCCCTTCTCCCCTTCCTGCAGGATGGGAGGTGGGGCTAAAAGTTCCAAGCTTCTCATCATGGCTTGGTCTTTCTCATAACTGGCCCTTATCCAGGAACCCACCAAAAGTTACCATTAGAAAAAAAGATGCTGCTATTGCCCAGGACAGTCTAAGGAACTAGAAGCTCTGGGCAAGAAATTGGGATCAAAAACCAAATGTTAGGACCAAAAATTCTCTTACCACTCCCATTGTTCTGTAAACTACAAGGGTTTTAGGATCTCTGTGCCATAAACTGGGGCAGAGACAAAATATATGTTTCTTATTATATCACAGTATCACAAATTCTGTACACATTTTATAGTTTTTTTTTTCTAGTTCTGTAAAAAATGTCACTGGTGCCAGGCATGGTGTCTCATGCCTATAATCCTAGTGCTTTGAGAGGCTGAAGTGAGAGGATCACTTGAGGCCAGGAGTTCAAGACCAGCCTAAGCAACATAGTGAGGCCCCATCTCTACAAAAAAATGAAGAAAAAAAAATTCACTGGGTGTGGTGGCATGCACCTGTAGTACTAGCGACTCAGGAGACTGAGGTGGGAGGATCTCTTGAGCCCAGGAGTTTGAGGTTGCCCTGAGCTATGATTGTGCCACTACACTTTATCCTGGGTGACAGAGTGAAATCCTGTCTCTTCTCTCTCAAAAAAAAGGAAAAATGCCATTAGGATTTTGATAGAGATTGCTTCAAATCTGGATCTGTAGGACACTTTGAATGGTGTGAACATTTTAGCAACATTGTCTTCCAATCTATGAGCAAGGGATATCTTTCTGTTTCTTTTTGTCCTGTTAATGTCTTTGATCAATTTATTTTATTGTTTTTACTATAAAAGTTTTTAACTTCCTTAGTGAAGTTTATTGTATTCCTCCTGGTACTATTGTAAATTTGATTGTTTTTCTAATTTCTTTTCCAGATAGCTTGTTATAATTTTTTTTTTTTTGAGGCCAAGTCTTGCTCTGTTGCCCAGGCTGGAATGCAGTGGCATGATCTCAGCTCACTGTAGCCTCCACCTCCTGGGCTAAAGCAATTCTCATGCTTCAGCCTCCTGAGTAGCTGGGACGACAGGCACCCGCCACCACACCCGGCTAATTTTTTATTTTTAGTAGAGATAGGGTTTCACCATGTTGGCCAGGCTGATCTCAAACTCCTGACCTCAGGTGATCCACCCTCCTCAGCCTCCCAAAGTGTTGGGATTACAGGTGTGAGCCACCACACCTGGCAATTTTAATTTTTTTGAAACAAGATCTCAATCTGTTGCCCAGGATGGAGAGCAGTGGCACAATCTTGGCTCACTGCTGTCTTGACCTTCTGGGCTCAAGTGATCTTCCCACCTCAGCCTCCTGAGTAGCTACAGGCATGTGCCATCACATCCAGCTAATTTTTGTATTTTTTGTACAGACGGGGTTTTGCCATGTTGCCCAGGCGGGTCTTGAATTCCTGGACTCAAGCGATTCTGCTGTCTTGGCCTCCCAAAGTGCTGGGGTTACAGGTGTGAGCCACTGCACCAGGCCTGAAAGCTTGTTGACAGTATTTAGTAACATTACTGATTTTTGTAGGTTCATTTTATATC
This sequence comes from Homo sapiens, assembly GCF_000001405.40. NCBI lineage: Eukaryota > Metazoa > Chordata > Mammalia > Primates > Hominidae > Homo > Homo sapiens. The sequence continues at coordinate 73,999,619 of NC_000008.11, forward strand.
CTGCAATTTTGCAGAATTCATTTATTAGTTCTAACAACTTTTTTACATTTTTATTTTCTTTAAAATTTTTTAAAGTTTCTAATAGAGACAGGGTCTTGCTATATTGCCCAGGCTAGTCTTGAACTCCTGGCCTTATGTGATCCTTCCACCTCTGCCTCCCAAGGTGCTGAGATTACAGGCATGAGCCACCATGTCCAGCCAGCTCTAACAATTTTTAATGAAGTCTTTAGGGATTTCTATATATAAGACTATGTCATCTGCAAAAAGATAATTTTACTTCTTCCCTTCCAATTTGGATGCTTTTTTTTTTCTTGACTAATTGCTTTGGCTAGGACTTCTAGTACTATGTTGACCAAGAGTGGTGAGAATGGACATCACTGCCTTGTTCCTGATCTTAAAGTAAAACCTTTCAGTTTTTCACCACTGAGTATGATGTTGACTGTGGGTTTTTCACATATGACCTTGTCCTCAAAGTCCTAGCCTATCTTAATGATCTATGAAATGCCTTTCAGGTCATTCTCCCATTGTCTTGATGTAGAAGAACACTTGGCTCCCTTCTATCCATACTAATTTCGTTATCGAATTTTACTATAAGTGGCCAAAAGAAGCCATGCAGCACCTTGAGCACTTTCCTGCTTATCTATTTCTTCTACCAGATAGAGTAGATCCTTGCTCTTAAGTTCCATTTTTCACACAGTTTTAGGGAACAGACACAAGTCCATCAAGTTCTTTGCAACTGTGTAGCAAGGATGGCCTTTACTGCAGTTTCCAATACCTTGTTTTTCATTTGTGTCTGAGGCCTCATCAGAATTGCCTTTACCTTCCACATTTCTACCAACATTCTGATTATGACCACTTAAGTAATCGCTAGGAATTTCCACACTTTCCCTACATTTCTTCCCTTCTTCTGAGCCCGCATCAGAATTGCCCTTAATGCTCTGTTCATGGCAATATGGACTTTTTTCTAGCCTGTTCCTCCAAACTCTTCCAGCCTCTGCCTATTATCCAGTTTCAAAGCTGCTTCCATATTTTTAGGTACCTGTTACAGCAACACCTCACCTCTCTGGCACCAATTTTCTATCTTCATCTGTTTTTTGCTGCTATAACAGAATACGTAAGACTGGGTAATTTATAATAAACAGAAATTTATTTGGCTTATGGTTCTGGTTGTTGAGAAATCCAACATTGAGGCATTGCATCTAGCAATGGTCTTCTTGCTGCATCATCCCATGGCAGAAGGGCAGAAGGCCGAAAGGGCACTTGTCAGGGGTGGGGAAGGAGGCTATACTCATCCTTTCATCAGGAATCCACACCCACAATAACTAATCCACTCCTGCAACAACAGCATTAATTCATTCACAAGGGCAGAGCCCTCATGAACTGATCACCTCTTAGAGGTTCCACCCCTCAACACTCTTGCACTGGGGATTAAATTTCCAATGCATGAACTTCAGGCAATGCATTCAAACCATAGCAACACCTTATAGTTATGACAGTCTGTTTTAAGCTAATGACAACTTAAATTGAATCACATATAACAACTCTACACTTTAGGAGTTGGAGACCAGTCTGGGCAACAAAGAAAGCCTCTATCTCTAAAAAAAAAAAAATTTTTTTTTTTTTTTGAGACAGTCTCGCTCTGTCATACAGGCTGGAGTGCAGAGGTGTGATCTCAGCTCACTGCAACCTCCACCTCCTGGGTCTGAGTGATTCTTGTGCCTCAGCCTCCCGAATAGCTGAGATGACAGGCACGTGCTGTGCTGACATGCCCAGATAATTTTTGTATTTTTTGCGGAGATGGGGTTTTGCTATGTTGGCCAGGCTGATCTTGAACTCCTGACCTCAAACCATCGGTCCACCTTGGCCTCCCCAAAGTGCTGGGATTACAGGCATGAGCCAGCACACTTGGCCTCTACAAATTTTTTTTTAATTAAAAACAAAACAAAAAACAGGCCACATGTGGTGACTTATGCCTGTAATGCCAGCACTTTGGGATGCTGAGGCAGGAAGATCACTTGAGTCCAGGAGTTCAAGACCAGCCTGGGCAACATAGTGAGACCTCATCTCTACAAAAAAAAAAATTAGCTGAGTGTGGTAGTATACACCTGTAGTCTCAGCTATTGGCAAGAGGATCACTTGAGCCCAGGAGTTAGAAGCTGCAATGAGCTATGATTGCATCACTGCACTCCAGCTTGGGTGACAGAGCAGACCCCCGTATTTAAAAACAAACCAACAAACAAAACTATTTCATTGGGCTTCTTGGATTTGTATTTCCATTATTTCCATTTTCTTCCCTAGATTTGGGAAGTTTTCAACCAACCTTCCTTCCTTCCTTCCTTCCTTCCTTCCTTCCTTCCTTCCCTCCCTCCCTCCCTCCTTTCTTCCTTTCTTCCTTCCTTCCTTCCTTCCTTCCTTCCTTCCTTCCTTCCTTCCTTCCTTCCTTCCTTCCTTCCTTCCTTTCTTTCTTTCTTTCTTTCTCTCTCTCTCTCTCTCTCTCTCTCTCTCTCTCTCTCTTTCTTTCCTTTTCTTTCTTTTTGAGACAGAGTCTTGCTCTTTTATCCAGGCTGGAGTGCAGTGGCGTGATCTCAGCTCACTGCAACCTCTGCTTCCCAGGCTCAACTGATTCTCATGCCTCAGCCTCCTGAGTAGCTGGGATTATAGCCATTATTTCTTTGAATAAACTTTCTGTAGTCTGTTCTTTTTTTCTTCCACTTCTGGAACTCTCATAATGCATATATGGTTCTGGTTGGTGGTGTCTCACCATTACCTTAAGTTTTCTTCACTCTTTTAAATTATTTTTTCCTTTTGCTCTTCTGATTGAATTCTTTTCCAGTGATCTCTCTCTGAGTTCACTGATCCTTTCTCTACTTGGTCTAGTCTGCTGCTGAACCCCTCCAGTGAACTTTTTAGTTCAGTTATTGTGTTCCTCAGCTCCATGATTTATTTATTTATTTCTTTTTTTTTTTTTTTTGAGACAGAGTCTTGTTCTGTTGCCCAGGCTGGAGTGTAGTGGCACAATCTTGGCTCACTGCAACCTCCGCCTCCTGGATTCAAGTGATTCTCCAGCCTCAGCCTCCCAAGTAGCTAGGATTACAGGCACATGCCACCACGCCCAGCTAATTTTTGTATTTTTTTCATAGAGGTGGGGTTTCACCATGTTGGCCAGGCTGTTCTAGAACTCCTGACCTCAGGTGATCTGCCCGCCTCGGCCTCCCAGAGTGCTGGGATTACAGGCATGAGTCACCGTGCCCAGCCTTCAGCTCCATGATTTCTGTGTGGTCCTTTAAAATGTTTTCTTTCTTCTTGTTGAAATTCTCACTGCATTCATGTATTGTTCTCTTGACCTCAGTGAGCATCTTTATGGAGGTATTTTAAATTGTCTGTCAGGTAAATCATATAACTTCATTTCCTTAGTGTAAGTGAGGAAGATTTGTCTTGCTCCTTTGTTTGAAACATCTTTGCCTGATCTTTCATTTTCCTTGTCTCTCTGTTTGGCATCTACACATTACAAAGCAGACATCTTTTTCAGTCTTCACAGATTGGCCTCACACAGGAACATACCCACACCTATTGTTGTGGGAATCAGGAGGACGAGAGAGACCTCGGGGGAAAGCAAGAGGATCTTTATTGAATGCACTCAGACCCAGCAGACTTAACATCCAAAAACTGGGCCCTGAACAAGGACAGCACTTGACTTTTATACACACTTCTAAAAGGGGGTGGGCTAGCTTGAAGCAGGCTTACAGTGGCACAAAAGCAAGGATATAGAGGCAGAACAATTAATCCAATTGTGACAGGTTCATAACTCAGGACTATACATGAACATTGCTATGCAACCCAGATGTCTGTTATCTAGGTTTTGCTCAAAAGAGCCTTGCACTGGTTTATCTCATAACCTTCACCATGGTGCCCAGACGGCTGTAGTTCAGGCCTGCTCAGGCTTCTCACGACCTTCGCTGTACTTCTTAGGTAAAACAGAATACTTGAAGTTCCTAGTTACAGAGAACAAGAATCTGTAAACTCATATCATAAAAGAAAGGAAAATTTGTTTTTCCTCTCCCTATGTTGAGGGAGTGCTGGAAGAGTCTCCAGAGCACATTTCTTTGTGTCCTATCTTCTCAGATAGTGTTTATCAAGACTTTTCCTGGGTCTGGGCCTTGCCTGCTACTGCCTTTGAGATGAGTCAGCCTAATACAGGAAAGCTTATTTCTTTCTCTTTTTAATTTTCTTTTTCTTTCTTTCTTTAATTTCCCACTTCACTATTAGCCTGGTTAGAGATTCTGGGGTCCTCTACCAACTCTTTCTCACTTCAGGGAGATGCAGGCAGCTGTGTTTTTTTGTCCACCTATTCCATACTGAGCCAGAGATGGGGTGGTGAAGGGAACTGTGGCATCTACCAGCCCAAGCTGCTGTCTCCATTCCCCTGCCAGGCAGCTAGACTATGCCAGACCTGTCAGAACTCTAGGACTGATGAGACAGATATAAGTTTTCTGGGGATCCCCAGAGAAATTGGGATGCTGGATGCATGGATTAACTCTTTCCCTCCCCGGGAGAAAGCTGAGAGCTAAGATTTTTCATCTTCTCACTCTGTGCTGAGCAGAGGGGAGGATTAATGATGCCTATCTGCCCAAGCCACTGCCTTTATTCTCCCCTGGGTGGTAGACTGTGCCAGACTCATCAGAGCTCCAAGACTGGCAAGACAGAAGCCAGTCCTCTGGGGAGCCCTCGTGAAAAAGTTGGTGTTCTGGACATGTGAAACAACTTCTCTCCTCCCATGGGTGGAGCTAGGAGCTGGTTGGGGGGGTCTCTTCCTGATTGTATGACACCACACCAGGGTAATAATCTCTGATTAGACAGTGTCCCAAGTCTCCCTACTGGCTTTGTTGAATCTGGTTTTGTGTTCTCCTTGCATGCAGGAGTCTTTCAATTAGTTTGATTTTTCATAAAGGGAATATTTCTGTAAATTGTTGTGTTAGTGGAGGCAAGAAGAGTTCAGGGCTTCTGATTCTGCCACATTGCTGATGTCATTCTTCTGGGGAGATATTTTCAATCATCATCAATTTTTCTTATTTTATAATTTTAATGCAAGATTCATCTTAAAAGGCTGATATTCAGAATACTATACTTAATGGAGATGATTTGTAGTAATTTATTGACATTATCTTTATTGCTTTTAGATAAAATGCAATACCCAATTTCAATTAATGTTAACCCCTGTATAGAATTGAAAAGATCCAAAGGATTATTGCACATTTTCTACATTCCAAGTAAGTTCAAATTTTTGCTTTTATAGACCAATCAAAGGAGTTAAGAAATATCAGTGATAAATGATTGTGTTTCAAATATACTTGTATTCGTTATCTATTGCTACGTAACAAATTACCACGATCTTTGTGGCTTAACACAGCACACATTTATTATCTCATCATCTTTGTTGATCAGTATTCTGGGCATAGCTTACCTGTGTCTGCTTCAAGGTCTCCCATAAGGCTACAATCAAGGTGTTTGCCAGGCTGGAGTCCCTTCTGAGGCTCAACTAGGAAATATATACTTCTAAGCTCACGTAGCTGTTGTCAGTATTCAGTTGTTAGTATTCAGTCCCTTGCTGGCTGTTGGCCACCCGTCAGTTCCTTACCACATGGGCATTTTCAGTATGGCTGCTTGCTTTTTCAAAGCCAGCGAGGGGGACAGTCAGCTAACTAGGCAAGTCACAATCTTATATAGCATAATCATGGAAGTAACACTCCATCATCTTTGCTGTGTTCTATTGGTTAGAAGCAAGTCACTAGGCTAGCCCATACTACTGGGAGAGGATTACACAAGAACATGTGGGTAGAAATGGGAATAACTTCAGCTGTCCAACAATCTTACAGGTATATCCTTCATCAATCATTAGCTATAAGTAATATTGGGTTTCCATTAGTCAAAGATCTGTGTGTCAGCAAGCCAGGACTTCAATATTTTTTAAAGATGGTCTTTCTAGAGAAAAATACAGTAATAATGGGATGACAGAAGGCCATGTGTTTTGTTTTGCTTTGTGTTGTGTCTTGGTTTTCCTCTCTATGACTTTGCTTGTTATCAGCTTAGAAAAAACTAACGCAGGTGGGGTGATAGCATGGGGCTGTATCTCAGTCTCTGTGCAGACACAAAACTTTTTCCTCTCCTACCAGTTACCAAACATTGTTTATTGCCTGTAAGCTCTGGAATCCCAGAAAACTTTAGTTTTAATCTTTATCATCATCATTATCACATAATTTACATCCTAGTTTAGATTTGGAGCTTGTTTTAGATTAATACTTTACAGAGTAGTTTTACATGAATAAGCTTAAACATTTTCCCCCGATTTTAGTTCTCTGGCTTACCAGAAAAATGAAAAACAACAACAACAAAATCCCCAAAACTGAGAACCCAGGAATGATAGACAACAAACTTGTGTTTTAATTTTCATGATTCTAGTTGTTCAACCTGTTTTTTTGACACTCTGTATCTGCATTCATTTATTCACTAAAAAGATGCTTAGTAAATTGTAAGTATCATGCTAGGCACTGTGAATTCATTGATAAGATATTCTCTCTCTCTCTCTTTTTTTCTTTTGAGATGGAGTCTCTGTCTGTTGCCCAGGCTGGAGTACAGTGGCATGATCTCGTCGGCTCACTGCAGCCTCTGCCTCCCGGGTTCAATCCATTCTCCTGCCTCAGCCTCCCGGGTAGCTGGGATTATAGGCACCCACCACCATGCCTGGCTAATTTTTGTATTTTTAGTAGAGAAGGGGTTTCACCATGCTGACCAGGCTGGTCTTGAACTCCTAACCTCAAGTGATCCACCCGCCTAGGCCTCCCAAAGTGCTGGGATTACAGGCGCGAGCCACCGTGCCCAGCCAATAAGACATTCTCCTGATCTTCAGGAATCCATCAGTGCAATAGGAGAGACAGAACTGCAGATAGTATGGTATAAGTGAAGTGACAGCAACAGGGCTTAGTGACAGCACAGAGCAAAGGATGATTAACTCTATTTCCTTCACTTTCCTGGCCAAAGATAAAATAAATAATCTAAAGTTTTGCTTGGCTAAGGCTCTACAGTTTCTTCTTTTTTCCTAGGTTCTGTTTTCTGGTCTGTTGGCAGGTTTTACCCCTACACAATTGGCATAAAGGATGATTTACATAATGAATAATCTCACTTTCAAGTGAATCCCTTGCCCTTACTCGCAGGAAACAGGTTGTATCTTTCCAGGCCAAGATAATAAGACAGTACGAAATCATTTAGAGTTCTCTGAAAAGCAGACACTAAGAAGGAATTAGGCTAGAGATTTCTTGGAGGAAACGCTTGTGAACAGTAAAGGGGAGAGGAAGCCAGAGTAGGCTAGGAGAAAATTCAGATTGGGGTGCAGGTCTGATACCTTTGAAAAGAGAGTAGGGAGGAAGGAGAATTAAGTAGGATAATCCTCAGACCAGAATGCATCCCTGAGACACTCTTGGGCTGGGCCAAATAGGAAGCCCCAGAGCAGAATGCCTGTTGTAAGAGACCCATGACAGGCGGGAGTAGCCTGGCTCTAGGGTCCTTGCAGTGCTGGATCATTATAGGAGCAGCCTACGAGAGGGTGGCCTCTGGCTGAGTGCTGAGATAGATGTGAAGGTATGGCAGCTGCAGGCTGTCTGCCAGCTACTCTTCTCACAGCAGCTGCTTTTGAAGGGAAATTTGAGGGACATACCTCAATGGCCATCACAAGTGTTTTATAATTTCTCACTAAATATGACATTTATATAACAAATTATATTAATTCATTAACAAAATAATTATTCAGTCATATTTTTATAGCGCAATTATGTTTCCATAGAATATACTATAATGTTGGTATAAAGTGTGAGGCCACATTCATGGAAATCAACCTTATTTTTATGGCCTCATTTCTACTTGAATTCAGGAAGAGATACAAGTACAAACTTGAACCAAAAATAGGTTGAGAATGGAAATGATATCTTTTGAGATGTCATAGCCTTGCTAGTAAATTATTTGTATATTATTAACTGATTGACAAATCAAACTGGAGCATAAGCTTCCTTCAAGGTTATTTCTGGAAGTTCCTGGAATTGTCTTTGGTAAGCTAAAAAATAGTCCTCTTTTATACCACATGACAGCCTCCATGTTTCTTTTCTTTTTTTGAGATGGAGTCTCACTCTGTCACCCAGGCTGGAGTGCAGTGGCGTGATCTCGGCGCACTGCAGCCTTTGCCTCCTGGGTTCCAACGATTCTCCTGCCTCAGCACCCCTGGTAGCTGGGATTACAGGCGCCTGCCACTGCACCCAGCTAATTTTTGTATTTTTAGCAGAGACAGGGTTTCGCCATGTTGGCCAGGATGGTCTCGAACTCCTGACCTCAGGAGATCTGCCCGCCTTGGCCTCTCAAAGTGCTAGGATTACAGGCGTGAGCCACCGCGCCCAGCCCATGTTTCTTGTCTCTCACTCCAACACCCATATTGACATCCCCAGCCTGCTGAGCCACAAAAGTGGTGTCTCATTGTTGCCATCGTTCATGTTCTTAACGTGACCACAGTGGTGTCCAAGGACAAGGAGTTTCTCACAACTTAAACTATTGAGTTGTCAAAGCAGGACTTCCTTTCCTGGAGTTATTGAAGACTGGAATCTTGCTGTGTTTCACGAAGAAATGGAAGAAGGTCCTTTGCCCTGCATTGTCACTGGACACCACAGTGGTGCTGTCTTGTGCTTCTGTGTCTCCAGGAATTCCTTATGAAAATGGTCTTTCAACTTCTACACACAGCACTGCTTTTGGAGAAGTTCAAGCCCAAGTCCATGGAGTAGGCCATGGGATCACTGTTTGAAACAGACGCCATGATATTCTTCTCCACACCCTACCCTGAAAGTTGAGAAGTGAAGACAAATTAGGAAAGTTGGTGGTGCTTCAGGTTCAGAGCAATGAGGGCCTACATGAAGGCAGCGCGGTAATGGGGATGAAAAGGAGGTTAGAAAGATTTACTGGGACTGGGAATTCTAGTGCCAACTTGGTGATGAAGAGGAGGAAATCACTTTTAGATCTGTTGGGTGAGGTAACTGGGCAACATTTGAGTAGAGATATTGAATAAATACATGGGATCAATGCTCAGGAGAAAGGTTGAGACTAAAGTTGACTTGAGAATTGTCACCTTATGTGGTACTTGGCCTGAGAGAGTGTGCAGAGTGAAAACTAAGGAGAACTGAGGATAGATCCTGGAGAAATCCAGGAGTCGATGAAATAGACTGAGGAAGAGGAGTCAGAGAGATTGGAGGACACCTGGAAGGGAGTGGTTGCACCAACACCAAAGAAGGTTTAGGGAAAGGAGCAGGCAGTTCTGTTAAGCATAGCCAAGTTCAAATTAAAGTTAGAAAAGTTGTCTTTTGATTATGGTTACAATGAGTCATGGTGATCTTACTAGGAAAATATTTTCAGTGAGGTAGTGGTTGCAAAATTGTTTTCTTTATGAAAAGGATTGTGCATCTTTTTTGGCCAGGCATGGTGGCTCATGCCTGTAATCCCAGTACTTTGGGAGGCTGAGGTGGGTGGATCACGAGGTCAGGAGTTCAAGACCAGCCTGGCCAAGATGGTGAAACCCCATCTCTACTAAAAATACAAAAATTAGCTGGGCACGGTGGTAGGCGCCTGTAATCCCAGCTACTCCAGCGGCTGAGGCAGAAGAATTGCTTGAACCTGGGCAGCGGAGGTTGCAGTGAGCCAAGATTACGCCACTGCACTCCAGTCTTTCTCAAAAAAAAAAAAAAAAAAAAAAAAAGAAGAAAAGAAAAGAAAAGAAAGAAAAGGATTGTGCATCTTTTTCATTTGGGCCAACTGAATAAGTTGGAAGAGTTGAGAAAAATGCATTGATTACTGGAATTTTTCATGGTAGCTGGAAATAGGGAGATCATGAGGAAATTAAAAAATAGGCATACATTTAATTTTTCATCAAAAGATTCTATTTTATTCTCAAGAAATCTTTCATCAGAACTCCTAGAAAGTTGACTGTCTCACTGTCCTTCCTTTCCTTTTCTTTTCTTTTGAATTTTCTAGCAGAACCATAGAACTAGACATTTTATGTCTTTATTTGATAGTTTTCTCAATGAAGTTATGAAGGCTCTTCTGTTTTTAGGCAGAGCATGCATAGTTTTACTGTGGAACATTGTATTTGATTATGATTTACTAGTTGCCCTCTCAGAACTTCAGTTTTCTCATCTGCAGAAGAAGAGTAATAATTGACATCTTGTAGATAGTTGTGATGATTAAATGAAATAATGTAAGAAAAGCACAGGGCCCCTTTTAACTATACAATAAATGTTAATTACTATGTATAAAAGAATCTACTATTTGAGGGCCTAATGGGATTTTTTCTTTTAAAGGGAGAGATTTAAAGCAATTATATTTCAATCTCTATATAACTGTCAACACCATGAATCTTCCAAAGCGCAAAGAAGTTATTTGCCGAGGATCTGATGACGATTACTCTTTTTGCAGAGCTCTGAAGGGAGGTAAGTATTCAGTTCATATTACTTTTAGAATAGGAAATAATTCTTTATGAAAATGTTATGAAAATTAAATACATTGAAAATGGGAAGTTCCTTTTCTGCTAATAATTCTTTTTCCATCCAAAGTTTTTACTTTAGCAGCTTAAATAACATTTTATAACTATATACTTGAACTGTTAGGATGACACTTACATGATTTGTATTATTAATATTTTTCATAGTAACCCACCAGATTTTCTATACAGTCCTTGGTTTCTTTAGTGACTTCTGCCTTTATGTTCCTCCTTGGAATTATTTACAGAATAATAACATTCAGAAATTAGGACCCTTACAGAGATCTTGCACCAAGGGATAAAAAAATAAAAAATAAAAATGAATAAAAAAAAGGAATTACCACTTTAGAGCTATATTCCAGCTTTTCCATTTACCAGCAATGTGACTTTTGGCATGTTATTAATATTTAACCTTTCTTGGCCTCATTTTCCTCAGCTATAAAATGGGAAAGTAAAACACATCATACATAGTTTTAAGAATTAAATTTGAGAATGTATGTTAAAAAAAAAAGCCTAGTACAGTGTTCAGAATAAGAATCCTTCTTTTGTTATGAATTTTCCAGTCCTGTCATCTTTATAATGAGGGAACTGATGTTTGCAGTGGCTTAGTAATGTGTCCATGGTCATTTGGAGAACTAGTAACAGAGCAGCATCCTAACTCTAAGACATGACTCTCCTACTGTGTCATGCTTTCTCTTTGGAAAAAAAAAATCCCTTAGCAGATTACTGTTTTTTTTTTTAATTGTGCATTTCTTTTACACAATCTCTGTGGAATTACATTGATATTTTACCTGAATCTTCAAAGTTTCTCTTTCTTGAGACCTCAGAGGTGTCAGACTCAAATCAGCTTGTCTACTTCTTCTCTCCCTCCTCCCACTTTCTTCCATAAACATCTATTGAACCTAATTTGAGCAAATCGTGATTTACGTTCTGGTTATCTGAAGTTGAATGGTAGGATCTCCTTCCTCAGAAAGTTACTCTGGGGAAAACTGGATTGCCATATGCAGAAGAATAAAACTGGACCCCTAGCTCTCACCACATACAAAAATCAACTCAAGATGGATGAACAACTTAAGCATAAGATCTGCAATTACAAACATACTAGAAGAAACCTAGGAAAGATTCTTCTGGACATTGGTCTAGGCAAAGAATTTATGACAAAGATCTCAAAAGCACAGGCAATAAAGACAAAAGTAGACAAATGGGATTTAATTACATCAAAAAGCTTCTGCATAGCAAAAGAAATAATCAACGGAGTGAACAGACAACCTGTAGTATATGAGAAAAAATTCGCAAACTATTCATCCAACAGGGGACTAATATTCAGAATGTACAAAGAACTCAAGCAACTCAACAGCAACAACAAAAACAAATAACCCCATTAAAAAGTGGGAAGAGTGGCTAGGCGCAGTGGCTCACGCCTGTAATCCCAGCACTTTGGGATACCAAGGCAGGTGGATCATGAGGTCAGGAGTTCGAGACCAGCCTGGCCAACATAGTGAAACCCCATCTCTACTAAAACTACAAAAATTAGCCAGGTGTGGTGGCATGCGCCTGTAGTCCCAGCTACTTGAGAGGCTGAGGCAGGAGAATCGCTTGAACCCAGGAGGTGGAGGTTGCAGTGAGGCGAGACCATGCCATTGCACTCCAGCCCAGGTGACAGAGTGAGACTCCATCTCAAAAAAAAAAAAAAAAAAAGTGGGAAAAGGACATGAATAGACACTTATAGATACTTTTCAAAAGAACAGATAGAAATGGTCAATAGGTATATTACTAATCATCAGAGAAAAGCAAATTAAAGTTGCAATGAGATATCATCTTACCCCAGCCAGAATGGCTATTCTTAAAAAGACAAAAAGTAACAGATGTTAGCAAGAATATGGAGAAAAAAGAACTCATCCATTTTTGGTGGGAATGTAAATTAGTATAGTCTATGGAAAGCAATATGGAGATTTATCAAAGAACTAAAAATAGAACCACCATTCCATCTAGCAATTTCACTACTAGGTATCTACTCAAAGGAAAAGAAATCAATATATCAAAAAGATACCTGCACTCATATGTTTATTGCACTAGTCACAATAGCAAAGATATGGAATTTACCTAAGTGTCCATCAACAGACAAATGGGTAAATAAAATGTGGTATATTTACACAATGGAATACTATTAAGCCATTAAAAAAATGAAATCATGTATTTTTCAGCAACATGGATGGAACTAGAGGCCATTATCTTAACTGAAACAAACCAGGCACAGAAAGTCAAATATTGCATGTTCCCACTCATAAGTGGGTGCTAAAAAATGTGTACACATGTACTACAGAGTGGAATGATAGTGAAGAGTTGGAAGGGTGAGGGGGTGGATGATGTAAAATTAGTTAATGGGTATATGTTACTTGGGTGATGGGCACCCTAAAAGCCCTGACTTGACCACTACACAACCTATGCAGGTAATGAGATTGCACATGTACCTGGTAAATCAGTATAAATAAATAAATAAAAAAGTCACTCCATTCTGGGAAAGACAGTTATAAGAACAAAATTTATAATAAAATTATGTGTAATTTTATTGTAAATTGATTATAGGTATGAGCCATTGCCATACAATAAAATTATATTTACATATAATTTTTTTGTAAAATTATTGTAAATTTTTTGTAAATTTATTGTAAAAAGGTGTATGTAAATAACATATAGTTCTATTAGCAATAGAACTATATGTTATTGGTTTTAACTATATAATTACTAAATAACTGTGGCAGAAAAACTGGGATAAGTTTTTTTTTTGAGACAAGATCTTATCTTGTGGCTCTGTCACCCAGATTAGAGTGCAGTGGTGCAACCATAGCTCACTGCAGCCTCAAACTCCTGGGCTGAAGTCATCATCTAGTCACAGCCTCCTGAGTAGCAAGGACTACAGGCACAGATCACCATGTCCAGCTAATTTTTTTTTCTTTTTTTTTGGAGTCAGAATCTCACTCTGTCACCCAGGTTGGAGTGCAATGGCACAATCTCAGCTCACTGCAACCTCCACTTCCCGGGTTCAAGTGATTCTGCCTCAGCCTCCCGAGTAGCTGGGACTACAGGCGTGTGTCACCATGCCCGGCTAATTTTTGTATTTTTAGTAGAGACAGGTTTTCATCATGTTAGCCAGGCTGGTCTCAAACTCCTGACCTCAGGCCATCTGCCTGCCTCGGCCTCCCAAAGTGCCTCCCAAAGTGCTGAGATTACAGGTGTGAGCCACCGCACCTGGCCCTAATTTTAAATTTAATTTTATTTTAATTAAAAAATAGAGATAAGGTCTCACCATCTTGCCCAGGCTGGTGTTGAACTCCTGGGCTCAAGTGATCCTCCTGCCTCAGCTTCCCAGAGTGCTGGGATTACAGGTGTGAGCCATTGCTCCTGGACATTTTTAAATTTTTTGTAGAGACAGGGTCTCACTATGTTGCCCAGGCTGGTCAGACAAGCCTTCAATAGAGTATTTTATTAGGGTCTTGAATCTGAGAACATCAGAGGGTGAGGGGGAAAAACATTCCCTGGAGAGGAAACAGCATGTACAAACACATCTAGTCATGAAAGAGTATGGTTTATTTGGAGAGTAGTTTTTTTGTAGTTGGAGCAGAATGTGCTTGTGGGGAATTGCTGGAGATGAGCCTAGAAAAGGGGGCAGTGTGAGCATGTAACTCATGCGCAAAATATTGGCCGGTATCCTATAGTCAGTGGGCAGGGATGACCCACTGAGATTTCCATTTTTACAGATAACTAGCATCCATATGGCAGGAGGTGGGGGTAGGCTGAGGCAGGAAACTTGGGTGGAAGGAAGAGCATCCAGGAGGCTCTGTGAGAGACCATGAGGGCTGAACGAGACGGCGGCCAGGGAGTAGCAGGGAGGAGATGAAAGAGAGATTTTTGGGAGACAGAATAGGCAGGATACACTGATTTAATGTGGCAGGCAAGGATTAGGTAAAATCAAGACCCTCTTGGGCTGGGTGCCTGTAATCCTAGCACTTTGGGAGGCTGAGGCTAGGAGTTTGGGGCCAGCCTGGGCAAGGAGGTGAAACACCATCTCTGAAAAAAAAAAAAAATTAGCTGGGTGTGGTGGTACCAGCCTTTAGTCCAGCTACTTGGGACTGAGGTGGGAGGATCACTTGCACCCAGGAGGTCTTGGCTAGCTGTGATCCACCGCTGCACTCCCTGACTTAAAAAAAAAAAAAGAAAAAAAAAAAAGCACCACACTTGAGGGCCAGTGACTGGATGTATGGAAGTGCCATTATCTGAGATGATGTGTACAAAAGAACAGGCAGGTTTTTTTTTTTTTTTTTTTAAAGGGAAACATAATGAGTTCTGGCTTGGGCATGTTAAGCTCAAGGTAATTTTGGAATATTCAAATAAACATGGCCATCTGGCAGCTGAGTATGTGGGCCCAGAACTTAGGACTTTCTGATTTAAGAAGCATTGACGTATCAAGAGACCCTTGAAATTTGGGAGTCGAATTTGCAAGTACCATACATATCTATGTTTAAAATAATTTTCCTTTTGGTTGTTATAAAAGTTATACATCTTTATGATATGATATTTAGAAAATATGGACAAGCAATTATAAAGTAAAAGTTACCCATAATCTCACCAGTTTACACACACACACACACACACACACACACACACACATATATCTGTTTCTCTCAAAAACACATTTATGAATCAATGGATGGATATTTCAAAGCATCTTAAATTTAATAAGCCTGGGCTGGGCACGGTAGCTCATGCCTGCAATCCCAGCACTTTGTGAGGCCAAGGGAGGTGGGCTGCTTGACATCAGGAGTTTGAGAACAGCCTGGGCAACATGGTAAAATGCCGTCTCTACCAAAAATACAAAAATTAGCTGGGTCTGGTTGTGCATGCCTGTGGTCCCAGATACTTGAGAGGCTGAGGCGGGAGGATCACTGGAGCTTGGGCAGTGGAGGCTGCAGTGAGCCGTGATTGCACCACTGCACTCCAGCCTGGGCAACAGAGCAAGATCCTGTTTAAAAAAAAATTCATAAGCCTGTAAGTTCTGTTACCGGGATTTTGCTGGGGCTGCTGTTACTAAGTACCATAAACTGAATACCTTAGAAAAACAGAAATTTATCATGTAACAGCTCTGGAGTCCAGAAGTCTGAAACCAAGATAACGAGGCCATGCTCCCTCTGTAGGAGCTAGGCATGGATCTGTTCCAGGCCTCTCTCCTAGCTTCTGGTGGCCTAAGGCATGTCTTGCCTTGTAGATGGTCATCTTCTTCCTGGGTCCTTTCACTGTGGTCTTCCCTCCTATGTTTGTCTATCTCAGTGTCCAAATTTCCCCTTCTTAATAAGGACACTTGCATATTGGACTAGGGCCCACCCTAATGACCTCATTTTAACTTGATTATCTGCAAAGATCCTGTTTCTAAATAAGGTCATGTTCACAGGCACTGGAGGTTAGGGCTTCAACATATCTTTTTGGGGGACACAATTCAATGTACAATACCATCTGAGGCTCAGATCCCGCCCCCTGCATAGCTGCCAGGAAAACTAGACTGGACCATGAGTGAGCTGCATGGATACCTTTTGAGAAGAGGAGAGGAGAGCCTAAGAAGGGGTTCTGTTCTCCCTCGCCCTGCCTCAGTTCCCTCTTGCCTTCTTCAATGTGGGCAAAGCTTCAAGCTAACTTCCTAAGAAAAGAATGGAAGGGTCCGTTCCAAGATGGCCAAATAGGAGCAGCTCCAGTCTGCAGCTCCCAGCGTGATCGACACAGAAGACAGGTGTTTTCTGCATTTCCAACTGAGGTACCTGGTTCATCTCACTGGGACTAGTTGGACAGTGGGTGCAGCCCACAGAGGGCAAGCCAAAGCAGGGTGGGGCATTGCCTCACCCAGGAAGTGCAAGGGGTCAGGGGATTTCCCTTTCCTAGCCAAAGGAAGCTGTGACAGACTGTACCAGGAAAATTGGGACACTCCCACCTTAATACTGCACTTTTCCAATGGTCTTAGCAAACAGCACACCAGGAGATTATATCCTGTGCATGGCTCAGTGGGTCCCATGCCCACAGAGCCTTGCTCACTGCTAGCACAGCAGTCCAAGATTGAACTGCAAGGCAGCAGCCTGGCTCGGGAGGGGCGTCCGCCATTGCTGAGGCTTGAGTAGGTAAACAAAGAGGCCTGAAAGCTCGAACTGGGTGGAGCCCACCACAGCTCAACGAGGCCTGCCTGCCTCTGTAGACTCCACCTCTGGGGGCAGGGTATAGCTGAACAAAAGGCAGCAGAAACTTCTGCAGACTTAAAGGTCCCTGTCTGACAGCTCTGAAGAGAGCAGTGGTTCTCCCAGCATGGTGTTTGAGCTCTGAGATCGGACAGACTGTCTCCTCAAGTGGGTCCCTGACCCCTGTGTAGCCTAACTCGGAGACACCTCCTAGTAGGGGCTTACTGACACCTCATACAGCTGGTGCCCCTCTGAGATGAAGCTTCCAGAGGAAGGATCAGGCAGCAATATTTGCTGATCTGCAATATTTACTGTTCTGCAATATTTACTGGTCTGCAGCCTCCGCTGGTGATACCCAGGCAAACAGGGTCTGGAGTGGACCTCCAGCAAACTCCAACAGACCTGCATCTGAGGGTCCTGACTCTTAGAAGGAAAGCTAACAAACAGAAAGGAAGAGCACCAACATCAACAAAAAGGACATCCACACCAAAACCCCATCTGTAGGTCACCATCATCAAAGACCAAAGGTAGGTAAAACCACAAAGATGGGGAGCAACCAGAGCAGAAAAGCTGAAAATTCTAAAAACCAGAGTGTCTCTTCTCCAAAGGATCGCAGCTCCTCGCCAGCAACGGAACAAAGCTGGATGGAGAATGACTTTGATGAGTTGACAGAAGAAGGCTTTAGAAGGTCAGTAATAACAAACTTCGCTGAGCTAAAGGAGGATGTTCGAACCCATCGCAAGGAAGCTAAAAACCTTGAAAAAGGATTGGATGAATGGCTAACTAGAATAAACAGTGTAGAGAAGACCTTAAATGACCTGATGGAGATGAAAAGCGTGGCACGAGAACTACATGACACATGCAGAAGCTTCAGTAGCCAATTCGATCAAGTGGAAGAAAGGGTATCAGTGATTGAAGATCAAATTAGTGAAATGAAGCAAGAAGAGAAGTTTAGAGAAAAAAGAGTAGTAAGAAATGAACAAAGCCTCCAAGAAACATGATACTATGTGAAAAGACCAAATCTACATTTGATTGGTTACCTGAAAGTGATGGTGAGAATGGAACCAAGCTGGAAAACACTCTTCAGGATATTATCCAGGAGAACTTCCCCAATCTAGCAAGGCAGGCCAACATTCAAATTCAGGAAATACAGAGAACACCACAAGGTACTCCTCGAGAAGAGCAACCCCAAGACAGATAATTGTCAGATTCACCAAGGTTGAGATGAAGGAAAAAATGTTAAGGGCAGCCAGAGAGAAAGGTCAGGTTATCCACAAAGGGAAGCCCATCAGACTAACAGTGGATCTCTTGGCAGAAACTCTACAAGCCAGAAGAGAGTGGTGGCCAATATTCAACATTCTTAAAGACAAGAATTTTCAACCCAGAATTTCATACCCAGCCAAACTAAGCTTCACAAGTGAAGGAGAAATAAAATCCTTTACAGACAAGCAAATGCTGAGAGATTTTGCCACCACCAGGCCTGCCTTACAAGAGCTCCTGAAGGAAGCACTAAACATGGAAAGGAACAACTGGTACCAGCCACTGCAAAAATATGCCAAATTGTAGCGACTATTGATGCTAGGAAGAAACTGCATAAATTAACGAGCAAAATAACAAGCTAACATCATAATGACAGGATCAAATTCACACATAACAATATTAACCTTAAATATAAATGGGCTAAATGCCCCAATTAAAAGACACAGACTGGCAAATTGGATAAAGAGTCAAGACGTATCAGTGTGCTATATTCAGGAGACCCATCTCACATGCAGAGACACACATAGGCTCAAAATAAAGGGATGGAGGAAGATCTACCAAGCAAATGGAAAGCAAAAAAAAATAAAAAAAATAAATAAATAAACAGGGGTTGCAATCCTAGTCTCTGATAAAACAGACTTTAAACCAACAAAGATCAAAAGAAACAAAGAAGACAATTACATAAAGGTAAAGGGATCAATTCAACAAGAAGAGCTAACTATCCTAAATATATATGCACCCAATACAGGAGCACCCAGATTCATAAAGCAAGTCCTTAGAGACCTACAAAGAGACTTAGACTCCCACACAATAATAATGGGATACTTTAACACCCCACTGTCAATATTAGACAGATCAATGAGACAGAAGGTTAACAAGGATATCCAGGACTTGAACACAGTTCTGCACCAAGCAGACCTAATAGACATCTACAGAACTCTCCACCCCAAATCAACAGAATATACATTCTTCTCAGCACCACATTGCACTTATTCCAAAATTGACCACATAGTTGGAAGTAAAGCACTCCTCAGCAAATGTAAAAGAACAGAAATCACAACAAACTGTCTTTCAGACCACAATGCAATCAAATTAGAACTCAGGATTAAGAAACTCACTAAAAACTACACAACTACATGGAAACTGAACAACCTGCTCCTAAGTGACTACTGGGTACATAACGAAATGAAGGCAGAAATAAAGATATTCTTTGAAACCAATGAGAACAAAGACATAACGTACCAGAATCTCTGGGACACATTTAAATCAGTGTGTAGAGGGAAATTTATAGCACTAAATGCCCACAAGAGAAAGCAGAAAAGATCTAAAATCGACACCCTAACATCACAATTAAAAGAACTAGAGAAGCAAGAGCAAACACATTGAAAAGCTAGCAGAAGGAAAGAAATAACTAAGATCAGAGCAGAACTGAACGAGATAGAGACAAAAAAACCCTTCAAAAAATCAATGAATCCAGGAGCTGATTTTTTGAAAAGATCAACAAAATAGATAGATTGCTAGCAAGACTAATGAAGAAAAGAGAGAAGAATCAAATAGACGCAATAAAAAATGATAAAGGGGATATCACCACCGTTCCCACAGAAATACAAACTACTATCAGAGAATACTATAAACACCTCTATGCAAATAAACTAGAAAATTTAGAAGAAATGGATAAATTCCTGGACACATACACCCTCCCAAGACTAAACCAGGAAGAAGTCGAATCCCTGAATAGATCAATAACAAGTTCTGAAATTGAGGCAATAATTAATAGCCTACCAACCAAAAAAAGTCCAGGACCAGACAGATTCACAGCCAAATTCTACCAGAGGTACAAAAAGGAGATGGTACCATTTCTTCTGAAACTATTCCAATCAATAGAAAAGGAGGGAATCCTCCCTAACTCATTTTATGAGGCCAGCATCATCCTGATACCAAAGCCTGGCAGAGACACAACAAAAAAAGAGAATTTTAGACCAATATTCCTAATGAACATCGATGAGAAAATCCTCAATAAAATACTGGCAAACCAAATCCAGCAACACATCAAAAAGCTTATGCGCCAAGATCAAGTTGGCTTCATCCTTGGGATGCAAGGCTGGTTCAGCATACACAAATCAATATACGTAATTCATCACATAAACAAAACCAAAGACAAAAATCACACGATTATGTCACTAGATGCAGAAAAGGCCTTCGACAAAATTCAACAGCCTTTCATGCTAAAAACTCTCAATAAACTAGCTATTGATGGAACGTATCTCAAAATAATAAGAGCTATTTATGACAAACCCACAGCCAATATCATACTGAATGGGCAAAAACTGAAAGCATTCCCTTTGAAAACTGGCACAAGACAGGGATGCCTCTCTCACCACTCCTACTCAACATAGTGTTGGAAGTTCTGGCCAGGACAATAAGGCAAGGGAAAGAAATAAAGGGTATTCAATTAGGAAAAGAGGATGTCAAATTGTCCCTGTTTTCAGATGACATGATTGTATATTTGGAAAACCCCATCATCTCAGCCCCAAATCTCCTTAAGCTGATAAGCAGCTTCAGCAAAGTCTCAGGATATAAAATAATGTGCAAAAATCACAAGCATTCCTATACACCAATAACAGACAAACAGAGAGCCAAATCATGAGTGAACTCCCATTCACAATTGCTACAAAGAGAATAAAATATCTAGGAATCCAACTTACAAGGGTTGTAAAGGACCTCTTCAAGGAGAATTACAAACCACTGCCCAACGAAATAAAAGAGGACACAAACAAATGGAAGAACATTCCATGCTCATGGATGGGAGGAATCAATATTGTGAAAATGGCCATACTGCCCAAGGTAATTTATAGATTCAATGCCATCCCCATCAAGCTACCAATGACTTTCTTCACAGAATTGGAGAAAACTACTTTAAAGTTCATCTGGAACCAAAAAAGAGCCTGCATTGCCAAGACAATCCTAAGCAAAAAGAGCAAAGCTGGAGGCATCATGCTACCTGACTTCAAACTATACTACAAGGCTACAGTAACCAAAACAGCATGGTACTGGTACCAAAACAGAGATATAGACCAATGGAATAGAACAGAGGCCTCAGAAATAACACCACACATCTACAATCATTTGATCTTTGACAAACCTGACAAAAACAAGCAATGGGGAAAGGATTCCCTATTTAATAAATGGTGCTGGGAAAACTGGCTAGCCATATGTAGAAAGCTGAAACTGGATCCTTTCCTTAAATCTTATACAAAAATTAATTCAAGATGGATTAAAGACTTAAATGTTAGACCTAAA
Source organism: Homo sapiens (assembly GCF_000001405.40). Taxonomy (NCBI): domain Eukaryota; kingdom Metazoa; phylum Chordata; class Mammalia; order Primates; family Hominidae; genus Homo; species Homo sapiens. Next base: position 74,020,955 of record NC_000008.11, read on the forward strand.
ACCATAAAAGCCCTATAAGAAAACCTAGGCAATATGATTCAGGACATAGGCATGGGCAAGGACTTTATGACTAAAACACCAAAAGCAATGGCAACAAAAGCCAAGATAGACAAATGGGATCTAATTAAACTAAAGAGCTTCTGCACAACAAAAGAAACTGTCATCAGATTGAACAGGCGACCTACAGAATGGGAGAAAATTTTTACAATCTACCCGTCTGACAAAGGGCTGATATCCAGAATCTACAAAGAACTTAAACAAATTTACAAGAAAAAATCAAACAACCCCATCAAAAAGTGGGCAAAGGATATGAACAGACACTTTTCAAAAGAAGACATTTATGCAGCCAAGAGACACATGAAAAAATGCTCATCATCACTGGTCATCAGAGAAATGCAAATCAAAACCACAATGAGATACCATCTCACACTGGTTAGAAAGGCGATTGTTAAAAAGTCAAGAAACAATAGGTGCTGCAGAGGATGTGGAGAAATAGGAATGCTTTTACACTGTTGGTGGGAGTGTAAACTAGTTCAACCATTGTGGAAGACAGTGTGGCAATTCCTCAAGGATCTAGAACTAGAAATACCATTTGACCCAGCCATCCCACTACTGGGTATATACCCAAAGGGTTATAAATCATGCTACTATGAAGACACATGCACACGTATGTTTATTGCAGCACTATTCACAACAGCAAAGACTTGGAACCAACCCAAATGTCCATCAATGATAGACGGGATTAAGAAAATGTGGCACATATACACCATGGAATACTATGCAGCCATAAAAAACGATGAGTTCATGTCCTTTGTAGGGACATGGATGAAGCTGGAAACCATCATTCTGAGCAAACTATTGTAAGGACAGAAAACCAAACACTGCATATTCTCACTCATAGGTGGGAATTGAACAATGAGAACACTTGGACACAGGGCAGGGAACATCACACACCAGGGCCTGTCATGGGGTGGGGGGCTGGGGGAGGGATAGCATTAGGAGAAATACCTAATGTAAATGACTAATTAATTGGTGCAGCAAACCAACATGGCACATGTATACATATGTAAGAAATCTGCACATTGTGCACATGTACCCTAGAACTTAAAGTATAATTTAAAAAAAAAAGAAAAGAAAAGAATGGAAGGTATGAGCAAGATATGAGCTTTCTTGGCAGGCACAGTGGCTCAAGCCTGTAATCCCAGCACTTTGGGAGGCCGAGGCGGGCAGATCACTTGAGGTTAGGAGTTCCAGACCAGCCTGGCCTACATGGTGAAACCCAGTCTGTACTAAAAATACAAAAGTAGATGGGTGTGGTAGCACATGTTTGTAATCCCCGCTACCACCCGGGAGCCTGAGGCAGGAGAATCACTTGAATGAAGGCAGAGGTTGCGGTGAGCCAAGATCCCACCACTGCACTCCAGCCTGGGCTACACAGTGAGACTCCAGTCTCAAAAAAAGAAAAACCAAAAAAAAAGATAGCTTTCTAAGACAGACAAAACAATTGAAAAACAAAAAAAAAAGGGTTCTATCCAACAGAAGAGGTTAGAACTCCTTCCACCTACCTGAACTGCTAAGTGTTAGGACAGTCTCCCTTAATAGAAATCTAGGGTTTTTTCTTTTTTTCTTTTTTTTTTTTTTTGTGACAGGGTCTCGCCCTGTCGCCCAGGCTGGAGTGCAATGGCGCAGTCTCAGCTCACTGCAACCTCTGCCTCCCAGGTTCAAAAGATTCTCCTGCCCCAGCCTCCCCAGTAGCTGGGATTATAGGTGCATGCCACCACGCCCAACAACTTTTTTTGTATGTTTAATAGAGATGGAGTTTCACCATGTTGGCCAGGCTGGTCTCAAACTCCTCACCTCGTGATCAGCCCACCTCGGCCTCCCAAAGTGCTGGGATTACAGGCGTGAGCCACTGTTCCTGGTCTAGTGGTTGTTCTTAATTTCTTTCTCATATCCTCAAGTCTCATCCATCTTCCTCCCCTGCCCCTTACACAAAGTTTACAGAGTTGGCTTTATGACCAGAGTCCAGGGCCCCATATACGGAAGGGCCCCATGCTTGGGGTTTAATGCCCTGTGATCATAGTCTTGAAATTCTTAATAATTTTATCTTTGAGTGTGTGTTTTGTGTAAGTGAAATCTAATGAGATGATGAGGTATGAACCCACCTTCCCTGGACCGGTTCTTGGTTCCCGCTGCCCACTTCCCTGCTGGCACCATGGGATCCCCTCCCCTCTTCTGTCCAGTGCAACCTGCTACCCTCTGCTCCTGGTGAAATCCTGGCTACAGGGAGGGTCAGGATCCGGTGTGGGTGCCCTGCAGTATCTTGGGTGGGCATGACAGTGGCTGCCCTACCTGGGCTGGCAGCACCACAGCCCTGTTCAGCAGCTGACTAGTTGGGCACACCATCCCCTGCCCCACCCCGAAACAGGTAGTGTGTGGAGGTATTGCATGGAGGTTGCAGTGCGTTGAGAGTCACTGTTGAATAGCAGGCCTGTGGGAAAGAAAGGTACTTGCTTGGACTTCCTGCCTCTCACAGGAGCATGGGGCATCTGGCAGTTTGTGGAAGGAGGACGCTGACAGGCAACTCTCAGGCCCAAGCTTGCACAGGAGCCCCCAGTCGTGGAGGAGCCCCTGGGTGTTTCTGCACTCACCTATGCTGCTTGCTGAGGGGTCATTCCCTCAGGCTGTTCCATGTCTTGGGGACCTTCTCTTTCTCCGTTCAAATTTCCTGCCTCTGGCTTGTGTTAGTTTCCTCTGGCCAGCTCGAGGCACCCTCTGGGGTTGAGCAGGGAAAGACAAATTATGTAATCTCCGTGATTCTACCTTGAAGTTAAATGCTTTAATATTTGCATTTAAAACTGGCATTGTATTATAAAAAGATGAATAGTGAAATTCATACTAACAGTTTAAAATGTTCTCTTTATTACAAATGATATTAAATTGCAATAAAAACATTATGGCAAGTCTAGAGAGAGAAACACACAGAAGAAAGGAAAAAGTTTTATGTTCTAGTAACTTTAACAGGTTTCCCCCATCTTTTGAATAAGCAGCCTCATATTGTCATTTTGTGCTGGGCCTTGAAAATTATGTATTTAATTATGTAATGATGTATTGCATTACTTTTCATGGCAAAAACTGCAATTACTTTTACACCAACCTAATAGTTGATCCTGAAGCTGGGTACTGAGAATTAGGTGCTAGGTGCCAGATATCCAAATATCCAAAGCAAAACCCCGGTCCTCATGGAGATTATAGACTAGTGGAGAAAACAAGATCCTAATGAAGTAATAAAATAAAGAAAAGCAGAAAAATGAAATATGATTCAATTTGTGATAAATACTCTCAAAGAAACAAGCAAGTTAATGAGATAGAGCCTATTATTATTATATTATTATATAATATATACATATATGACTAATATATTAATGCATTAATATTCACAAGGTATGAATATGTTATTATTCACAAGATGCCATTGGAAGGAGGGTCTAGAAGGGAGAAGGAATAATATTAAATGTTATAAGTAACATTTAATGGTAATAATATTTAATAAGTGCTATGTCCTAGGCATTGTTCTTAGCACTTAACATGTATTAACTGGTATAGCCCTTGTAATAATCCTATGAGATACGTGTTATCGCCCATCAGCATTTTACTGAGGCATAGAAAAATTAAGTGACTGGCCTAAAGTTACACACCAAGTAGAGGAGCTGGGATTCAAACCCAAGCCGTTCTGGCCCCAGAGCCATCACTCTTACAAAGATGTTATCTTTATCCTTACTGCATCTTTCTCATTGCATATTGTATTTGGAATGGTTTCTTCTTATCATTTTAGGGGTCTTTTTTTGGTTTTTAAAAATTTTAATTTTATTTTAATTTAATGTATTTATTTTGAGACAAGGTCTCCCTGTCACCCAGGCTGGAGTGAAGTGGCACGAACACAGCTCACTGTAGCCTCTACCTACTGGGATCAAGTGATCCTCCCACCCTAGCCTCTCGAGTAACTGGGATTATAGGCACATGCACCACACCCATCTTTCTTTTATATATTTTGTACAGATAAGGCTTCACCATGTTGCCCAGGCTGGTCTTGAACTTCTGGGCTCAAGGGATCTACCCTCTTTGGCCTCCCAAAGTGTTGTGATTACAGGCATGAGCCACCGCTCACAGCTGGAATGGTTTCTTAAATATCTATATCTCCAATAGACTTTAGCTCTTTGAGAGAAGGGACAGAGTTGTACTACCATTGTCTTCCCAGGCCCTGGTGGGTAGTAGGCTTTCAATAAGTGAGTTGTTGAACTGTTAAATTTTGAATTGGATTGGCCTTGAATGAAAGATCATAAGATTATGAAGACATGATCACTTTACTGAGCTCAAGAAACACCTCAGGTATCAACTCCTTTAGTAAGGATACACCCGGCTAGGTGTGGTGGTTTATGTCTGTAATCCCAGCACTTTGGAAGGCCGAGGCAGGCAGATCACCTGAGGTTAGGAGTTCAATACCAGCCTGGCCAACATAGAGAAACTCTGTCTCTACTAAAAATACAAAAATTCGCCAGGCGTAGTGGTGGGTGTCTGTAATCCCAGCTACTGGGGAGGCTGAGGCAGGAGAATGGCGTGAACCCAGGAGGCGGAGCTTGCAGTGAGCCAAGATTGTGCCACTGCACTCCAGCCTGGGCGACAGAGCGAAACTCCGTCTCAAAAAAAAAAAAAAAAAAAAAGATACACCCTTTATCTGCTTTAAAGAAAGAGCAAAAAGAAAAGAAAAGACAGCTGGGCGCAGTGGCTCATGCCTGTAATCCCAGCACTTTGGAAGGCCAAGGCGGGCAGATCGCCTGAAGTTGGGAGTTCGAGACCAGCCTGGTCAGCATGATGAAACCCTGTCTTTACTAAAAATACAAAAATTAATCGGGTGTGGTGGCAGGCGCCTGTAATCTCAGCTACTCAGGAAGCCGAGGCAGGAGAATCTCTTGAACCCGTGAGGCAGAGGTTGCAGTGAGCTGAGATCACGCCATTGTACTCCGGCCTGGGCAACAGAGTGAGACTCCATCTCAAAACAAAGAAACAAACAAAAACAGAAAGAGGATACATCCAGAAGTAAATAAATAAATGCTTACTTGTGAGACTAGAAGTATACATGCAGACATTAATTATTTACTTCTGAGAACAATATTATAGTTTTTGATTTAACTATATTAAAAATATTTTTGGCCACTGTTTCTTTTGTTTGAGATTCAAAACATACATTTCTATCTTTACCCCACCACATTCACTACTTTGTTCTGACTGGAACAGTAGGATGTGCATTTTTCTGCACTTTTGACTCTGTGCTCCACAGCTTGTGTGGGGCCAGGCCCGTGGCTATGCACTTAAACAGAAGCTAACTTGAGCTTCTCAGTGGTGTAATTGGGAGGAGCTTCAGTATTCTGGCTGCCTCCAAAATATCTCATCTGTCTTTGCAAGATTGTTCTCTATTATACCCAGCTTAATGTGCATCAATATCTCTGAAAACTAGTTTGCAATGCACATATGTAACTTGTTCTGAAGCATATTAGCACTAGCTTGTTCATCGTTTATTCATTATTGAGACCAGCAGGTCTTAATAGTTTGTGTCCCCTAAGGGATAAGGTAGGGGCAGGTGTACAGAGAGGCTCTAGGGGCGGAGAAAGGAAGCCACAGGAGAATAGCAGCCAGGGTATAAAAGATTCATTATTTTTCTACAGTTTTGCTTGGGACTGCGTCTGTCAGTAGTTAAGGTATACTCCATGCTACCAAGAAAAAAATATCACCTAACCGTGACCAATAACGTTTTGTATTTTATATTTTGTTTGCAGAGACTGTGAATACAACAATATCATTCTCCTTCAAGGGAATAAAATTTTCTAAGGTATTGTTCAAGATTTATTTTGTACTGTCTAACCTTTAGCAGTAATAGACATGTTAAGCATTTGAAACAAGCAATTCACAACTTCTTCCTTTTTCTTTCTTTTTTTTTTTTAAATGGGATCTCAGTCTGTTACCCAGGCTGGAGTGCAGTGGCACGATCTCTGCTCACTGCAACCTCCACCCGCCAACCCCCACCCCAAGCAATCCTCCTGCCTTAGCCTCCTGACTAGCTGGGACTACATGTCCATGCCACAATGCCAGCTAATGTTTTGTACTTTTGGAAGAGACGCGGTTTCACCATGTTGCCCAGGTTGGTCTTGAATTCCTGAGCTCAAGCGATCCACTCCGCTTAGCCTCCCAAAGTGCTGGGATTACAAGTATGGGCAGTTGTGCCCAGCTGACAATTTCATGAATAGCAGTTCGAGATTAAGATGTTCAGGGTTTTTTCTTTCACTTTTATTTAGAATTAGCTTTTTTTTTTTTTTTTTAACTGAGTCTTGCTCTGTTGCCCAGGCTGGAGTGAAGTGTGTTCTGGACTCACTGCAACTTCCGCCTCCCAGGTTCAGGTGATTCTGTGCCTCAACCACCCGAGTAGCTGGGATTACAGGCACATGCCACTATGCCCAGCTAATTTTTTTATTTTTAGTAGAGATGGGGTTTCACCATGTTGCCCAGGCTGGTCTCAAACTCCTGGCCTCATGTGATCCACCCACCTTTGTTCCTGGACCAAACTGAGGGTCGGGCTGCCATTTCTCGCAGCCCAATAGCAAGATGCAGATGAACTGGGGAGGAAGAGAGCTTTTATTTCTGTAACTGGTTACAGGGAGAAGGTCTGGAAATTATCGCCAGACCAACTCAAAATTACAAAGTTTTCAGAGCTTATATACATTCTAAGGTATATGTCTATGTGTAAGTGTGCATTCATCTGAAGACACAAGTGATTAACTTCTTTTAATCTATAATTAAGGTCTGAGTCCTGAAGACCTTCATCTGGAGCCTCAGGAACTTTACTTAATCTAAATGGGTCTGGGTGCTGGGGTGATTACCTTTATCTTGTCTCCTGCTAAATCATGGAGGTTTGAGGAGTTCCTTCAGACCCCCAGTAAACTTGGTTGTGGAAGCCTGGGGAGTTTCTTCGGACCCACAATAAAACTCGATTGATCCTAAATGGGTCCTATTAAGAATTTCTTAGTTATTTTGTTATGGTTTAAGAAAGCCTTAAAGGAAGGGCCTGGGCAAAACTCCTGATGGGCTTTTGTTACATCCCATCCTTTGCATAAGGGCGCTGGCTTTAAATATTTAACTTAACCACTCAGTACTGAAACAGTTGTTAGTGAGACCTGGCCTTGGCCTCCCAAACTGCTGGGATTATAGGTGTGAGCCACCACACCCAGCCTTAGTATTAGGTCTTTTGGTATTTTTTCTTTCTGTAGACTATGGAAAAATTGCACAAAACATAGCATTTTTTTCCGCTTCATTTTTTTTTCCCTCTAACATACATGGGCAAAAGTAATTTGAATGCAAGTGCTCATTACTAATCTGTTGAACAGTCTTCAGATGAAAGCACTGGATGACCATTGTGTATAAGCCAGTAAATCTCTATAACTATTCATGTAAATATAATGTGAACATTGTTTAGGAGAATAAAAATCACATAAATTACAGACTTTTTTTGTTCAAGATTTTTTTGGGAACTTAGTCTGGTCATCCATGCCTTTGTAAAAATAATTGCTGCCTCAATGAATAATACCATTGTGATTCTAGATATTTGCGTGACATATCTAGTAATGAGATTTTATGCATTTTACTTATGGTGACCATTTTAAAATAAAATTTAATAATGCATATTCTTTCATTATTTTGTTATAAACTAATATCTAATATTTCAAAACCTCTTAGGTTAGTTTTTAAAAATAACATAATCTTATAATTGGGAAATAAATGGGCTTTATGCTCATTTAATTCAAAGACATGGAAAATTTCGTCTCATTGGAAAACTATAAAATCAATCCAATTTAAATGGCTTTCTGCTAGTAAGAGAAAGTTCTTACAAAGCCTCTGAAATAGTAGCATCTAACATTTTGTATTACTTGTATTTCTTATACTTCATTTTAGGGAAAATACAAATGTGTTGTTGAAGCTATTTCTGGGAGCCCAGAAGAAATGCTCTTTTGCTTGGAGTTTGTCATCCTACACCAACCTAATTCAAATTAGAATAAATTGAGTATTTAAAAAAAAATTTAAAGGTATTGTTCCTGTTTTAAGGGTACCCAGGATTTGTTTTAATCAGATATGGTAGGATAGGAAGACACAGAAATGACTGTCATGAAGAAAGAAGCTTATCCTCACAGATCTCTAGGAAACGGAGGCATGGTGCATCATGCAGAGCCACCTGGGGAAGCACCAGTGTCTGTGAGAATGTGGAGGGAGGGGAAGAATGTGGGCAAGAGTGTTTGTTATGTTTTCCACAGGAAGCAATGGGCAAGGTAGGGTAAGTAATTGATATGGTTTGGCTGTGTCCCCATTCAAATCTCATCTTGAATTGTAGTTCCCATAATCCCCACATGTCATGGGGGACCCAGTGGGAGGTAATTGAATCATGGGGATGGTTACCTCCATGCTGTTCTCATGATAGTGAATGAGTTCTCATGAGATCTGATGGTTTTATAAGGAGCTTTCCCCACCCACCCCTTTTGCTCTGCACTTCACCTTCCTGCCACCATACGAAGAAGGACGCGTTTGCTTCCCCTTCTGCCATGATTGTTTCCTGAGGCCTCCCCAGCCCTGCAGAGCCGTGAGTCAGTTAAACCTCTTTCCTTTATTTTATTTATTGTTTTGAGATGGAGTCTCACTCTGTCACCCAGGCTGGAGTGCAGTGGCACCATCTCGGCTCACTGCAACCTCTGCCTTCCAGGTTCAAGTGATTCTCCTGCGTCAGCCTCCCAAGTAGCTGGGATTACAGGCACCTGCCATCACACCTGGCTAATTTTTGTATTTTTAGTGGAGATGGGGTTTCACCATATTGGTCAGGCTGGTCTTGAACTCCTGACCTCAGGTGATCGGACTCCCAAAGTGCTGGGATTACAGGCATGAGCCACTGCGCCCAACCTAAACCTCTTTCCTTTAGAAATTACCCAGTCTTGGGTATTTCTTCATAGTAGCGTGAGAATGGACTAATACAGCAGTGTTGACCTAAAAGGAAGAAGCTGAGACAGAATTAGTGTAAGTAGAGAGTTTATTTGGGCCAAGCTTGAGGACTGCATCCTGGGAGCATGGCAACTTGAGTTGCCCTGAATATATACTCCATAAATTAGCAGCAGTTACAAGAGGGTTTTTAAAGGGAAAGAAGAGGGAGTTTCTGAGTTGTTTACCAAGAATTTACATTAAAAAGGCTGGGTGCAGTGGCTCACACCTGTAATCCCATCAATTTGGGAGGCTGAGGCGGGCAGATCACCTGAGGTCAGGAGTTTGAGACCAGCCTGGCCAACATGGTGAAATCCTGTCTCTTCTAAAAATACAGAAATTAGCTGGGCCTGGTGGCATGCGCCTGTAATCCCAGCTACTTGGAAGGCTGAGGCAGGAGAATCGCTTGAACCCGGGAGGTGAAGGTTGTAGTGAGCCAAGATTGTGCCACTGCACTCCAGCCTGGCGACAGAAGTGTTTTTGGTGAAGTTTATAGAAACAAAAGGATGGGGTCTTTTCTGCTTGGAGACCCCTCTCTCTATATAGAGAAAGCTGTTTCTCTTTCTCTTCTCTTCTGCCTATTAAACCTCCACTCCTAAACTCCTCGTGTGTGTTTGTGTCCTAAGTTTTCCTGGTGAAAGATGACAAACCCTGGGTTTATACTCCAGACAACGTAGCAGCTTCATATTGGAGGTTCATCTGGGATACCAAAGTACAACATTCATTGAAACGGTGAGCAGAGGAGCAGACTCCAACTCTGTCCTTACATTTCAAGGCTGTCAGCCTCCATTTAAGAACCAAATCAAACCAACTACTGGGCCACCTTCAGCCATTTAAAAATGATTAGCATGGCTGCCAGCCTTATAAGACTTGGAGGACAGGCTTTCTGGAGAGAACATGGAGAATCCCCGAGTACCCATGGGTTGTTGGGCATATTGGCCCTGTTTGAACCAGCTTACTTTCAGAGAGGACTTAGCTGTTGCATGGGGCTGGAAGAGGTTTTGGAGCAACTGAGGATTTCTGGCTGGGGCTACCCCCGTGTTATCCAAAGGCTTCTGGACTGACCCCAGCTTCCGACCACCTGATAGGGTGTCAGTAATAGGATTGCCACCTTTCCTATTGTAATTTCCTCCTTTCCTGTCCATGACCACCATATCTCTCATCCTCTCTGTATGAAATCCGGAGTATATGCCGCCTGCTGGTCTTTTCCACTTGGAGACTATTTCTCTTTCTTTTCTCTTCTGCCTATTAAAACTCTGCTCCAAAATAACAAAAAACAAAAAGACACAAGGATGTGTTTTTTGCTAAAGAAAATGTAATTTTGCTGGGTGTGGTGGCTCACGCCTGTAATCCCAGCACTTTGGGAATCCAAAGCGGGCGCATCACAAGGTTAGGAGTTCGAGACCAGCCTGGCCAGTATGGTGAAACCCTGTCTCTACTGAAAATACAAAAATTAGCCGGGTGTGGTGGCGGGCACCTGTAGTCCCAGCTACTCAGGAGGCTGAGGCTGAGGCAAGAGAATTGCTTGAACCCAGGAGGCGGAGGTTGCGGTGAGCCGAGATCGTGCCACTACTGCACTCCAGCCTGGGCGACAGAGTGAGACTCTGTCTCAAAAAAAAAAAAAAAGTAATTTTTTTTTAGTTAAGTGACTATTTAAGAGTTGCTTTAGAGTAAAGGAAAAATTATACAGATAAAACTAAATGGATAAAGAGAAAAACTAAGCCCAGGCAACAAAGTTACCTCTGAGACCTGTGGTTACCAAGAAGACAGTCAATGTGGAGGAAGGGCAAAATGAAGCAACCATTAAAACCAGAGGGTAGCCAGGCATGGTGGCTTCTGCCTGTAATCGCACCACTTTGGGAGGCCGAGGTGGGTGGGTCACCTGAGGTCAGGAGTTCCAGACTAGCCTGGCCAAGACGGTGAAACCCTCATCTCTACTAAAAATACAAAAATTATCTGGTAGTGGTGGCGCACACCTGTAATCCCAGCTACTTTGGATGCTGAGGAGTGAGAATCTCTTGCACCCAGGAGGCAGAGGTTGCAGTGAGCCGAAATTGTGCCACTGCACTCCAGTGTGGGTGGCAGAGCAAGATCCTGTCTCAAAAAACAAAAACAAAACAAAACAAAAAAACAACCAACCAACCAAACATAAAACCCGAAAAGCCACAGGGGATTGTGTAAATGAATTGTTCCATTTTGTAGATTGGTATCATCATCTCCCTGAGAAACCTTTACTACAATTAAGGGAGGAGACCACCCCTCATATTGTCTTATGCCCAATTTCTGCCTCCAAAGGAAGAAGAAGTAAAAACTAAAAGGCAGAAATGAAATCCACAGGCAGACAGCCCGGCGTGCTGCGCCCTGGGCCTGGTAAAGATCAACCCCTGACCGATTCCAGACATTGTATGGAAAAGCATTGTGAAAATCCCTGTCCTGTTCTGTTCTGATTACCTGTGCTTGCAGCCCCCTGTTACGTACCCCCTGCTTGCTCAATCGATCACGACCCTCTTACGCGGACCCCCTTAGAGTTGTAAGCCCTTAAAAGGGACAGGAATTGCTCAGTCGGAGAGCTCGGTTTTTGGAGACGTGAGTCTGCCCGGTGCTTCCAGCTGAATAAAGCCCTTTCCTTCCACAACTTGGTGTCTGAGGGGTTGTTGTCTGCAGCTCATTCTGCTACACAATAAATTGTAAAAATAACTACTTTAAGGATAGAATCCTTAATTTTAAATGCTACAGAATGAAAGAGCTTGATTGGGTTGATGCAGGACCCACAGCTCACTATTAAACAATTGCTGGTGAATGTGTGTGATCCAAATACACAGGAGGTGATTCCTGAGGGAACAACCAGCCTAGTGTTTATCCTGAGAAGGAGATTGCCCAACTCTCCCTATAAAATGCCAAGTGGAACACCCCAGATGAAGCAGTTGATATGCTTCATATGCAAGCCATGTGGGACTGGCTTTATGATGACCCAAATATTCTCCAACAAAAATTTCTATTGCCCACATCATGGTAAATTTTGGGGTTTAGGGGGCCCTTTTTACATGGGCACCCTGGGTGACATTACTCCGGCAGAATCATACGACTATTTGAGCAGCCTTATCAAGTTTGCTGTCTCTTGTGGGTTTTACAGATGCTTAATAAAATATCAGGCATAATTAACAAAAAAAAAGATGGGTAAGGAGAAAGGGATTAAAAGAGCTCACCCCAGAACAGTGATATAATTTTTTGGATGGTTATTAAGAAAAGAAAGAAATAAAATGAAAATTGAGGGAGTTAAAACAAAGGCCTTTAAAACACTATTTGCCCCTAGATTGGAAAATATAAGAAAAATCCAAAGACAATGGTTATAATGAGAATGCTACGTTGCCTGGGGCAATACTGAGGCAAATTAAGATAAAGATTGACAAAAGGGACTGAGTCCTTTGGCCCAACCCCCTGCTGGGGGCCCATATCCTTTTGATATAGGGTCTTGCTCCCTGACGAATGCAAGGAGGAGAATACTTATGAGCAGGGGGCCTCTTTTTCCCCTAGGACTGATTCTAACTTTATAGAAGCTGCTAGATTCTGCAGTGCCTGATAGACAGCTCCCATCTAACCAGAGCTGTTTCACTTGTGAAGTTCGAAGGTGAACAAAGGACATCTTGTTTGGAAGGCTGCTGCTGTGGTTAAAGAGGAGTCAAGCAAATCTTTTTCTTTTGAATTATTTATTGTTTAGAGCAATTAAGTGAAGAATGTTTTTGTGAGCAAGTTTACTTTTCTCTCTGAGCTCTCCAGAATTCAGAAACTGTTCATGGGTATTCTGATTTTATGACAATATAGTTATTTGCATAAGTGTAGTAAGATTCGTTTCTTTCAAAACAGGACAATTGGAGACTTTTTTTTTTTTTAAACCAGGGCTTTGACTAGAATAACATATTTTTAGGCAAATTTCCAGCAAAGCCAACTTAAAAGGAACCTATGTGGCCAATTAATTCTTGCTGCACTTTATGTGAATAATCAGGCCAAGTATAGTAAGCCTAAAACTTATTTTGCACATACATTGGTCTTACTATAATTTCTCTTTAGGCTGGGTGCAGTGGCTCACACCTGTAATCCCAGCACTTTGGGAGGCCAAGGTGGGTGGATCACTTGAGGCCAGAAGTTTGATCAGCCTAGCCAACATGGAGAAACCTCATCTCTACTAGAAAATACAAAAATTAGCCAGGTGTGGTGGTGCATGCCTGTAATCCCAGCTACTCGGGAGGCTGAGGCATGAGAATTGTTTGAGCCTGGGAGATGGAGGTTGCAGTGAGCCAAGAACATGCCACTGCACTCCAGCCTGGGCAATAAAGCGAGACTCTGTGCCTTAAAAAAAAAAAAATTCTTTAATAGAAAAGGAGAACCAGAGAAAGAGGTTGTTTCAAAGAAGTGTAACACTTTTTATTAGATTTCAGCCCCAACTTTTGTTTTTGAGTGCAGATTGAATCATGAATTATATAATTCTCTAAAGAGTGCCAGGTTATCATTTTTCTTCTTATTTTTAGTTGGTGCCTTAATGGAATAGGTTCCTTTTTCTGTTCTGACACATAAATACTCTTTTGATTTTCAAAAATATTGTTATTTATTTTTCCTTGTTTTACCTCCAAGGAAACCAGAATCATGGTATTCTGAAGAGTAGAGATGCGAATCTCCCTCATTTGGCATCACACTGGGTCCAATTTGTTTTTCACTGAAAATGCCCCGCTGCTAAGACTATACAAACACCCTCCTTCTAGGCCCGGGGACTGTCACAGAAGGGGTGAGCATGTGAGATTGTAAGGGCCAGTTTTGAGGGATAGAATTAAGTCAAGGTCAGATCCTCCAAATCAAGGATGGGTACAAAGATGCCTAAACAGCCAGTAAAACAAGGGACTTTGCCTACTGAGCTGTTATGTGACACATTTTCTAATTCCCGTAGAATTAAAGGAAGATAATTACTGACAGGATAAAGATACCTTGTGACAAAGCCTCCTGGGTACAAAACTCCCAGTTATGAGTTGCGAAGATATATATTTAAAAACTTTTTGTTTCAGAACAATGTTTATATTTTGTATAGCTAATTGCTAAAAGTCTGTAACTAAACCCAAGATTACTGTACTCAAGGCATAGAAGTTAAAGATAAGTCAGTTTTGTAACCTTCCCTTTGGCTTTTTGTTTATTGGCTTTTTATGTAAAAACTTTTTTTTTAAGGGATAATGAATGCCTGTCCACGTCCATTCCCATCTGGCCCTTCAATTGGCTATAAGTCTTTTGACTCTAAGTCCCTTGGCTTAGAGTCCCTTTGACTAAGTCCCTTGGCCATACCAAGGGACAGGATGGACCCAGGGCAGGCAGCCACGCCGCCCTGGCAATGTTATGGGGCAAAATAAAGATTTGGTGGCCATCGATGTTGCCTCTGGCAAATCTTGGTCGTAAGAGGGAGAATGTAAACCAAAAATAAAATTCTAAAGCCCCCCTCCAACCATCTGAATGAACTCCCTCCTCTCAGCCAGGGCACTCCAAAGATAACCTGAAAAACTGGTTCAGGCAATGACAGGAAGGGGGGATCAGACATGCCTCAGTATGCCCTCTTCCCTTTTGGAATTCAGGAAATGCCAACCAACATTTAACAGCAACATAGACCTTAAGTCTGATAAAAAACATTTACAATCTATTCTCTTTGAAGCCTGCTACCTGGAGGCTTCATCTGTGTGATAAAAACTTTGGTTTCCACAACCTGTTGTCATAACCCAGACATTCCCTTCTATTGATAATAATTCTTTCAACCAATTGCCAATCAGAAAAAATTAAAATCTACCTATGACCTGGAAGCCCCTCAACCTCTTTGGGTTGTTTTGCCCTTCTAGATCAAATCAGTGTACATCTTACATGTATTGATAGATGTATTATATCTCCCTACAATGTATAAAAGCAAGCTGTATCCTGATTACCTAGGGCACATGTCATCAGGATCTCCTGAGGCTGTGTCATGGGTGCATCTTTAACCTTGGCAAAATAAACTTTCGAAATTGAGACTCGTCTCAGGGATACTTTTGGGTTCACACCTCCAAGCTGTCCTTGTTTATTCCTGGGTGTAAGCCAAGTTAACTTTGGGAGGAATTTAAGTTATAGTTTAACTTTGAAGTAAGGATGATAATAGTCCTTCCCCAAAACAAATCACCTCCCTGGTTCAGGGGCTGAAGCCACCTTTGTAAAATTAATGAAAGTCCACAAGATTAGAATTATGGGAGGTGCCTGAATTCTGCTAAAAGATAGATGTAGTTTCTGTAATCCCTTACTACTCAGGAGTAGTGGGGTCAGAGGTCACAAGATAGGTGTAGTTCTGTAATCCTGTACTGCTAAGGAGTTACATGGCCAGAGATCACAAGGTTTGTGTCTTTCCCAATTGATCCTATAGGTAATATCACTATTATAGAAACTAAGATGGGTTTTTTGAGATATTTTTCACACTGACCCCACCCAGATTCATGACTCATTACTCAACTGGTCCTGTGTCCCCACCCAGAGGTAGACTCAGCTCATGAGAATTATTTTTTACACATCTATACTTTCATCTTCAACCAATCAGCAGCACCCATTCCTTAGCCCCCAGCCCACCAAATTGTCCATAAAAAATCTAGCATCTGTGCCTTTGGGGAGACTGATTTGAGTGGTAACTCCAGTTCTCCTTCATATTAAACTTTCCTTACTGCAGTGCCATGGTCTCAGTGAATTGCAGTAGGCAAGAAGAACCCATCAGGCAATTGATTACACATTAAGCTCTCTGAGTAGCTCTGTGGAGTACCCCTTCACTTAGTTTTGAGGTAGAGCAGGTTTTTACCCAACCCTGTTTCATTCCTTATGGGGAGGGGTTTGGAAACAGGACTCACAGCATAGCTTTCTCTCAAAATATCCTCTGCAAATCCTCTCTCTTAGATTTTCTCTTGGATTAAAAGATTCTTTGATCTTCTTATATGCTTGATGTTAGGACAGGGTTCAGAACTGTGGAATGGGTTATCAGACATGTCCTGTTTCCTGGTCTTGTTCTGATGTACAACACATTTCTACTCTAGGGTGGATCTTGATTTGCTAGGTCAGCCATGTGAAGTATTCCCAGGGTATGGTTATTGGTCTGGTTTGTCACATGACTAGGTTGGCTCAATCAGAAGGGATGGATTCAAATTCCTTGGTTGTCTCACTAGATGTAAACGAGGAATGTTGCCCACATTTCTGTGGACAATCATCTGATGACCATAAAAGGGAATTAGCCTCTGGATGAAGATGATACTGTGAACAGAAGAATGGTGAGTCTAAAAAAATAAGAGCCTGGCGTGGTGGGTCATGCCTGTAAACCCAGCACTTTGGGAGGCTGAGGTGGGAGAATTGCTTGAGCCCAAGAATTCAAGACCAGCCTGAGCAACACTGTGAGACCCTGTCTGTACAAAAAATAAAATAAAAATTAGCCAAGCATCGCAGCACCTGCCTGTAGTCCCAGCTACTCAGGAGGCTGAGGTGAGATGATAGCTTGAGCCCAGAAGTTTGAAGCTTCAGTGAAGCTAAGATTGTGCCACTGCACTCCAGCTGGGGCAACAGAGTGAGACTCTGTTTCAAAAATAAAATTTAAAATAATTTTTAAAAATTAAAAAAATAATAACTCAAATTGCAGATACTGTGGAGTCATTCAATCACCCAAGTCTGGGTCTTGCCATACTTCTGGACTTTCTGGTTATTGCTTTAGTGAGTTGGAGTCAGAATTTTATTACTTGCACCTGAGAGCATTCTAGTTGATTCACAGCTAAATTGTCTGCTTCATCTCATAAGTTAGGCTAATTTCAGATTCTAGCCCTCCTACCATTCCCTTCTGAGTTTTCCCATTGCTTTCAGCCCTTCTCTTGCTAATAGTTGCAGGGTTAACTTATCCGTTAGGTAGAGTAAGCACAGTGCCTAGGGTCCTCAAAAATGTTTTGTTTTAAAAAAAATTTTTAATTTTTAATTCTTATGGGTACATAGTAGGTATATATATTTATGGTTTACATGAGAAAATTTTTTTAAATCAAAATAGACTTCCAAGAATACATAAGGTATTTTGATATAGATATGCAATGTGTAAAATCACATCAGGGTAAATGGGGTATCCATCACCTCAATCATTTATCCTTTTTGTTACAAACAATTGAATTATACTCTTTTTGTCATTTTAAGATATACAATTACATTAATTTTGATTATAGTCACTCTGCTGTGCTACCAAATATTAGGTATTACTCATCTTTTAAACTATTTTTTTTGTACCCATTAACCAACCCCACTCCTCTGTGCCACCCCCCGTTCCCAGCCTCTGGTAACCATCCTTCTACTCTCTATCTCCATGAGTTCAGTTGTTTTAATTTTAGCTCTTATAAATAAGTGAATACATGTGAAGTTTGTCTTTCTGTGCCTGGATTATTTCAATTAGCATAATGACCTCCGGTTCCATTCATGTTGTTGCAAATAATAGGATCTTATTCTTGCTCTTGTTTTTTAATTTTTAATTTAATTTTATTTTTACACAGAGATGGGGTCTTACTATATTGACCAGGCTGGTCTTGAACTCTTGGCCTCAAGGGAGGCCTACCGTCTCGGCTTCCCAAAGTGCTGGGATTATAGGCATGAGCCAGTGCACCCAGACTCTCATTCTTTTTTGTGGCTAAATAGTATTCTATTGTGTAAATGTACCATATTTTCTTTATCCATTCATCTGTTGATGGACATTTTTGTCGCTTTCAAATCTTGGCTATTGTGAATAGTGCTGCAATAAACATGGGCATGCAGATATCTTTCTGATATACTGATTTCCTTTCTTCTGGGTAATCCAGTGGGATTGCTGGATTGTACAGTAGCTCTATTTTTAGTTTTTGGAGGAACTTCAAAATTGTTCTCCATAGTGGTTATACTAATTTACATTCATGCCAACTAATTTACATTCACACCAACAGTGTATGAAGGTTCCCTTTTCTCTACATCCTTGCCAGCATTTGTTATTGCCTGACATTTAGATAAAAGCCATTTAACTGGGGTGAGATATCTCATTGTAGTTTTGATTTGCATTTCTCTGATGATCAATGAAGTTGAACACCTTTTCATATGGCCTGTTTAACATCTGTATGTCTTCTTTTGAGAAATGTTTATTAAAGTCTTTTGTTCATTTAAAAATTAAATTATTAGATTTTTTTCCTGTAGAGTTATTTGAGCTCCTTATATATTCTGGTTAGATGGGTAGTTTGCAAATATTTTCTTTCATTCTGTGGGTTGTCTCTTCATTTTGTTGATTGTTTCCTTTGCTGTGCAGATCTTTTTAACTTGATGTGATCCTATGTAGGGTTCAGCCCTAGGGGGGTTAATGGGTGTTCTCCCCGTGTGCGGACATGAGAGATTGTAATAAATAAAGACACAAAACAAAGAGATAAAGAGAAAACAGCTGGGCCCGGGGGACCACTACCATCAAGACGTGGAGACTGGTAGTGGCTCTGAATGGCTGGGCGTGCTGATATTTATTGCATACAAGACAAGCGGGGCAGGGTAAGGAGGGTGGATCTTCTAAGTGATTGATAAGGTGAAGCAAGTCATGTGATCATAGGACAGGGGGCCCTTCCCTTTTAGGTAGCCGAAGCAGAGATAGAAGGCAGCATACGTCAGCGTTTTCTTCTATGCACTTATAAGAAAGATCAAAAACTTTTAAGACTTTCACTATTTCTTCTACCGCTATCTACTGTGAACTTCAAAGAGGAACCAGGAGTACGGGAGGAACATGAAAGTGGACAAGGAGCATGACTATTGAAGCACAGCACCACAGGATGGGGTTTAGGCCTCTGGATGACTGCGGGCAGGCCTGGATAATATCCAGCCTCCCACAAGAAGCTGGTGGAGCAGAGTGTTCCCTGACTCCTCCAAGGAAAGGAGACTCCCTTTTGCAGTCTGCTAAGTAATGGGTGTCTTCCCAGGCACTGGCATTACCGCTTGACCAAGGAGCCCTCAAGCGGCCCTTATGCGGGCGTGACAGAAGGCTCAGCTCTTGCCTTCTAGGTCACTTCTCACAATGTCCCTTCAGTACCCGACCCTATACCCGCCAGTTATTCCTAGGTTATATTAGTAATGCAACGAAGAGTAATATTAAAAGCTAATGATTAATAATGATTATACTAATGATTGATAATGTCCATGATCATCTCTATATCTAATTTGTATTATAACTATTCTTAATCTAACTATTTTCTTTATTATACTGAAACAGTTTGTGCCTTCAGGCTCTTGCCTTGGCACCTAGGTAATCTTTCACCCACAATCCTATTTGTCCATTTTTGGTTTGGTTGCTTGTGCTTGTGGGGTATTACTCAAGAAATCTTTGCCTAGACCAGTGTCCTAGAGAGTTTCTTCAATGTTTTCTTGTAGTAGTTTCATAGTTTGAGGTCTTAGATTTGTCTTTAATCTATTTTGATTTGATTTGTATACATAATGAGAGATAGAGGTCTAGCTTCATTTTTCTGCTTATGGATATCCAGTTTTCCCAGCACCATTTATTAAAGAGACTGTTCTATCCCCATGTATGCTTTTGGTAGCCTTGTCAAAAATCAGTTCAATGTAGATGTATGAATTTATTTCTGGGTTCTCTATTCTTTTCCATTACTCTATGTGTCTGTTTTTTTTTTTTTTTTTTTTTTGAGATGCAATCTCACTCTGTCGCCTGGGCTGGAGTGCAGTGGCACGATCTCAGCTCACTGCAACCTCTACCTCCCGGGTTCAAGCAATTCTCCTGCCTCAGCCTCCCACGTAGCTAGGACTACAGGCACGTGCCACCACACCGGGCTAATTTTTTGTATTTTTAGTACAGATGGGGTTTCACCAAGTTAGCCAGGATGGTCTTGATCTCCTGACCTCGTGATCCACCCACCTTCTTGCAACTTTTCTATAAATTTGAAACTATTATGAATCTGAAATTATTTAAATATTTACTTAAAATTAGTGTTGCGGGAAGTCAGGGACCCCAAACGGAGGGATCAGCTGGAGCCGCGGCAGAGGAACATAAATTGTGAAGATTTCATTTTAATATGGACATATATCAGTTCCCAAATAATACTTTTATAATTTCTTATGCCTGTCTTTATTTCAATCTCTGAACATAAATTGTGAAGATTTCATTTTAATATGGACATTTCTCAGTTCCCCAAATTAATACTTTTATAATTTCTTATGCCTGTCTTTAATCTCTTAATCCTGTTATCATCATAAGCTGAGAATGTACATCACCTCAGGACAACTATTGTGTTAACTGTACAAATTGATTGTAAAACATGTGTGTTTGAACAATATGAAATCAGTGCACCTTGAAAAAGAACAGAATAACCGCAATTTTCAGAGAACAAGGGAAGACAACCATAAGGTCTGACTGCCTGTGGGGTTGGGCAGAATAGAGCCATATTTTTCTTCTTGGAGAGAGCCTATAAGTGGACGTGCAAGTAGGGAAGATATCACTAAATTATTTTCCTAGCAAGGAATATTAATAATTAAGACCATGGGAAAGGAATGCATTCCTTGGGGGAAGTCTATAAACGGCCGCTCTGGGAGTGTCTGTCTTATGCGGTTGAGATGAGGACTGAAATACACACTGATCTCCTGCAGTATCCTCAGGCTTATTAGGGTGGGGAAACCCCCCCCACCACTAGTAAATTTGAGGTCAGACCGGTTCTCTGCTCTTGAACCCTGTTTTCTGTTGTTTAAGATGTTTATCAAGACAATACATACACAGCTGAACATAGACCCTTATCAGTAGTTCTGTTTTGCCTTTTGTCCTGTTTCCTCAGAAGCATGTGATCTTTGTTCTTTTTGCCCTTTGAAGCATGTGATCTTGTGACCTACTCCCTGTTCTTGCACCCCCTCCCCTTTTGAAATCCTTAATAAAACTTGCTGGTTTTGCAGCTCAGGTGGGCATCATGGTCCTCCTGATATGTGATGTCACCCCTGTAGGCCCAGCTGTAAAATTCCTCTCTTTATTCTCTTTCTCTTTATTTCTCAGCCAGCTGACACTTACGGAAAATAGAAAGAACCTACACTGAAATATTGGGGGCAGGTTCCACCATAAATTAGCTAAAAATAAACATTTTTAAGTTAATTAAAAATAACAAAGGCATGCATGCATTACTGTGTACCTTTCTAGTCAAACTAACAGAATTTGAGACTGGGGCTGGGCACAGAGGCTCACGCCTGTAATCCCAGCACTTTGGGTGGCTGACGCAGGTGGATCTCCTGAGGTCAGGAGTTCAAGACTGGCCTGGCCAACATGGTGAAACCCCATCTCTCTAAAAATACAAAAAATTAGTCAGACATGGTGGCAGGTGCCTGTAGTCTCAGCTACTTGGGAGGCTGAGGCAGGAGAATTGCTTGAACCCAGGAGGTGGAGGTTGCAGTGAGCAACCGAGATCGTTCACTCCAGCCTGGGTGACAAAAGCGAAACTCCATCTCAAAAAAAAAAATTTGGGATTGGACTCACTCAAAATTCTGCTTTTTTACACAAGAGCATAACTCTTCCAACACGAGCATAGCACTGAGGTAAGAGGTTATGTTAGGAATGAATGAGTGCTGGAATCTTGTAGAGGCAGTTTCTTAATTTCAGACAAACCAAACAAAACCTGTTTGTACAGAGGTCTAGGTTCTAGTCTTTAGTAGTCCTTAAAAGTTTGTTAAGATTTAGGCTTTAGGATCTGGAGAACTTTTGTTTTGTTACCTTTTTTTTTTTTTCGAGACAGAGTCTTGCTCTCTTGCCAGGCTGGAGTGCAGTGGCGTGAGCTCATCTCACTGCAACCTCCACTTCCCGTGTTCAAGAGATTCTCCTGCCTCAGCCTCCCGAGTAGCTGGGACTACAGGCATGTGCCACCACACCCTGCTAATTTTTTGTATTTTTAGTAGAGACGGGGTTCCCCATGTTGGCCAGGATGGTCTCAATCTCTTGACCTCATGATCCACCCACTTCAGCCTCCCAAAGTGCTGGGATTACAGGCATGAGCCACCATACCTGGCCGGTTTGTTACCTTTTGAAGAAGAAAAGGCCCACAGGAGGGTTGATACAGCAACCACATCCCTGTCATTCACCAACGCTTAATGTCTGGCACATAGAGGTGCCAGTAAATATTGAATGATTAGGATCAGTAACTCAAAATAAGTCTACAGGGCAATACAGGAACAGGGGTAGGGAGGTGTGGGCCAGTGAGATATGCTAGCTGAAGTGATTCTCAGTGAATGAAGAGGTTGTCAATTGGGACTAATTCTGAAGTCCTGTGTGTCACAGATGTGTGAAGATTGTGTTCTTGCTGTCAGAATTCTGTAGGGCTTTATTCAGGGCTTTTGAGAGGTAAGATGCGAGCTTAGACCCAAAAGCAATGAACTGGAATACTCAGCCAGGGACTGCAGTTGGGATAGACCATGCAGCAGTGGTGGGGGCACTGCCATTGCCAGTGGTCTTTTTGCAGGTTGAGGTTGACTGGAATTTGCTCATATTAGTTGCCAAGGAGGTTGACACATGTGTATTTGTCATTTTTTAATTGGCCTTATCTGCTTCAGTTGGCATATCTACTTATTGTTGGATACGTGGATTACATACACTGGTTGAAAATATAAACAATACTATGAAGATCTTAATATAAATTAACTTAAAAAATTAATGATATAAATTAACTCTTTCATCATTTAATTGAGATGATAAAAGTTGATGAATGCCTAATTAATTAAAGGAGGATACTTAGGCCTCTAAAATTAAAAATGAAAGTTTTAGCATTCTAATATTGTTTTATTTTTATCTTTGAGACATGGTCTGGCTGTTACCCAGGCTGAAATGAGATGGTGCCACCATGGCTCACTGCAGCCTCGACCTCACAGGCTCAAGCGATCTTCCCGTCTTAGCCCTCCAAGTAGTTGGGAGGTTGCCCAGGCTGATCTCAAATTCATGGGCTAAAGGGAACCTCCTGCCTCAGCCTTAAAGTGTTGGGATTACAAGCATAAGCCACCAAGCCAGACCAGCGTTGTAAAGTTTAAAGCAATGGCCAGTGCCAGAGCAAACATGAGAAAGGTAAACAACACTTAGTAAGCAAGGTGGAAACATGTATGTTATTTTTTTTTTTGTACATAAAAAAAATTTTCTTTTTCTTTTTTTTTTTAGGGTCTCACTGTTGCCCAGTCTGGAGTGCAGTGGCACAATTATATCTCACTGTAACCTCCAACTCCTAGGCTCAAGCGATTCTTCTGCCTCAGCCTCCTCAGTAGCTGAGTGAGACTACAGGCATGCACCACCATGCACAGCTAATTAAAAAAAAATTTATTTTGTAGAAATGGGGTCTTAATAAGTTTCCCAGGCTGGTCTCAAATTCCTGAGCTCAGGCAATCCTTCTGCCTTGGCCTCTTAAAGCTGGGATTATAGCTGTGAGCCACTGTACCCATCCCAATGTATGTAATATGTTCTTACAGCTTAGCCAGAGGGGCTGTAAAATGTGAGTCAAAAATTAGACAAAATCAAGATGTTGGCAGGGTAAAAAAAAAAATTGGAGCTGATCAGAGCATGGGAAGAGGGCAAAGCAAATGGAGACGGTGGTGAGGGACCTTTGGAAGCTGAGGGGCTCACAGACTCACATTACCTTTTCATTCTTTTCTCCTTCAAAAATTCAAAGATGAACAATTTTTTTTCTCTGAGCAAATTATCCCATTTAAACATTCATGAATTAACCACATTAACCTACTTTCAATGCAAAGAAGAAAAATGGTTTCTGTCTCATACATTTCAGCTGTCTTGTCAGTGGGTTGTCAAGTTGAAGGATTTCTTTTACATTCCCATGAATCCCTTATTCTCTATGAAAGAAACTTTACTTCGAAATGGAAAGTAGGTTTGGGTTCATCTCTGATTTTTGACTCACATTATACAACCTCTGTGGTTAAGCTGTGAGAATGTATAAAATTCCTGTCAGCCATTGCTGGGGCTTCAGAGCATGACTGGGTAGTGCCCAGGTGGGCAGAGCACTGTCTGATAATCTTTGCTCCCTAATAACTGAAATCCAGAATAGATAATATTCTCCATTCATTCAAAATGTCTGTCCTGTGCTTCATGCAGAGGATACAAACAGAAGAACACTTGGTCCCTGTCTTCAGGGCATTCACAGGCTTGTCAGTCTGGGCATTAGAGAGGATAAAAAATGAACCAAGCAATAATCAATGGGAAAAAGCTGTTTCATGCCTTAACATGACATAAATATAAAAACCATACAGGGAACAACAGATGAAAATAAAAACACGAAGGCTACAATAAATGCCAGTGACAAAAACAAAGGCACTGTTCAGTTCTACTTAACAGCAGACAGATTTAGGAATCAAACCCTGACACATTTTAAGGTTCTAGGTCTACTGTTTAAAAAATCCAAAATATGTTATCCAAGTCTGAATACATTAATGAGACACTGTAAAAGCTTTTAGCTGTAAGGTATTATTACTGTGTCAGTCAGAGTCCTTGAAGAAAACAGAAGACACATTTAAACTGGGATTACTTAAGGAGAGTTTAATAAAGGGAATGTTTACAGAGGTGTGGACCAGGTGTAGGAAACCATGAATAGTGCAGTCCCCCAGGGCTAGTAGCAGTGGGGCCCCATTATTGCTCTAAGTCTAAAGGGTCAAGGGTGGGGGAACCAGGAGACAGAGGGGCCTGTCTGACGGAAGCAAAAAGCGAAGACCGCCCCCCTACCTCCTTTATGTAACTAGACCAGCTGGAAGTAACCCTACAGGGAGGGATCGCACTGCTACACCCTCAGATCTCCTGCTGGGCTCCCCATTGCTGGACCCACTGTAACCAGAAGACAAGAGAGCCAGCTGACCTAGTCTATAGTGGTCAGCTTCCCAGAGCACAGAGGACAGTGGAGAAGGGTAGAGAGCATCTGGAGGGATGAATGGAAGATGTCCAGAACTAGGCTGGGCACGGTGGCTCGTGCCTGAAATCCCAGCACTTTCAGAGGTCAAGGCGGGTGGATCACCTGAGGTCAGGAGTTCGAGACAAGGCTGGATAACACAGTGAAACCCCATCTCTACTAAAAATACAAAAATTAGCTGGGTATGGTGGCGTGCACCTGTAGTCCCAGCTACTTGGGAGGCTGAGGCACAAGAATCACTTAAACCCGGGAGGCAGAGGTTGCAGTGAACTGAGATTGTGCCACTGCACTCAGGCCTGGGTGACAGAGTGAGACTCCTTCTCAAAAAAATAAGACACCCAGAATAACTAAGTGACCAAGAATCTGACAGTCAAGTGTTCACAAAGACCTTTGCAACAACTTCGCAGTCAACATTTGACAACTCTTGGAACTGGTAATTTAATGGTTACTGAATGTGGATAGCAAAACCTTAACAGCACACTCACCAAAAATCTTGCTATTTATTAGGAACACATTTTTCAAGTTAGTAAGGCAGTGTAAGTTTAAGAAGAAAATTCTGCATACCAAAAGGTACTCTTCTGTGTTTTTTCAAAACAGAATATAAATATGCCCACCCCCCACGCAAAAAAACCCCGGACAGGATATATGAATATTTTCTGATATTAACAATAAGCAGAAAGCCATCCTGAACTTGTTTTTTGGTGGCATATGATCAATAACAAAGACTGAGAAGGCTATACTAAGAAACAAAGGCTATGCTTAAATAATGCACCCTCTGCTAATTGTGAAGGGTAAACTATGAATTTATCCTCATAATCCTTCACCTTCTCTTCCAGCAATCCCCCTTCTTTTTCCTACATGAATGTTTTTCTAAATTAGAACTTATCTTTTATGGCTTTTTGGGGGAGGTGAACATTTTTCCTGACCCATCCATTCTCATTCTCATTCTTTTTTTTTTTTTTTTGAGACTGAGTCTCGCTCCGTCGCCTAGGCTGGAGTGCAGATGCATGATCTTGGCTCATTGCAACCTCCATTTCCTGGGTTCAAGCCATTATCCTGCCTCAGCCTCCTGAGTAGCTGGGATTACAGGCACACGCCACCACACCCAGGTAATTTTTGTATTTTTAGTTGAGACGGGGTTTCACCATGTTGGCCAGGCTGGTCTCAAGTGATCTGCCCACCTCAGCCTCCCAAAGTGCTGGGATTACAGGCGTGAGCCACAGCGCCCGGCCCTGACCCACTCATTCTACATGGATTTTCTACATAAAAAGATTTGGTCCTGAATTTGTGAAAGAGCCCGTTTTCTGCACTAGAGGGACTATTTCTTCCTTAATATGCTTTCTGGCACAGTAGCACAGACTCCAACATCATCTGACTTCCTTGCACAGCCAAGAAGGTGTGGTGGAGTCTGTTTCTCTCACTGTGCTTCTGTCCCCACAACTTATGGGTAGACGTGGAGGCAGAGGGTTCAGGAGCATTTCTTCACCAGAATCAGGGTACAGGAGGAAGAATATCTTAGCAGATCAAGTTGGCTGTCTACTTTGAAAGTTGTGTAAAGCATCATGCCCAGTAATATAATCCTTGTGCACAAGATACAAGAGAAAAACTATTCTGCTACCCCAGTGCAATGCCAGGGGACTGGTAAATAAGTTATGGCAATGCTGGTAGAACACTCTCTGACCTGGCTTTGCGTCCTGGCTCAGCCACTAATTGTGTGCCTAGAGCCAGAGTTTTCACATCTCTAAAATACAGTTAATAATAATACTTACCACCTCAGGTGGTTGTGAATTTCTTTCTAGACTGCTGTAGTATTATCCAAACCACAATGCTAACCCTAATCCCAACTAGAGCAAAGTATCTGAAACACAAATCTGATAATATCATTACCCTGCTTAAAATATTTTAACCATTTCCCACTGTTTTATTTTATTTTATTTTATTTTATTTTTTAATGAGACAGGGTCTCATTCTGTCTCCCCAGGCTGGAGTGCAGTGGCATAATCACAGCTTACAGCTCACTGCAGCTTTGACTTCCTTGGCTCAAAAAATCCTCCCACCTCAGCCTCCTGAGTGTGTGGGACCACAGGTACACACCGCCACACAGCTAACTTTTCTTTTGGGTGAGGGTCTGCCTATGTTGCTCAGGCTGGTCTTGAACTCCTTGGGCTCAAGTCCCCCTGGTTTTAGAATGAAGACTCACATCTCTGATATGGCCTTCAAGTCCTCAAAGCCTGGCATCAGCTCCCACCATTATTTTAATACATTCTTACTCTAGGCTCTAAGCCACAGTGGTCTTCGTTTAGTTCTATTTTTTTTTTTTTTTGAGACAGAGTTTTGCTCTTGTCGCCTAGGCGGGAGTACAGTGGTGCAATCTTGGCTCACTGCAACCTCCACCTCCCAGGTTCAAGCAATTTTCCTGCCTCAGCCTTCTGAGTAGCTGGGATTACAGGCATCTGCCACCATGCCCAGGTAATTTTTTTAAATCCGGGTGGGCCTAAGCAGGCCAGGACTTATCTGGAGGCTCCGATGTTGGGAACCCAGGGCCCTTCTGCCTTGTTGGGCTCCCTAGCATGCTTTGGGAGAATGCTCTGCCACATCCACATTCCAGCCAGTGGAAGGAAGGAAGAGAAAAGGGAGGAAACAGCTGCTGCTTATAAGAGCATGACTCAGGAATTGCACTCATTACTTTTACTCACCTTTTACTGATCAGAACTTGGTCACGTGCTCGCTTCAGTAGCACATATGCTAAAATTGGAACCATACAGAGAAACTTAGCTACAGCCCCAGCGCAACGGTGACATGCAAATTTGTGATGTGGTCCATATGAAGGAAGGAAGGAAGGAGAAAAAGAAAAAAAGAGAGAGAGAGAAAGAAAGAAAGAAAGAAGAAAAGGAGAAAGAAAGAAAAGGAGAAAGAAAAGGAGAAAGAAAGAATGAAAGAAAAAAAATGAACGAATGAATGAACTTGGTTATGTGGCTACACTCAGCCGTAAGGGAGGCTCAGAAAAGTAGCCTTTATTTTGGCTGCCTTGTGCGTAGCTGTGTACCTGGAGCTCTGTTATTGTAGATAGAGTGAGTGGATATGAGGACACCTAGTGGTCCCTGGAGCAGAACGCCCAGCTTAGATTAATTAGTGTGATTATTGATTAATAGCTATCTACCCCACTAGACTGTATCTCCACAAGAGCAGGAACCGTATGTGTTTTTGCCCACCATTGTATCCTTACCATCTATCCTGTGCCTGGTACACAGTAGGATCTTAATAAATATTTGTTGAATACACGAGTGAATGGATCAGGTCCCTCCCTCTTGCTATCCCTGTCATGCTTGACACTCCAGCCAGACCATACCACTCGTGATTGCCTAGCAATGTATTCATTATCAATTAAAAAGAAATCACTGCTAATCCGATAAACAAACATAGTCATCTCATTGTTGCTTACATTTCTTTGGTGAGTTTTCAGGTGATACACATTTTCACGTCTTTATTTATACTTCTCATTTTGAGATTTGACATAATAGCATGTCAATTTTGATAACATCACCTGAGGTACATGAAGAGGTTGATGCGGCTGATTTCAGTCAAAAAATAAGGGCGAAAGGAAATAAGTGCAAAAAGAAAAAAGCAAACAAACAAAAAAGGCCAAGTTAGGCAGCACACCCAGGGACTTGCTTGCTGAGGAGTGAAATAGATACTTGAATTAGGGCATTCACGCAATTCTACATGAGTGCTGTTTCTCAAACCTCAGCCTTCCATGAGAGTTGGGAAGCAAAGAGTTAAATGTTATAATCTCTGTTTAGAATCTAGCAGGATGGTATTTTAAGTTGCTAATTAATGGAATATCCATGAGTTGTAGCTGTCAATAGAGATTAATATTGTATTGATCAATTAATAAGTTTAATTTAGACTTGGTGGAGCCCGGCATCGTGGTGTGCATCTGTAGTCCCAGCTACTCTGCTGGCTGAGGCAGGAGGGTGGCTTGAGCCCAGGAATTTGAGACTGCAGTGAGCTGTAATTGCACCACTGAACTCCAGCCTGGGCAACAGAGCA
This sequence comes from Homo sapiens, assembly GCF_000001405.40. Classification (NCBI taxonomy): domain Eukaryota; kingdom Metazoa; phylum Chordata; class Mammalia; order Primates; family Hominidae; genus Homo; species Homo sapiens. Next base: position 74,050,006 of record NC_000008.11, read on the forward strand.
GGACTCCATTTTTTAAATAAATAAATAAATAAATACATGCAATTAAATAAAGTATGACCGGGCATGGTGGTTCACACCTGTAATGCCAGCACTTTGGGAAGCTGAGGCACATGGATCACCTGAGGTCAGGAGCTGGAGACCAGCCTGGCCAACATGGTGAAACCCCATCTCTACTAAAAATACAAAAATTAGGTGGGCCTGGTGATGGGCACCTGTAATCCCGGCTACTCAGGAGGCTGAGGCACGAGAATTACTTGAACAGGAGAGGCAGAGGTTGCAGTGAGCTGAGATAGCACCACTGTACTTCAGCCTGGGTAACAGAGCGAGACTCTATCTCGATTAAAAAAAAAGTTAAAATAAATTTAGTATGAATTAAAATATTTAAAAAAAAGACTTGGTGTGAATGCTGGCCACCTCACCCATAACACATACCCACCCGCCCACTCCACCATCCGTCACCAGGTACAGATGTTTTGCTTATCATTATCATATTGCAATAATAAGAATATAAAATAATATATTTAATATGGACACTCTTAATGAAGCCATATGAAAAATGGAAATAGTATGTGAAAGTGGTGAGCTTTCAATTTTATTATTGTTATTTTAACATTTCTTAACGTTGTTTTCATATTGTTGCTAATTAAATGAAATTATAGCACTATTACCATCACCAAAACATAATTACCACCACCAATCCTGTTAGCAATGCTCTTTTAAACGTTATCTAAGACTCAGCTGGGCACGGGGGCTCATGCCTGTAATCCCAGGACTTTGGGAGGCCGAGGCAGGTGGATCACGAGGTCAGGAGTTTGAGACCAGCCTGGACCAACGTGGTGAAATTCCGTCTCTACTAAAAATACAAAAATTAGCCAGGCGTGGTGGCACGCACCTGTAATCCCAGCTACTCAGGAGGCTGAGGCAGGAGAATCGCTTGAACCCAGGAGGTGGAGGTTGCAGTGAGCTGAGATCGTGCCACCGCACTCCAGCCTGAGCGACAGAGTGAGACTCTGTCTCAAAAAAATAAAAATTATCTAAGACCCATAAGATACTATTAGTAATAGAGGAAAGAAGATGGGGTTGTTCTAAACATAAGCACGAATGTGGCCAATGGGCAGAAGACACATTCTCCTGTATAAGATTCATTTATAATTCTCAGAGCCAAGAGAGGAAGCAGTAATTCAAAGCAAGGGAAGTGAAGAGCTTGTTTCCTTAGTGTTCATGAGCCGGCCTGATCTGGATATAACTGCTAATGAGAACAACATGCTTTCAGGCAAAAAGTACACACCAGGCTTTGGTGTGCAGATAACCAAGGATTAGTGCTTGAGAATTCATTTGTTTTGCTCTTGGTGTAACTTGGGCATGAGATAAAAGACTGAGAGTAGCTTCTTAAATTGTCCAGTGACTGCTCAGAAATGCTTTTGACTGTAGGTAGGTTCTCCAATCCATATATACTTCTTAGTAATTATCTTAGTAATTCATGCTTCTCTCTCATGATGCTGAAATTTTTAGCAGGTACCATGGACTGAATGTACCCCCAAATTCATTTGTGTGGCTTCCCCAAAATTCCTGTGTTGCAATCCTAATCCCCACTGTATGGTATTAGGTGGCGGGGTCTTGGGGGAGGTAATGAAGTCGTGAGGGTGGAGCCTTTATGAATGGGATTAGTGCCTAATAAAAGAGACCTCAGAGAGTGCCCTTCCCTCTCCAACACGTGAGGACATAGTGAAAAGTTGGCTGTCTGTGAACGAGGTAGTCGGCCTTCAACAGACACCGAATTTGCTGGTGCCTTGATCTTGGATTTCCTAGCTCCAGAATTGGGAGAAATAAATGTTTGTTGCTTGAGCCGCCCAGTCTATGGTATCCTATTATAGCAGTTCATACATACTAAGACAGTGGGGTTCAATTTTACTCCCTAATTCAAATTATTGAATTTTCAAGTTCAACTCCTGTGTGAGTAAAATTTATTCCTATACATGTTTAGTGCAGCTGTGTAAGTAAAATTTATTCCTACAGATGTTTAGTGCAGCTGAAGGTGTAAAACAAGAAAAAAGAAAGGAAAAATAAAAGAAAAAGAAAAATACTTGGCAATATTGTTGGGGAGAGAAGAGGTTATTTTGGAGAAGGGAAGGAGGTTTTTGTGGATGGAAGGTTTTTGCCAGTAGAAGGGGACTGTGTATGTCACCACGTGCCATGAGTGTGCATGCGGGAGGCCCACAGGGGCTGGTGGGAGTGCTAGACAACAGGGGCTAAGAAAAGA